>NC_000007.14:126881779-127506779 GCF_000001405.40 Homo sapiens
AATAGTCCTGGACATCCAATGAAAAACTGTGTATAAAATATCTTGTCCCATAAGTGCTAAATGAATTGTAACTACTGCTGTGACTGACTAAATAAAAATTATATATGTATAAGTATAAAACCTCTTACAAAACATGTAATAATAAAAGAATGAGTCATAAAAGACAAGAATCAATGAGTGTTAATGGTCACCTTTGTTGCTGACCTCTAAACTCCATCCCCTGGCCTTAACAAATATGGCAGGACATCTTCAGGATTTGGCAGGCAGACAATTTTATCTTACACTAGTGACTTGGATGCCATTCCTCTTCCTTCCACTCAGTAACAGACGGTGCCCTGGACAGCAGTGACATCTGCAGCCCCAAGGGAGAAGGGTCAGCACAAATTTTAATTTTGCTTTTGGTTTGGGGCTTTAAGTACACAAACAGGTTTTTTTTTTCCCTGTCAGTTTGCATCTAGCTTCGCATCTGACATTTTTTAATGTTTTATGTATTTGGATTGACCTAGAAATTTATAGCTTCAGGTTTTTGCTTATTTTGCTCTGTCTCTAATTCAACCTCCTTGATTTAAAAATAAAAGCCAAAATATAACATGAACAAATACTCTATTTGTCTGTATCACTAAGGGGGTAAGGAAGAGGTCATTCTGCTCTTTTTGAGCTACTTCTTATTACAATATATTAACATTTGAATATCTTCAATAACAAGAAACAAGAATACTAGGGATAACCTATAAAAACCTGAGTATAATTTGACTCATCGCTAAAAAAAACTTAAAAGCTAAGAGGAGAACATTTACAAAAATTGTTATGTTCACTGACAAGGCATTAGATTTCAGACTAATTGCTGCTATGAGAAAAATAGATAGATACACACATACATAAAGCTTTATTTTTAGAAGGTCAAGTATCTACACCAAATGTTTCATCCTCCAGAGTTCAGTTTCAGGGAAATCTCTACAATAGGAGAGCCTCCTGATGTTTGTTGTGGCCACATTTGGAGCCATCAAAATTTCCTACTCAGGCATCCCACAGAGAAAAAGCATCTACCCCTAAGAATGTGAAATAGTATCCTCATTACTGAGTTGATTACTCATCAACCTTAATAGTATTTGTAATTCGCCTTTACCCTGGGGCAGTTTTCAAAGGTCACAGGGAAGGCTGAAGGCTGTGTCTATAAGACAGTTTGATCAAAATAGAACTAAAGGCTGGCCTCAGGTAGCTATTTCTGAGTTGGTCAGAGGACAATGAAAACTACAGTTCATGCCCAAATGTTCTCCTTGGTCAAGGGGAGACTGGCTAGACAGAGTCAGATCTTAAGGGTCATTTCTGATTGGCCTCCATCCAGAGTATGACAACAAAACTCGAGAAGCTTCGCAGATAAATAATGATGTAACTAATTTAGGTGTTTAGATAAATCATTCCAAGTCTCTTTTGTCTGCTTAGGCCTGATTTTCCTGGGCTAGGTAAACACCCTGAATTTACAAGAGAATGTTCAGCCTCATTTTAACTATGCAACTGGTAGAAGAAGAAGAAATAGGCCTTCTTCTATTTTGATGCTAGAAAGACAAATAAAACGACATGCATAAGTCATTTAGAGTAGTAAAGCAAATAATCAACAATTCACAGGATTGAATTGTATGATAAGAAGACATATGGAATTTCTCATTCTGGTTCTTTTCTTTGTCCCTTTTGTAAGTTACTTACTCAAATTGATTACAGCTTTTCAATCTGTAAAAAAGGGATATAAGATAAATAATCTCTAATATTCCTTCTAACTCTATAAAAATAGCTATTGTTTTATGTATCAAGAATAATCAAAGTATTTTTTTTAGATTGCAGACCTATGTTCTCATGAGACTGCATTTCAGATGGATTGGAAGCAACCTAATATGTATTCAAAAACCAGCACCAGATGAAAGGACTCAGCCAGAATCATGCAAAGCAGAAGAATCAAATTCACAGAGACAGACTAAACTTTTTAACTAAGACTATCATGCAATTATATTGTTGGTATATCCCATGTCTATTGGTTGTATATGTATCCAAAAATTAGGTTTAGAGATGGATGATACACAGATTAGATAAACTGATAATCAATGAAGAAATGGAAAAATAGACATTTTTAAGCACATTTTCTGAAATATCAGATGTATAAAATATGTGTATTCATGAAAGAAATAAAATTAGACAGGAGACAAAACAGATAATTTAGCAAGAAGTTATTAAGGGTGAATAATAGTATTCAGATCTATCTGTCATAAGGCCCTACAAATACTAAAATTAGCTGTGATTTTTTTCTATTAGTTCCCTAGGATTCTGCTAAAATCAGCATCCTCATGAGCACTGGTTAACACTATGGTGTAAATCATTTGCTGATGCCATAAATTAAAAACAAAACAAAAAACTATATTCAAAGTAACTGAGCTATAGGAACATCTCCTTAAAAGATGGAGGCATTAAGAGCATTTTCCACAACCGAGAACTAAATGTCATTCACCTGTGAATTAAAAAAAGGAAATCACGGGGGAAAAATGAGCAGCCAGATCAATTGCATAAACCTTTGTCAAAGATAGAAATGTTTATATGGGAGTTCTGTGGCTAAACAAAATGCAAACAGCCACATATTTTTTCAACCAACAAATGGATATCAGTAGCTTAAATAAACTCTTTCATCTTTTTATTTTTTTCATCCTTATCCTTGCTTTAAAAAAATGGAACACAGTATTTGTTGAAGATTTTATGCACATATTGCATCATAGCCCAATTTCTCAAACTCAAAGTCAATTTAGCAAATAGAAATGATAGCAGAAAAAACATATAATGTCCTGTTGGGAAGAACTGTCTTTCATTGTAGTGTGAACTTAATGACTGCATCACCTACCTTGAAGTATTTTTTAGGTCTAGTTATTCATTTAACAAAGGATTATCCAGTGCCTTCTATGTGACAGGCACAGTGGCCACAAAGATAAGCAAAAAGATATGCTCCTTATCTTCATGGAGCTTACAATTTAATAAGAGATAAATATGCATCAAACAACCCCACAAATAAATGTACAACTGTAACTGTAATAAAAGCTAAAATGAGTATGGTGCACTATGGGCATACAGTAGGGAGATCTGACCTAATCAGAGAGTTAAGACAAGTTAGGGGCCTTGTATCCTATTCCTGGAATCTTGCTCATCAGCAAACAGCTGAAGGAAGTATTTGTAAGGATAGTATATCCCTCTGTACATCCCAAAGTCCTGTCCTGTGCACAGCCACTGACTACATACCTCTGCATCCAAAGCAGACTCAGCTTTCAGCTGGCCTTGCTGAGAGTGAGCCCAGCATATCTTGGAAAATGAATTCACCACACTCTGGCACAAACCCCATATCATCCAACAGCTTCTTCAACCAGAGCAGCTCAGTCTTGGTCCTTATCCATGAATGATGGTTGCAGAACCACGCTGGCTTTACAGGGATCTGGGTAGGATCCATTGCCCCCACCCTGAGTGTATTCATAGTGATGTGCTATATGGTTTAGAAGCCTTGGTAAATAAGTCAAGGTAGAACTGTCTCAACCCAGAACTTTCTTCAGGTAAGAAGTATGCTTCCAACAGAAGTTCCTAACAGGAAGCAGCTATCACCATCAAAGGGGAGTACTGAAATCATTCCAAGACTAACCCCCACAGTCTACTCTTTTCTTCCCTATCATCTGTGCCCCTAAAGCAGTCAGGAGAGTTCCCTAGCCAGACCTAACTCAGTACTTAAATATCTTTGATAGGCCTGGGAAACAGAACACAGGAAGAAAAGTCGTGGCTTTTCACCCCAGCAGTGGAATCTATTCTTGTTTTTTGTAGCATGAGATGTTTACACCTAAGGAACAGAAAGTGAACTTAAAATGTCTTTAATTAAGAAATTAGGTTTAAATGATTCCATATAACAAATCTGATTTAATTTTAAATTTTTGAATACATTTACTCATTCAAGAATGGTTTCAAACCCTCCAGGGGTGAGATAAATGGCAATTCTAGCTATCTTCTACCTTCAAATATAACTTTCCTGAAATAAAAACAGGAAATCCAATTTGTAATCACAATAAAGTTTCTTATCTAAATCCAAAGGCCAGTTTTTTTCCCCTTGGAAACATAAGCGCCTGAAGCAGGGGCTGCATTTTGATATTCTTTGTGGCACTTGGCACAGTATAATTTCTATGAAGGTGCCTTGTAAGTAGCCTGGGGTGATTATGGTGGTGTAATTTTCATCACAACCACAGATAACCCAGGTAACTGTGCAGGTACAATGACGTTCAGCTTAAGTGGCTTTGTTCCAAACAAGGGCCTCTATTGTAAAAACAAAGCAGGTGTTAAAACATAGAGATATTGAAGATAGGGGTCATTTTACATACTAACATGCACTGAAAAGTAAATCTGAGCTTCCCCACATTATTGCCAGGAATTACGGTATACTTAAGATGAATCCATTAAGTACACAACTGGACAAATGATGAAATTTCATGTTAGCAAAATTCCTGACATATTTCACACCTCTTACTCTATTAAATTACACTTTTTTAACAAAGAAAAGCTTTCCTACTGCTACACATTTTCAATTTTTTCTCCTATGTATTTCATATTAAAATTTCAAAATAATTTGATCAGAGATCTAGTGCACAAAGGTGCCTAAGTGAACAATAATCACCAAAAACACTTGCAATGGCTGCAGTAGTGGGATTCCCATCAGTGATGTCAACAGTGATGCCAAGAAGACAAAAGAAGAGGGAAGGAGCTAATAACAAAATCCATAGAAAACAGGCTTCATTAATTTCTGAACAGGCTACATAAATCCATTAATGCCTACAGATTAATAACATGGTCATATAAATGAAGTTACTGCCTACGTGTTTTCTGAAAAACATCATTGCTAATTCATCTTATACTGTCAAAATTTCTTTATCCAAAATGTATATATTTTTGAGTAATATCTTCTCAAGAAAGTAATACTTTCTTGTAATACTCAAGAAATACCCTCAATTCCCAAGTACTACAGTTTATATGTGACCAGTTTTTGATATAATAAAATATATAAAATGTAAAGTTAAACCTTAGATGTCTATCTAGTGCTTATTCTGAGTGGCAATGAAATAATGTAATAGAACACAGCAAAAGGCCGAAAGAAGGAAGAGCTGTATTTTGGGAGTGCAGAGAAGTATTACTTCAGAAATGTGTCCAGACAAAGAAAACTCATTCAAGGGACGTGGATAAGGGCCAGGTGGACTAAGGAAGAGGTAATCTATCTGGGTGTCTCAAAAAGGAAGTTTTCATTCTGGAATCTGAAAAGAGGATGAATGCACCTGAAAATCAAACCAGCAGAGAGTGTTTCAAGAAGTAGAGTTAGAGAGAAAGAATCAACTAGAGATAGGTACATCAGACATAGGAAAGGAAACGTGTAGCTAACTGATAGCTTCCATAAAGACAAATTGAATAATAAGACTGTGTATGGTTTACAAATGCAGGCAGTATTTTTCTCGAGGTGTCTTTGTAGTGAATCTACTATCTTTATATTTGCCATGTTAAAGATACTACTGAGCTGCCCAGAGAGCAGTCAAGGAAAAAGATTTTTGGCCACAGGGCTGTGGTCCTTGAGAAATCCTGGAGTTCCTGTGTGCTTAGGAAGTTATCAGAAACAGAACATGTTGTGAGTGTCTGTGCTTGAAGTGAAAGAAGGGAGATATTGAGAACAGCAATGAGTTTGCCCCTTTTTGACAAATCTTACTCTCTGCTTATTTATATCAAATTATCATCATCATCACCCTTATCTCCAGTGATTACCCAAGTCTCTTGTTCACACTCCTCCAAACTGTCTACATATACCTCCCCCTCGCAATACACACTGAAGTTATTAAGAATTGAAAGAACAAATTGTTTGCCCATCCTCATAATCATCTGTCCTAAAAGGTCATTTAAACATTTAATCAAACCTGCAGTTCTCCAGGGGAACGTGTGAGTCATGCCGTTCATCCCACACACTCAAGCGGGGCTTTGTGTCAGTCTTAGGAATGATGCAGACTGGTCCCACAAAGAAATCAGTCACAGGGACATTTTCTGTCATTAGGCAGAGAACAAAAAGCTAACAGTTTCCTGGACTCTACTGAAATAAACTTTTGCACCAATTAATGAAACCCCTATGGAAAGCATCATGCCAGAATCCAAGGAGGCTGTCCATGTATTGACATGCAAACTAACACTCCTGCAAAAGAGGGGGTAGGTGAGCATCCTAAGTCAATATGAATTATTTGTTTTTCTGCTACTTTGGATCAGCTATACCACTGCTCCCTTTCACAGGTACAAATACACAAAAGAGGGCTTCTGTTTCATAAAAGTGGCTCTGACAAATGACACTCCTCAGGGTGCTGAACCCAACACTGGCAGCCAGCCCATTCTGTGCCCTCAGCCTGCCAGTACTTTTCACTTCCAAAGCTATCAGCCTGCTTCAGACCTATGCCTTCACTCTGACTAGGGACAAAGAAAAGATCACAGTGGAAATCCTTCTGCGTGCTGCTAATAAGCCTATTTAGAGTCAATGAGAAAGCCTCATTTTGCACCACCAATAAAGGCCTTCAAGAGTACTACTGAATCAGAGAAACCGAAATGTTTCTATGTACTCCCTGTCCTCATTTTACATCAGCCTGACAGGTGACACTCAGCAAAATATCGAACAGGATGACCTCCAAGTTTCCTTCCTTCTCTAATGTCCTCTGGTTCTCTGTTGGCCAGTAGGATTTAAATTTTATTTAAATTATCTCATATTCTGATGGATTCTTGAGCCCCTTTTCAGTTTTAGATAATCTCCCTGTGGTTTGCTGAATTGGCATATCTGGAGTCTAGGATCTCTGTTGGCAAAGAACTGAATATTGCTCCCATCCAACAGCTTAGCTAGCACTGTCTATTTTCTTTCTGAAAGAGATCTGGGTAGGAGACAGGTGCAGAGCATCTTTCCACCTCCCACAGAAGGGCTAGGGAAAGCTTTGTTGTGCATGAACCATGAACAAAAGGATAATTCAAACCAGCAATAATGTCCTTAATAAAAAATAATAATCATTTTCCCAAATGAAAATCTACAATTCTAACCATTTGATCACAGTGATGTAAGCAAACAAGCCTGCAGCTAAAGGTTATATATGGGTCAAAGATTTAATGGAAAGTGATACATGGGTGGAATGACATCACCTATTTGTCAGAATACTAACTCCTCTACCATATCCTATGTCGGCCCACCGTTGGGGTGTAAGGGAAAGGTGCATAAAGAGATAAGTACCCATTTCTAAACATAATGCAAGTTTGACATTTAAGCTCAATAGTTTAGCTATAGAGCGTTTTGGTAACATAAAAAGAAACCAGAGCAATTTGAGTGACCTTTGTGAAAGACAGGCATAAAGGTTGCAACCACCACTCTCACCACCAAAATCTAAAAATGCGGAAAATAAGCATTTATCAAAATTTCTCAGAGACTATGTTACCCACCCAAGATTCCACAGCTAGGATGCAGTGTTTGAGTGTCTACTAACAAGGCTGGGAATTATTAAACACAGAAAGCATAACAGAAACACTTAGTTCCTCTTGGGTCTTATGGTCCAGTTGATAAAACTTCCAGCACTTTGAACAGATTTTCACTTACTGCAAAGAAAAATGCTTAGCTGAATTATTGTCTATCTGGGTTGCAAGTAGCACACCCCCACCATCTGTAAAATAATATTTTGGTAGACTAGAGGGCATGTTGTTAAAGGAACCCAAAGGAGAATTGTTTTGATAAAGTTAGGGACAATCTCTAATATGTGTGTTTTATAATTCTGCAACTTATGTAGAAATATATCTGAATGAAATGTTGTTGAAAAGCTGTATATCATTTTAATTTTAATAAATCAAATCACATTTTATATTCACTGACTGAGAAGCTGGTACTTAGGAAACCTGTGAGAAATTAGTTTAATAATTTGTGTGTATTGCAAATATTGACCTTCTGACTTAATTCAGAATTTCTATATAAAAACAAAAATTTAATTCTTTAATATCTTAAAATGAGGGATGCTCATGCCATGTTAAATAAATCATTTCCACTTATATTTAATACATTGTATTAGTTAGGATGCTTGCAGCTGCAAATGATAGAAAATCCGATCCAAAATGGCTTTAAAAATTGTTGTTCTATAGGTCTATCACCCTAGACTTCTGCTGTCCAATATGATAGTCATTAGCCACATTTAAATGTAAAGAAATCAAAGTTACATTTACATTTAAGTGTAAAGTAATTAAAGTTAAATACAATTTGAAATTCTATTTTTTCAGTTTGCACTAGCCATATTCCATCAAGTGACCAATAGCCACATGTCACTAATGGCTGCTCTATTAAACAATGCAGATATGGAAAAACCTTCTTCACCTCAGAAAGTTCTATTAGATAGTGCTGGCTTCAAAGAAAAGGAAGTTGTTAAATCAGTAAGCAACAGTATCTGTTATATTCCCTATGTAGCAGGCAATAATCTTTATGCATATTATTTCCTTTAACTTCCCAACCGCTCTATGAGGCAAGTATTATTTTAATGTATTAGTCTGGACTCTAGGTTGCTAGCTAAAAATGGGAAAACATAATTAGGAGAACCTTGAACTATCTCACATATCTACAAGAAAAGCCTGGTTAAGGTCCTCATCACCATCAGAACTCTTTCCATCTGTCACCTTTATTCTGTTGCACAAGTCAATATTATTCTTCCAGGTCAGCTTCCCCCTTGTGGTGGAAACTTCCCAGCCTCATATCTCACAGCCTCAAACTACTGCCTCCCACCCCCTGAGAGAGAATAATCTTCCTCCTTTCACTCCCATTTTAGATATTACTCGGAAGGACTCTGATAATTTAGCTTTAGTGAAGAGCTCAGTGTTAAATCAATCAGTTGTGGCTGAAGAGACACAAAGGAGAGGATCAGGGTTGTAGAATAGAGACATGGCCAGAGGGGCTCCACTTATGGACAGTGAAAACAATTTCTACAGAAACTGGAATGGCAGGGTCCTCTCCTTCAACATATTTCTGAGTCCTCAAGGCTCTATCTCAGGCCCTCTGCAATTTCCACTCCACATACTTTCTGGATCTGTCTCACCAAGTCCCATTAATATACTAGTGAGGCCCCAATTCTCTGTCTCAGCAAGACCTTGTATTCTTAGCTTCAGACTCACATAACCAAGTAACCCTTCCCAGACATCTGCAGCTCTATATCTCATAGGATCCTTAAACTCAGTATCTCCCACAAAATTCATCATCCTCCTTCCCCCTCTTCCCCAATCATTCATTATATCAGGAATGCTCTTTCAATCAATGACCGAATTTCCCATTCCAAGAATCAAGGCATCATCCATGATTTGTCCTCTCCTTTAACATGCAATTAATTGCCAAGCCCTACATATATCCCTAAAATGTCTTTTTATTAATATATCCATCTACTTCTGTCCATTCCTAGTACAGTGCAACCATCATAGGCTGGGCCACTATCATTTCTGGAAAATTACTGTAGTATCTCATGGGTCTCCCTTCCTCCAGTGTTATGCCTCACCAATACATTATCCATACTACAGCCAGAATAATCTTTCTAAGATGGTGATTCTATTATTCTGCTTAAAACCTTCTGGTGCCCATTCATTGACTTTCAAAACATTTTTCAACTGCCTCTTGAGGCATATAAAGTGTTATATGATCTGTCCCTTGCCTAGGTCTCTATCCTTACTCTCTTCCTATCCCCCTCTCCTAGTCTCTACAACTGCCATCCTTTCTCTTGCCCACTGGTCTTTGTGCCACCCTCTGGTTAAAATAATAATACTACTGATAATCTCTTTTTCTTAATTCTGCTCATATTTTAGTCTCAACTTCAATGACACCAATCTTCTCCCCTAGGCTACATCAGTTCTCCCTGCTATATGCTGGCTATTCGCTTAACACATTGCATTGCAGGAACTGGGCTAAATTATTCACCTTCCCAATTAGACTGTAAGCCCCATGAGGACAATAACCATTTTTGTTTTGCTCACGAACATGTCCTTGACATCTAATAGCTAGTGCTTGAAAAAGAGCAGAAAATAAGCTGAATTTAATTCTTTCATTTAATCCACAAATATTTTAAGGAAGCCTATTTGTGCCAGATGCCACCCAAGGCACTGAGATTCAGCTGTGAATGAAACAAAATCTCTTCCTATATGAAGCTCATGTTCTTGCAGGGTAAAAAAAAAAAAAAAAAAAAAACCCTAATAAACTAATAATTTTTTAGAAAATGCTTAAATTGTATAAATAAATATAGTTTTAATATTTGTATAACTTTTTACATTTTTATTTTTACTTTTTAAATTTTATTATTATTATACTTTAAGTTTCAGGGTACATGTGCACAATGTGCAGGTTATTTACATATGTATACATGTGCCATGCTGGTGTGCTGCACCCATTAACTCGTCATTTAGCATTAGGTATATCTCCTAATGCTATCCCTCCCCAAACCCCACAACGGTCCCCAGAGTGTGATGTTCCCCTTCCTGTGTCCATGTGTTCTCATTGTTCAATTCCCACCTATGAGTGAGAACACGCGGTGTTTGGTTTTTTGTTCCTGCAATAGTTTACTGAGAATGATGATTTCCAATTTCATCCATGTCCCTACAAAGGACATGAACTCATCATTTTTTATGGCTGCATAGTATTCCATGGTGTATATGTGCCACATTTTCTTAATCCAGTCTATCATTGTTGGACATTTGGGTTGGTTCCAAGTCTTTGCTATTGTGAATAGTGCCTCAATAAACATACATGTGCGTGTGTCTTTACAGCAGCATGATTTATAGTCCTTTGGGTATATACCCAGTAATGGGTTGGCTGGGTCAAATGGTATTTCTAGTTCTAGATCCCTGAGGAATCACCACACTGACTTCCACAATGGTTGAAGTAGTTTACAGTCCCACCAACAGTGTAAAAGTGTTCCTATTTCTCCACATCCTCTCCAGCACCTGTTGTTTCCTGACTTTTTAATGACTGCCATTCTAACTGGTGTGAGATGTTATCTCATTGTGGTTTTGATTTGCATTTCTCTGATGGCCAGTGATGGTGAGCATTTTTTCATGTGTTTTTTGGCTGCATAAATGTCTTCTTTTGAGAAGTGTCTGTTCAAACAAATTTACAAGAAAAAAACAACCCCATCAAAAGTGGGCAAAGGACATGAACTTTTTACATTTTTAAAATTGTATAAATGAAACCTTTTTAAATGACATTTTCCATTATGTACTCCAAGTTGTCTTTTCATTATTCTGTTACCTCATTAGAGGTAGTATGGAAATAAAGTGCTTTCCCCTCAAATAGTATAAATGTAATTTTATTTTTTTAGAAAAACAAAACACTATGGAGTCATGGCATTTATAATGAAGTAATCAAATATTCCAATTAAATATTCAGGTAACCAAATATTCCAGTTAAATATTCAGGTAACCAAATACTCCAATAAAATTTGACTGATTTTATAGGACACAGGACTATATGTGTTTCTAGAATCATATTCCCATTTAAATTAGCATCGCAGTCAGGAATTTAAAGACAAACTATCAGAATAGTACATTTTCTTCTTAAATTACAGTAAAAGCCCTTTTATAACTATGTTGAGCTTTTCCTTTTATTAAAAAATATCATTCCAACAATTAAAATATTTATCAAATGCATGCCAAGCTAGGCACCATGCATCATATCTACATCACTGTAATGAAGAACAGGAGGACTATCTGGCCATACATTATAGACCAATTAATTAACTTAACAGATATATAATGCTAAGCATATGCTAAGTCCTGAGGATACAGACCCTGCTTACTAGCAACTTACAAACTATTGTCTGACTATTATCTTCCTCACAAAATATAAGCTCCTTGAGGGCAGATGTTTAGCACAATATAGAGTTTAACAAATGTCATAAGTAATAAAAAAAAATCAAGACTCTTCGGTAGTCTTGATTTCTCAATTAGCCTTAGTAAGCTCTAATCACACTTAGTCTTAATTTCTCAATTAGCCTTAGTAAGCTCTAATCACACTTTATGTCTCCTTTGCCCTACTGTATCCAATCCTTTGTTCAGCTAGTTCTTTTGTTTAGCTATGTTCCTAAGAAGTTGTGGTAATTCTCTTGTATTTCAGCAAATCATATCTATGAGACTCTCTCAAATCCTCTGAGTTAAAAAGAATCCCAAGATAAAACATAGAGAAGAAATATTATTTTTGAAATATAGTCTCCTGTATTTATCTGCTTTGTATCACTTTTAGAAAAGAGGAGAAATCAAGTTTTCCTGATATTGAATCATCTATACATTGTTCCTTTTTAAAAGTTTGTTTGGTTTTAATGAATTGGTTCCCTCAACTGAAGTTTAATAGCCATTTAAAGGAAGACAATTTATCCTAATGTTTCTGTATTTTTCTAAACTTTCTCATCCTCTCTGGCCCAAGCCTTACCATAGTTTTTCAAATAATTGGTGATCAAAAATGCTGAACTGTCACCTGTTTGCCTATATACTCTTTTCCATTTGTGAGTTCTTCAGTGTAATATTCCAGAGATTGTGTTTATTCAGATACATTCATCTTCCAATCAATCAAGATAATGCCAGCTTCTGTTGTGGGTTTTGCAGAAAGGATTTCCTAGACTCCTGAATTCATTTTTTCTCTCTGTAGTGTGAGCATTTTTCTGTTTTAAATTATTTTCTGAAAAAATGTGAGTATTTACGTACTCGAAATTTTAACTAGAATTGCTTCCCTTCTAAAAATGTTAGTTTCTCAGACCAAATGCATCAATCTGACTCCCTCAGAAGTCAGGCGGTTCACAAAGAGGGAATACTTCACCTTAGGTGGCCAAGAAAAAAAACATACTGGCCCATATACCAGGAAAAATAGTAGAATGGGTCAGTGCAACTCAGCCCCACTTCGGTAAAGTTCTTCAGAGCAGGAAAGGATGAAGGAAAGAAGCAAGTATCAAATCAGACTTCAGTCCTATCATCGTTAGGTAGCTACAGGGCTTTAGACAACCAACTTGACCAGATGAGCCTCAATTTCCCTTTCTGCAAAGTGAGGAAACTGAGCTAAATAATCTCTAAGGACCTCTTCAACTCCTCCACTCTATGTGTATTTACGATTGACAGTACAGTTTTCTAAGTGTTCAGAATATTTTTTGTTTCTGAGATGGCAAACTTTACAATCTGCTTTGCAGACTTTGAAGATACAGGTGCATCTGTGTACGTTTCTTTAAATTTAGTAATTTAGTAATTAAGCTTCCCACTTTCAAATTTACTAATGAGAAAAACACGCACACACACACATATATACATATTACTCTGTTATTATACTTTACTGATTTGAATACATACTCAAGTAAGTATATAAAGCTGGCTACTGATTGCATGTTTTTGCATTGACAATGTATAGGTCAAGTCTTGTTTAGACGATCTTCTGTAAGACACCTTGAGTTTATCAGTAACCTTTAGCACAGTTGAATGTTTATTTTGCTAATTTAGCTTCAGGTGCTATGGTTATCATTACAAACTAACTCTAATATTCTCTGTTACTCAAAGTATACCCTAGAGCTCACCAGGATCCATGTCACCTGGAACTCATCAGAAATGCAGAATGCCTACCTCCAGAGTTACAAAATCAAAATCTGCATGTTAACAAGGTACTTAAGTGGTTTGTGTGCATGCTAACATTCTAGAAATGCTGTTAGACATAGTGCTTCCCATATTGCTTTAAAATAGATATTTTTCTTTAAGAGAATGAATAAATGAGTAAACTAACTCTAATTTAGCAATGTGAACTGCTATAATTCAATGTCATTGGACTTAGAGTTATAGAACTTCTAGTTGATAGTTTCTCCTATTTTGTTTTTTGCTTAATGTTGTCATAGGTCTACTCTTATACAAGGCAAGGGGCCAGGGAACTGGATGTAAAGGTTTACGCTGTTCAAGACCCACTAGCAAAAACTACATGTATAACTGAAAATCAATGTGAAGAATATTAAAATATTTACTACTTTATAAAGGATTAGGTAATAACCAATATGTTATTTTTGCTTCACTTTATAGTTGGTGATTAAAATTCCAAAATGTATTCCATCACACATAAAGTATCATAAAGAGCAAAACAGGAAAATATTTTTCAACTATGTGGTAAAATATCTAATATAAGTAAATAATAAATGGAGGATATAAATGTCAAGGACAAATCCAAATAAAAGAAACCAGGATCCTGGCTGCAGCTCTGAGATTAACACTGTGATTTGTCAATAATTCACTTTACTTCTCTGGGTTCTAGTTTCTTCACTAGAAAACAAGAGATTGATTCTTATTTTACATCCCAGCTCTAAATTCTGAAATCTAGTATGTCTGAAATCAATGCCTGTTTTGTCATCTCAGATGGATCTATTGAAATTCAACATGAAATCTCAGAAACAGCATAAATAAGTCATCCTTGGATTTCTGCTATTTTACTTGCGAAGAACAAGAGCATATGGATGGCTACCTGGTAGTGCTCACGTAAAGGCATTCTCCCCAAGAGTTTTACTCTAGGCAAGGGGACAAATGGGGATGGCAGAACGCATTTTAATTCAGGGGAACCTACCTGGGTTATCTTTCACTCTGAATCACCAAATCAAATTATGTAAATTCATCCCCCTTGATGACTACCTACTTCCTTCATATGGTCTCTATGCGTCCTGAGTGAATACGGGAGAGCTTATACCTTTCATAACTTTACAAAACAGAGGATTGCTGAGAGGTAGTTATAATTGAAAAGTTACATAGTTAATCTAGCACCAGAAAATAAACTGACAGGTCTTCCAGGGAGCTAATTATTGAGGCTGCTATTTGGTTCACTGACAGGATTGCTTGTTTGTGGGAAGAAACATATTTGTGCGTTGCTTTTTCCATTACCGCTATTTCTATCATCATAAATAAGAATCAATAGGCCATTTTGCATAGCATATGCTCACCACTATTTTGTATCTGAGTGTCAGCTGTATGCAGGCTAAGCAGCAGTGCCCCAGTCTCCTGGCTGAGAATTAAAACCCAGCAAAGAAAACACCTCAAATTCCACAAGACAGTGTATATGTCTTTGTGAGCTCCTTGAGAGCAAGGGAGGTCTGTTGTTTGTCTCTCTATCTGAAGCACAGTGCCTGGCACATGGTGAGCTTCAAAATGTATAAACAACTAAATGAATAATGAATGAATGGATGGATGAATGAAACAAAGGAAGGTTTTAAGATAGGATATGGAATCAACTGTATTTACTGGATCAGTCAAGGGATGTCGTTTTGATAAGCACAGAGCTATTTATAATTCGTGATGGAGACAGGAAGGAAAAGACCCGGCCTGAGTCCAGAGGGAGCTGGCTTTTGTTTAGCAGCTTAACCCACATACTCAGGTCTCTACAATATTCACTATTGGGTCCTCACTATAGAAGACAAGAAATCAGAATGACAGTCATTTAAAAAGTAAAGCAAAACTTCTGAAGAAAGACTCTACTGCCAATGAGAACATTGCTGGACAAAACAAGGTCAAGTAAGGGACTGATCAGAGGAAAGATAGGAATGAGAAAAAATGAGGCAATGAAGGGAGAGGAATTGTGGCAGAGGACTGAGTGGGGAAATAAGTGTGTGAAAAATGTGTAAAGACAGGGAGAGGATGAAGATGCAATTCTCAAGAGAGTCTGTGGGTGTCTGGGTTTTGGAGAGTGGAAAGACACTAAGCCTGAGAGTACAATGAGGGAGGGAGGAAGGAAGGGAGGGAGAGGTCAGATAAAAGTCTATAAAATAACACCCATCACCACTGATAACAAGTATAAAAGAGTCCTTTTTTCTTCTCGAGAAAGACAAAGGGAATTTTAAGTAGGATTAAGTAGTAGTAGCTTTCAGAACTCAGCAGCTCTCAGAAGCAATAATAACTACATAAATAGCTAAGTGGATGGTAGGAATTACCTCACTTGGAATTTGGCCAGCAAATCAAAAGTTAGCAGTAATATCACATCTTTTTGAAAGCTTTCCTGAGATTCTAGAGGGGAAAATTATCTCAGAAAACTGTTTCTACTGAGTAAATTTCAGGAAGAAATGCTCCTCACTGCTTGAAGATGTTCTATCTCTGGAAAACTGGTAAGACAGAAGTCCCTCCCTGCTGGGAAGCACTCTCTCATCCAAGTAAATACATTGCCAATTTTGCCCCCAATGGAAGCAAATAATTACGTTCGCAGATCACCGTCGCCTAATGTAAAATGTTACTCAACACATATAACTTAACCTACCAATGATGTTCTGAATGAACAAAAAGGGCCTCATGGATATCTCACTTTCAGAGAGTGCCTTAACTTTTTGACTTATTGCAGGTAGTTAAAATGCAAACTTTTTAAGGCCACATTTTAAAGCACTTTGCAAACGCTGGACACCTCTACTCGTGAATATCCTGTAAATTTTTCCTTTCAAGTACATTTGACCACTAACATGCCAGATCATCTTCCCTTCTCCCCTAAAACAGAAATGAAAACTGGGTAAAATGGTAATTTGGGAGACAAATATCTTCTCTTATCATCTGAAAACTGTCATATGTTGCTTTTTTAAAAAATTAAATTAGTGTTATTTGTTTTCCACCCAGAGACAAGTTATTTTGGTATCACCCACAATGGAATTTGCATGAAAATCTGTTTACTGACCCAGTTCCCTAGGGGTGCATTTGCCCTAGCACTTGGAGTAAACACCATTTTCATTGCACTAGAAATAGTTCTAATTGGACAAATTGTTATAATTTTAGCAACACCCAAATAAATCAAAGGAATTGGAGGCAGACATGCCACAGAATCTGGATTCGGCCACAAACCAGTTCAGTATTTGTGCCTGAAATAAAAGTCTAGTCATATACCACCTACAGATGCTAAAGGAACAGCTACATACCTCAACTGAACTTAGAAAATATGATTTTTTTATTGTACTTTAAGCTCTGGGATGCATGTGCAGAACGTGCAGGTTTGTTACATAGGTATACATGTACCATGATGGTTTGCTGCACCCATCAACCCATCATCTAGGTTTTAAGCCCCGCATGCATTAGGTATTTGGCCTAATTCTCACTCTCCTTTCACCCTCAACCCCCTGACAGGTCCCACTGTGTGATGTTCCCCTCTCTGTGTCCATATGTTCTCATTGTTCAACTCCCACTTACGAGTGTAAAAAAAAAAAAAGAAAGAAAATATGAGTTTGGAGAAACTGGTTATTCTGAAAACAGCCTATTAAAAAGTTATGTGACTGGTTAACAGTGTGTGTGTGTGTGTGTGTGTGTGTGTGTATGAGTCCATCCATTTCATTAACTGGGGTATTTTCACTAATACAGTCTAAATAACAGGAAATGAATTTAAAGAGAATCAAACAATAACATTCAGAACTCAAAGTTAAGCATAGTGTAAAATATATCTCAGTGGAAAGCATGTAAGTGCTTAACTTAACTCTCCTTCCAAACCCATCTATAAACTGCCACTTTGTATTTTCCATTCATGTATCCTCCTCTCCAAGAAGCTGGACCTTTTTACTGCTGTTCACGCACCTACACGTCACACCCTACTCCATGCCTTTGTCCTGCTGACTCCCCATTTCTTCTCATCTTGGATGTCTTTCCCAAATCCTTGTCATCAAACACTCATCTCCTCCACAGAGCTTTGGATTTTACAATGTAAACTTACATACATTTTCTGAACTTCCCTAATTATCTATATCCAAATTTAGCATTTAATTATAGAACTTTCCTCTCTGATTACGTATATGTTTGTGTGTACCTTCTTTTCCCCCAACCAAATCACATGATTTAAAGGTAACATTGGTCTTTAATGCCTCTCCTTAAAGTTTCCATCAAGATCCTACTCTGCATTTATTCTCTTTCACTAGTTATCCCTTCTTTTTTTTTTTCTGAAAACATGCTTAAATGTGCCCTATCCTAAAGAAATCTCCAATTCTTTCTCAAGCTCTCCCACCATACCTACTTTCTTTCTCTCAAAACTTCTTGAAACAGCATCCTTTCCTCCACTTCTATTCTGTTCTCTCTCAACCCCTCTAATTTGGTTACCCAGGCACACCCTTATCTCTCAGCTGCAAGTCCCTGCAGCACTGAAACCTCACGCACCTGTCTTTCTCCTGGAGACTGAGACAACCTTGACTCCCAGTTCATCTCCTTCCCCCAAGCCCAGCATTCTCAGTGTCCTTTCCTGGTTCCTGCCCTTGAATTCTCAGTCATCACTCCTCATCTTTTCTCAGTCTCCCATGGCAATTGCATCTCTGCTTTTGTCTTTAACTTCAAAATCTCCAAGACTTCCTAATCTCAAATTTTAGTGAACTGTCTGTGGGGTCCCAGACCTTATGCTGCCACCTGCTGGCCAGTTTCATGGGGCTATCTCAGAACAAAATTCAAGTTTATTCCCAAACACCTAACCATTCTATTTATTTTATATTTCCTCTGTTAACTAATTACATCACCATTTTCCTAGACCTCCCTGATAGAGGTTTAACATCAGCATCCTCCATGATTTAACGATCTTTGCCCCAGCATCAACCACTCAGCTGGTTGTTATATAAACACAACACTATGTAGCGTTAGATAAATATAACACTACGTACCAAAGCGTCTGTCCTGTGTGTTACATCCCTAGCTAGCTTTTTTGTTTGTTTGTTTTGTTTTGTTTTGTTTTTTTGGAGATAGAGTCTCACTCTGTCGCCCAGGCTGGGTGCAGTGGTGCAATCTCAGCTCACTGCAACCTCCACCTCCCGGGTTCAAGCAATTCTCCTGCCTCAGCCTCCCAAGTAGCTGGGACTACAGGCGCCCGCCACACGCCGGGCTAATTTTTTGTATTTTTAGTAGAGATGGGTTTTCACCATGTTGCCCAGGCTGGTCTCAAACTCCTGAGCTCAGGCAATATGCCCACCTCGGCCTCCCAAAGTGCTAGGATTACAGGTTTGCACCACCGTGCCCGGCCCCTAGTTAGCTCTTCTTAGACCATGATGGCCTGTCCCCAGGATACTGGATGAGTCCTCATTGACCTGCCTCCATTTTCTCCCCTGAACCCCAATCCTCTTCACACTTCTGCCAGGCAAATCTTCTTGAACCGAGTGTCTGAGCAATTCTCTAGATGAAGAGCCTCAAGACATTGTGTCCTACCGGTAGAATAAAGCCCAAATTCCTCAACTCTGGAACTTCTGGAAAGAACTTCAAGACTGTGCATGGTCTGGCTCCAGACTATCATCAAAGCCTCAGCTGTCATCACGCTTCCTCTCGCGATATTCACTCTTGCTCCAACCTCCCTGAACTATTTTTTTTTTCCTTTACTTTGAACAAAAGAGCCTTACTCTGGCGCTAGAGCTTGTCATGCATTCCTGTCATATCTTTACATGACTGACCACTTCTTGTCACTCAGGTCTTATCTCAAATGTCACCTCCTCTGGCGAGGCATACTCAGACCACACAGTCTAATTACCTTCCTCCTCCTAATACCCAGGTTAGTCTTTCACAGTTAATCTGTTGTATTTCTTCTAAGCACATCTCAGCATCTGAACACATCTGTTCATTTATGTTTATTATGGAGTGTCCATCTCCCCACACTCAAATGTAAGCCCGTGAGCATGAATATTGCCTTTCTTCACTCAACCCAGCTCCTGGAAAAGTGCCTGGCACATGGAAGCCTGAAATCAGATTCTTCCACAGTGTGGCACCCATTTCCACCTCCTTGTTCTGTCTCTGTTTATATGTCTGTGCTAGCTTTTAGTATATTACATCTTTTATTTGAACAGCTATTTCCAAAGAAAGTGAGGAGGAGGGAAAGGAGGACATATCAAAGTCTGGGGGTGGCAGGGTAGAAGAAGGAATGAATCATTTCTAAAACACACATTCAAGTTGTGTAGTTTTCAGTGTAAAGGATTTGTGCATTTTTGTTAAAATTGACCCTTATATATGTTGTATGTTTTTGATCCTACTATAAGCAGTATTCTTTAAATTTCATTTTCTATGTGTTAGTTTCTAATACGTATATTAAAAATGAATGTTTATATTGACCTCATATCTGTAACCTTGCTAAATTTACTGCTCAGTTCTAAGTAACTCTGTCTCAAAAAAAAAATTATGCGAGTTTTTTTTCTATGTGCACAATCATCTGAAAATAAATATAGTTTTAATCATATATTCAAAAATGCATATTCAATATCATTATTATTTTTAAGCACAAGCTATGGAAAGTAAAGCATCTAAAAATCATACATGTTCCAGGATAGCTGCTATGCAGGATTTAAGAAAATAATAGTATTATAGAGGACAGCGATTAAAATAGTTGAAAAATACTGTCTTATAGCAACTTATCATGATACATATTACATTTTGAACCCCTGGAGAGCAATACCATGTCTTATTTGTCTGTATTCCATCAAACCTAATAAAGTACATTTTCCAAAGTAGACAATAAATGTTTCCCAGATACCCCAGTACTGTATGCATGGTATATGTTCAATAAAAACTTGCTGATCCATTGAAAGAACCAATAAACAAATTTAAGTTTGTTGAATGATCAGGGTATGCTCAGCCCTGAGACACTATAACAAAAAGACACAAAAAATAGAAAATACATTCATCATTATCCATATAGAAAAACGTAATTTATCAAGTAATGAAAACAAATGAAAATGAAATAAATGCACCACAGGAAACATTTGAGTGGTTACCTGTGCATTTCTTTATATGACTGTTCCTTTTCCCATGTGATCCTAACTTGCAGCCAAAATTCTCCTCCCAGAATTCTGCAAACCACACATTTCTTCGATTATTGGCAAGAGTTCGGCTTCTAAAGTATCGATCAAATCCTATTTCAAAGGAGAAAGGTATGATTTTAATATTCTTTCAAAATTAAATATTGTCAGAACTTTCGAATGGACATTATATTCTGATCACTGCATGAAAAGAAAAAAACAAAACACATAACAAATGAGAGAAAGCCAGTAGCCCATAAATAAGGCCTCTCTTATGGCAAAAGTCAAGGAGGATCAATGGACAATCCCCCCACACCACCACCAGTACCCAAGCACCTGGCTCTATGAATAAGTACAACAGGAAAGCCTGGTGTCAGCGACCTTCTTAAACCCTCTCCTACTCTACTACTCCCAGAGGCAGCAACCAGTGACTTCATGCTGAATCCTGAATACTTAGAACCCAACTTAAACTTGCCTCATTCTTTTCTCTTTCCTAGCATGGATCAATGTTCCAGACTTTCCTGTGTTTCCACATACTTCAAAATTTCTCCTTCCTATATGTTCTGTTTTCAGGTAATTCAATAAAGCAATCATGTTAATGTCATCTTATGGAGTCATGAACTCAAGTGTCGGTTTGCTCAGGTAACTACTTTATTGAAGGGAGACCCCCTGGAAATAATGCCTTACTCCAGAGGATAATGTTAAGATGGGAATTTCAGTCACTGTCAAACCGACTGGAAAAGATGTTTAGAAGATAGACTGCCTTTCAGGATGCTCCAAGTCTTTCCTGTTGCATTTATTTATCCATAGGATAAGCCCAGCATCATATATATTCATTTTCTATAAATCAAGCATTTCCCTCCAACAATGCTATAACCACCATAAATACCCATGGAAATACGCAAACTCAAACTCAAAGTGCAATTACTAACATAATGGAAATAACTGACTATGGTCTTTTTCTTAAAAAAATATAATGGGTCCTCTTTCCTAAATACATACACACACACACACACACACACACACACACACACACTATATACATATATACATATATATATGTATATGTGTATATATATAGGTATATGTGTATATATATATGTATATGTGTATATATATATGTATATGTGTATATATATATGTATATGTGTATATATATATGTATATGTGTATATATATATGTATATGTGTATATATATATGTGTGTGTGTATATATATATATATATATATATATATGCATATGCATGCTGGTTTAAATACTGGTCTTGACAATTCTGCCACCAAAGCTAAAATTTGTATCAAGTCATCAGTAATGAGTGCATTTCCTCATATTATGATACTCCAGTTTTGCCTTTGAGTTCAGATCCAACTGGAATAAAACAAATTCTCTATGGTGCATTCTTACCATCAATTGATGCTCGTTTGGGCAAAATTGTCACAGCCCCTTCTGCAATCTCCTCTTGCTGATAGACAGGTGCTATTTTGGATCCCCAACTATCTGAGCCAATCCAGAGAAAATGCCCACTTTGGTTTAGTTTTTTTGCTGCTTCCAATATCCTCCTACAGGAATAAAAATAAATAATGCATATCACATGTATTAAAAATACCACAATTATGAATATTACAAGACCAGATTTAGGAAGTTGTATACACTCAGTAGGTCACTGTTTAACAATTAAGACGATCATTCTAACTGCCCGAGTCTTATCATCTCCTAAAAACAATATAGCAGAGACTAACTCCAACATATGTTAATTAGCCTTATCCTTAACCTCATTCACATCATTCTGTCTATCACCTTTGTTTGTCTTATCTCATTTGGTCCCCAAGTTTTACTCTGTAGGTATTTCAGATTTACAAACTAGAAGGCAGTCTGTTATTGGAAGGCAATTACAAGCTTTTATGTTGAACATGAAATATGTTAGAAAGAGGATATGGGACACAAATCTGACCCTACATACAGAAGAAAAGTAATCAGCACCTGATGTCATCCTCATTGGCAAACATAATCACTGCTCGAGCATTAGGTGTTTCTAGCAGGCGTTTGATAATTTTTTCAAATTCTCCAGGTCTTGGTTCACGTGGGATTTTCTGTGACTGAGCAATGCAAACACCACCTATTTAAAAAAGAAGGGAGGTGGTGATTCAGAAAGAGCATTTATTTAATTAGCAAACCCAATTACCTACTTTATAAAAGCACATACTTCTGTATGAATATTATTTCTCAAAATATGTGTCACTCTCACCTATTAAGAGCAATTGTTTGTTTGCATTATAATATATTCACCAAATAAATGACAACAATTATTAATCAGACATGGGTTTCTTTCCCAATATTTAAACATTATTTTTGTGGATATAGCTAAGAAAACCAAGGTGTATAAGATGTGTGATGAGAGTCAAAAGATGGAAAGAAGAAGGGATCTTTTGATTTATGCAACATAAGCCAAAGGACAAGTGACAGAATTAATAAAAGTATGAATATGTCTTATAGTTGAGACCCTTATTAAGTAGCAAAGTCCTTTTGTTACTTTTATTTACTGGTAGACTTCTTTTAAAGTTAATTTCATTGTATAGCTAATAGAACTGCAGCAAGATCCTCATGCATCAGCATAGCAATGTCTTATGAGACAAGTGGTCTTCAAGGCTATGTAAGACACAGGCAAACCCCAAAGATGCCAACTTTGGATTGACATACATCGCCACTATGAAAATCGAAATGGCAGAAATACCATCTCATTTTCACTGCAAATAAAAAGACAGAACCCTTCTTTTGGCCTCTCCTTCTTAGGCAATGAAGGACAAAAGAGAAAAGTATAGAAAAGATCTCTGCCTCTGGGCTGGGGTAGGAGGAGAAGAAAGAGGTTCCCCCAGTTGCAGTGAAACAGAGATAACATTCTGAAACTAGATGAGAAAGCAATATTAGTAATAGGTTTCAACTGCATTATGGTATAAACAGTATTTTTTTTTAGTCAGCTAAGAATTAAATCACCATTTATAGCATTGCTTCAGTAGGCAAAGGCATTTTTACTTCCAAACAATTGCCAATGCACTCAGTCATCCAACTGTTATTGGATGCCATTATATTCTACGCACTGGGCTCAACATTGGAAATGCACAGTCTAATCCAGGAGTTACCACCTAGTCTGGGAAATAGGCATTTGAATAAGTTACCATGGAATAGATAATAAAGTATATAATTAATAGGATACCCAATACAATCAGAACACAGAAGAAGGAGTAACTAAAGTGCTTGAGAGAACTGAATTTTAAAGAGCAAATATATATCCACATGGGGACAAAAGTGGAACATGTCTGGTGGAGGCCAAAGTATGTAAAAACCTAGCATGATCATGGCCTATGGTAGAGACTGGCTGGGTTTGAAGTTGGAAACAATGACCAGGTCCAACTTGAGAACGGCTTTGTTAGACATGCCAAATTCTGTAGGCTGAGTGTTCATATGTTAAAACTTAATCCCCAGTGTGAAAGTATTAGGAGATGGGACTGTTGGGAGGTGATTAGGTCATGAGAGTGGAGTCCTTATGAATGGGATTAGTGCCCTTATAAAAAAGACTCCACAGAGATTTCTTGCACCATCTGCCATGTGAGGACACAGCAAAAAGACACTGAACCAGGAAGAGGGCCCTCATCAGCTCTTGACCATGCTGGCACCTTGCTCTCAGACCTTCAGCCTCCAGAACTGTAAAAATAAATTACTATTGATTAAGCCACCCAGTATATGATAATTTTTATTTTTTATTTTTTAGATATGGGGGTGTCACTCTGTCACCCAGGCTAGAGTGCAGTGGCCAGATCATAGTTCACTGTAGCCTCAAAGCCCTAGGCTCCAGTGATTTGCTCACCTCATCCTCCGGAGTAACTGGGATTACTCTGCACATGCCACCACACCGCACTGGTCTCCTATAATAATTTATTATGCATTTCAAAGAGACTAAGACATCAAATAACTTGGACTTTATTTTGAAAACAATGGGGATCCATTAGGTTCATCAGCAGGAGAAATATATGCTGAGCTTTATGCTTTAGGTAGACTTTCAAAGAAGAAACGTCTGGTAGCCAAATGACAGATTTCCAGGGTGCTGTGATCGGACCTAATATGTACAGCAGATGTATGAGTAACTGGTGCCAGTATATAAAACTATTTTTCTTTTAAGTTAGAGAACATTCAAAATTATGCCTGTAATAGCAGGACTCTTAGTAACCTTACAATTTGCATCCCAGGGGTGGGAATTGCCCATAATACACAGATTGGGCTGTGTCACTACCTGCAGTTAGCTAGTCTACCGATATACTACCACTAGTTGTGATAATTGATTCATTCCTTCAGTAAATATTTCTTGAGTGCCCCGTATCTGCTAGATACTGTGTGGGTGCTGTGGACACAATGGTGAATAAAAGAAATTCTCTAAGTTCACAGAATTCAGAAATATTGTGGGTAACTCAGGCTTAATGCAAACTAAAAAGAAAGAAGAAGAAGAGAAAAAGAATGGAGACGAGAAAGAAGAAGAGCAGGAGAAGGAGGAGGAGAAAGAGGAAGAGGAAGAAGGAGGAAGAGGAAGAAGGAGGAAGAGGAGAAAGACAAGGAGGAGGAAATGGAAGGAGGAGGAGCAGATGGAAGGAGGAGGAAGAGATGGAGGAGGAGGAGGAAGAGATGGAGGAGGAGGAGTAAGAGAAAGGAGGAGGAGGAGGAAGAAGAAAGGGGAGGAGGAAGAGGGAGGAGGAGGAAGAGGAAGGAGGGGGAAGAAGGGGAAGGAGGAGAAGGAGAAAGCAGAAGCAGAAGAGGCAGAAGAAGAAATAATACATAATTATAAATTATAATAAGCCCTGTGAGGAAGAGCAAAGGAATTTAATTTAGATTGAGGACTGCTCAGGGAAAGCCACCCTAAAGTTGTGTAATGTAGTTGAGATCAAAAGGATGAGAGCATGGGAAAGGGCAGGAAAGGGCCAGGGGAGTCAGTGAATGAGGGTGAGAGGAGTGGGCAACAAAAATGAGATGGAGATAAGGGTCCAATTGTGTGTGGCTCTGCAGGGCCTGTGGAAGACTATGAATAATTAAATGCTTAACTTTCTCACTAAATGTTTCTATTTCTTCGATCTTTGAGTGGCCCATAGGAATATGTCTCATGTATGAGCATTGCACTCCACGGAAGAAAAATGGATGACGATCGCTGATACAGAGGGCAGCCTGAAGTGGGATGAACAGGAGGCAATGAGCCAAGCAAGGAGGTATTGGAATAGGCAGTGGGAAATGATGACTGAGCCAGCGCTACTGGTGCTGGGGAGGAGCAGCTGGAGCTAAGGCAGAATCTCTGAGTTAGAATCAATGGGGCTTTGTATTGATTTGATGTAAGTAGGGAAGCAATGGGAAACCGCTAAGTATGACTCCAAGGATTTGGTCTTTGTGACCAGTTATGTGATGGTATCATTAAACAAGTGGGAAATCCAGGAGGATAAGGAGGAGGAAAGAATGATTTTGATTGGAAGCAGGTTGTCTTCAAAGTATGCATGGAATGTCAAACTGAAAAAGTGAATCTGGAGCTAAAGAGAGAGAAGGGAATTGTAATACTTTCGTCAGGGGCTGATAGGTTAGGTATTTGAAGTGTTGTGGGGCAAAGAGGTCACTGAGAGAGAATATTTAAATCAGCAATAGAAAAGGTGAATTATAGAACTCTGAAAAAAATCAGGTTTGGAGAAGGAGGAAAGGAGTGATTAAATATTTTGAGAAAACTTTTGGAATGAAGTCTAGAGGTAAGTTGAAGACTATGTATAATTTATTTAAAATGCAAACAAACCAACCTCCGTGAGTGGAAACATTAGGTAACTGCAAAAATGTAACATGAAGTAACACTCTATAGGGAACAATAGCTGTTTCAAAAGATGACTGCCCTTTTAATTAAATTGCCATGATTACTTAAGCATCCCATTAAAGACATGTTATATGCTGAGTATCATTCTGAGACTGACTCTGTAGCCATAAAAAATTAAGTTCTGAAAATTTTTATTATTACTGTTTCAGAAGAAGCAAACAAGCAATCCAAACATAGTTTAGTCTGAATTCATTGATTTATTTATTCACCATGGACCTATTAAACATTTTTGTTTGTAAAGAGCTGAGTTAGCTGAGTTGAATTTTAACATAGCTTAAATCCATTTCACTTTTTGCTATTCCCACACCTCACCTCATATCTTTCAACCTGGTCAGTTTGAATTTTCCTGGAAAGAGGCACTGGACTATTAATCTATTTAAGCTGAACAAATGCTTGTAGAGAACCTGTTCCACATGGCATTGTGCTGTTTGGTGCCTGTGTATATTTTATTAAAGTGTAGATAAATTATTTCTCAAATGATTGTAGTTAGAAGACTGGGATTATTTCCTTAACCCTGATACCCATTCACACTTTCTTTCTTCATATCAGTCAAAAACCAGACAGCTAATCTGTTCATAAGCACTCATGGTCTACTATGTTTCAGGAGCTACAGACAAAGACCGCCAGTCCTCAGCAGTTATGATATAATTGAATGACAATATGTACACATAAGAAATGTCAGACAAGGGTGTAAATTAGGTAACACAGATAACAGCATAAGATACACCACAGTTCAGTCATAAATGACAAATAGGTCATCCCCTAAAATAGTCCTATGACTTCATAAGAGGAAGAGGTTATTATATACTGTTAGAATTTGGTTTAAAAAATAAAATGAAATTCAAAGATTCAGACCTCAAAGATACGTTTTCCATACAATACTCCACATCCATTGCTTGACTTTTTAAAGAGACTCTGTCTTGATTTAAATTCCTGGGGTGGGTGGGAGGAAGAGAAGTTGCCCTTCATCAAAGAATGTGTCCACCACATCTATTCTTCCATGTCTCAGTCTGAAAGATTACTAATTGTGTACAATTTAAGGGACTTTAACTTTCCTATTCTGCAGGGGTGTTACTGTTCTGTAATTTTTAAAGCTTAGTACTTACAGGCAAAATGTTATATGAAGGAATTTATAATTGGCTGTTTTCTAGAATTTCCTGGCTAGTTTCCTTGCAGCCTGTGTATTTTTTTTCCTTCTGGTTACTTAACAATAATTTAAAGATCATTTGTTGAATTTAACACTTTATGTATACTTTACAATACACATGATCACTCCTTTCCAGTCTCATTTACTCAATGACACCATCTCTATTCCTAATGGCAGAACTTGAAGGTTTGCATCATGACCATCTTTCTGATAAGGAAAATGAGAAACAGGGGTACCAACGGCTTGCAAGATACTGAAATCCAGGTTCAAAGCCAGATTTGTCTGCCTCTAAGTCTGGACTTCTTCCATCATCTTACCCATCCACAATTGACTATACCTGTGGCTTAATGGTTTAGTGACTGCAAATGATTGATGGATAAGATAAAGCAAATTTAAAGACTCTTTTTTTTTTTAAAACCCTGCCAGTTGTCCCTTGTAAATCTAATTGACAGCTACATAAATACAGTCCTTCTGTTATCCTAAATAAGAGTTTAATTAAAATACTTGGAATCTATGCAGATTATAGAAGTGACTTAAAGTTCTTCAGCATATAGCCAGTCTACCCTCCAAACTTTCCAATTGTTTCTGTTGATGCATGTTCTCAGGAAGACTTTTCTGAGGTTCTTGTCTTCCACTTCTTTCATACTGCAGCAATCATAATAATTTTAATTTTACTTTTTTTTGTTACTTCTTTTTCTTTTTCTTCTTCAATTAGAAATCCATGAGTATTGAACCTTGTCTTTCAAATTTATCAGTATACCCCAACATGTATCACTGCGTTTGGTACATAGACTTCAACAAACATTTGTTGAATGAATAAATGCAAGACTTGTGACAGGTACTGCTAGGATAGAGAAATACAAATGAGACAGTGCTGCTTTCAAAGACTTCTCCATCAAGTAGGGGAACAAATAGCTACATGTAAATATATGTTTAAAAGTAGATGTCATTAAAAGAAGTAAAAAAAATATTTGGGCCATGACAATTCAGAGGAAGTTGTCACTGAAATGGGATCTGCCTCCCAAAATAGTTTTTATTAGGGTGCCATGAATTAGAATACTACCTAGGCCTTAGTGTATTCATCTGTAGAGTGGCATTAGAATTTCCTCATATTGATACAAGAGCAAATTTGTAAACAATGCCATTTCAGAATTTTTACCCCTTTAGAAGGCTGAGACTTGTGGGTGAGTGGTCAGGTGTCACAGATATGAGAGATAAAAGGCTTGTATGTATTGATTTGCTAGTGCATAGAGATGGTGGAATGAGAAAGAAAATAGACTTGTCAGAAGACCTGAGAGTGGCCCCACATAATCTTGAAAAGTCTCTCATCTCTCAGTTTCCTCATCTCTGTAATGAGGTTCATAATAACTATCTCTCAGGTATACTGTGAGAATCCAATTATAAAGGGTAAATTCCTATGCCAATGTAGCATATTATTATTAGTGTTAATAACAGTAATAATCATAGCCAGACAAGAATCATCACCAACACTGAGAGATACTTGACATTCAGCCCTAAAACACAGGTTTTTCAACAGATCATATTTTTGAATCTTCACCATTTTATGTGTAATATTATCAAACATCCTAAATTCTGAAAAGTGATACTTGCTCACTTGCCTGTGCCAATAGATGAAATGACTAGATTTCACTCTTCATCATTGTTGATTACAATGTGATCGGGGCAATTTTAAGGTGAGAGAATGAGAAAAGTTATTTACATTCTTCTCCCATCCCCCAGTTCCTACCCCCAAGAATTAATTCTCCTTTCAAATGGATTCCATAAGTAGTAAAGATTTGGCTCCAATATCTGAGTTGAAATTAGAATTTAACTCTTTAATAAAATGGTTAAAACTATTAAAATATTAACGGGTGCCAATTGTTAAGCAAAAGTTGTTATGGAAACAACCACATGTTCTGTTTCATTCAAACATTTGTGCTACCTTTTTAAGAGGCTGGAATCTAATGTGTTGAGATAATAATGTTGGACTCTCCTAGAAGCAAACCTCAGAAGGAGTTTGAAATGCACAAAATTTGCTCTTGGCATCTACCTGATGCAGGGCTCAGGGGAAGCAGAGAAATCCAGGCAGAGAAATCCAGCTGGCTGTGGCCCAGTGACAGGCTGCTGACACCACAAGAAGTTCTGAGGCTAGAATGGCCTTCAGAGTTGCTTTAAAACAGGCCACAAAGGCCAGGCCATTATACCTCCACATCAATCAGTGCGATGATTCATTTTATGTATCAGTTTGACTGGGCCACATGCTGCCCACATAGCTGGTTAAACATTATTTCTAGGTGTGTCAGAAAAGATTGGCTGGGCGGGGTGGCTCATGCCTATAATCCCAGCACTTTGAGAGGCCAAGGCAGGCAGATCAAGAGATCAGGAGATCAAGACCATCCTGGCTAACACAGCGAAACCCCGTCTCTACTAAAAATACAAAAAAAAATTAGCTGGGCATAGTGGCAGGCACCTGTAGTCCCAGCTACTTGGGAGGCTGAGGCAGGAGAACGGCGTGAACCCGGGAGGCGGAGCTTGCAGTGAGCCGAGATCCCGCCACTGCACTCCAGCCTGGGCAACAGAGCGAGACTCTGTCTCAAAAACAAACAAACAAACAAACAAACAAACAAACAAATAGAGAAAAGATTAGCACTTGAATTAGTGGACTGAATAAAGCAGATTACCTTCTCCAATGCAGGCTGGGATCATTGAGGGCCTAAATGGAACAAAAATGTAGACCAAGGTTGAATGAACTCAGCCTGACTGCTTGAGCTGGGACATTGATCTTCTCCTGCTCTCAGTGCCTCTGGCTCTGAGGCATTCAAACTACACCACTGGTTTTCTTGGGTCTCCAATTTGCAGACAGAAGATTGTAAAACTTTTCATCCTCCATAATTATGTAAGCCAGTATCTGACAAAAAATCTCTTTGGTTCTGTTTCTCTGGAGAACCCTGACCAATACAATGAATCATCAGACTTGGGCCACTCTGGAAGAGGGGAAGGTGAACTTGGCCAAGGCAGCTCTCTGTAGCCAGGGCATTCCCTCACAGGGTTCAGAGCTGAAGGCTGTCTGCCTATAGCACTCCCAGAAATAGGAATAACAGGTCATGCACTGATAGGATCTTGAAGGTCAATTCACCATATGTACATTAGTGTTAATAATGTATAATTGAAATTTATACAAAAATGAAGATATCATTTTTCTGAAACAACCGTAGACTATTGTTTGCCTTATAAGGCAAATAATTAATAGAATGTTATTATTTAATGTTAAAACTTCCTTTCAAAGACGTCTTGTTGCACAAACAAAGGCAATCTATACAAATGATAGAAAACTGGAATTGTAGCCTGCACAAGTAGGAGAAATAGGACCTTCATTCTTTCTGGTTTTTCAATAAAGAAGTTTTGTTAAAACAATCTAAAAGGATAAAGAATTATGTTTTTAGTTGTTGCTCATTTATAAGACAAAAATCTCTATTAATAATTTAGTAGGAGAAAAATAAAACAAGAAACAATGTCACAGCACCAAGTTCCAACTGTGATGGAAATTGAGGATTAACTTATTGGGATGAAATTACTTACAAAGCTGTGTATAGAATACTAAGTGTGCATTTTTAAAAAACAACATGACTACAGTATTATCAGTATCTCAAGTTGGTTCACAATTTCCATCAAATTAAATTCTACATAAATCAACTCAAGTCTGTGGTTATATAATTTGTTAGAGCTACACGACAGACCTTGGTTTTGGTGTACAAATAAGCAAACAAAATTACCATTTTATCAGTTGTTAAAGAGAATGACTAGACTATTGGTTAAAAATGATTAGACTTACAGTTTGACCATAAGAAATTTGCCTAGAATTAAACATCTTTTGATCTAATAAAAATGTGATACAGCCCATCCACCATTATTTATTTCTTATGAACATGCCTTCAGATAATAGCAATGAGCAAAACAAAATAACCAGGTGTTTTTTTAAGGCAATAGAAACACATAAACTCTCTACCCTAAATATCCTTAGCATCATTTATATTTCCATCTTTCTGAAGACATAAGTGAACTAACAATTTGACCTAAAGTAATTGGTCCTTTAGTGGTAGTTGAGTAAAATTTGTTCTATGGTTTAAATAAGTGTAATCACGCCTCCTGTAACAATATTTTCGCCTCCTCATGTGGCGTACAACTGGGACTTAGCAGGAAAGTGCACAACATGAAACTGTAAGTTTATCAGCTTAAAGTGTACTTTGCAAAAGAGAAGATTTATCTCACACATCACTGTAAAGAAAAAGTGTTATCTCTACCAACATGGATTAAAAGAGCAAAACTGCACTTATATTTATGTTCATTTTCTCTTTCTCACTTTCAAACATTTTATACTTTTTCCTCTATCAAATGCCATGTGGAATCTTAAAGGGACTCTGAAAAGCAATGCAATGAAGGAATGGTACAGAAGAGGCATGTGCTACCATGCATAGGGAAATAAAGACAATCCACTGTGAAACGGGACTGCAACAGAAGCAGACACTTCTCAAAAGAAGACATACAGGTGGCTAACAAATATACGAAAAAAATGCTCAACATCACTGGTCACAGAGAAATGCAAGTCAAAACCACTATGAGACATCATCACACACCAGTCAGAATGACTATTATTAAAAGTCAAAAAATAACATGTTGATGAGGCTACAGAGAAAAAGGAAGACTTACACACTGTTGGTGGGAATGTAAATTAGTTCAGCCACTGTGGAAAGCAGTATGAAGATTTCTCAAAGAACCAAAAACAGAACTACCATTCAACCCAGCAACCCCATTACTTGATATCTACCCAAAGGAAAAGAAATTCTTCTACCAAAAACACACATGCACCTATATGTTCCCCACAGCACTATTACAATAGCAAAGACGTGGAATCAACCTAGGTGCCCATCAGCAGTGGACTGGATAAAGAAAATGTGGTAGCTATACACTGTGTAATGCTATACAGCCATAAAAAAGAATGAAATCTTGCCCTTTGCAGCAACATGGATGCAGCTAGAGGCCATAATCCTAAGCAAATTAATGCAGAAACAGAAAACAAAATATTTCACGTTCTTACTTATAAGTGTGAGCTAAATCTTGGCTACACACAGACATAAAGATGGGAACAATAGACACTGGAAACTCCCCAAGGATGGAGGGAGTGGGGCAAGGGCTAAAAACTTCCTATTGGGTACTATGTTCATCATCTGGCTGATGGGATCAACAGAAACCTGATCCTCAGCATCACACAAGTATACCCCTGTAACAAACCTGCTCATGTACCCCCCCAATCTAAAATAAAAATAGATGCTTTTTTAAAAAAGAAAATCATAATTAAAAAGAAAAGGACCTTGGCACAGAGAGCCCCTCTCCTGCCTGTCTGCAGATGTACTCTCAGAGAGATGCTGTGATCTGGAGGTGGATCGGGTCTAGGTAGGTTCACAGGGTCAGCGTCCACGCTGGGCTCTCACTCAGCCACAACTCACCACCGATCTGGAGGTCTGCTCAGAGGAACAGAGGAGTGGGGTGAATATGAATCTCGTCTCTAGGGTCAGACTTCCTAGGTCCAAATCCTGGCCCTTCTCTTCTTAGCTATGTGAGACTGGGTAAGTGAGGTGGCTTCTTTGTACCTCTGTCCCTCATCTGAAGATTGAGAAGATGGCACCCAAATGGGCTTTGTGAAGAGATTCAATCGACACTCAACACATTACGTTTTCCTCAGAAAACACCTGCTAGTTGTAAATTGTTTAAAATCAAAATCAACAGCCCCCACACAGAAACAGTGATTGTCTTTCATCAAGTGATATTCACCTGCATTATTTCTAGAAACCTCAAATTTCATTCTCCAAGTATACACAGAATCACAACTCATACTAGAGATTCCTCAAGGGGGATATAGAGTCGGCTGCAGAAAGCTGTATAGTTAGAAGAAAAACTTATGCTCACCACAATAGAAATGAATGTCTGATATGTTGCCTCTTCTTACCTCTTCCTTTGAATTAGAAATGTCTAAGGAGACATGGGTACAGGAACTGGGAAAGAGTCAGAGAAACAAAGAAAGAAATATAAAAGAAGAGAACCAGGAAGGGGAAAGGGGAGAAGAGAAATGGTGGCGGGGGAGAATGAAAGAGAACAAGAGTAGAAAGAGGAGAGCTGAGAGAGAAAACCCAGTCCAGAGGTATCTATGGAACTGGGCAGAAAAGGAATTCTCTGTAGGGTCAAAAAAGCAAGTGCAGGATGAGGAACAATTGGAGAAGGAGCACTTGACTAGGTTTAAATGAATGTCATTAATGTGTTGTGTGCATTTGTATTTTCTTTGGATTATGTTTTGGTGAGTGATTTGTGATCTTTATTTGTTCTATTTGTTTTTGCCATTTCAAATTAGGTTCCCAGACTCTGCAGCAAAAAATACAACAGGAAGATTTCAAAAGAGAAAGCTAACTCCTTCTAAATGCTCAAATGACCAATATGAACAGACTCTCTGACATATTTTCCAGCCCATTGCCTGGAAAAACCATTATGACAAAGACAATATTGAAATCAAAGTGAGCACTGTTTAAATTTCTTACCTGTTCTGGACTTTAAAACAGCATTAGACTTTGAATTAAGCCCATTACAGAATTAATAATTTCATTATGGAATTGCAGCAGTTAAACACCCCAGTGTATTTCTAAGTCTAGTGAAGCCTGATAGCTGTGAACACTCATTGGATGTGTGACAAATACGTGAATAAATAAGAAGCCACTGTTTCCTGATATAGTGAAATTATCTAATAAATAGATAAGCATATCCATGTTTTAAAACCACCATCATTCAGAAAAAGGCAAAGTATCTTGGTATCTGTGTTATATGTGTACATATCATAAAGTCATTTCCAAATACCTTCTGCAGATAGGACATTCTCAACAGTATATCAACAGCAGCTATGAGAGCTTATAATCTATGTGCACTCTTCTACTCAGCACCAAGTAATATCTGATTCTACTTATCAGCATTACCCGAATTCTGCAATGTATTAGCTTTCAAACAGTGAGGGGTCTTTGCTCAAAGCAGCATTTTCAACAGATACAGTGGCTGAGATTCTCAATTTAAGAAAGAAGAAACTGATAGCAGAAAGGTCATTATTATTTTAGCCAAATAACCCTTCTGAGCAAGGGTTGTACAATGACCATGGTACGGCAGTAACCAAACTAGGAAATGAACTTCAGAGAACAAACATCAGCACCCAAAGCATTTAAAAACTCAGTCTTTCAAGGAAATGCAAGTAACATGTAGTGTTTCCCTAGGTAATGCAAGATCATTCCCTATAGGAGGATTTGATCCATGTGTTTAGTACATAAAAAGGTTAAAAATGCAGTTACGTTTTTAACTTTTTGGATTCAGATAGCACTAAAAAGAAAGGATAGTGAATAGATATGTTTTGGATAGCAAGCCATCTAACATTTTCTTGGGCTCCAGGGATGATCCTATCCTGGCCTCCCAAGTAGCTAGGACTACAGGTGTGTGCCACCATGCCTGGCTAATATTTTTGTTTTTTGTGGAGATAGGGGTCTTGCTATGTTGGCCAGCTGGTCTCGAACTCCTGGCCTCAGGCAATACTACTGCCTCTGCCTCCCAAAGTGCTGGGATTACAGGTGGAAGCCACCATGCCCAGCATAATTCTTTGAAGGACTCTTGTCAAAATACATTTTGGACTAGATTTTATTCAAAATAGAAGACAATTAGTACCTTGAGATGCAAGGACCTCCTCCAACCACACACACACACACACACACACACATGGACACGCACACACACACACGATTCTATTACCTTTTCCTTAATGAAAGATCTACTTTTAGAACAAATCGCAAATAATAATATATTTGAACAGAAAAATACTATTTCACTAATGTTTTAATATCTAATTTCAGCTTCATAATATCCTAATGCTATCAGGTTAGTAGGGTAAACATTATAAATTTATTTTTACATGGAAAAAACTGTCCCCAAGATCACACAGCTATTGAGGAGTCAAATGCAAACCTTGTCAACCTAATCCTAATAGCAAATAATTACTGTACTTTGCTATTATCTCTCAATAATTGTCTCCTTGGTCATTAGGTTGCCTCAATGTACATAATTAAATACAACATCAACAGGTAAGGTGGTATATTCAAAATGCGAACTTCAAAGTTTTACATCATCAAGGCTGCACAGTTTAGATAAATGTTTTTTGGTCTGGTTCAAGTTGGACAGAAATTTCATTGACCGACATCCTCTCAAAAGAGCCTATTGCAAGCTATTTTCTCCATAAACCCGGGTCTGCCTGTCATCACTCATGGAGCATTAACTGAGCTCTTGCTACATGCTGAGCTCTCTGTTAGAATCTGAAGTTACATGAATGAATAAAAAGACACAGTCCCTCATCTTCAGGAGATAACAGTAAACAACACAATATGTAAACAAATATTACAATTTGATGTGAGAAATGCTATCATATAGGGCAGCCTAGGGACAAAAGACCAAGAAAATGGAATTTGGCAACTGTAAGTAAGATTTACTGGTTCTTGCCAGCGGCCTTGGAATTACGTAGCCAGAGAAGCATAAAAAATAGTTGTATGATACATTGATATGCATCAGAATCAACAAGTCAGAAAACATTTCATAAGTGAGATTATGCTTGATTCAGCCAGCCAAAAACCAGAAAAATCTATTTCTAATGGATACTACCAGTCCACAGAGATGCATATTTCCTTTGACAATGTTGTCATTAAATATGATGTAATAAACACCCTGCTTTATGTACAAAAGGAGATTTAATCTAACTTTTCCACAATAAGAAGCAGACAACTCATGTTACTGTAGAAGGAATACAGAAAAAAAATTAAGTTAGCCATTAAAATGACCACTGGAAGAGGAAATAGCAACACATCAATCCTAAGAATGAAGGATTTCAGCTGGACTCAATAAAATGTAATCACAACAGCTATCTACAAGGCTTTACTTTAATGATAAAACACATCAGAACTTGTGAGAATAGGTTTTTAAAAATTTATTCCTATTATTGGAAATTCTGAAAATGTGCAAGCCAGGTCAATATTGCATTATTTAAAGATGCACTGTCAAACAATCTTTTACTGAAACCAAAAACATCTACATTCTCAGTGTTATAGGAAATATAGCCGGTGTTTTATAACATTCTGCATTAAATGGTATTGTTTATCTAAGGGGGTTCTTAGAAAAGAACGTTAAGCTTTCAACAATCCCAACATCACCCAAGCACAAAAATGAAAACCGATCAGAACTGCAAATGACAAAAGGATAACAATTTGTTACTTCATAAATTTCTGTGATATAATTTCCACAATTTCCATTCATGCAGTGACTTCTAGATAAAACTCATTCTCCTTGCAAATGCGTTATAGCTTAACCATATATAACATGTAAATATCTACAAGTGAAAAGCAGCTTAGCTTGTTTAAAAAAAAAAAGATCCTGGAATATAAACAGAGTAACAGAAGCACTCGTTCAAGTTCACTCATGGCATGCTATCCTCTTCTCATCCCTGCAGTGGAGCACACCCATGTTCCCTCTGCATGACCCTGGGCAAGATGTGTAACATTTGTGGCTATCAGTTCCTTCATTTGTAAAAAGAAGGGTGCTTGACAGGATGATGTCAAGATGCCTTTGAATTTCAACATTTTGTGTTTCTATGAATATACCACATAGCTGCCTCCCATGAGTACTGTGAATTATGTAAGTTCTAATACGGGAATAGAACATCATGTTAAATACAATAAATTGCTTTTTGAAAAGCCTACAGGAGATGAACTAGAGGGTACATCAGAAAACTTTTCCAATTCAAAATTATAAATCCTGACTTCACAAGTCAAAGAATGACTGGGGATCTTAAAAACTGATTTTTTGTTAGAGTATTGGAGCCTTGGTCAGGTGCTAGGGATCTGATGACCAGTTCATTGAAGCATTATAGTTCTCTTGTCAGTTCAAAAAAAAAAAATGAAAGGAGTGTTGGGGATGGGCTGAAGATGAAGACAACAATGGCTTCCATTTTACTATTCAATAATAGCCTCGCTTTTCCTCTCCTCGTCCATTTCTCTCTCCTATTTCTTGATCCTGCTCAACTTTCCCTTTCTCTCCCTTCCCTTTCCCTTGTCTTACTCTGTCTTTCCCATTTTAAAAACCTGAAAATGGAGATGAGCCACCTGATACAACACCCTTTCAATTACTTCCATCCTGTTACTCTGAGACTCACTAATAGCAGCAGCAAAAAAAGGACTGTTGCATGGCCTGGCCTCTTGCTGAGCATGGAAAATAGAACACATTCATTTACCTCCATGTTATAAACTGAATGTCTGTGTACTCTTAAAATCCACATGTTGAAGCCCTGCCCCTCTGATGTGATAGTATTACCTTTAGGAGGTAATGAGGTTTAGATGAAGTCATGAGAGTAAGACTCCCACATGGGATTAGTGTCCTTAATAGAAGAGGAAAGATCAGACTGATCTCTCTCTGTCTCTCTCTGTCTCCATTCACCGTGTGAGAACACAGTGAGAAGGCCATTGTCTGCAAGCCAGGAAGACAGCCCTCATGAAAAACCCAACCAGGCTAACATCCTAATCTCAGACTTTCCAGCCTCCAGAACTGTGATAAATAAATGTCTCTTGTTTAAGCTACTCAGTTTATGGTATTTTGATTTAGCAACCTGAGCTAAAACACTCTAATTCCTCCAAATACCCAACTAAGTTGTCTACTATAAAAAAAAAGAGGGGAAAAGAGGAGAGAAATGTCACCAATGTTTTGAAAGCTGAAAAGCAGATGATTACCAAGTTGCAATTGACTTACCAGAATAGAAAAAGCTCAGTGAGAGCCCACAAGGAGTGGGGCTGGGGATGAGGCCAACAGAAACAAAGCTGGTGTTCTACTTAACATGATGAAGGCCCTGGAGTGGAGGTACCAGAGGCTCCAGAAGGTGGGGTTGAAAATGGAGTTGGTTGAAAATCTCTAAAGTCCCTTCCCTCAACTCCAGTCCCTCTGCACAGAAGATCAGAGAGTCATTTTCTATAGAGGATGAACTCAGGGACATCAAACACAGCTGAAGACATAGTGAGTTTCTATAGAATAAAAGTCTGCATGCTGAATGGATAGTCCCTGGTCCCCTCTCCCTGTTTAGCATCCAGACTGCAGTAGCCTAACTTATCTCCCCCCACCCACCCCTGCCCCCACTAAACCCCATACAGAAAATTGGAAGAGTCTTCTCTGGAGAATCTGGTCCAAGGGTAATGACATACTGATACTTACATGGATGTTTCCCAACTAAATGACCAATTCCACCTGCTCGAGCTAAAGTAAAGCCCACTGGCCAATGAATTTGTCCTCACCTCCAAGGCTCACAAACACCATGTCAGCACCTCACTCTTAATATCACAGCAGACATTTGAGAGGAGCCTTTACCGTGAAAGTCAGGAACCAAAGCAAACAGAAGAGGTAAACTTAGAGGACAAGAAATAAGACATACATAGATAACTTCAAGATTATTAATATCCTCAGAGACAAGAAGTGTGTCCATGCAACAAGAATAGGAGGCTAAAAGAATAGAAACATTCAGAGGGCAAGAAGAAGCTCCTAGAAATTAAAAAGGAGATGATAGAAATATCTCAATAGATAAGGTATAAGAGCAAGTAGAGAAAACATTTCAGAAAGCAAAACAAATGAAAATGACCATAAAATTGGAGAATTCATTCAAGAGGCTTAACTTTCCAATTTTGAAATCCCCAAAAGAGAAAATAGAGGCCATTACCAAAGAAAAATTTAAGAATATTTCTCAGAACTGAAGAATAAGAACTTTTGGATTGAAAATAGTTATAAAATACCAGCAAAAAGAAAAGAAAGGAAGGGGAAGGAAGAAAACCTATATGAAGGAATATTAACACAAAATTTTAAAACACTCGTGAGTAAAAACCAATTACAGAGAAGGATTAAGGCTCAGAATGGTTTCAGGATTTTCACAGCAATAATGTGAAGTCAGAAGAAAATGGAGCAATGCCTTCAAAATTATAAGAAAAAATGAGTTTTATTTGAAATGAAAAGAAAGCAAGTTAACTATATATCAAGTGTGTAGGTAGAATAAAGTCTATTTAAAATATGAAGAAAACTCAAAAAAATCATTTACCTTCCATGCATACCTTTTTTTAGGAAGCTTCTCAGGGATGGAATGAAGCTTTCCAAACCAAGAAAGGAAACAAGAATGAACAAGACCCAGAATCCAAGTAGCAGGGAATTCACCACAGGAGAAGGAAAGGGGATTTCTCAAAGTGATGATGAAGAGAAGCAGAGTTAACAGCCATCAAAGGTCCAAAGATCATCCCACCCAGATTAGAGCAGGGAAAGGAAGCCTCCAGAAGAATCTCCAAGAAGAAAAGAAACTGAATGGATGGGCTGTTTGAGGTGTTTGGATATACTGAAAGGATATGTACAGTTCTGTCAAAGTTTGAGGATGAATTGATAAGTTATATAGAAATCTAAGCATATGACAAAGCAAGAAATGATTAATTTCAGGAAAAACAAAATGTTTAAGAATAGAAATGGTATTTTAGTACACTAGATTAACTGCAACATCAAATGCAGAATCATGATAATACAAGCACTGAATACTAATTAAATCAGAATTATGATACAATCCTACTGGAAAGATTGGAGGAAAGGAAGTGTATGTGTGTTCATACGCACATCCATGTGCAATGTGTGTACTGTGGGGAGTTAAGTCATCGTCTTCCGTAGTAGACAATCAAAATGAAAGCTAAAAAAAAAATCAAGAAATAGCAACATGAAAATGTTTTGTGAAAAATGGAGACAAATACCAGAAAAAGAGCTAAAGGGGTTGGAAATAATTGTTCTTGGGGATCAAGATTCAAAAGCACGGGGAGGGCAGTGGGTTTCTGTGAAGTCCAGTAGCACTATATACAATATCGCTTGGGTAAAATACATGTTTGGGGCCCTGATTTTTAAGGTCATTAAGTGGAAGTGGGGATGATATGGTTTGGATGTGTCCTCACCCAAATCTCATATTGAAATGTAATCCCCAATGCTGGAGGTGGGGCCTGGTGGGAGGTGATTGGATCATGTGGGCAGAGTTCTCATGAATGGTTTAGCAACATCCACCCTTGCTACTGTACAGTGAGTTCTCACAAGATCTGGTTGTTTAAAAGTATGTAGCACCTCCCCCTCCCTCCCTTGGTCCTGCTCCTGCCATGTAAGACACCTGTTCCCACTTTGCCTTCTACCATGAGTAAAAGCTCCCTGAGGCCTCCCCAGAAGCAGATGCCACTATGCTTCCTGTTCAGCCTGCAGAATCATGAGCCAATTAAACCTCTTGTCTTTATAAATTACCCAGTCTCAGGTATTTCTTTATACCAATGCAAGAACAAACTAATACAGAGGAAAAAAGAGTTTAAAGATAGCAAGATAATTTTAGTCCTGTATGTTAGGGAAGCATCTTCTGTAACCAGGTTTCTCTTTAAAACATTTCTCCACCTTTATGCCTGTGACTGTATTATCTTATGCTGATTGCTTATTTGTTTGTTTGTTTTGGTGGCATAATAGGTGCTTGTTTAATATTTTTAGGAACAAAATCCAGAAAACAACCTGCATTGACTAAAATAATAAGAACCACATGAAAATCCATGTTGCCTGGGTTTAAAGCATCTGCTTTTCATGTAAGTCAACACTAACCTACTAATCTGTCCCTAATTGGTCTGATACCCAAATGTCAAAGGTTCTTTTCAGATATATCAGTAATTGGTTTTAATAACAAATAAGACCTATCATTTAACCAAAACCACTACTGACACTTTATCTGGATATTGTTTGCAATATAATATTATCTTTGTTGCTATAATAAAGAAAATAAGAGTCCTCTCACATACAGACATAATTATTACCCAACTAATCCTTTTTAAGCACTTCAAGGGCCACAAGAAAATGAAATTCAGTGGACAAAATGGCTTCAGAGAACAGGGAAACACGTGAGAACCCAGAGGTAGGTATTTGCAGTCATGTACCTTGGCAGAGTTTAGTGTCCTAGCTATGAAGTATGCGAGTTTATAACTTTGGTAGGTGTTCAGTAGTGTTTCATAAGAAAAGAGAGTAGAGTATGAAATATATCAGTGGCTGTCTTCCAACCCCTCCAGATAGAGCTTGAAACTCTGGCATGAGTGCTTTTAGGAAGAGAAGAGGTTTGAGAAAGCTTCTTGGCAAAGTCTGAACTAACCCATTCAGATTGAAACTTGATGAGTTCTATTTGAGAAATAAATCACAGATTCCATTAATCTGTGATTCAAATACATCTACATGTATTTTTTAATGTATGGTAGACACTGAGGCTCTGGAATTAATTACCTCACAGTTCTCCAGAAAGGATCTGAGTGGTTTCTTTTCCAACAGCAAATGGGCCACCTACATCTAGACTCCTTGCTGAATGAAGAGACTCCTTGCTCCTCGTCATTTACACAAGAGAAAGGAGAATCAAACATCAGCAATAGGGGGAATGGTCTCACACTGAGGCCCATGCCTGGCAAGGGGACTGTATCCCAACTGACAGATAATTTGGGATGCAAGTGATGAAAGAAATAAAAGGTATTGGATTCATAGGGCATTCCTTCATTTTAATACCAAATAATAAATATTCATTTTAAATCTCACGGATTTCAAACATCACTTGGGCATAAACTTGGGAACAATCATGTAACTCAAAAGATGTTAAGTTATTTTCCTGCATTATGTCATTCTACAACAGGGATTAGACTGCATAATCCCTCTGGATCTCATGGATGTCCCAGATACAGTAACTCGTGCAACATCAGGTTGGCACATTGTCTTCTAGTAACAGGTTTTTCTCACCCTCTACCAACTCATATCCACAATCCTCACATGGGTGGTATTGCCTGCCTTTTTGCTTTTCTTTCTTTCCTTCCTCCTTTTCTTTCCTTCCTTTTTCCCTCCTTCCTTCTTTCCTCCCTTCCTTCTGATTCTCTCTCTCTTTATAGAAAAAGACACTAATCTTAGAAGCTGATGACGTCAGTAAGAATCAGGTTCTTATCTGGCTCTAATTGTACACAGCATCATGCAAAAGAATTTAATGAACTTAGGAGCCTCTCTGAGCTTATAATGTATATAAGAAGTTGAATGAGGAAAACGAAGGAGAAAGAGGTCACTGGCCCTTATAAGAACCAAATCCATAGGCAGATAAATGCTGCTTCACAATACTCCAGGAAAACAAGTCCCCAGTGAACGTCCTGGAAACTCAGCAGGCAAGACCACAATTTATGTGAGACCAGGAGAAAAACAGGCAAAGAAGAGACACACACACAGAGAAAGAAAAGATATAGAAATGGAGGGAAGGAAGATGGTGGTTAATAACTTCAGGTAGAATGTGACAGAAGAGAGCAAGACCTCAAAACAGGAACTTTTTCTTCATGTTTTCCATTTGTTATTATTAAGCATGAAAAACTCCCCAAAATAGCACTTGATTCATCATTTTCAGAGCTATCACAAGGATTTCTTCTATTTTTCTGCAGAATAGTTAGCATTCAAGTTATTTTTGCATGGGTGCCACAGCACAACATGGGCATAAAACTGTGAAAAATTAAATAGCTCAAAAGTGTAGGTGGGCTTCTGTGAAATTTGTGCTGAATGAATTTTTAGAAAGCAGAATGCAGTACTAGAATTGCTGCACATGTGTTCTATTATTAAATATCTAACTCTTCTAAATTGGGAAGGATAATAACAAGCAATCTGTGGGAAAGCTGAAGATCTAAACAATACAATTCTGAAACCAAAATAAAACTGATTTGGTATTTTTTACTTTTTTAATTGTTAAAACATCATTGTGGAGTAATAGTACAAAGACATAAAGAAAAATTTCTAAAAAAAATATTGTCCATATTCCTATCATCCCAGCATTAAAAATTATTATTTCTTTCAGTCTTTATCCACAAAAATCCATAAATTATTAATGTGCATGTACTTTTTGTGTTTGGTTTCCCACTGAGCATTATCATGCTATCACAAGAGAAGCAACAGAAAGAACATTTGATTTTGAACCTAAGATGTGGTTTAAGTCTTGGCACACAGTCATTCCTTGTATAGTCCTCATAGGAATCATTTTCTTAGCTACCTAATATCCCACAGAATTGATGTAACCAATTTTACTTACTCTTCTCCTTCTTCTTGGACATTTAGGTCATGACCAATATTTCACAGTTCTAAATATCACTGCAATACATATTTCCCTGATATAGCTTTCTTCTTATATTCTGTTTTCTGTATCCTTGATATAAATTCATGGCAGGTTGAATGTATTTATAGCTTTTGGTACATAGTGCCAAATTGTTTTCCAAAAGATTTATACCAATTTATACTTTTATTAGAAATATATGATTATATAGCAGACTTGCCAATATTGAATACTGTATGGTTAACGTTCTCCTAATGTAATATATGGAAAATGATATCCCATCATACTATGTAAGTGTTAAATGTTACCCGTATTATATTTTAAGATTATTAGTGTAAGCTATCAGGAGTTCTGAAAGTTAATAAAATTTTAAATTATAGCTCATAGAAATGTAAAAGACTATAGATATTATTTAACCTAGTCTTTTACCCATAGAGAAATTTTTGCAGCAATATCTTTGATGGAGACCTGATAATTATCTTACACCCCTCACTGTGCTTAATTGCCCTCATTCAATGAGTCACTAAGTCCTACTGTTTCAAACCCCAAATCCCTCTCAAGTCTACTCCAGCCATCATTATCTTTCTCCTCACTGCCATGGCCTTAGTTCAAGCCCTCCTTACCTCTCACCTGGGTTACTATAATAACCTCTTTGCCAGTATTTCTGCCTCCAGTTCAATAGTTGACATACTGTATGTGGTCTAAAATTTCAATCTGATGGTGAACGCTACTTCTCTGTTTAAATACTTCAATAGCATGTTATTTTCTTCCAGGACAAAATCTGAACTTCACGGCATAGCACACAAGGCTCTTCATAATTTAGCTCAGACTTCAGTCTTATCTCACATCAGTAACTCCACAACCATCTGCCACCAACTAATTTCATGCTCTTACAAACCTTCATCTGGACATGTCCTGCAAGATGCCTTTCAAGGGTCCACTCCTCCAGGAGACCTTCCCAACTTCTTGTCTTCCCAGCATTGGTTGGACATTCATAACCTCATTCAAACAGATTATAAACCTCTAATTGGAGCATTTATTCCATTGCACTGTGTTTGTCTAGTTCCACATTTTCCCAACCAGCCTATTGGTTCTTTAAGGTTAGAAATGTACTTTTAACTCTGTATCTTCAGTGTCTTGCAGAGTGTGAACCCTTAGTAGTGGTAAATACATGTTTGTTGGATTAACCAATAAATAAATGAATGCTCCAGTCTCTGTTCAACGTCTTCCAGTGGTAGTACCTTATCAAACAGTCCATCTCATTTTTTATTTTTATTATATTTAAAAACAAAAATTTTTAGAAGCAAGGTCTCACTCCATCACCCAGGCTAGAACGCAGTGGTGCTTTCACAGCTCACTGTAATCTCAAACTCCTGGGCTCAACTGATCTTACCACATCAGCTTCCCAAGTAGCTAGGACTACAGCCATATGCCATCACACTTGGTAGTATGTTTTTTTTTTCTTTAGAGACAAGGTCTCACTATGTCGACTAGGTTGGTTTTGAACTCCTGGCTTAAAGTAATCCTCCCTATTCAGCCTCCAAAAGTGGTGGGATTATAGGTGTGAGCCACCATGCCCAGCCTGTTTATTGTGACTTTAAAAATCAAAGGGCTCTTTTAAGTTTCTGCTACTTGTGACTGGACAAATGGTCTGTTAAACAAATTTAAAAGAAAAAAACAACCCCATCAAAAAGTGGGAGAAGGGTATGAACAGACACTTCTCAAAAGAAGACATTTATGCAGCCAACAAGCATATGAAAAAAAGCTCATCATCAATGGTCATTAGAGAAATGCAAATCAAAACCACAATGAGATACCATCTCATGCCAGTTAGAATGCTGATCATTAAAAAGTCAAGAAACAACAGATGCTGGAGAGGATGTGGAGAAATAGGAACACTTTTACACTGTTGGTGGGACTGTAAACTAGTTCAAACATTGTGGAAGTCGGTGTGGCAATTCCTCAAGGATCTAGAACTAGAAATACCATTTGACCCAGCAATCCCATTACTGGGTATACACCCAAAGGATTATAAATCATTCTACTATAAAGACACATGTACATGTATGTTTATTGTGGCACTGTTCACATTAGCAAAGATGTGAAACCAACCCAAATGTCCATCAATGATAGACTGGATTAAGAAAATGTGGCACATATACGTCATGGAATATTATGCAGCCTTAAAAAACGGATGAGTTCATGTCCTTTGCAGGGACATGGATGACGCTGGAAATCATCATTCTCAGCAAACTAACACAAGGACAGAAAACCAAACACTGCATGTTCTCACTCATAAGTGGGAGTTGAACAATAAGAACACATGGACACAGGGAGGAGAACATCACACACTGCAGCATGTTGGGGGGTGGGGGGTGGGGGGCAAGGGGAGGGATAGCATTAGGAGAAATACCTAATGTAGATGACAGATTAATGTGTGCAGCAAACCACCATGGCACATGTATACCTATGTAACAAACCTGCACATCCTGCACATGTGCCTGAACTTAAAGTATAAACTAATAATGTGCAAGGTGCCCAGGCATGGTAACTCACACCTGTAATCCTAGCATTTTGGGAGGCCAAGATGGGTGGATGGCTTTAGCTCAGGGGTTCAAGACCAGCCTGGGCAACGTGATGAAACCCCATCTCTACAAAAAACACAAAAATTAACCGGGTATGGTGGTTTGCACCTGTAGTACCAGACACTTGGGGGGCTGACGTGGGAGGATCACTTGAGCCCAGGAGGTGGAGGCTGCAGTGAGCCAAGGTCATGCCAGTGTACTCCAGCATGGACAACACAGTTAGACCCTGCCTCAAAAAAAAAAAAAAAAAAGTGCAAGGCACTGTTAAAGCATTTGCTGGCCTAAAAGATACATAAAATAGTTCATCTTGTGTGACTTACTAAATATAATATGGATACCATCTTTGACATGTACATTAAATATGACGTCTACCCTTATAATAATAGGAGGAACTACAAAACTATTTTAAAAAGAAAGTGTGAACACTTTTAGGGAAAAAAAAATACGTATTCAAGGGTGATGCAGAACCTCAGGTCCAATCTGGCTGTATCAGAGAATCCTCTTGCAGGTCAGAAAAGGTTGTCTGAGGAAGCAAGGCTGGAAGCAGACTGTCCACAGGCAAAGGTGTTGATGCATTTAATGGGCTCTGGCAGCTGCTTTCACACATACTCAGTATGGAAGGAGGAATTGAAGTAGAAAAAAGGAGGAAAACGAAAGGAACAAGAAAAAGGAAATTTGCTTAAAGGAATTAATAAGTAAGCAAGAAGACCAAGGGGAAGAGACATTATATCATATTAATTCTATAAGCATAAAAAAGCTTAAAAATAAGATAGTCCAATGCCAATGTGATTTAATTATTATGTTGCCCCATTTGAAAGGAAATACTGCCTTTTGTAATCTGTCTAGTGCTAGCCAGTGGAACTTTCTGCTATGACGACCACATTCTATAGCTGTGCTGTTGAAGACAGCAGCCACTAGCGTCATAGGACAATTGAGCATATGAAATGCAGCTAGAGTGACTAAAAAACTGAGTTTTAAATTTATTTTTATTTTTTATTTTATTGTATTTTTTTGAGATGGAGTCTTGCTCTGTCACCCAGGCTGCAGTGCAGTGGCGCGACCCCGGCTCACTGCAACCTCCACCTCCCGGGGTCAAGCGATTCTCCTGCCTCAGCCTCCTGCATAGCTGGGACTGCAGGCACAGGCCACTATGCCTGGCTAATTTTTATATTTTTAGTAGAGACGGGGTTTCACCATGTTGGCCAGGCTGGTCTCAAACTCCTGCCCTCAGGTGATCCACCCCCCTCAGCCTCCCAAAGTGCTGGGATTACAGGCATGAGCCACCATTTCCAGCCTTAAATTTAAATTTAAACAGCCACATGAGGCTAGTGTCTATCCTTTTTGAATTCTGTACTCATACAGAATGAGTACAGAGAAGAATTCTGTACTCATACAGAATGAGTACAGAGCAGAATTCTGTACTCATACAAGATTTAAAATATAAAGAAACTTAAACTTAAGGAGGACCTAAGGGACAAATTCCCCTGTTTGGGAGATAATTAAATAATATTTGTATTGGTCTTTGCAATTTATACTATACTTTCATGTATTTCATTGAATTAATAAGAATATAGAAGCTAAAGATGAATGTGGAGTCTCCATCAACAGAGGCCATAAGAAAGGAATCATAGCCCTGTGTCTTCACCAATTAGAATGTGATTCTCATGGAGCAAAGCCCTTACTGAGCTATATTAGATAGGAAGGAGACAACAGTGATTAAGAATGAAGACTCTCAGCCAGACTGCCTGTGCTCAAAACCCAGTTCCTATTTCCTGGCTGTGTGATCTTACTGAAGCTACTTAACTTCTCTGTGCCTGTTTTCTCCTTATTTTAATGGCAATAGTAGTAGTACTGACCTCATAAGAGCTGACATGAGCTATATGAGCTAGCACATGCAAAACAGCTAGAACAGTGGCTGGCATACAAAATAAATTGCTCAGTGTTGGTTAGAAATTAACCAAGGGATCGGCAGTCCTACAGAAGAGGAAAACCTCTTTTGGGAGGACACACTGCTCTGGTCTTGCCGAGTCCTCCTTCTGACTGTGATATGTTTTTGCCTCAGGAATGTCAGATGAGGTCTCAGACAAGGTTCTAGACAAGGGAAAGCACAATATTAAACAAATAATAATGATGGGTCTTCAACCAAGTTTTCATTTCCTCTGATAATCCAATTCCATCATCCTATCAGCCTAATTGTTATCCTATTTAGTTTTCATGGCCACTTTTCCTTCTAACTTCTAATGGGTTACAAAACATAGTTAAGATTATGAGCTGATAATTCCTATCAATTATTAAATGTTTTCATGTGAGCCGAGTATTATAAGTGATATTCATAGTCAGAATTCTTGGAGACCGCTACTTTTCACCTTGCAACTGAGGTGTATTTTGTATTCATAATCCTTGCTCTTTGCTATGCCCTGGCCTGTTCCTGAACTCTCTCTTTGTCTGCTTTTCCAAGCCTCCTCTGTCCCCATCCATCTGGCACTCACATACCCCCTCACTTCTGCTTCCACCTCTCTCCAGCAGGCTCACTGCTTGGTGCAGATGGAGAGATACTTTTGAAGTTTTCAGGAAATCCTCTCAAGGGCAGTGAAACAATTTGTCTGTGAGCAGAGATGATACTGAATGCATTGGAATGGAGGTAAAATTTAGAATATCCAAGGGAAAAATGCGTTAGTTAAAATAGAGGATGATTTTTAAAATAATTTTCAGGAGTAATGGGAAATAAAGATTTTCAAGGTGTGCCAGAGCTAACAAACCACAGCATATGACAAGAGCTCCTACAATTGCTAAGAAATAAAATGCAAGAATATATTTTATTCTCTTCCAAATACAAATTCAATGATGTGCTTTGAATCAGTACATGAAAATACTCAGGTTGCAAAGATTCTGTGAAAAATGGTAATCTCTAGGGGCTTATGCATTAATCCTTACCTGAGGCATGCTTTTGCATGTTTAGTATAAATTATTCTTTATAAAATTGCACTGAGCATAATAGGACATGTAGCTTGTAACTAGGTTAACAAACAATAGATTAATAGCATTTCATATCATTCACAGATAACTAAAAAGTCAAAAACCCAAAATATTAATAAAGAATTTAGAAAACATTACTTCAAATAGAAGTCAAATTCATGTTTTGGAAAATACTAGTATTATCTCAATAATTTCAGAGGGCAGAAGTCTCACCAAGACAACTGAACAATGTAAATATGTCTTTATAATTCTTCATTTTCTAGTTTGAAGTTGTAAAAAAAACTTCATAGGAAGAAAAACACAGTCTCCTGCAACAATGTGAGTTACTAATGAGTCCACTGCTTCCTCAATCTCACACAACATTCTAGACAAATGCCTCAGCCAGTGCTATTGAGTGACATCAGCTCACATTGCAATATATTTTCTGATGTGTATAATAAATTACAAATACTTAATAATTTATCATGGTTGCTTTGAGAGCATCACACAGCACTTAGCATCTAACTCAAAATAACTATTGCCCTTCTCACAACAAATTCCAAAGCCCTCATTTTTCTACTTACTATGCTAATTAACATTCCTTTTAATCTTCTTCTTTAATTTATCCTGTAAATTTTAAAATAGCATCTTAGAAAGAAACTTAAGGGTAATCTTGGGTCAACCTTACCAGTGCAGGAATCTCACTAGCATCTCTAAAAGATGGCCATAAATGATTTTTTCTATTCTCAAGACTGTTTTATGTTGGTTGGTAGGTTGACTACTTTGTTTAGTTTGCCTTTGCTATGAGTCTTTCTTTAGAATCTATTAAGTTAATTGTGGCATTCGGACATTTATTTAAAGGGCAGTGGAAACCAAAGTGTGTAAAGGCTAATACTCCTCAATGCCAAAAGTAAGGAAGTTAAGAAAGGTCAATCAATGATTAAATTGTTTATCATTAGTTAATATAAAATAAAGGATGTATTTTTAGCTGACAAACTAAATTCAAGGTTGGCACTACACAAAAAAAATCACAGACAACTGAATAAAGAATTACCACAGTATTAGTTATTTAAGACACGTTCCTGTGTATCCATGGTTGATCAACACACAGGATTCTGAGAAAAATTATTTTATAAAAGCATGGTGCTCACCTTAAAGAGTACACTATCTTGCTAGAGAAAATAGACATACATATTAAGGCATATTATTGCATTCAAAGGGTAGCAGGTAAATAATATACAAATATGCCTAGAGACTACAAATTAAGTTTAATGAAATGAGTTAAGCACTTTCTTCTCTCCACTTTCTTGGAGAGGTTCAGGTCTTACAAATTAGGATATGTGAAAAAAGAATAATAGTCCCTTATAGCCAGGCAGGGGTGAATATTATAGGTCACATAAAGAAGAAAAATTCAAAAGAACTCTCAGAAATGAATTTGTGTGATTCAGATTGTGGAGGCAAGAAAGAGAGAGATAGATGGATTCCCTCAAATGTCCGATTAAGACAAGATTGGCTATGAAATGAAGTAGAGATCTCAGGTTGTGGAGTTATATCATATCAAGAAGCAGTAAGTTAAGAGAGCTGTCAGAGTTCTAGTGGCTGAAACCTATCCCTATCCAGGAAAGGCTAAAACCAGAATGAGGATGACTCTGATAGTGAAAAGCCCAAGATTCTTTCTCTAAGGAATTATGTGTGCTGACTCCTAGAAAGACCCATCCTCTCACAGTTACAAGAATGACGCCTTCAGCATCACAAACACAGCTGCAATGTGGCTTAGCCCCCAGCAGAATGCAATTGACAGAAACACATTTATCTTCCTCTCCTCCAGAAAATATTTTTAAAGGGACTGGATTCAAAGCTACAGAAAAGCAAGGGGAGGGCTCCTTTAGGTTGTACAGTCAGGTGCGAAGAGCAATGCAGGCAAATAGTACATCCTGGAAAGAGTTAAGAACATAGATTAAGGATTGGATGAATGTTATCTGGAAATTTCCTCTAGTCAGGTAAAAGCTGAACACACCAAGCTCTATGACTTGGTCCAGTCTCTGTTCCGTTCACACTTCACTGGCTACTTTTAACTATTCTCTATGTAGCCTTCTCTGAACCCACATTTACCAATCCCAATTAAATTCTCACAGCACCTGGTGTTCTTAGCACTAATCACAGCTTATAGGTCAATAACTCTGGACATACCGGCTGATAATGTAGGAGGACAGTGGGGAAGTCAAGGGCTCTGTGCTGTGGAGAGAAATGCTAGGGTTCAAATCTTGGTTCCAACAATTCCTAGTTGTAAATAAATGTATTTCATACCTCATAATGTTATTGTAAAGATTAACAACCAGTACATGTAAAGGATGCAGAAAAATGTCTGTCATGTAATATGTGCTCAATAAATATGGGGTAACATCATCCATGGACCCATGAGAGCAGGAACCATGTCTGTTTCATTCTCTATCACCTCTCTGGGACTAGCACAATGTTTGGGAAGTAGCAGAGCTTAGTGAATACATGTGGAGGGCATGAATACTTAATCACTTCATTCTTTGCTACCCATTAAGCCCTTGATATATTTGTTGATACATGTTTACTGTGTCTCCTTATTCCCCAGTTGCTAGGGGTAAGACATTGTTCCTTTTGTATGCCCCACACAACTCTTCATGATGTTGATACTTAAACTTAACCAAGTTCTTTCCCAAATACTTAAGGAGTCAGATTTAGAGAAATGTGGATGGAGGCAAAATCCCCTGGAGTTCTCAACTGTGCTATCAAGATGCTTCTACATTATAAAATGGATATAAAAATACATAGCTCTAGTATATATTTAAGAAGGCAAAAAAATGGTTTATTCCTCTAACTTATCAACTGAGAGTCTTTCAGCCACAAAATGTAATTATTTAGCCCCACTCTAAATCATTCATAAAAATGTTCAGTGATGGGTCTCCACAGCATGCTTATGACTTTTTAAAATTGATTTTAATAATGGTGTACATGGAGGTTAAACCACAGAGTTAAAAATGAACATACTGGCAATATCTAAGCCAGAGAAATAGCAATACAAAAAAATTGAAAGGCAAATGAATAAAATATATCTTCAAATGACTGGCAATATTAAAGTCAAAAAACATTAAATAGTATGAGATTACACTTAAGGGTCAGAGACAGAAATCTCAGATTCTTTGTACCTGTAGTTAGGGTCAAAAGAGAGACAGTAAACACTTACATGGGTCAAATGAGACATGGGCAGAAACTAGAATGGCTGGTTGGTAGGACTGGATCTAAAGGAGGTAGTCTTTTCTGTGATATAATTTCTAGCTTTCTGAGAGAGTCTTTGCCTTCATAAGCAATATTACTTAGCATAAATCTCACAGTTAGAGCTTAATTTCTTTGACTAAGATAGTGTATGTTTCTCAAAGAGGAATACTTTGACTCCTTGGAGGTTTGGAGCCATGTGTCAAAAGATTGTGCAAAGCCACAGGATAAACATAGCTTATTTTCCTGCAAATTATGTTTTTCTTAAATATTGGAAGCATAGGGAGATGAACGTTTTAACTGGTAGTAATTTAGATCATTCGTTTATTTAACAAATGAATAAATTATGCTGTAGAATGCAAATCTTGTACATGTAAAGAATGCAGAAAAATGTCTGTCATGTAATATGTGCTCAATAAATATAGGGTAACATCATCTATGGACCCATGAGAGCAGGAACCATGTCTGTTTCATTCTCTGTCACCTCTCTGGGACTAGCACAATGTTTGGGAAATCTCAGTAGAATGCAAATCTTGCATTCTACATTTTTAAAAACAAAGCATGAAACTACAGAGAGGCATCATGTTTGTGTAGATCACTTTAGGGTACCTAGGGCTTTAGGTTGAAGAGGGAAACTTCCATGGCAAAGACGCAAAAACAAGAGGGAAAGGAAATGAAGGACACAAAGACACAGTTCACTGTTTTGGCTGAGACCCAGAACTCCTTAGCTCAGAACTACTAACAGCAAAGGTGGCAGAGATACCATGGTAGAGTCTGCAAAATGCAAACTTACTAGAACTGGCAATCTTCAACACCTAGGCAGGATGGCAGCAACTAAAGCTCACAAAACACTAGAAAAGTATGTTATCAGAGTTGAGGAGATGCTATGTGGACATGGGGGAGGAGAAGAACAATTTCAAGGTCTGAATGAGACAAAGGCCAGAGCATCAGATCTGCAGTTACTTGTCAACTCACTGAATGGTGAGGGATGCAAAGGCACAGGTGTGCACACTAGCAAGGTTCAGAAGTGAATTTTGACAATTGTGTGTTAGAGATGATAACAGTTCAACTGAGATGACAAGGAAATTGCTTATAGATGTCCACATGAACTTACCACATCAGAAAACAATACATATGTATACCTTTGAAACCACATTTTCCAACCCTACTCACTTTCCCAGGCTTGATGCCACCTCTGTGTTTTCCTCCTCCTCTCATCCTAAATAAACCTTGTTCCTCAATATAAACTCAGAAAGCAGTTTCGTCTATAGGTTCAGTGTTTTCAGGGGCAGCAGAGATTCAGACAGGGTAAGCTCATCATTTTTACCTCTTCATTCACCAGCGTAAGTGTGCTTGCTCTCAGACAAACATTACCACTACCAAGCCTGAATTACTCTATCTGGGCTGGCAACAATGGCAGTATTAAGAAAAGATAAAAACCATCTAAATCATGCTGCTTGGAACTAGTTATAACCACCTTTCCAGACACACAGATACGTTTCCATGATTAAAGTATAATGTGGTTGGCTGAAAGGAACTCAGAAAATGATCGATATTTGAACTTAAAACGTTTGATCACTTGTCCTGTGATTTTTTTTCTTAAAACTCAACTCACATTGTATTTGTAAGAACACAGGGAAAGAGCTGAGTAACAGGACCTAGAGGAGATTTTTCTTTCCTATCACTTTTCATGATGGATAGGCTCCTTAGGAAAGAGAAAGTATTTAAGGGCTTGCCACGACTCCAGTCATGTTTTAACCTCATTTTATAACCCGTCAATAGGATTGTGTTACAGACTATCTGACTCCCCCCACTATCCGCTGTTCACTCTCCCTTTTAGTTATAGAATTCCCTGAATTTTATTTAGGCAAATGGCTATCCCACTGGAGACTACACCTCCCTACTTCCAACAGCCTTCTTTGCACCTCGGAGTGGTTAAAGGACTAAGTCTTGGCCAATAAGGTATAACTAGGAAGGATGTGTATACCTTTCAGCTCATGTTTCCTAAGGACAATGTTCACCCTCCACTTTCTCTCCCACTTGCCCCTTCCTGCAGACTGGAATGTGAGCAGGATTGTGGGAGCCAGTTTCAGTGCTGCAGCTGAGAGCAACCCCCGGGGACTCAGCAGAGTAACAAACAGAAGGAATCGGGGCTTTCTCTAATCAATGTTGCAGAGAAGAAGTACCCACCCATCCTGGGCCACCTACCCACCTTGATTGAGACCATTGGGTAAAAAAGAAAGAAATTTCTAGCTTGTTTAAGCTACTTTCACAAATCTCTGTTACAGCAGTTTAGCCTGTATTCTAATATACAGTTTCTACCTAGAAGTGGGTATTGCCATAACAATATCTGAGACCAGGGTCACAGGCTGTAAGGACAGAGATACAGATATTGACAGCTGGAAAGCTGAGGACTCCTGCTAGAAAAGCCAACTTTTTCTGTTCCCCAAGCAGTACAAGGTAAGACTGTTGCTCAGAGCATCCTTCAAGAATCTCCTATATTCTCCTAGGCCACACAATGGCAGCCAGTTCAAACATTCAGGTAGGGCAGGCCTGGATTTCCCATTCGAGCCTATTGCTTCAGATGACCTCAAGGAAGAAGCCCTTAAACTGAGGGAGTTAGGAGTGGGCTACCAAACCAATAAATAAGCTACAAAGCCAATAAATCAAAAGGTAGTTAAAAACTACAGCCAAAGGCTACTTTAATGTGGAACTGGAAGCAGACAGACTGGAATTTTTGCGGGTATTACATTGCCAAAGAAAACAAAAACCTGGCTGACAGAGCTAGTGACTGTTGAATCACTAAACCAAATCTCAGGTTCCCAAACCTGCACCAGTAGAAAGCAAGCTGTACAAGGAGGGAAGCTACCAATGAGGGCATATTATCTAACACCCACCACAGATGTGGCCACAAAAGACAGAGGCCATCAAGGACAATGGACAGGGAGTTATACCCAGAGAGTGAGTTTGGATTGGCCAAGATGACCTAATAAAGACTGCCAAGTAGTTCTTGCCCAGAGAAATGTAATAACAACAACAACAAAGCGCTAACTCCTACTGACTAGATTATGCTGTTTGCCTCCTCCTCTTTTCCCTTTCCAAGTAGGGATTTCATGGCAGATAACTTGTCCTTTAGTGCCGGGGTCACTGGAGGCACATCCACCCTGATAGAGAGGCCTAGACATATCCCAGAGACCTGGACTCTCAGCTGGGTGCAGTAAATAAATGGGCTTTGGTTTGCCTCTTTGGGAAGAAGGTGGGCATATCCTCTACGTGGGATGAAGGGTAGGAAGGGATACTTAGATGCTAGGGAGACAAGCTGTGAACAGAGACTATTCATTATCTCCCATGTCCATTCTTCTCTTGTCCTTTTAGATAAGGAACTACCAGAAAGGTGGCTCAGTAAGAGCCTACATTTCATAACCCCCTCTTGTAGCTAACTAGACATGGTCATATAACTACATTTTGGCCAATAAAATATGAATTTTAGCCAATGGTATACATGTTTATAAAGGAAATTTTTTGTCCTTAACTTTCTCTGTCCCTTCCCCTTCTCTGTCCCTTCCCCCTTCCCATGGGCCAGAATGCAGATGTGAAGGAGGGTGCCACCACTGAGCACATGGATGGGGACAGTTGCCTGGGGATGCAGAGCAATGAGACAGAACCTGAGTTTCTGGTGACTTCATGGAGCCAAGCTGCCTACCCTCCCTGAAATGCCTTCCTAAACAACATCTATGTTGTTTGAAGTATTACATTTTGACATCTAATTTTTACAGCTGCCAAACCTGTACCCTAATTAATATAGGAGAAAATTGGAAAGCAAAGTGGTTTGAGTGCAAAGTCTATATATTGTGTATACATATGCATGAGCTAAAGGTGAGGACCTAGAAACTGTCACTTTAGAAAGAAGAGGTGGTTATAAGATAAAGTAGTAAGTGCATTAAAATCCAGCATTCCTCACCAAAGCATAGCTAAGAAAATCCATTTGAATAAGTAAAACTATATTCAACTTGAAAACACTTTATCTTAAAAAAAGAATTGTAAAATTAAGACAATTTTCTTCTTTTTCAATAGTTTAAAGCTAATAGTAAAATATCACTTGATCAACTCAAGAAGGAATCCCATAAAGTTATCTGAATTGATAAATGGTTACATGTGCAAATATTTAGTAACAAATATCAGAAAATAAAATCACATAGTATACAGGCAGTTAAGTGCTCTGATTCTGAAAACAGATGGATCGTTTATACATCCTAGTTCTCCCAATTACAGGCAACCTGACCTTCAGCTACTTACCTAGACTCTCTAAGCCTCAGCTGTCTGTGCTTCAGTTTCCTGTGGATCAAATGAGATAATGTACAAAGCACTTGGGGCAATGCCCAGTTCATAGTATGATTTCAATTAATTTTGTCTAAAATCATTGCCACCTGATTGTAAAAATATCTCTATCAATCAGAAGATGGGCATCTTAACCATCATTGTTCTATGAGACTGACCTCTTTCTCAGGTTGGCAAGCCATAAAATGCCCAGTGCCTTGAGTTTTAATGAAAGACACCAATTCAATCAGGGCATTCACTCATTTACCATGTGTATTGATACCTTAGCATGAAAAGCATGATCAATGTGATAAAATAAAAATATACTTCTAGGTTTGAGAAGCCAATTCCCATGTCACCCTTATTTAGCTGAGTCCACCTAAATAAGAACACCCAGTCTTTGAATTATCACTCCCTAATTGACTGATATTGGACAAGTCTCCACATATCTTTGAGACTAGGTTTCCTCATCTATAACATGGAAAAACAATATCTCCCTCATGGGTTGCTATGGGTATTAAATGAGAAAATTCAAGCACCTGGTTACTACTATGCCTAGAAAGAGTAAGCATTCAGATAATGGATGACGGAAACTTTATTACTGCTATAGTTATGGCTACATAAAATAGTTAAATACCTCATCATAAGAAAATTGTGCCTGCATGTATTTGAGACCCACTGGTTGTAGGGTAAATGCTTTGTGCTATCTGTCTCATCATACTGATGGCCCATACTGACCACACATATTCATTCTCTCCCAATCTCAGTAGATACCAAAATGCTATTTTTGCAAGCCTGTTGTCCAGAGATGGGATGTATTCATGAAACACAGACTTCCTCCACTCTGTGAAGTCAAATAGCTTGCATGAGATTGCATCCACAACATTGTTTCTTATTAGTGTCACATTCTGTTCAACTAAGTTGACCACTGCAGGCTAAGTGATAATTACAGCAATGTGTGTCATCCAGTATCCTCCAAAACTTAATGATTTTACAAACTAAAAGTATATCTGCAAAGAAAATGTTATCTTAACCTTCAGGGAGCTGATTGGGACAATCAGTGTAATCATTTTACCAAACATCCAGGGTGGACCAGGGGCCTTTATCTTTCACCTGTAACATGAAGATGAATCTGAAACTAAAGCACATGCTTGAAACTGAAGGGAAAATGAGTCTTTTTCTTTTCCGGATTAAAATAGAACCTTCCCACTAACCCCCACCTGCAATTCCAATTATTTATCCCATTTCTATCAGGGCAGAAGCTATTTAGCATGGCTTATTTAATCCATTGTTTTATCTTTATTTTTTAAATAATCAATTTTGCCCTGGCTAATGCATTTACAGTGTTTCCTCTTGCAGGTTTCTGATATAGTCACCACCCAGGTCTGACCTAGTTTTCTAAGCTGATTTTTCTCAGCCATGGAGCCTCTTGCTGAGTGGCTTCACAGTTCATCTGCTTCCATTCCCTAATGCCATGGTCCCTGAGACCATCTTGGCCGCATATGGTGGGCACTCACTGGAATGGTTAAAATTGCTACCCTCTTCACTGAGGCCTCAGAGGAGTATGTAGGTCCAACTCACACTGCTCAGCAGTGTCAGAGCTAAGACCAGAATCCATCAACTTTGTTGTCACCATGTAGACAAGAGCCCTTGATCCTCCATCACTCAAAACAAAATTAAAGATGAGCTCCCAATTGAAGTGTTCTACTGGTAACCTCATATAGGCACAGACTTATTCCAGAACTCCTGGTTATGCTATAATATCCCTTGCTGTCTTCTATGATTGTCATTTGGGGTCAATTTGTTGTTGTTGTTGTTCCTTCTCTTCCTTTGAGGATGCTTTTGGATTTGTCCAGCTGGATTGTTTGGTCCTTGGCTGGTTGTCCCGGCTAAGAGCCCAGCCTGGAGCCAGTGCCCACTGTGTAAGCAATGCAGATGACATTGTCGAAAAAGGGACTCTGTAGAGCATTGTTTGCTTAGTTGGCCCCTTTCTAGCTATCTGTTTGCAACTACCTTGATAAAAAGGTGCTGATAATGAGGGACAGAGTTTTATACATTTTAGTTAATCATCTCCGCAGCAGGTTTTTATACAGGATGGTGATCAATGTTGAAATTCTACCTATCTGCCCACACTGACTCATTAGTCATGAGCATTTGTCATCATACATGGGGACTTCCCAGTGCCCTGCACTGCTTTGGCCATGTGCTTAGGAAACACTGGGCCAAAGGACATCTATCCAGTGGACGTTTTCAATCTCAGCAGAAACAATTCTAATTCTGCACTTCCTGAAATAAAATCTTGCCATAATCAAAGCAAGAAAATTAAATCCCTTCCTAGAAATAAAATATACTTATTTGAAAGTGTTTCAGGCCTTGCGCGGTGACTCACGGCTGTAATCCCAGTACTTTGGGAGGCCGAAGCGGGTGGATCATGAGGTCAGGAGATCGAGACCACCCTGGCCAACACAGTGAAACCCCATCTCTACTAAAAAAAAAAAAAAAAAATACAAAATATTAGCCGGGAGTGGTGGCGGGCACCTGTAGTCCCAGCTACTTGGGAGGCTGAGGCAGGAGAATGGCGTGAACCCAGGAGGCGGAGCCTGCAGTGAGCGGAGATCGCACCACTGCACTCCAGCCTGGGCAACAGAGCAAGACTCTGTCTCAAAAAAAAAAAAAAGAAAGAAAGAAAGTGTTTAATTAGCAGACAAGTTCGTGTCATTTTTTTAAATAGTTAACTTTTACTTCCAGAAAAATAGCAAACAAGATAATACTCAAATGCAACCGTGGTTGCAGAATCTATAAACCCAAAAGTCTGAGAGATTTACAAATAATCAATATTATAAACAAAAATCACATCTACCTAGAAACATTTCTTTTAAAAAAATCTGCTGGCAAGTCCCTCCACTCTTACCTCAGGTGGGCCATAAATATTTTCTTCCAAATATATAGGATAACCAGAAACTTTCTCTTTCTTTAAACAACAAAAATTGGTTTATAATTAAAATGCACTTTGGCATACCTTTCTGCAATATTTTCCTCACTTGAGTTGGAGTAAAAACTTGAGAGAATTAGCAAAGCCTGTTAACCTCATGAATTGGGTAGTGAATTTGGCAAGGTGACTTCTCCAGACTTTCAAAAAGAATCAGGCAGGAAAACTACTTTCTGGATGTTTTGATTACATGAGCAAGCAAATTTCCAAGCATCTACACTCCCAATAATCAAGTGATAGTATGGAAGGCCATCGTTACTATATTGAGAACGTACCTATTTTTTAAGTGTCAAAACTGCCCGATAATGAAATACTTGCCGTGTGGTCCAAGATAACCACCTGGCAGGCCTACATGCTATTATTTTTTTTCCATTCTGCATGTCTTTTGTCCTCTCTTCTTTATATCACTTGCCCACTTCAGACTATGAAAGTTGCTTGAGGGCTGAGCCCATATTGCCAATAATTCATTATAATTGGAAGCAGTGGGTGCTTAAGCACTCATTACCTGACAAGGAACATCACAGTAACAAGCTCAGTTTAGAGGTCAGTGTTAACAAGGCCAAGGTCCTAGACCTGAGATGGGTGGATGTGGACGTTTGCTCTGCTCCATGACAATAAGCCAAATACCTTGGTCTGTGCTACTGCTCGCCCGGCATGCAGCAGGGAGGTGCAGAGCATGAGGAGTATGTGAATGTCCTAGTCCAAGTCCCCAGTGCAGCTAGGATTGGAGAAGTATAATTAAATATTGCTCAGCCCAGAAGAATCAGGGTGTGGTCCAGGTCAGAAACAGGCAGAGTGAAGATGAGACTCACCGGTGCTAACCTTTCTTTCCTTTGCTAACACATTCAAGTGACAGCCACACTTCCACCAGTAGCACAGACTCATGAGAACTGGTCATTAAACAGAGAGTACTCTCACTGGGCAGGTGAAGGGGGATATGTCCATTATTGTGAGAGGTTCATGTTTTGACAAAAGGATCCTGATACTGATACCCAATACTGAGTTGAAATTCAGTCAAGTAGAGCGGCACATATGAATCACTTGGGGATCTTATTAGAATACAAATTCTACTCAATATGTCTCAGGTGGGACCTGACTAATAAGCTCCCAAGTGATGCCAAAGCTGCTGGGCCTTTGGCTCTCTCTTTGAAAAGCAAGATTCTAGATTTTATCAGATCGGCAGGTGTAAGGGAATCCTGGACCCCATGAAACTGGAGGTTCAGAAACATCTGAAGAAACTGACAAATTACTAATGGTCAGAGTCACCAAGTTTTCAGGAATCCAGAGATCACACCAGTCACAATCACTCAAAAGATGCCAGAATTCAGTCCCAACCAGTGCCCTGGGTTTCTGAGTCCCTTTTTTCTCTCTCCACTACCCAGAGCAAGCAGCCAGGGACTGTGGGACACATGGCAGAGCCCTGATCTTGTGGGCACAGGCAGATCAAAGTAGCTAAAGATGATGTTAAAGAGACAGGTGTGGTAGGCACCAATAGGAGGCTAGGAAGTCAAGGTCCTCCAATCTCAGACCCCTGTCTTAAGGGTAAGATCAAAGGCTGGCACAAAACTTACAGATCATTTTATACAAAAGTTGGTATATGCTTGGGGCCTTGTGGGACATCTTCTCCATATCAAATCCATTAAATCATTGGCCCAGACTCCATTTGTCTTTAACAGGAAGGAATAGCTCTTGGGGTGATTCAAGGTGAAACCTTATCCATTTCTTCCCTCTCTCTCATTGACGCCGTGTATGTGCAAGGTGGTGAGGCAGCCGAAATTAGGACTATAGAGTCCTTCATGTTCACAGAACAAGTGCTGCAAATGGGTGTGAGTCAGCCTTGAGCTCAATCGAGAGTAAACAGACAAATTTACATTCATATATGGATTTAGACATTTGTCAAATATTTGCTAAAAGAGCATTTCACTTGTCGAAGGAAGGCATAGCCTTAATATTTTTCTTTCTTTCTAAAGGACTCGTTTCACCCACGTGCTTGATGAAAGTTTAAATATAAAATGCCTGAGATGAAAATGTATATTAATATTTTTCTGTCTTTCCAGGTAGATCTGCTGACCTCCTTCTTGTGCTAAATCTATTAACAAGCAAATAAAGCTGAGGTCCTTAGATCAGTACTATAGCCAAGAGATACTAATAGTACCCATCAAAATCAGATGTTAAGCCTGTCCAGAGAGCTCCTGGCAACCTGAGAGACTAAGCTGACATGGGCATTCCTCTGACCACCAACAATGGAAAACAGGATCAAACATATCCAAAATAAATCTTATAATGTGATCTGAAATTAAGAGAAAGATAGGAGGTTCTCAGAAGCCATGAATAAATACAGAAGTAAAAGTCAGGAATATGAGGTGGACCTGGGCTGCATGCGACATCCCAAAGGTGTATTTTTCAAGAATACAGGCCCTAGAGGCTGGGCCTGGAGTCCTGGCCTTGGGCTGTGGCCCAGCAGAGAACCTAAACTAGATACTTGACCCATGAGGGCTGCACAGGCTTTGAGGAGAGGATTGGGAAACCCCCAACGCAGCCCAGGGGGCTGAAGCAAAGCTTAGTTTCTACTGTAAATATATAAATTATTAAAGATGTTAAACAGTAGTCAAAAAGAGGTTTAGAAGTGAGATTTGCCAGAATCCATCTTAAATTTCAACTGTTCCAGAATATAGAAAAACAAATTAGCCAAAGTTTCTGTTATGACCTCAATACCCAAAAGATAACATAAACTAAGCAAAAAGAGAAACCACAGACTGAAAGAGAATAAGTGAATGTAGGTAAGACACAGATAACTAGTCTCCAAAATACATAAAGAACTTACAAAAGTCAGGAAAAGAAAGCCAAACAATCCCATATAAAAATGAACAAAGGATATATATTAATACTTCACTAGCAAAATGATTCTAAAATCTAGTAAGTAGATTAAAAGATGCTCAACTTCAATAATAATCAGAGAAATGTAAAATGACTAACAACGTGATGTCATTTCACATCCACCAGGTTGAGAAGTATTAATAACTCAACTGTGAGTTAAGATATGGGGAAGCTTTTATATCCTTCTGGTGGGTGAGGAAGTTGGTACCAATCTTTTGGGGAAGAGAATGAAAATATCTAGTAAAGGTGAAGATGCAGAGGCCATAGATCTATAAATTACATGTGTAGATGTTTACTCTAGGGAAACCCTGACAAAGGTACACAGGGAGCCATGCAAGAATGTCCCCTGCAGAAATATTCACAATCGCAAAAAAATACAAAACCTAAATATTAATAAATAAGCAATTAATAAATACATGGTGGTATATTCCAATTTATAGCATTTTATTTCTTTATAAAAGGAAAATCTCTATGTTACAAATATTTCTATTACTTAATCAGAGTGATGGATATAGAAGTTTTTATTTGTGTTTTCTGTATTTTAAAACATTATTTTATACAGGTTGAGCATCCCTAATCTGAAAGTTTGAAATCCAAAATTCTCCAAAATTCAAAACTTTTTGATTGCCATCATGGTGTCACAAGTAGAAAATTCCACACCTGACATAAGACAGGTTGCAGTCAAAACACAGTCGAAACTTTGTTTCATGCCCAAAATTGTTAAAACATACTGTATAAAACTGCCTTCAGTCTATACATATAAGGTGGACATGAAACAAATGAATTTCATGTTTATACTTGTGTCCCATCCCCAAGATATGTCATTATGTATATGCAAATATTCTAACATTTGAAAGAAATTGAAATCCAAAGCACTTCTGGTCCCAGGCATTTCAGATAAGGGATATACAACCTATAATTAACATTTAAATAAAAATATATTATAAAGTCTACCTAGAGCTATACATTTTGTCAAGGGAAGTTATATCTCCCCATCCCTATGTAGAGATGCACACATAAAGGCCTGGAAGAATACACAGAATTATTAATAGTGTAACTTAGGGAAGAAAGTAGAACAGTAGAAGACCAAAGAGGAAATTTTCCCTTTACTCTGCCTAATTCTGTGTTTTTCACATATTTATGAACACATATTCATGTGTTCAATGTGATTGCAGTGAAGCCTCAATTAATGTCCTTCCTACATCCACACCCTTTGCCCTGTAATTTTGCATTCTTCCTTCTGATTCTGGCTGGCCCTGTGAGTTGGTTTGGCCTACAGAATACAAATGAAATGTTGATGTGCCAACTACAAGGTTAGGTCTCAAGAGACTGTCATGGTTTTCCTTGATCTCCCTCTTGCAGTTAGACTTAAACACTCTTAGAAAAAGTCTGGACTTGGCTAGGCATAGTGGCTCATGCCTGTAATCCCAGAACATTGGGAGGCCAAGGCAGGAGGTTCACTTGAGTCCAGGAGTTCAAGACCAGCTTGAGCAACATAGTGAGACCCCCCCATCTCTACAAAATATTACAAATGTAGCCCAGTGTGGTGCCACCTGTGGTTGGAGCTACTTGGGAGACTGAGATCAGAGGATCACTTGGGCCTAATAAATTGAGGCTCCAATGAGCCTGAGCTGTGTGCCACTGTACTTCAGCCTGGGTGACAGAGTAAAACTCAGAAAAGGAGGGGAGGCAGAAAAGGAAAGAAAAAGTCAAAAGAAAGGAAAGAAAGACCAGGACTTGCCAGCTGGATAGTGATAAACCATGTTCAGGAGAGGCTAGTTATCCTAGCCAAAGCTATTCTATACCAACCTGTAGATACAAGAGTGCCAAGTCATGATCAACAGATCTGCCTACCTGACCCACAGTGACTACAGACCCAAACTGAGACCAGAGAAATATCCAGCAGACCTATAAACTCATGAGCAATAGTAAATGCTTATTATGTTAAGCCATTGAGTTTTGGGATGGTTTTGTTATACCTCAATAGTTAATTCATACATTCATCAGATGTAAAATTTTTAAGAGTGGAAAACAGGTCCATCCATTTGAGAAAAGGTGACCTGCTGATTCATACCTAGACACAATATATAACAATTCCAAGCCTTTATGATTCATGTCATCATTAGAGTTTGACATCAGAACTTGCTCTATATTGCCCACACACTGTCCAGTTTCTTATCTGGAAGATGTGTCCTTCATCTTCCATGAAGCTGGAGCCCCACTAACTGAGGCTTAAGTGGGTTATTTTAGCACATCTTCTAGCATGGTGTGTCATGTCAAGTACCCTTTATGAGGCTTCATTTACTCTTCATTTACCCTTTGTGATGCTATTCAAATTGATGTAGGAAAAAAGACAACAAACAACAAATTGTCCATTAACTTGTGCTGCATTTGGCAGGAAAGTCCAAGCCAATATGAACATAAAGAGTAATCAAAGGTGTTTAATATGTCATTAAGTATTCTCCGTACTGAGCCAACTGTGAAACAGAAGCTTGGAGAGTAACATTAATACTTTGCCCCTTGTATATATTATCAGTCAATATTATTCAACATATTGTTTTAGTTGTAGAGATCAAATGCTTGGTGCAGCAGAAGGGTACAAACTGGAGACTCCAGAGGCTGCATTCTGCTTCAGACCAGTGCTGGGATTTTGAGCAAGTAACTTAATTTATATTTTAAGTATAACTTGTTTATCTTAATGTATATATATTGTATATATATGCACACACATACACACATATATATGTATGTGTATATATATACATATATATGTATATATGAAGTAAAGAGGCTATTGGACTTATTTCTTAGGTTCCTCCCAATATGAACATTCCAAGAGCCTGTGACAGTGAAACAAGCCCCGAGGCCTTCCTATCATAAAACAACCTTTTCATTCCATTTTGGTCTCCATAGATTTCAGTGTCCTTTCTCTCAGTCGAAATCACTCACTTCAAAAACTTGGACTAACATCAAGATTTTAGCCAGAAGCAAGCTGAAAAGTAGTTGCCATTGGAGACTCCTTAATACCTCATTGTTAAACTGGCTAATGGTGCTCTAAGGATGAGCCGTTAGAGGAAATGGTCAAGATCTTCATCTCAAGGGTGAGGAAGCTAAGGTCCTGAAAGGTCCTGTGATTTGCCAAATGTCAGACAGCATCCTAGCAAAGAGGGTAAGTTCTACTTTTAAGGTTTGTGATTCCAGATCCATCCGTTAATCCACTCATGTAAGATTTGTCGAACACTTACAGACACTATGCTAGGCGCTAGGGATGCACAGTTCCAAGACAAACCTGTTGCCCTCATGGAGCTCACAGCTCGGTGGAAGTAAAAAATAAGAGAAACACTATTGAATCTTGTCACACATGATTAGACAGGAATTTATGGGATGCTCTGAGAATCCAGAGGAAAGAATACCTTACTCTGCATGAAGAGACAGGGAATTTTTCATGGAGGAGGATATAATTGAGCTGCATTTTGAAAAATAAGGAGTTTTGAGGCACACAATACATAAGAGGAAAGGGCACAGAACACAGGACATGCAAAGGCATTTAAACACACAAATGTACACACAGATGTGTTTGGGAGACTGTAAGCAGCTGGATATGCTTCCATCTAGGATGCAGGCTGGGAATGTCAGGAGGCATAAAGGAAGAAATAGGCAAGAACAGATGATGCCAAGGAAAGGAGTTTTGACTTTTGTCTAGGGAGATGAAGGAGCCACTAAAAGACAGGTAGCAGGCATGGCTATCCTTGCTTTCAACAGACAGCATGTCCCTAAAGAAGAGAAGATGAGAGGACCCAGTTAGGAAAGGAAGGATAGCAGTGGGCGGCTAGTCCGTGCCTGCTGCTCTTTCCTCTAGTCTCTGTTGGATTTCCTTCACTCCAGCCTCAATGTGCCATTCATCATCAATGACGCCATCCCCTGGGGAAGCGCTGTAGACACTCGGGATTCTCAGATGGGCCAGCCCAAGGACCACAGCCTACTGCCACTCATGGCTGGCTCAGTGCGTAAATGCTGTCCTGAACCCAAGAGAAGCATGAACTTGGGGGAACCCCAGAGACCCACAGTAAGATTCAACCACAGATGAGTGTGGTTGAGTGACACTAAGGTAGTAAATATTCTAACAGATATAGGTTAAATTTCAACAGGTGGTTTACTAACTTGGTAACTGTGTGACTTCAACAAGGTTATTTCACTTCTCCAAGTCTGAAGGTCCTCACCTATCAAATGGAGATAACACTAACACCTACCTTGTATCCTGGATTTATTGAAAGAAATTATGCAATTAATTATATTTCATCTGTGCATTCCTGGAACATGGCAAATACTCAGTAATCCATAATTATAATTATTAACATTTAGCATCATGCAGTCAAGCACCTTGCCTATTTCTAGAGAAGCTTGGAACCTGAGACATGGTCCTAAAAGAACTCTCCTCAATATCACACTCCCATTCTCTCCCCTCCAGAGACCTCGAAGACAAAACATTACATTTAAAGGCCTCTTCCCTGATCCACAGCAGCATTTCTTAGATTCTTATGAAGCATATTTAGGTTAAGATAAATAAAATATCAGATCTACCCTTGGAGTAGCTAATAAAAAATTTTAAAGTGATTTTCTTCCTTCTACCTCCAAGAAGACCCTCTTTTAAAAGGTGCAATGAGTACCAGAATCAAAATATATATTACAGGTTTATTTTTCATATGGCAAAAGCAGTATGCCTATCTCTGTCCTCGAATATCTCCATGGTTTTGTGAGTTAAGAATTGGAGTTAAGAATGTCCCTTTAGATGGAAACTTTGCTGAAATTTTATCCACTCATTTATTGCCCACATGAGTTTAAAAATGAGAATAAAGCTAGATCTTTTACATCACTGGAAATTTTCTTATGTCTCAGCACCATCCAGAATGTTGGCAATATTAACAGACCAGCAATACTTCTTGCATAATGGAGCCAGAGGAATAAGGAAGGGTGGGGAGGAGGAAGGGAGCAGAGGAGAGCTTTGGGAGACTTTCCCTGACTAATTCTTCTTCAAAACTGTGAAACTTACAATTTCTAAAAACCATAGTCATGATGAAAATGCCTCCTTTAAAACTGCAGCCTTAGAGGAAGCCTGTAGGCTTCTGTCGAGTATTTTAGATCAAAGACGTGGGTTTGAAGTTGAGGTTAATTCCCTCACTTTGCAGTACCACTAAAATGAACATCACAAATAAGGCCTGAAAAGCAATGGCTCGATTCCTTGAATTAACTCTATCGTTTCTAGGTAAGTACTTGGAAAACACTGCATTTACAAAATATATAGCTGGTTGAGGACCCAGGTGATTCAAACATTAAAATTTACTGAGATTTCTGCTTAGTTTGCCTGTCTGCTTATTCAATTTTGTTTCACACTTGATTAATCAGACCTTAGGTTGAAATAGCCAAATGATCTGATAGAGCTTTCTGGTAAGAAGAATAGTACTGCAGAAAAATATTCACAATAAAAATTGAGATGAATGATTCAGGTATGTGGAATATAACATTCTGTTTAAATTATACATCTGTTGTCAAAAGATACATACTTTGTAAATAAGTATAGAAAATTATCTGGAAGAATTGGTACTAGTATATTAACAGCAACTTTCTCTGGTTAGTAAAATTGGGGATCATTTTCATTTTATTTTTATCTATTTCTCTCTCTCTCTCAGTATCGCTTTGAAATAAAGACAGCTATTTTTTTAATTCCAAGTGTTTTCAATTGTGTATATAAACCAAAGCATCAAAAACTTCAGCTTAGAGTAAAAATTAGTACATTTAAGAGCAATTGGAAACACAATAATGATTATAGCCAGTTTTAGCTTCCATGTTCCATACCCCATGCTAAGCATTTCCCATGGCTTGTCTGTAACCCTATGAGGTAGGTATTCTTATCATTCCTATTGTATAAATTAGAGAAACTTAGGCATGAGGATGTTAAATAACTTACCCAAATTCACCGTACTAGTAAGTTGTAAAAGTCAAAAACTTTTGGTGGTCCAGACCATCTGATTAACTTCTATTTTGTTCTACCTGGATTGATCCTAAATGCAGCAGCTACATGTAGCAGCTTTGTCCAAGTCTTTTTTTTTTTTAACTGTCTTATTCTTGCTTCTTTTATAATAATATTAAACTTCCTTAGTCTGTTAACGTGGCACACCTATCTGCAAGGGAAAGTGGTACATAAAGAAGATATTGTCATATATCTCCAAAATGGAGTACAATAATGCTGTAAAAAAGATTAATGAAGATCTCTTTGAATTGTTACAGGCTAACTTCCAGGATGTACTGTTAAGGTAAAAAAAGCTAAGTGCAAAAGAGTATCTATATTATGTTACTCCTTGTATAAGAAAAGTGATTATAAGAAAACACATACATAACTGCCCATTTGTACAAAGAAAATATGGAAGGAACTCACCAGAAACTAAAGAAACTATCTACAGAGGGCAGGTGTCAAAGAGCTGGAAAGAAGACGGAAATGGTTATGTGTATCAAGACAGGATGGAGTGACAGATACTGCCTTGGGTGCATCATTTTGTAAAGCTCTGGCTCTTAGAACCACAGTTATGATTCATATTTTTCACATGCCCCTAAGCAATCAACAACTAAAACTAACAATGATGAGGATCCAAAATGCAATACAAAAATAACAAATAAGCCTGTTACAAATGAGTTACAAAACTACACTGAAAGGATGGGGAATAGTAACACTAACCTAAATAACTACAGAAAACAGTATCTTGACTGGATACCATGAAGCTAAAGACAAATACAAATGCATAAATGCTAGAATTTAGTCAGTAAATATGTTTCTCGCAGGGGCATAGGATAGCAATTCTAAAACTATGTGTTCACTAGAATCAAACAAAGAAGTAAACATATCATGGAAAATAAGCAGATTTCTCACTATTTGAGAAATAAATTACAAATAAAGACAGGAAAAAGCTAAAAGTGAACCCTGAGTTTACAGTATTTAGTATAAATTGTATAGTACAAATGGCTTTAAATATCTATATAGACATATAGATAAAGAAATATAGAGGTGTGTATATGTGCAGGTTATTCATATGCATATATTTCCTGGCTCTGCCTGCTGAGAAGGCTTAGAGCAATGACATCCCAGTAGTAATAAGCACATCTAGCATGAAGATCTCAGTTTCTAAACACCATTCTCTGATTTAAAAAAAAGAAAGAAAGAAAGAAAGAAAAAAGCTTGGACAAGTGATTGATTTCAGGACTAGAGCAGGAGGAAAAAAATAAGCTTAGAATATAGTGTGAAGCAAAAAAGTAAGAAAGTGTTCAAAAAAATAAATAAGGGCTTAATAAGAGAGCACAAACACTAAATGAAAATAAGCTCCTAACAGCCAAAGCTGGAACAAATTAAACAAGTTAAATAATAATATTAGAATATGACCCATAAAACCAAATAAATATATATAAGTTCATACACATGGATATAAATAATCTATTATCTAAATAGGAGAGAAAGACAGCTCTTCCATGGCTGTAGAATCCCAATTAATACATGTTGAAAGAAAGAAGGAAGTGGAAAATCACCATTAAGCAAACACCATAATAACAATTGTAACTAGAATCAAAATCCATGGATGTATGCTGAAATCATTTGTTCACAGTCTAAAGAGAAACAGGATTTGCACAGTCTTAAAGCATGTCCCCCAAGATCTTTCTTAACAGTAGGAGAAAAGATACTAACTATAAAGTGGAGAACCCAGCAGAAACCACCTTAATCAAGTGGTCATGATCAACACCACCACTAATAAAAAATATTGGCATCACAAATCCCATGACATGATGTGCTGAGAAGAACACATCATTTCTGTGGAATTCTTGCCAAAAACACATAACCTCAAACCAAGCATGAGAAAACACCAGACAAGCCCAAATTGAGGGGAATTTGGCAAAATAAGTATTCTATACTCTTCAAAAATATAAGGTCTTAAAAGTTAAGGAAAGATGAGAAACTGTTACAGATTTCAGGAGACTAAGGAGAAATAACAACAAAATGTGACATGGGATCCTGAACAGAATCCTGGAGAATAATAACAATGAAATATTGATGAAAAAACTGGTAGAATTTGAATAAGATTTTTGTTTAATTATTGGTATTATATCAATGTTAATTTCTGGGTTCTGATAATTGCACTCCAGTTAAGATTTTAATACTGAGGGAGGCTAGGGCAGGGATATGTGAAAATTCTCCGTTCCATTTTTGCAACTTTTCTTTAAAAGTAGTTTGAAATTTAAAGTTAAAAGAAAAGGTATTGCCTTTACTTCAACATAATTAAAAATGCTTTTTGGAAAAGTAAATCTCCTTTGAAGAGAAAGACCAGGTTGGGGGAGAAAAAAACCACTGATGTGAAAATTATACCGGGGAAACCACACTTTGTTAAGTTTCCACTTTTGGATACTTATGATGACTTAAGAATCTATATCAACAATTCTGTCCCTTGAATTCAACACACTGAGGTTTTATTCCTCAGCTATAATCGATCTTAATTTTTCAGTTTCAACAGAAAGACATCTTTCCCTCTTGCAAAGACCGTGGCCTTAAAAAGCTTTTGTCATTTCTCAGTTGTTTGCAACTCCAACAGTGAAATACCGCCACTACATTTGATTTTTGGCTTAAAGAAACTCTATTGCTAAGATGGACGACTTGGGCAGTGTATTTCACTTTTGTTTGCTGATGTGTTGCATTTATTTGCTTTCACTTATCAAGAAAAGAGCCAAGTTTTTTTTTCTTCTTCTTCTTTTTCTACTCCTCCACCTCATTCTCTCCTGTTTAACCATGTGTGTCAGAAGGAGAGCTATCAAAAGGAAGCTATGCAAGTTAATCAGTCAGGGCCTGAGAGTGCCCAGGAACCGTTTGTTACAACAGCAAAGGGAATGAAGCCTCCAAGCAACAAACTAATTAATACCTCTCTCTTCTTTGAAGAAAATGACCCAATATTGAACTCCAGTGGATTATACAACATTTTAATTTACTATCTGCTAAATGGATGACTACTTTATAATATGCATTTCTACTTATTCATTTACTGACAACACCAGTAGTCATTCAAATTGAACCCCCTGGCCAAGGTCTAAGAGAAACCTAACTAGGACTAGAAGATATTTAATATACACTATTATATACTCATGCCTCTTGTTTCTACCAAACGAGATGCCATATGGAAAGAATGTTGCACAACGCTGGCACACAGAGCAGCCAGGAACTTTTCCTTGTTGCTTTCTTCTTCCCTGCCTCTACTTCTCTTCATGTTGTTATTGGTAAACTGTTTGCTAAGATGTACTTTCCAGATAACAATTCAGAAAACAGGTAGGAGACACACACCCTTAGAAATATCAAAGGCAAACTTCCTTGGAAGTCAAGTGAAAAACTGCTGAGGAGTTAAAAAGGCAGCATGGCAAGGTCATAAATCTCACTTTATTGCCAGTCACGGGGACATGAAAATCTGAAGACCCTTAAGCCTTTCCCCTGAATCCTAAGACAGTAGGGCTACATGCCCTGGAAATAACTTCTGGCTCAAAATGGACTCTGCAAATAATCCAATGTGTTCCTAGGGTTGCTAAGTCTAGCAAATAGCAATATAGGGTGTCCATGTCCCAGGCGATATTTGGGACATACTTATACTAAAAATTATTTGTTATCTGAAATTCAAATCTAACCTGTATTTTAATTGGTATTTCCCTTCCCCCTTATGAGAAATAGGTGACTAATGCTACAATTTAATTTCCAGACCTGGACTTTTATATAGATTCATTACTTTCTAACTGTGCTACTGAAGCAATTTAATGTCCTTACTGTACATGTCCTCATCTGTCAACTGAGATAATAATAACAATAACTTTCTCATAGAGTGGTTGTGAAGAGTAAATCAAATAATCTATACAGTACCTGGAATATACTATGTATTCAATACATGCTTGCTTTTATTGTAATTACTGCAGTATTACTGTTTGCATTAAAAATATTTGTTGAAAGAGGAAACAGGTTAATAAACAAAGTTTAGATTTTATCGGAAAGACAGTATCTTTGCTAAGCAAGGTAGAGAAAGAAGAAGAGTCTGTGAATAAATTAAGAATCTCTAAATTACACTGTAAGATTTTCCTGTAATCCCCAAATAATAATTACTGTCAGGCTTCAGAATGAGGAGAGCTTGCAGAATTTTCTTGCAGTGTTTTACACATTTCATTTTTCATTTCAATTCAGAATAAAAGGCAAAAGAATAAGAGTGAAACAACTAAGATAAGCCCAAACAAAAATGAGGAAAAGGTGTATATGTAAATTAAGAACACATTTATTACTAGCCTTTTTTAAAAAAGGAATGACAGTGACCTCTAGTAAAATATTTCTGTCTAGAGGCAAGATTACCCATGCCTGGATAACAGCCAATGTTTAAGCTCTTCTCTTAGAAGTGTCCTATCTACCTCTCCCACCTTCATTTCTTCAAGAAGTCAGCTAAGAACCCATCAACACCAATACAAAGGCTGTAAAATAACATTTTCCTCTTGGCTGGATGCAAAAACTAGAACTGCAGAAAAGTTCTCAATAAAAATTGTTTGAATCGCTATCAACTCATTCTTTCTGCTGACTAGGAAGTTAAATAAATAAATAAATAAAAGGGACTCCAAGTCACCAGTTACGCCAGCAGTTTGCAAAAACTATTCTCTCTTTTGCAGGAGCAAGGGTCAACATAAATGATTTATTGTCTTTATAGCTAGTATTTATAGGTATTTGAGGGTGTTCCATAGGCTCAAATGGGTTCCTTTTCTTTATCTGGCCTCAAGAGATTAATTATTCCTGTCAATTCAAATCTATCTTCCTGTTAACAAATCCCAATGGGTCTTTTCCCCTACTCAATCAGATAAACTCCAGATTCTAACATTTTAATGATTTTTTTCTGCATTACAGTGCTGCTTAATTGTATAGTGTTTAAAGAATATGTGGATCTCGATAGGAGTTTTTTTATTTCCTTAATAAGAGAGCCTGACAACTTTGTCAACTTAATGAGTACACACTGATGTTTGCTATGGGGGATTTTCCTAGTGATTATAGGACTTCTTTTCTAGAGATGATATTCCCATTTTAAATGTTTTTTTAAAAAAGAACTTGGATGGTCAAGTTCAAGAGTGAGTAAATTAAATGGCACCCTTTGCACATGTATATGTGATGTGTCCAACAGAAAGCACGAATTTGACGTGTCCAACAGAGAGGGACCAATTTTGGTATATTATCAACTACCTAAAATATAAACAGCACTTTAAAGCTTTGGGAACAAAAATGTATATGTAAAATATTTTAATCTATGTTTATCACTCTAAAATTGGGATACTGTCAGTTTTAAGAAAAAGGAGAAGAAACATGCATATATGACCACCTTTAATGTTTGAAGGTGTCCAAAGAGGCAATGATGAGAAAAAAAGATCATGTATTGTGGAATTACAAGGATCCACTATATCACTTACTATTATATTATTTCTCTGAGCCTCAGTTTCATTGGAAAAAGACAAATAACCAAGCCTATCTCACCAGTTTTGTTTGATTACACACAGCATTATGAATAAGAATAGTGTCTGACAGTAGGTATTCAATAAATGCTAAGTTTCAATTTGCTCTTTTTCAACATTCCCTTTTTTTTATTATACTTTAAGTTTTAGGGTACATGTGCACAACGTGCAGGTTTGTTACATATATATACATGTGCCATGTTGGTGTGCTGCACCCATTAACTCGTCATTTAACATTAGATATATCTCCTAATGCTATCCCTCCCCTCTCCCCCTTAAAATGAAGAGAGAACTGAAGAGGCTACAACTTGACTTCTTTATTATTTTCTAATACTTTCATTATTAACCTGACAGGAACATGAACAGGGAAAAACAATAAGCACAAAATAGGAAGAGATCAATAGCTTGTGATGAGAAGACATGAATCTTGTCAGAATTCAGCATAGAACACATGAGAAGCAAACTTTATTCTTTCAACTTACAAAATTTATCTTTTCTTCTGATAATGGAACATTTCACTCAATACAGAGCCGACTATTACCATGAATTAGTTATAAACACAGATGTAGAAAAAGAAAAATAATCTACGCAATGAAAGACCTTCTAATGAGTACATGAATGTTTTTCAACTCTAGGTAACAAATCAGAAGCCCAGGGACAGGACCACGGTGTGAACACTTTTTTAAAGTTCCACAGCTGATTCTGGAGCCTAATAAAGTTAGACTACTACACTGGTACAGACATAGATGCTGCAATGTATCTACTACATTGATGTAGAGGGAGCTTGTGCCTGGAAGGTAAGGAAGATCTCAATCACAGAGTTAAAAAAAAAATTAATAAGCACTAAAGCATGGTAACTGAAAAAAAAGTCAAAAACCTTTAATATAAAAGTCTCTTCCACTTTCCCCCAACAATTACATAACCATGAGGTCTCTTCCTGATGGCAGCAGCAGCCTGTCTGGAGCAGCTGTGGCAGGGACACCAGCTGAGTGGGGAAGGCTCCGCAGGAATAGGTGGGAGCCCCATCCCCTACCGAGTTGGAGTCCCATGCTTCTGGGCGCAGCTGCAGCCACCCAGCTGCAGCTCCAGACTGGGCATCCCTGCTCTCTCAGGGGCATGGGAGTACCCCACGACCCCCGCAGGCTCAGAAGTGCCTGCTCCTGATCCCTGGCCTCTCTCTGCTCCCAGCACCGGCTCGAGTGCAGAGTAAAGTTGCAGCTGAGCCCAGGCACTGTTGCAACTCAGCTGGGTATGCGTGCACTGAAAGCAGCACTGACATGCCAGGCCCCTGCTGCCTCAGCCCCCTCTGGACTTTGGGCACCAACAAGCATAGGAGGGAGGCTGGGGGATGGCGGTGGCTCAGTGTGGGCCTGCAGGCACCCCTCGGCATGAATAGCCTGGGTACCACGAACAGAGGCAGGAAGCAGACAGGCTGAGAGCAGAAAGGGGTGGATCCTCGCCCACTTACAAGCCAGGGATGCCCTGAAGCCCGGGGGCAGGGCTGCCCATTCCAGGTGGAGTCCGCAGCCAGAAGTGACAACTTAGGTCCTTTTTCTGGGCCCATCCATGGCCACCCATGGACCAACCAGCACACACTTCCTCCCTTCTGTGCCCATAAAAACTCCTGGACTCAGCCAGTCTTAGACAGACATTGGGATTACCAACTGCAGGAAGGAGCCACCTACTTGGTGTCTCGGGTCTCAGGGGTCTCCTCAACTTGTTGAGGTGACCTGCCTGCAGAAAGGAGCTACCCTCCTGAGAGCTGCTTTGTTGCTCAATGAAGCTCCTCTCTGCCTTGCTCATCCTCCAGTAGTCCACATACTTCATTCTTCCTGGATGTGGGACAAGAACTCAGGACCCACCGAATGGTGGGACTGAAAGAGCTGTACCACAGACAGGGCTGAAAAACGCCCCCCACTCACCACATTGCAGGCGGTGAGAAGAGCTGCAGCCCTTCGGGGAGCCCAGACCTAGGGGCTCCCTGAGCCAGGGGCTCTGCAGTTCCTAGTGTCTCCAAGCTTTCAAGTGCCACCACGTTCCACTTGCCCAAATACCAGTGCCCACAGCAGAAGCCGCTTGCGGTATGTCTGGTCCAGCCGCAGCCTTGCACAGAGCTGGCGCCTGGAGCTGCCTGCCCCACTGCGGCAGCCAGCGCGCCTGGCTGTGCGCAGTGGCTGGATCCAACGCTCGCTTGTTCACACACCCCCTGCCACTCCTCGCCCGGCCCGCCCTTAGCAGGTGTGGGATCCAGACTGGTAGCGTGGGCCGAGCTCAGCCTATCAGGACAAGTGGGCATAACAGGCCCTGTGGGAGCAAGTAATACTCAGGCAGAAGGCACCACCCACCACTGAGGCTTCCGGCTGGCAAAGTGACACCCCAAGGATCCTGTGACATTCCCTTAAAGAATAATCTAAAGGGAAAAGATCCAAATCTATTATTATATTAAGGGTTTTCTCTACTTCTTCCCCGCTCTCAATCTCATGTGCAGATATACCAAATAATCAACACTCTACCCAGTTTATTTCATATATAAGTACATTCAGTAAAGCTGCCCAATGTTATCAAAACTGTGAGGGGTTGTAACCATCACAAAGGATATACTTAAACTCATATTTCATTTTGTTGACTCTCTAACAAGCTTCAGAAACATGGAAAAAATTTAACCTGGGTAGAAGGAAGGAGAAATCTGGAAGATAAAAGGAGATGAGGCCAATGAGCTTTAACAGAGTAACCCTGGGAAAAAGACTTTGAAGCAGAGAGTGAAGACTATTAGCTGTAATACACAGGGTCTTGTGAATCCACAAAAATTTTAAAGACTGACTTGGTAGAACCTATAATTGAAAGAAAAACACCACAATAATAAGAGGCAATAAGGACAGTCTGCAGAGAGTAGTGCCCAATGCTACAATACTACAGAAAGAAAACTACAATTGACCAAACCAGACATGGAAGTCCCCGAGCTAAAGCCACATTAGAGAAGTAGAAGAGAGGGATAGAGGAGTGTTTAGAAGCAAAATTTGGCAGCAGTGAACTTGAGGAATAAAGGAGATGATTTAAAGACTATTTTTGATTGCTTATTTGAGAGATAATAACACTGTACAGGGTTTAGAAGTCATGGAAATTTATATATTCATCATATTTAGCTTGAACAATGGAAATGGGACTCAGCTTTTGCAAGGAAAATGTATACTTTCTGGGGTTGACAGGTGCAGAGATTTCAAGCAAAAAGGGCTACCTTCAAGGGAAAAAAATCTAAAACTCACCTGCAAAAATTTGCTTACCAATTATTACTTAATTATTTGCACACATTTATTTTTTCCTTTAAAGGACCCTAAATTCCTTGTGGTCTTTGCATCCCCCATGATTCCTAGTAAAGCAGTAGGCTCAGATATCTTGAATTTAATTTGATCCTAAGTCATAATTTGATCAGAAGCCATCTGGCCTGGGTTCTGAAGTCAGATAAACCTAAGGCAAAACCAGTTTCATCACTTGTTAGCTGCATGGCACTGAATAAATTAATTATCCTCTCTAAACTCAGCTTCCTCATCTGTAAGAGCCAGTTGTTGCAAAGATTAAAAGAGATAATGTGTATGAAGTAATTATTACAATGCCTATCAAACTGTAAGCATTAGAAAGGGTAGAATTTATTATTTTTGTTATTGAGCTCTTTATTTTTTCTTCACACACACATAATCCATAGCACCTGATGCTACACATTCATCAGCCAGCCAGAAACCCAGGTAAATCAATGAAAAAGAAAACGACACTAATCAATCTTCCAATTTTTCTACTCTGACAAGATTCTGGCAACTAGTGGTGAGGGAAAAAAAAGAAATCTCCTGCAAATATATATCATCTTTGTCATCAAAACAGACTCAGGTAAAGTCACAATTAGCATAAGTCTGTACAAATGAAAACCAATTTACTAATGCAATACTGTTTTATTCAGGCTTCTTCGAAAATCCAGGGGAAAAAAATACTCCCTCTAAAAAACACAATTCAGATGACTTGGGTTTTGAAACTATGCAGAAAACAGAAAAATAGTTTTCATTATCAAAAGGTAGACAATGTTTTGTTTCAACAAGAATGAACAAACAATAAACTAACATTATGGCCCAAAGACTATACTATTCTTAGAATGTTGGTTTAGAATTGAATAAAACTTATTGTATAAAGTAATATGTTCAAAGGAGATCCTATCAGGGGAGAAGGAGAGGCAATCATCTTTATTTTGGGCAGACATAAGAAAATAATTTTGTAGCCTTAGACTAATACCTAGATTTGGCTTTGTTCTAGACCCAGAAAAACTATTTTTGGATGCTATTTCCCCAGATACATGTAAAAAAGATTTGAATTCAAATATGCAAATGGTATTGGACTATGTCATTTTGAAGCAGTTAAGTTTTTAAAATCCAGGCTATTCCTGTTTTGAAAGCAGTGCCATTTAATATTGTTCTTTTCTTGCTATTCCCACTTTCTATATGAATTGAGTGGGATCTCAAATCCCCTTGCTAAATGGTTTAGCAATACTTAAAATTCAGCAAAGAACATTCCCACCTTCAGGAGACACCTCTCCTTTATCATTATGGATGACTGACATATAAACAAATGTGATGCCCAGAACTGGAGTCAGTTCTGCTCTTGAAAATATTCATACATCAAACAATTCTCCTTCTTCATTTTCATAAAGACAGTTCTGACCATATTATCATAGCTAAAGGACAAAGTGTATAGCTCTCAAAACTCAATTGATCTTAGTTATCTAAGTCTTACTTTAAATGAAGATAACAGAAATCCTTTCTCTATGTAAAAAGGTTAAGCTTGGGAAAAAAAAGTGAAAGATTTTCTGGTTCATCCTAAATAGGCTTTGGAGAAAGAATTGCTAAGTGTGAAACTCCTCACCTACTGCATTTCATTGATCAAAGGGTTTTGTAAAACAAGCAAATGCAGAATTTTGAGAGGCATTTAAAGGGCTTGTCTTTTGGAAGTTAATACCCTTTGCTTAATTTATCATTGATTTCCATTCTCTTTTCTTCTCTTATACCATCACCGTGTGTAAGTGAATATAACAAGAGTCTCATTTGTCTAGAATAAAGCTTGAATTGTTTATGCTACAGATACTCATGGGGCCTGTAAACTATGGGATGTGTGCGTTCATTCTAGTCCTGTCAGCACCATGGGATCCTACTATGTGCCACACTCTGCTTAAGTGGCCTGCTGCTGGCTCTACTCCTGCCTCACCACAGAGCAGGTGCTCTCAGACACAGCAGATCCCAAGAACGGATGCTTTGTACATGTTCTGTTTTCATACTATCTCTCCGGCAGCATATGAGTAGAGGCCCAGGAGCCTGAAGGAAAGCACTTGTGCCCATCACAAGCCTCGTGGGAGGAGAGAGAGAAGTGCTTATTTCTTCACACATTTTTTGATTGGACATCTGATAGTCAGGCAAAGCTGAGGCCTGTTCTCCAGTTAAAGGAGAATCACCCAGTACTGCTGTTCCTCCTCTCTCAACTGTACTGGTTCTAAGTATTTCTCTGTATCCAGCATAGAGGAGACTTGATCCCTCCAATGGCTCCAACTAGAAATGAAGCAGCTTTCTTTGCTGTTGCCATGGGCTCCCTTCTCCCCTCTCCTAACCTTCTTCCCTACACTCTTTCTCTCCTCCTTCCAAACCCTGGGACCAGAAAAATAATATTGTTCATATATACAATGTTCATTTTAATTACATTTTCTATTATACAAAACTAACTGTCCTGCTCAGAATGCTTTTCAACCTTGTAAAAAAAATAAAACAACAATTATGTGCTAAGCAATACATTTTATATTTTCTCCCTTAACATCCCTGTAAGGGTAGGTATTAGGGTCAAGCAAATTGAGGCTTGGATAGATTAAGTGACTTGGCCAAAGTCAAACAATCAGTAGTAGAGACACTATTCAGACCAGGTATGTTCAAATGCCAAAGCCCAGCTTTTTACAATGCCCCCATGCTGCTGCATATGGTCAAGATGTGAAAAGCAAAGCAAAAATAAGATTATAGCACCAGGAATTTGTTGAATACAAATTTGTTTCCCTTCAAGCTTACCAGAAAATTATTTCAATATATTTCAACAAAAAACAAACACTATAAAATTAGTTAAAGTAGCTTAAACATTTGATTTGTATTACTGTGAGTAGAACACACAGAAGTTTATGTTTAAATGAATACTGGCAATGGAGTAGAATATAATGCACCTTAATTGATTTATAGATACTGTGCCTTTTAATAGCTCAGTTAGCAATTTCCAATTTTAACCAATCCTCTTCAATAAGAGCTTGCTCAAAACACTTAACATTGTTTTCTTTGAATACCTACAGCTAGAGCAAATGTTGCCCACCATGATAACATGATCAGCTAAGCCCGCAGTAAATGTTTTACTACCACAACCCACATATTTGCTCTGGCCAGTGGTTTGCCCTATAGGTCAGATTGTTCCCGTGCACTTACCCGCAGAAACTAAGTTTTGTGCTTAGTACTCAAGACGGTTATGTTCTCTAAAGTCTTCAATTCTGTAGTCACCTCTCCACTAATGAAAACTTAGAGATCTTTGACCCTAACTTCTCTTCCTATATGTCTCTGTCCAACTTTGTAAATATACATATACATTACCTGTGTTTACATCAATGAATTTATTCAACTATTCTGCATGCAAACCAAATAACTCACTGAGTTTTGTTTGTTTGTTTTTCAAGACAGGATAGACTCTAGTTTAGAAAAAAATATTTTACTTGCCTTATCGTGAGACCATAATGACAAAAATAAGGCTCTCTATATTATCAATTTCTCTTTATTTTGGCCAGATTCAAGTGACTATTCATTTCCAATTGCATATTCTATTTCATTTTTGCATATCTGATACCATACAATCATCAGTTTATTTCTGTTTCCATAATGAACATTATTTCTTTTCTTAGCCCAGTAATTTCCCCAACACATGCAATCAATAACTATCAATTGAATCTGAATTATTTTAAATATACATAACTAGAAAGAGATGACATGATTATATATTTAGAAAACCCCTTCGTCTCAGCTCGAAATCTCCTTAAGCTGATAAGCAGCTTCAGCAGTCTCAGGATACAAAATCAATGTGCAAAAGTCACAAGCATTCCTATATACCAGTAACATACAGAGAGCCAAATCATGAGTGAACTCCCATTCACAATTGCTACAAAGAAAATAAAATACCTAGAAATACAACTTACAAGGGATATGAAGGACCTCTTCAAGGAGAAAAACCAATGCTCAAGGAAATAAGAGAGGACACAAATAAATGGAAAGACATTCCATGCTCATGGATAGGAAGAATCAATATCATGAAAATGGCCATACTGCCCAAAGTAATTTATAGATTCAATGCTATACCCATTAAGCTATCATTGACTTTCTTCACGGAACTGGAGAAAACTACTGTTAATTTCATATGGAACCAAAAAAGAGCCCACATAGCCAAGACAATCCAAAGCAAAAAGAACAAAGCTGGAGGCATCACACTGCCTGACTTCAAACTATACTACAAGGATACAGGAACCAAAACAACATAGTACTAGTACTAAAACAGATATATAGACCAATGGAACAGTACAGAGGCCTCAGAAATAACACCAAACATCTACGACCATCAGGTCTTTGACAAACGTGACAAAAACAAGAAATGGGGAAAGAATTCCCTATTTAATAAATGGTGCTGGGAAAACTGGCTAGCCATATGCAGAAAACTGAAACTGGACCCCTTCATTACACCTTATACAAAAATTAACTCAAGATGGATTAAAGACTTAAATGTAAGACCTAAAACCATAAAAACTCTAGAAGAAAACCTAGGCAATACCATTGAGGACATAGGCATGGGCAAAGACTTCATGACTAAAACACCAAAAGCAATGGCAACAAAAGCCAAAATTGACAAATGAGATCTAATTAAAGAGCTTCTGCACAGCAGAAGAAACTATCATCAGAGTGAACAGGCAGCCTACAGAATGGGAAAAAATTTTTGCAATCTACTCATCTAACAAAGGGCTAATATCCAGAATCTACAAAGAACTTAAACAAATTTACAAGAAAACAAGCAACCCCTTCAAAAAGTGGGCAAAGGATATGAACAGACACTTCTCAAAAGAAGACATTTATGCAGCCAACAAACATATGAAAAAAAGCTCATCATCACTGGTCATTAGAGAAATGCAAATCAAAACCACAATGAGATACCATCTCACACTAGTTAGAATGGCAATCATTAAAAAGTCAGGAAACAACAGATGCTGGAAAAGATGTGGAGAAATAGGAATGCTTTTACCCTGTTGGTGGTAGGGTAAATTAGTTCAACCATTGTGGAAGACAGTGTGGCAATTCCTCAAGGATCTAGAACCAGAAATATCATTTGACCCAGCAATTCCATTACTGGGTATATACCCAAACGATTATAAATCATTCTACTGTAAACACACATGCACACATGTGTTTAATGTGGCACTATTCCCAATAGCAAAGACTTGGAACCAACCCAAATGCCCATCAATGATAAACTGGATTAAGAAAATGTGGCACATATACACCATGGAATACTATGTAGCCATAAAAAGGATGAGTTCATGTCTTTTGCAGGGACATGGATAAAGCTGGAAACCATCATTCTCAGCAAACTAACACAAGAACAGAAAACCAAACACCACATGTTCTCACTCATAAATGGGAGTAGAACAATGAGAACACATGGACACAGGGTGGGGGAATATCACATACCAGGTCCTGTCAGGCGGTTGGGGGGTCAGAGGAGGGATAGCATTAGGAGAAATACCTAATTTAGATGACAGGTTGATGGGTACAGCAAACCACCATGACACGAATATACTTATGTAACAAACCTGCACATTCTGCACATGTACCCCAGAACTTAAATTTTAAAAAAAAGAAAGAGGAAACATTTGTACCAAATATTATAGAAAACATAGACACTATCAATTAATTGGTCAGAAAGTATTTATTAAGCAATTATTTTGTTAAACACTGTCCCCTCCATTAAAAATATATCTAGACTAGTGTTCTGCAATAGCAATCTGATACAAGTCATGTATGTAACTTTATATTTCCTAGTAGTCACATTTTAAAAAGTTTTTAAAAAGGTTAAAAGTTTTCATTATTATTTAAATTTTTAGTATAATAAAGTTATTTTATTTGACCCAAGATACCTGAAATATCACTTTAATATGTAATAATTATGAAACTATTATTGACTGGAGTTCCTACACCCTCTCTACCATAAGGGTTTTTTCCCTAATATATCTTTATTTCCTTATTTTCTCAAAAAAATTCAGTAAAGTTCAGTATACTCCTCCTCTATGAAGCCTTCCCTGACCACTGGCATCCCCACTGACCCCACACTCTGAGTCACTTGGCACACTGTGGACATTAGTAATTACACATAAGTAAGTGTAATTAGCTTCTCATTACACTTATGCATATAAATAAATAAGCAGAAAATTGAGTGATTTTTTTTTTCTTGCCAGACTGTGAGCTACCTAAAGGCCAGTCCATGTCTTTTCATCTTCCTGTCTCCAGTCCCTAGCACAATGTGTGGCCATAGGAAGTATTCAAAAAATATCATTCAAATTATATAAAAACAGAAGAAATAGCACTCTCTAAAACCAAAAGAGAGCCAAAATATATCTCCATAAGAATATAAGAAATGATTTATGGGTATAGGAGGAGGTACAGAGATTTCTTTTGTTGCTGTTCTTTTTTTTGTTTTGAGGCAAAGTCTGGCTCTATCTCCCAGGCTGGAATGCAGTGGCATGATCTTGGTTCACTGCAACTTCTGCCTCCTGGGTTCAAGCCATCCTCCCACCTCAGCCCCACAAGTAGCTGGGACTACAGGCATGTACCACCACACCCAGTTAATTTTTGTATTTTTAGTAGAGATGGGGCCTCACTATGTTGTCCAGGCTGGTCTAGAACTCATAAGTTCAAGTGATCCGCCTGCCTCAGCCTCCCAAAGTGCTGGGATTACAGTCATGAGCCACTGCGCCTGGCCAGAGATTTCCTCAAGTTGTTTGCAATTATTTCACCTTAAAAGGAAAGGAAAACAATAGTAGGCATCAGCTTGCATGCTGGAAATTTTCATACAGAATAATATTATGATGACCTTCCCATGAAAGAGAGAAAGAGAGAAATATATATAAAGTGATATATGTATAATGATTTCTATACTTAGATTTAGGGAGTAGACATGTTTTATTCTAATAGCAAAATAATTAAAGATACTGTTATACTGGTCTTTAACTGGCCCAGCCAGAAAACTTTTTATTTACTAAACTCATCTTCTCAATGAAACAAAACAACTGGGCCAACAGAAATAATTTGCTACTCAACTCGCTCCTAGATGTTCAGAAAAAAATGAGTCAATTAAAAACAGAATTGTATTTGGAAAGGATAGTGATGGACCTGAATTGTGATTCTGGTCTGCTCTGATGGACAAAAGTCATGGGGCAGGAACAGCGGTAGAGAGGGAAGGTGAAGCACCCATTGTTCAAAAACTGGGGCTGCTAGCTTTGTAATACAATATTGTAATGTCCCCTTTAGGCCCAACCCCACCTTCTCTGATCTCCCCAGGACAGAAAAAGATAAGAACTTTGCATCTATTGTTAGATTTATTCATCCTGAGAGATAGAATGCCTAGGCCATAACATAACCTATATTAGGATCATGGGTGACAGATGGGTTTCTGGTAGTTGTTGGCACTGCCTTGTTTACTCTGTGTGTGTGTTTGTGTGTGTGTGTGTACACCTTTCTCCCTTTATATATCATGTATCAAGATTATTGGATTTGATCAAATACATGGTTAGACCAGGAAAGATTTGAATACACTTATAAACTTGACTTAAACAAATTCCAAATCCATTTAACAGCAATGGAAGATGAAATTCTTCCACTTTTTACTTTGTTCATGTCAATTCAGAGACACCACTGGTTATTAAGACTTCCTCCTATGACTCACATCATCAAAGCTACATATTCACACACATTTTTCAAAGGGAAAATAACCCACACTTTATTTCTGTAAAGTTCAATGGATAACAGTAATCTGTGCAAGAATAAATGCCTCACAAGCTTGGATTATGTGAAAACCTCTTAAATCTACATCCCTTGAGAAAAAAAAAAGTACAGCACTCTCAGATGCATTACATGGACCTTGCTTCTTCATTTTTGACTTTCATTAGGAAATCGTCTCTTCCATTTGCCCCCAAATGCAAATGCTTCTTCAAAAACATTTTAAAATGTTCAATCACATAAAACAGAAAGCAGCCTTCATGATTAGAAACTTACAAGGTTTCAGATGTTATTTCTTTAATCCAATTCATCAAATCTTAAATAGGTCCAAAATTCATATACAGTCCTAATAAGCTTTGAAAAGAATAGTCCTCGCTTCAAACAGAACAGTACTATTAATATACAACTGGTTAAGTTTAAACCAGTAAGTCATAATGAAGCAAAAGTAGGTTTTGAGGAAACTGCCTTAAGCCTCCATGACTTTACAATTCCATATTGAGCACTAATAATAAATCCCAATTCATATGTGTGACTACATAAATATTCATGCAGAGTTAAATGTGCACCTATAAATGTACACGATACATATGCAGATGTAAATGCATTTTATGATTTCAGCTTATGAAAATGTCTTATCTGTTGGTTTTGGAGAAACTATCACTTTGATATCCATTAGATGTAATATATGAGTTTATCATTGTATCACCATCATGTTATAATGCCATTGTCTGAGATTTATCTATTAAACAACTCAGAAGTATGTAAATGCTCTTAAAATGAAAAGAAAATTGTGAAGCTATTAAATCATGGTCAATAAAATATTTCTATGCCAGTCATTATCTAATCATCTGACTCCATCAAGTCTTAACTGCAATGATTTCCAAACCCACTTAAGTACTTTTGCCTCTTCCTCTGCATCCTTGTTATAAGAATGGTAAATTGCTTAGATTAGTTGACTGCTGCTGTAAGGCCAAGCAACAGCCAAGTTTGAAACCAAACCAATGATTATGTCTATAAAGTTACCCTAATTAACAAGGAAGCAATCCTAAGCATTAAATGGTTAAGCTTTAGTATTACCTGAGTTCTGCTATTTACTCAACTTAGGAAGTCAGAACCACGGAATTAAACATTTGTATTTTGATACAGTTTCTTCCATAAAAATCATCACAAAATTTTAGGAGAAACACTCCTAAAAAGCTTTTTCTTATTGCATAAGATTAAGGAAACCATTTGATTCAAAGGCTCAATGCTGATAAGCTTTAGCAGATAATAATAAACTCTCTAAAGAAATTATTTGATTCATACTAATTTGCATTGGTCTTATAAATGGCAGGATATGGATGGTTGTGGGATGGAAGTAGCCTAGACTAGCCAACAGGGAAACTGTTAAGTGTATAAGGGAATGCATATGTTAAATAGCTTGATTTAGTCACCCCACAATGTATACAGGCATAGCTCAGAGATGTCACAGGTTCTATTTCAGACCACTGCAATTAAGTGAATATTGCAATAAAGTGAGTCATGTGAACTTTTTTATTTCCTAGTGCATATAAAAGTAATGTTTAGGCTATATTGTATTCCACTGAGTATGCAACAGCACTGTATCAAAAAATGTACACACATTAACTTTAAAATATTTTATTGCTAAAAATGCAAAGAATCATCTGAACCTTCAGAAAAGCATAATATTTTTGCTGGTGGAGGGTCTTGCCCCAATGTTGATGGCTGCTGACTGATCAGGGTGGTGGTTGCTGATAAATGGAGTGGCTGTGGCAATTTTGTAAAATAAAACAACAATAAAACTTACTTCATTGACTGACTCTTCCTTTCACAAGAAATTTCTTGGTAGCATGTGATGCTGTTACAGCATTTTACCCACAGTAAAAGTTCTTTCAAAATTGGAATCACTCCTTTCAGACCCTGCCACTGCTTCATCAACTAAGTTTATGTAATATTCTAAATCCTTTGTTATTTCAACAATGTTCACAGCATCTTCACCAGGAGTAGATTCCACCTCAAGAAATTACTTTCTTTGCTCATCCATAAGAAATAACTCTTCATCCATTCAAGTTTTATGAGATTGAAGCAATTCAGTCACATCATCAAATTCCACTTCTAATTCTAGTTCTCTTCTTATTTCCACCACATCTGCAGTTATTTCCTCTACTACAGTCTTGAACCCCTCAAAGCCATCCCTAAGGGTTGGCATCAACTTCTTCCAAACTTCCTGTTAATGTTGCTATTTTTACCTCCTCCCATGAATCACAAATGTTCTTACTGGCATTTAGAATGATGAATTTTTTCCAGGAGTCTTCATTTACTTTGCCCGGATACATACAGGTATCGCTATCTAGGAAACCTATAACCTTAAAAAAATGTATTTCCTAAATAATGAGACTTGAGAGGTTAAGTTACTCCTTGATCCATGGGCTGCAGAATGGATGTTGTGTTAGTTGTCATAAAAACATTAATTTCCTTGTGTATGTCCATCTGAGCCCTTGGAAGACTAGGTGTGTTCTCAATGAGCAGTACTATCTTGAAAGGAATCTTTTTTTTTTCTGAGCAGCAGGTCTTAAGAGTGAGCACAAAATATTCATTAAACCATGCTATAAAGACATGTACTGTAATCCAAGTTTTATTCTAATTATAGGGCATAAGCAGAGTAGATTTAACATACTTCTTAAGGGCCCTAGGGTTTTCAAGATGGTAAATGAGCATTGGCTTCCACTTAAAGTCATCAGCTGCACTAGCACCTAACAGGAGGGTCAGCCTGTCCTGTGAAGCCAGCATTGACTTCTCCTCCCTAGCTATCAAAGTCCTAGACAACATCTTCCAATAGAAGGCTGCTTTGTCTACATTGAAAACCTCTTGTTTAACATAGCCACCTTCATCAATGCTCTTCACTAAATCTCCTAGATAAGTTGCTTCAGCTTCTACATTAGCACCTTCTGCTTTACCTGGCATTTCTGGTTATGGAAACAGCTTCTTTCCTGAAACCTCAGATTCTTTTTCTGCAGCTTCTTCACCTCTCTCCCTTCCTTTATAAAATTGAGGAGAGTCAGGGCCTTGCTCTGGATTAGGTTTTGGCTTATGGGAATGTTGTGGCTGGTTTGATCTTCTATCCAAACCACAAAAACTTTCTCTATATCAGCAGTAAGGCTGTTTTGCTTTCTTATCATTCATGTGTTCACTGGAGTAGCATTTTCAATTCCCTTCAAGAACTTTCCAGTTGCATTCACAATTTGGCTGTTTGGCATAAGAGGCTTAGCTTTCAGTCTGTCTCAGCTTTCGACCTGCTTTCCTCACCAAGCTTCATCATTTCTAGCTTTTAATTGAAAGACAGAGGTATGAATCTTCCTTCCACTTGATAACATAGGGACCACTGTAGGGTTATTAATTGACCTAATTCCAATATTGTTGTGTCTCAGGGCATAGGGAGGTCCAAAGAGAGGGACAGAGATGAGGGAATGCCTGGTCAGTGTAGCAGTAAGAAAATATATAACATTTTTCAATCAAGTTCACTGTCTAAACAATCACAATAGTAACATCAAAGATCACCATAACAGATATAATAATAGTAAAAATAATTTGAAATATCGGGAAAATTACCAAAATGTGACACAGAGATACTAAGTGAACACACGCTGTTGGAAAAATGTCACCAATAGACTTGCTCAATGTAGGGTTGCCACAAAATTTCAATTTGTAAAAAAAAAAAAAAAAAAAAAAAAAAACACTATCTGTAAAGTACAATAAAGTGAGGTGAGCCTGTACATATAAACATCATGTTGTACATCATAAACACACAATTTTTAGAGATCCAGGCCAGTTTATATATACAGGGACTGGGTGGTAACAATGTTAAAAACAAATAACCAAAGAATAGGAGGGAAATAATAATAACAATGGTAAAAACATGTTGAACTCTATCCTTGCATTAGGCTTTGCTAACTGCCTTAAACATATCCTATTTTATGTTCGTCAGTGTTTCACTCATTCAAATATATTCATATACATCTCACTGAATATAAAGTAGATAAGGAAACTGAAGCCCAGAAAGTTACTCCAGATTTCACAATCACTGAATTGTTGATAGGGGCTTCAATTAAAGGTCAGTCTTATGAATGCACTTAACTATTACACTACAATGGTAGCCACCTTCATCAAGGAACTTAGCTGAATCTTCTAGGAGGGCTATGAGTCCATGAGGAGAACTAATATCCATTTATAAGAGATTAGTTAAAATGGAGGTTGTCGGCAGGTTTTGAGTTTGGACAGGTGGTTTGGACTCCCAGTATAGAGACCAAATAGCAACAGGAGCACAGGCAGCAATAAGATCCGGGTGTATAAGGCAAAAGTCCAAAGATTTATTCAAGGCAGAAAGACCCAGGAGGAAATAGCTTTTGGGTATAAATCAGGTAACATTTTGAAATTCAAGCCACACATCAGAAACAGGTATCACAAAGAAAGCATTTCAAGATCTGCAACAAGGCCTTCAATCCCTTTGCCGTATTTATAAGACACCAATCTGCACTAATAAGTGTGCACAATTCCGTGGAGGTAGAGACAGGGTCTGCAGGTCACTGTAGCCGAATAACAGGTCCCTAGGCTGAGTAGTGCTCATGCTTCTAAAATTTCCACTTCCAAGTTCCAAATGCTATGCTTTCCCCTTTTCCAATTACCACTATCTTCATCCCCATACATGTCTATTAGGAAAAAACAACAATAAGACATCTACTTAGTTCAGTCATCTGGGAAATGCTGTGGATAATACAGTACTGTGGGTCAAATAACACATTCAAGAACCAGTCAATTTGGTGAAAAAAGAAAAATCAAATTGCTTATTTTGCATCATGCAGAGCAAAAAAATTACTATTTGAATGTTGTGCTTTTCAAATAGTTGTACTGATGTTGAGTAGACACAATCATATTCACCAGGCATCTCTACACTGTCACTTTGGTATATTATTTTTTACACTGCCTTTTCTCTTCTCGGAATCAAATTTAGTTATCCTTTGGGGATGCTTAATTCCTTAATGTCAATCACCTTTTTTTTTTAACTAAGCAAGCAGGTTCTTTATTTTTTCAACTAAATTCTTTAATCAGCTTTTGTTCAGAAACTGTTTATTTCTATCTGCATTACAAATGCTAGATTTAACCAATCTATCAAACCAGGATAATACAAGGAAGGATATTGTCAGTTCATCCTTTCCTCTTAGGAACAAAGATGCCGTATTTTGTGCTTTAAAAGAAAAGAAATAATAGGATTAGACTAAGATTGAGGACAAGAGGATGTCAAACCAAAGAAAAGCATGTGGTCCTTCTAAAGCTCTCCCAACTAGTATGGGGAATTGTAATCCATTCATGCTAAGTGCTTTGACTATGCTCATTATGCAAAAACCATTAGAGCCTAGTATATTTAGTTACCATAGTTCTGCCTACTGGGAACTATAATTAAAGCACATTTGAGCAAATGCAATTTTATTTGTTATTAAGCAACTAAAAGCTTAGTCAACCTTGCAAATATGGCATTATCTTAAGATTACAATATGAGCCAGACAGCTATCCAATAAACTTTATTAGGTCCTATCTTTATTAGCTATGTCTTGTATTCCTATTGCAGGAGCATTGTATGCTGTACAACAGTGGTCTTAATAGGTCTAATAGTTTAGGATGCACCAGAAACACCTGGAAAAGCTTGTAAAAACACATTACTGGGCCCCACTCTCAGAGTTTCTCATACCTTAGGTCTGCAGTAGGGCCCCAAAATTTGCATTTCTAACACATCCCCAGAGGATGCTGATGCTGCTGGTCTGCAGACCACACTTTACAAACCATTGCTTTGCTGTATAAAATAGTGGTTAGAGCTTTGGAGTGAAACCCACCTGGGCTCATGTACTTGCTCTTCTACTAATACATACATGTCCTTGGACAGGTTACTTCATGTCTCCAAGCCTGTATCTTAATCCATATAGTAGGGATAATAACATCTATCCAATAGGTTGGTTGGGATAATTAAATAAGATTAAAAGTATAGAAAGTGCTTAGCCCAGGTCCTGGCAAGAGAGAAACCAATGAATGTCAGTGATAAGTTTATTATTGTTGTTAATTTTAAAAATATGCCAAGATCTAGGTCAACATATTTATAACCAATGGTGTGCATCAGACTCAACTGTAGGGCTTTTGTAAAATTCACACAGTGAGACACCATCCCCCTCAGAGATGTTGATGCAATCAATATTTCATTGATTCTAAGATGCCATTGATCATAAGATACACCATTATTTTATGTATCACTAAGAAAGATAAGGCAGAAATTAACCCATGATTATTCTCAGTGAAATAAATGAAACATAGAAAAATACTGCATAATCTCTCTTATATGTGGAGTCTAAATAAAAAACGTCAACTATACAGAGAGAGTAGCAGTTAACTAGGATGCACAGGTCCAGAAATATAATGAACAACATGAGGATTATGTAGGTTGAGTATCCCTAATCCAAAGATCTAAAATCCAAAATGCTCCAAAATCTGGAACTTTCTGAGCACAGACATGATGCTACACAGGTACCTGAGATAGTGGCAACACTGCCTTCTGATCATTCAACATACACAAACTTTGTTTCATGAACAAAATTATTTAAGATATTGAATAAAAATTACTTTTAGGCTATATGTATACGGTGTAATAAAACATAAATTTTGTGTTTAGGCTTGGATCCCATCCCCCAGATATCTCACTATGTATGTGTAAATATTCCAAAATACAGAAAAAGGCCCAAATCTGAAACACTTCTGGCCTCAAGTATTTTGGATAAAAGATACACAACCTGTAGTTAATAAAATTGTATTGTATTGGGCATTTGCGTTAAATAAGTAGATTTAGTTGCCTGCTTTTGTCATCAAAAAAGTAACTCCATGAGATGATAGATATGTTAGTTTGCTTCACTATAGTAAACACCTTACTGTCTACATGTATCCCATAACATCACGTTGTAAGCCTCACATATGCACAATAAAATTTATCTTAAAAAAGTTTGATCAAACTAATGTAAAGCACATCCAGATTTCAAAAATGAGAAAATATGGGGAAAAAAGTACATACTGGAACTGATGAAATAAGGTAGCTGGAGATATAAGTGTGGGCTTGCTTCCCAGGTTATTGTGATGTGCAATTCTGATTAAAAACCACTAACTTGGCTGGCCACAGTGGCTCACACCTATAATTAATCCCAGCACTTTGGGAGGCTAGATGGGCAGATCACGAGGTCAGGAGATTGAGACCATCCTGGCTAACACGGTGAAATCCTGTCTCTACTAAAAATATTTTAAAAAATTGGCCAGTCATGGTGGCAGGCACCTGTAGTCCCAGCTTCTCAGGAGGCTGAGGCAGGAGAATGTCGTGAACTCGGGAGGCGGAGCTTGCAGTGAGCCAAAATCGCGCCACTGCGCTCCAGCCTGGGTGACAGAGCGAGACTCTTGTCTCAAAAAAAAAAAAAAAAAAAAAAAAAAAAAAAACCACTAACTTAGTCAATGTGACAGCTGCAAGTGGGACTCAAAGTTCAGATGCCTCAAAGCTGAGAGGGCTCATAGGTTGGAATCCCCATTCTTAGAACAAGAATATAACCCAATATCATAATCAACCACCTAATTCCATAGACTGTTTATGAAACAAAAAATATTTCCTCTTGGTGTAAGAGCACCCACCCTCTAAACTTAGAAGAAGACTTCTCCCACTGAATAGCACTTACCCACATGAACTGGTCATGTTCATGACCAGAACACATCAGTCAATCAGATCAAAGGAGAGTATAGCACAGTTAGAAGGAAGGTGTCAAGCTGTTAGACCAAGATAGGTTTTTCTTCTTAAACATGAATTCCAATCTTGAGATTTGAGGATTATTTAGGGAGACAAAACATGATTTACATTTCAGGGAGAAGGGAGGATGATGAAGGTCACATATGTTACCAGGACGTGGCCCTAGTAGGCTTCTATTTTCCGTCTTGAGTTTTAAATTGCAGTTTGTAATTTGTTTCAAAACAAAGAAAGTAGATTTTGTATAATCTGTTTGTCTTATCAAGTTTATGGCCACTCCCATTTGCCTTCACTCTGGGAATCTTGGATGAAGGTGGGGAAGGCATGCGCCTACCCTCAACTTTATGCTAACACTCCTGCCCATAGGAAATGCATTAATTCTGTAAGCCATCACAGAACAGGACAAGATCTTATGACAGTTTTATTTGGGAGCTCAGAATTTCTAATAACTTCAATAATTATCTCCGGTAGTCTCCATGCACATGAGTTAATTATAACAAGAAAATAAAATACTTATTTCAGCTTCTAAAAATTCTAAGAATGTAAATCTCTAATGAAGTGTTGAGATAATACATAGCTGTTTTTACAAACTTTCAACTAAGAAAATTTCATTTTAACTCCTGCCTACCTCATGACCACCCAGTCCTCTCTTTATTATTACTTATGTTAATATTAATTTAATTATTATTAATTTTCTAACCAGGGCTCAACCCAGATGGACAAACAAACATGAAATCAGGGACTGCCAAGGACATTTCTTCAAGGTCCAAATAGTTACAAATTGTAGTGATAATGAAGTTGAAAAACACATGGATATGGATGACTTTCTCATTTTCTCACTATACTGGAAACACACACATAAACTATCAATGAAATCTATACTTCAAAAAATATATTTTCAAACCTTAGATACCTCTTCTGGTCCTGGTCCATATTGAATTCCTTTCTAAAATCAGAAATTAAAGCTTTATCATAATACTCTTTTTAAAACTACGATGTTCTTAAATTTTTATGCTTCCAATTGGAGAATGGAACATACAAAGTATTGGCCGGGCGCAGTGGCTCACGCCTATAATCCCAGCACTTTGGGAGGCCGAAGGGGGCGGATCACAAGATCAGGATATTAAGATCATCCTGGCTAATATGGTGAAACCCGTCTCTACTAAAAATACAAAAAATTAGCTGAGCATGGTGGTGGGCATCTGTGGTCCCAGCTACTCGGGAGGCTGAGGCAGGACAATCGCTTGAACCTAGGAGGCGGAGCTTGCAGTGAACCGAGATGGCGCCACTGCACTCCAGCCTGGGCAACAGAGCGAGACTCTGTCTCAAAACAACAACAACAACAAAAAAAACGAAAATACAAAGTATCATGAAATTTAACAAAAAATGGTCTTATGTTTCCAAAAGGATAACACTGATTTTATTAAAATGTCTACATAATTTAAATGACTGCACATGTGGAATAAAATTTAATATAAAACTCAGTCACCTGAATAATGACAACTTAGAAACAGTCACACTGGTCATAGAGAGTATCTGTCGACTTGAAGGAGAAGGAAGCAGCCATGTCTTTATAGGAAACTAGTTCCTGTTTTACTATAGAGATGACAGGGGGTTGGGGTTTTATTTTCATTATTTTTTTTTTTTTACAGATTTTACCTTGATTTAGTTGCATAATGAATGCAACACCTATTTTCCACATAAGAAGATAAAGACTGATTTGAAATTTTTCAATTCTGTCCATCACTGTTGTATCCAACTGACTTATTAGCATACACCTTGCTGCAAGGGTTTTATTTTTACTGAGGGATTCTTCGTGTGCCTCCTCATTTTCACCAAAATGTATATAAATCTCCTGAATTTTCATGACACTGATGTGGCTAAAAATTTTAAATATTTTCAGTTCTTTGAAAATACAAGAAAAACCTTCAGAAATAAGAATTAGCCATGGTTCAGAGGTTCTGATTTGTTTTAACAAAAACATCAATTATTTCAAGTTCTCTGCTGACTAGAAAATAGTGGATTTCATTTGATATGGCAAAGCAACTTGTTATGTTTTGTGCTACCATAAAATGCATCACAATTTATAGTAATTACCTGAATATTCAGTTTGTTTCTGGTACCCTCCTCTCAGTCCTACGTGTCTGTTAGAGAATCAAAGGGTACTGCTTGTCTAAGAAATATGCTAAAGAGAGGACAACACAATATCTGGAGAAGGAAATAAGAATCATCAAATGCCCTTTCCTTCTTTGATATAATTCCTAAGATTACAGAAATTGAAGATAACCTAGCACACATCACCTCCAAAGAGAACAGAAGAAGGTCTTTTAACTTAATCTTGTAGATAAAATGGATTACAGGAGCTGAGTGCCCAGACTGTGAGGCAGATCAGTAACAGTTTCAACAGCTATATTCAAACGGTGTTAACTAGTGCATCAGCATCAACCTAGTTCTAAATCTCAGAATCATAGAATTCTTTTCTGGGTTCCATTTGTTTCACCATGTTACTCAATGTCCTGGAAGAAAATAGAGCGGACATCATAAAATTTGTAGAAGGGAGAGTGGCCATGTGGATGACTGAATGGGGTTGGAAGCTGACAGGTTGGAGACAAGGACTATATCTTAAATTAATAAAAATAAATTTTAAAGTACTTATAGAAATGAAGTATCCACAAATGAAAAGTAATAATAGAAATAAATTGAAAAGAAATAGAAGTAAATGTAAAATGATGTGATTAAGTCCAAAAGGACAATTGTTTTGTACAGAATGGAGATGTGGCATAGTAGCAATACAGGCAACTAAGACTTAGAGATTTTAGTCTACAGAAAGGTTAATGTGAATCAACAGTAAATGGAATATTTTTGAGTGAATGAATAAATGTAATGTATTATAGGAGGGGAGAGGAGGGAAGGAGAAAAAGAGTAGGGAAGCGGAGGGGAGGAAAAGACAGGAGAGGAGAGGAAGGAGAGGAAAAGGAGAAGAGAATCTGTATAAAAGGAAGCAAAAGCCCCACTTATCTCTATATAGCCTGGACAACCCATGAAGTACTGCAATACAAGCATGGAGAAACTGAGCACATTCAAGCATGACCTGAGATGTACAAACAATCAAATCAATAATATCCAAGAATTCCTCGAAGTACTTGAGCATATTTACCCTGGAGATCTGATCAGCATGCTCAAATATCCTAATAACTTCACTGGGAAAAAGAATTAGAGGTGTTGTGTTTGACCCCAGTGGTTACAAGTAGGACAGATGTATTAGACTCTCTAAGGGTACCTTGGTGTCAAAGTCCTCTAAGGACAGAATGGCTCAGCTTGGGAGCTACTGATCACTCTCTCTCCTGAAGATGCTGAAACCCTGATTGGATGACCCTTGGTAAGACTTTTGCAAAACCAAGTCAAGTGTTAGATAGGTGGCAGGATTAGATGATCTTTGAAAGTCCCTCCAAACCTTAAGATTCCAATATGTAAACATTTTCCTGTGGTGCACATTAAATCCTTACAAAAGACTTTCTCTCATAAAGACAATGAAAACAAATGGTTAGCCTAAGGGAGGTGAACCAATCTTCAGAAAACCCTAAGAGACTCCCCTATTTTCTTGCTTGTTTGCTCGTTAGAGAACTAATCTCCTATAAAACAGGAATTTATTAATATTTCTTTGTCCTCTGCTATACTGGCCGACTTTGGGAATTTGCACACAGCACACTTTATCTTGCTAAATATAATAGTCTGTCTGGCATTCTTCCTTTGTGAGAAATCCTTATTCACTTGCATAAATTATGTGTAAAGATCTGAAGCATACTTTCCTTTCTTCAATACAGACTATTCCCAGAAGTAGCCTGACACATGCCAAACATCTGCTCCCACATGCAGCTCAATACATGATATTGATATGTATTATCACTGGGTGAATTCTAAATACAAAGCCAATTTAGCACACTCCTGAACAATTCCCTCCTTCTCTCCCGGCCAAGCTGCAGGGAGCTCAAGGAAATCAGAATAATTCTAATACTTGCCTAAGCAAGCTATAACCAGGTAAATCTGCTAAAACAAAAACCACAGTATAACATTTCAAAATCTAATAAAAATTAGATACACATGATAAATATAAATGTTCATCTAATTTAATACATAGCTAAATACATAGAAGTATTTTTTAGTATCTGCTATACTTACAGTATTGAAAGACGTTGCTTTCCTCAACTGTGAATTCCTGGGTGTCTTGAGTGTTTGTTAAGCATTTATATGAGCCTAGTCCGTCTTTTAATGATCGAATGCAATTATCGTTCATGTGGTACAAAGAAAGGTGACCAGAATCCCTAAATCTTGAAGTTTTTCTAGTCATCTATGAAAGCCTCTAGTTCTCTAACAGGTATTTTCACAAAGACCTTCAGAGTAAACTCATTTTTACTGCTAACTAGGGCTTTGGACCCAAACACCTCTCTGCTCTCTTTCCCTGGTGAAGTAACCTGGATCTCACATAAGCTTGGCAGACAGCTCCTATCCCTTGGGCTAAGGATTAATAAAACCAGCCCCAGCAGTGAATCCGTTATTTCCTTCCCAAGTCCCACACTGCTTCTGGCCCCTGGCAAAGCCACTGCCCTGGCACAGGTTACATCTGCCCAGAAGAGGCAGGTTTCCTAACTGGTGAAGTCATTATACACATCTGCATTGCCCAATACAGTAGCCACAAGCTGCATGTGGCAATTAGTTCCTCAGATGTACAAGCCACATTTCAACTGCTCCATAGCCATATGTGGCTAGTATACAGAATATTTTCATCATGCGCTACTGGACAGTGTGCCCTAGGATTCCATTTTGTTCTCAATTTGGGCAAACATTGTTCTTGGACTTGGGCAGACTTTATCTCCCACTTAAGGTCAGAGTATGCAAGGGTTTATTCATTTATTCATTCAACAAATATTTATCAATCCCTTGTCTAACTACTGAACATATAACCACAAATAAAACAGACATGGCACCTACTCTCATGGAGCTTACATTCTGGTCAGAAAAAAATTAACGATAAACAAGTCAACACCTAATGGAAATGATTCTTTCAGCTATGAATTTCAGTATTAGTTTGTATCATTTTTAGCTTCATGGTAACAAGATATTTTGGTTTCATTCAAGTGGATCCATCCCCACAGCAGCTGGCCTGCTTTCTCTTGATTTTCTTCAGATGACAGTAACTAATGGTTTTAATATTTACTTGAATCTAGAGTTTCTTCACCTTTGTTTCTTTAGAACTTTTACTCAAAGCTTAATTCTTGCCTCTGTCCTTGATTCTGTCTTGAAAGGTTCTCCAAACTTTAACTTTTCAATCATCAGTTTTAAATGTAACTCTTAACTATTTATATTCTCAAATAGTACAACAAACTACTAGGCATTCGCCCTTGGAAGATACCACCTCCTCAGCTCCTTAACCTTGGCGATAGTTCTTCAGAATTTCTCTTGAACTATTACCTTTCTTTCATTCCCAGTGGGCCATACTAACTAAGCTGTCATTTCTCATACATGAATCTCTAAAACAACCTCCCCAAAAGGTTTATTGTCTCAATTTTGTTTCCTTACAATTGGTCATGCACACTAAATCACAACTACTTTAAAAACTACTTTTAAAAGTGCCAGTCATTGCCTCTCTCAACCTTCTCTGCACTAGGGAAGCTCCCTTGCCCCAGTCTTTCACCCCTGAAAATGTACACCTGTGCCAAGTGTGTTCCCACCTTTCTCTGTTTGAGAGCACCTGTCAGGTGCTAAGCCCACCACTCTCTGCAGTAGTTCTCAAGCAACCAGAGACACTAACAGATGAGAGCTTCAGCAGTTTGGCAGCCCCACATCCCCCGACCTCACTTAACCCTAGTCACAGCTTCCAAACCAGCACCACTTCAAGGGATATTGGCATAGCAGCCAAGTTCATTGGGGCTAGGACTTCCAAAGTCAGGACAGCTGGCTCTGGGGCTAAAATTGCAGCTGTGTTTGGGAGCCTCACCATTGATTATGCCAAGAACCCTGTCTGAAGCAACAAGTCTTCTCCTATGCCATTCTGGGGCTTTGCACTCTATATATGTCAGTTTTTTGCTGCTTAGAACATCTGAAAATGGGTAATTTATTTTTAAATAATTTATTTCTTACAGTTTAAGGAGAACTTGAGTCCAAAGTTAAGAGACCATATCTGGTGGACACTCTCTACAGTCCTAAGGTAGTGCATGGTATCACATAGCGAGGAAGTTGAGCATGCTAAAGTGCTAGCTCAAGTCACTCTTCCTCTTCTTATAATGCCACCAGTTAATCCATTAACTCATTAATCCATGGATAGACTAATCTATTCCTATGGACAGATCTCTCATGAGCCAATCACCTCTTAAAGTCCCTACTTCTCAATACCGACACACTGGGTATTAAGTTTCAACTTTGGAGGGAAAAAATATTTAAACCATAGCACCCTCTTAGAGGCCATGGAGTTCTTTGGCCTAAGGGTGGCTTTTCTCATCCTCTTCACCATGTAAAGAAGCTGTCCCCACCATTAATAGTTCTTTCCTCCATGTCTCATCTATCTTGTATGTTCTTTTCCCTATACCTTTCTCAGGCAATCTGAGAAAAGTGGTTGGCTCAAGGTTTGACAGAGGGAAGACAAATAAATACTGCATCTTATTAGTCGGGGTTCTCTAGAGTGACAAAACTAATAGGATAAATACATCTATATCTATATCTATATCTATATCTATCTATTTATCTATCTAGGGAGTTTATTAAGTAGTATTAACTCACATGATCACAAGGTCCCACAATAGGCTGTCTGCAAGCTGAGGAGCAAGGAAGCCAGTCTGAGTCCCAAAGCTGAAGAATTTGCAGTCCGACGTTCAAGGGCAGGGAGCATCCAGTAAAGGAGAAAGATGTAGGCTGGGAGGCTAAGCCAGTCTAACCTTTTCATGCTTTTCTGCCCACTTTATATTCTGGCCATGCTGGCAGCTGATTAGATGGTGCCTATCCAGATTAGGGTGGGTCTGCCTTTCCCAGCCCACTGACTCAAATGTTAATCTCCTTTGGCAACACCCTCACAGACACACCCAGGATCAATACTTTGAGTCCTTCAATCCAATCAAGTTGACACTCAGTATTAACTATCACAAGTCCACCCCTTGACAACTTGAACCTATACACGTCTCCTGAGATCATACATAATCTTCAAATAAAGACAATAATGAGGTCATAATTACACCTAATATAATACAACTATCCTTTATACAACTAGAAACGCACCAATCCCCAACCCAAATGCTATTCCATAGAGTTAACAATACTTAAATACTGACATGGATATGAGGTCAATAAATCTTATGTCACATGATAAAGGAAAAAGGAAATGAAGATATTTTCTTAGTACAAGTGTGTACATGCACAAACATGTTTTTAACAAAGAAGGAAGAAATATGACAATTACAGTCCTCATTTCTGCAACTGGTCACGTGGTCATAGCTGGTATTGATGACTACCTTCTTCTACTACCCATTCTGTATTCCCTTTGCCTTTAGCAAGCACCTCAGCAGGTCATGGTTTTTTTCCTGGAGTGACCCAAACCTTCATTCCTGAAGGGTCTGAGCCATCTGCAGTCCTGCCTGGATTGGGCTGCTGTAGTTTCCCATTGACCTTAATCACAGGGCATGGTAATACTAAGAGATGCCCTAATGAATCTCCTATATTCCCTGCATACCCTTCCTTACCTCTGTTGTGTAGTAGTAGACTGATTTCGTCTTGATAGTCTGGGTCAATCACCCCAGACAGCACTGTAACCCCCTTCTTAGCCTGTTGACTTAAAGGTAGGAGGAGCCCAAAGTGTCCAGGTGGCAATCTTAACTTCCAGTTCAAAGGAATCATTGTTGTGTCTCCTGGTGTTCCTCCCTCTGGAACTAAGACTTCTAGGCCAGCAGAACATAATATTGTGGGAACAGGAAGCAAAATTTTGCTAGTGGGTCACTAGGAGTAATGGTGAGTGGTGCCATCAAAAGGCCATCCTGAAGCATCTGGATTGAAAGGATAATAGAATTGCCTTTGGAAGTCAGAATTAAAATGCCAACTAAGTGACAATACTTTGCAGGGCTGGGGCAAAGTTCTCCAGAAGGCTGTGTATGCTCTGAGCCAGCTTCCAATATACGGTACTGCTTTTCCCATAGCCAGGATATGCAGAGTCCAGGAATCAGGGGTGGAAGTGGAAGTGGCACCTCTTATTATCACCCCTAGTGACCCACTAGCAAAATTTTTGCTACCTGGACACTTGGGGTTCCTCCTACCTTTAAGTCAACAGGCTAAGAAGGGAGTTACAATGTTGGCTGGGGTGACTGACCCAGACTATCAAGATGAAACCAGTCTACTACTCCACAACGGAGGTAAGGAAGGGTATGCGTGGAATACAGGAGATCCATTAGGGCATCTCTTAGTATTACCATGCCCTCTGATTAAGGTTAATGGGAAACTACAATAGCCCAATCCAGGCAGGACTACAAATGACCCAGACACTTCAGGAATAAAGGTTTGGGTCACTCCACCAGGAAAAAAACCCACGGCCTGCTAAGGTGCTTGCTAAAGGCAAAGGGAATACAGAATGGGTAGGAGAAGAGTGTAGTCATCAATACCAGCTATGACCACGTGACCAACTGCAGAAACAAGGACTGTAATTGTCATGAGTATTTCCTCCTCCTTTTGCTAAAAACATGTTTGTTCAGGTATACAGAAAATATCTTCATTTGTACCAAGAAAATATCTTCATTTTATTTCCTTTTTCCTTTATCATGTGACATAAGATTTATTGACTTCATATCCATATCAGTATTTAAGTATTGTTAACTCTATGGAATAGCATTTGGCTTGGGGATTGGTGTGTTTCCAGTTGCATGAAGGATAGTTGTATTATGTTAGGCATAATTATGACCTTATTATTGTCTTTATTTGAAGATTACATATGATCTCAGGATGTGTATGGGTTCAAGTTGGCAAGGGTGGACTTGTGATGGTTAATATTGAGTGTCAACTTGATGGGATTGAAGGACTCAAAGTATGGATCCTGGGTGTGTCTGTGAGGATGTTGCCAAAGGAGATTAACATTTGAATCAGTGGGCTGGGAAAGGCAGACCCACCCTCAATCAGGGGTTCACCTAATTAGCTGCCAGCACAGTCAGAATATAAAGTGGGCAGAAAAATGTGAAAAGCTAGACTGGCCTAGCCTCCCAGCCTATATCTTTCTCCCGTGCTAGATGCTTCCTGCCCTTGAACACCAGACTCCAAATTCTTCAGCTTTGGGACTCGGACTGGCTTCCTTGCTCCTCAGCTTGCAGACAGCCTATTGTGGGACCTTGTGATCATGTGAGTTAATACTACTTAATAAACTCCCCTTTATATATAGATATAAATATGTCCTATTAGTTCTGTCACTCTAGAGAACCCTGCCTAATATAGATTTTGTCATTACCCTACTCAGTAATACATTATGACTCCCTATTATCTATGGAATCAAGTTTCTTTTTTATGAAGTTATTGCCTTGAAAAGATAACCCTAAAATTGAATAATTCTGTTATTTTTACCATTTTACTTAGGAGTAAGAATTATAACCTGTTTGGTTCTGAAAATGATTTTAGACCTTTCAGGCGGATGCACCTTTTGGTTCATGTGATATATACCTGCATATGCCTCATTTTATGTAATTAAAAGTTTCCTGATAATTATACTCCCAGTTTCCAATAAATTCTTCCACCACACACACACACAACACACACACACATGCATGAAGTAGAAGAAAAGCTTTTAGAGATCATTTACTGAGCTTATTGACACAAATGAGAGTTTTAAGAAGCACAAGCAAACAATTTTAGCATATTTTGGCCAACTTTATATATATTAATATTTCCCATTTCCTTGTCACGTGCATGAAGCCCACATCATGTCTTTTTCCACAGGGTATAAGGCCCTATGCTCAATAGCTTGAATTAGTCACAGAATGTCTTTCTGTTGGCAACTTTTGGATTAACATCCACAAATTAAAATCAGCTCAACCTCAAACTAAAGTATCTGGTTATCATTAATAACTTCGCCACTGGACAGAATGATAAAAAATAAAAAGAGAAAACTCATTAATTTATTATGATCTCAAACTAAATGTTTTTCTCTTATGTATTTTAAAGATCTGAGAAGCAAAATTACAATTTGAGTTTATTAGTAACTATCTGAGTCCACTTTCTGTTGCTTATAACAGAATACCTGAAACTGGTTAATTTATATGGAAAATAATTTATTTCTTACAGTTATGGAGGCCGAGAAGTCTCCAAAGTCAAGGGACCATGTCTGGTGAGAGCCATCTTGCTGGCAGGGATTCTCTGTGGGGTCTCAAGGCAGTGCAGGGCAGGGCATCACATGGGGAGGAAACTGAGCATGCTTACTCAGGTCTCTCTTCCTCTTCTGATAAAACCACCAGTCACTTCTGATGACAACCCATTTATCTATTAAGCCATGAATACATTAATCAGTTAATAAAGGCAGGTTCCTCACTATCCAATCACATCTTAAAGGCCCCACCTCTCAATAGTGACATACTGGGGATTAAGTTTCAACATAAGTTTTGGAGGGGACATTTAAATCATAGCAGTAACTGAAGCAGAACTACTAAAAGATTGTTAAAATATTCTAATCACCTTTTCAAAAATATATAATTCCTTTTTCATGAGGGTTAAATGTATAAAAATTCAAAAATTCAAGTCATTTTTTTTTTTAGACAGGGTCTTGTTCTATTGTCCCAGCTGGAGTCCAGTGGTACAATCATCAGTCTCTGCAGCCTCCACACTTCCTGGGCTCAAGTGATCCTTCCACCTCAACTTCCTGAGTAGCTGGGACTAAAAGCATGTGCCACCACCCCTGACTAATTTTTTTAAAACATTTTTTGTAGAGACAGGGTCTTTCAACCCTGGTCTCAAACTTCTAAGCTCAAATGATCCTCCTGCCTCTGCCTCCCAAAGTGCTGGGATTACAGGCTTGAGTCACCACACACAGGCTGTAATCCCAAGTCACTTTTATTATCATAACCTGCTTTAGTAATCAAGAGAAAGAAAATTCTTTTTATCCTTATGTCATATTTTATTATGGTTGAATTAATTCTTATAGTTAGAGTACATCCTAAATACAACTAAAGAAGTTAACTGATGCTTAAAGTTACTAAAGCCCAAATTATTTTTACTTTTCTTTTCTTCATAATAATGTCTGTTTCTGTTATCATAAATGTAGTGGTCTCTGAGAAGCTATGCACTTTTATATTTGTTACTCAGACCTCTTGAAAAATGTTCAAAATTATTAATATACACAAATGTATAGAAAATATCCATATACATTAATATACAGAAATAATTTCCTCTCAGTAGAGGAGACTAGATCATAGTGAATCAATGTTTAACCCATTTCCCAACACCATTTAACATGAGCTTCAGGCCACTAGAATTACCTCCATTGACTTAGAAAAGTACAGAAGACATAAGTCATATCAAAGACAACAGGAAAATGTTTAATTGTGTTTAAGTGCTTCTATATTTGTATGACAATATTTATTTAACAAACATTGATATAGCACTTGCTACATCAGGCAATGTTTCAAGCTTTTTTAATAAATATTAATTCATCTAATCCTCATAACAACCTTATGAGTTAGGTAATATCATCCCTATTTTTCAAATGGGAAAACTGCGCGTAAAAGAAGTATCTTGCCTAAATCCCTAGAATCAATAAATGGCAAAGTCAGAATTTGAACCTATGAGTCTGGCTCCAGAGTCTGAGCTTTCAAGCACTACTCCATCAGGCTACCTCTCAATATTCTAAATCATTTCCATATTTGGAATCTGATTTAATATAAAGGTGTTATAGCTTTTAGTCGTGTAAAAAACTTTTCTTTTTGAGATCTGAAAGTGACTTCAGATCTCAAACACCTAAGGAGACGTGCTGGTAGAGATCTGAAAGTGATTTCACTATGTGGCTGCTCCCACACAAACACCCAATGTCTCCTTGACTCTCATCCCACTAGCTCATGTACCTCCTGCTCGGCATCCACCAAACTCTGTTTTCTCCTATAGCAACACCTACCACAATATTTGTATATTAAGTGTTACGTTCTTTAAGGACAAGAAGCATATCTTGTTCACAGTTTTTTTTTTTGTTTTTTGTTTGTTTGTTTTTTGAGACAGAGTCTCGCTCTCTCGTCCAGGCTGGAGTGCAGTGGTGCAATCTCGGCTTACTGCAAGCTCCGCCTCCCAGGTTCACGCCATTCTCCTGCCTCAGCCTCCCGAGTACCTGGGAGTATAGGTGCCTGCCACCACGCCCGGCTAATTTTTTGTATTTTTTTTAGTAGAGATGGGGTTTCACCATGTTAGCCAGGATGGTCTCGATCTCCTGACCTCGTGATTCGCCCGCCTCGGCCTCCCAAAGTGCTGGGATTACAGGCGTGAGCCACGGCGCCCGGCCTTCTTGTTTACAGTTTTATCTCCAACACATGTACCTGAGCAGACAAAGCATGATTATAAATTACTCAACAGCCAGAGAGTTAAACTAACTTCTTATCAAATTACAACACCTAAAATAAATAGGTTTCTTCTCTATACCTATGGGAGTAGGTACTCATTCCAATTTTAAAATTAGCATGTGTGTGGAAATAATCTTGTGATTTAAAGAAAATGACACTGCAGAAAACTACATTAATGAATGGTCCTCTCCATCTTGGCACAGAGATTTAAAATTTGGGTGTTTCAAAATTAAAGACACTAAAGCTCTTCGTTTAAAAAAAAAAAATGACAACACAGATGCACTGAGCTTTTCAAACTAAAAGTCAGGAATATATATCAAGCTACTATCACAAAACACTTCCATCAAAACCCTGCAGGAAGCAAACAATTGCCAGCTAGCACATCACCCTTCATGCGAAATGACGTGCGTCATTTTGTGCAAAGGACATCAAAAGAACTTGTCAGTTAAACAGAGGATTTAGATATACCATGAGAAAACTTTCATGCACCACTTTACATATTTCCAGCAAAATTGCTATAGAAGCACTTAAGGCACAATAATTTGAACCTAACTTGACTTAAGTAACCAACACAAACTACTTTTCTAAAATGTCTCCTATTTTCATAAGTGATAGAATTTAGTTATAAAAGTCCTACTAACTCTTGTAAAATAATCTACAGAGACATGGTGATTCATTTGCTTTCATTCAGCAGCATTTGCTTGTAAAATTATTAATTATGTGCCTATTATGTGCTAGGTACTCTATTGGGTGTTCTTGTACAAATCATTTTTCTGCCAGCAAAGCCATATTTTTTTGAGTTAGTAATTCCCAGATTTTTGTCAAATTCAACAGCATTATGCAATGAGTTCTTAGTATGTACAGTAAGGAAGAGCAGAATTTTAGTTGATGTAAGTAATTCTACATTTTATTTTGGATAACAGGAACATACAAACTATATACATGCAACCTGAATATTCTTATTAACTGTTCATTTTGCATTTCTGTCCAATTTGACCAGTGAATTCACTCAAATAGTCAAGTTGGCTTTGGCATTTAGGTAGGACCAGTAGGTCCATAAAGTGAGAGAGTCAAATGGGTAATGGAAGACAAACTCCCTCCTAGATCACAAGCTCCTGAGAATAAGAACTGTGACTTCTATAGTACTGGGGCCAAATGTATTTCCTGGCACAGACTATGCATTAATATATGATTGTTTGAATGAAAGAATGACCTCACTAAACTTCTCCCAAACATATAAAACTATATCCCATCTGTAAAAATTTCCAGAGGGACCAGACATGATGATGGTCATTTGGTCATTATCCTTATTAATATTAACCTTCCTAAGTACAGAGATCCCATAGAGGCTCTTAGGGTACAATAAATCAAACCTAAGTACATTAATTAACCAATACAAGTTATAACTTTACTAACAGTTATTATTTTCCGTTAAATTTCCTAAATTCTCTTAATCTTTTATCACTGAATCTGTTTTTTTAAACTTTTTTCTTATCTTTTAAATTATTCTGATTATTAAGTTAAAGGTTAACAAGATAATAAATCATAACTCTGCTTCAAAGCTTGCCAGCTTAAATTCTATTAACAATGCCTGATTATTCAAGCTTATCTCCTTTTTATAACTTTGAAAATAAGCTGAAATCTGCACCTCTAATCACAGTGTCCTGTACCCTTTCAACTATACGTTTGCCTTGCCTTCCACTAAATCCTAAACTAGAGCAGGGGTCAGGTTCTTGTTCCTCTTTCTTGCCATCCTCTCACCCTGACACGCACTACTGTATCCACTTCAAGGGCATGTTCAGGAAAGATAATATAGCACTGCAAAAATGGGCTACTGGGGGCTGGGCACGGTGGCTCATGCCTATGATCCCAGCACTTTGGGAGGCCAAGGCAGGCAGATTGCTTGAACCCAGATGTTTGAGACCAGCCTGGGCAACATGGCAAAACCCCATCTTTACAAAATGTACAGAAAATAAATAAAAATAAAAATAAATAGCCAGGCATGGTGGTGCGTGCCTGTGGTCCCAGCTACTCCAGAGACTGAGGTGGGAGGATCACCTGAGCCCAGGAGGTAGAGGTTGCAGTGAGCCACTGCACTCCAGCCTGGGTGACAGAGCAAGACCCTGACTCAAAAAAAAAATGGGGGATAGGAAGGCAGAGAAAAGCACCCCGAAGCCCTCGGGCGGAAAATTGGATTAAAACCTTAAAGAGAAGTAAAATATTCTCCTTTACTGTCTCCATTTCAGTCATTGCCTTTAAAATTCATACATATATTCCACTAGTGCTAACCTAAGAGAATCAGCATTATTTAATATCCATTGCCTCAGACACTGTTGTTTGGCCAACCATACTCATTCCCAGGCCCCAGCCACCTTCTTCTGTGGCTAGGAACACTAAATACTTATTTTTCCTGCTTCTCTTGCAGCTAAGCATTGCCCTGGACACAGTTCTGGCTGATGAGATACAAGCAAAACCCACCAGAGGGTTCCCTGAAAAGATTTTGCTTTCATGATTAAAAAAAAAAAAAGGAGAAATATGGCTGGCATTGTCACTTCTCCCTTCATCATGTCCTGAACATACAATACCTAGGCTTGCATTATGTATTTTGCAACCGTGAAATAAAAAGCATGAAAATGAAAAACAAACTCAATGGGAATGGTGGAACAGAGGATTAAACAGGATTATTAAGCAACTAAACCTATGCAAACAATCCCCTGTTTTCAGATAGCTTGATGTGGGAATAAAAGATTGTTGACGTTACCGTTACTTACAGACAAATGCTTTCCAATGGAGATGCTACTTAAGACAGCCATGGTTTAAATCCTGGTTCTGCCTTTTACTGTGTGACCTTGGGCAACTTAATAAACTTTTCCAAGCCTCCATTTCTCATCTGTAAATGGGCATAAGTGAAATTGCTACAATAGCATTGTTGTGAAAAATATAAAATAATGCATTTCAAGTACTTGGCATTGAATTTGGCACAAAGCATTTCTCTCAAACATTAAAAGCACATTTTAATACTAAACACAATAGAAATGTTTTAAAAATAAATGTTGCTTTTTTCTCCAAATAATTACATATAAAAATTAAACATTTAGGGTGTTAGAGAAGTCAATTCTTTATTTTTAAAATCATCATTATATATAGTTTAACTTAAGACAATTTACAATAAGAATTAAAATGTATAATGTAAATGTAAAATGTACATTTGTGTAATTAGGTAGTACAAATATTAACTAATAATTGCTATGTGGATTAAATTTTTTATATTATTCTAATTATTGTGATACAAAATAAGCCATTTCCTCCAGCACAAGATAGACTGAAATGACTGGCAGTAACCTCACAACTTCTTGTTGCCATACCACCCAGAAACCTGAGACATGTGAATCTTTACTGTTCCACTTACTAGGTTATTTTCAGGACATTCAATCATTTCTCTTTAATCATTGAAGGAAACAGCAAATCTCTGTTTGTTGTTTCGCTTTGTTTTAGTCAGAAGCATTTTTGCTTCACTTCAACAAGATCATCACTCCAATTGTTTCTCTTTAGCAGCTTATCTTACAAGGCCAGTAAAAGACTGTGTTCCGAAGCCTAGAGACTTTCCATTTATAGCTTTCCATTAAGCCTCTTAAAAGTAGGTATTTACACAAATTAATTACTTAAAAGGTAGGGCCTTTTATGAAATAGCTTTTTTATTAATTCAAAGAGATTATAATTTTTAATCTAAACCTTTTTAAAAAGGATTTGAGTCGACTTACAACAAAAGACATAAATAGATTAAGATTGTTAAAATAAACCAAAACATATGCAAATACTGGGAAAAAAGGATGCAAATAAAAAAATCATGATGGCCACAATTATGCAAAACATTTAACTGTGAACTTCTACTAAAGCAAAAATGGAAACAGAGTTGATTTTTAAAATCTCATTATGTTAGAGGGAAAGTGTATGGTCTATATTTTTATATGCTGATACTCAGTGTAGCCTTAGTACTAAAATTTCAGTAGGAATTTCTCTCATGGCCCTTCCCCAAGAAAAATTAAGTTCCATAATACACAGTGTTTTCATCAGTGAGGTTCAGTGGCTGCTTTGAACTTTAATAAAAGTCAATAGCATGACATTATACCAGTAATTTTAAAATGATTTTAAGCTATGGAATCTGAAAAAAATATGCAGCAGCTAAATATATAAAATTATAGATAAATAAGAACTTCTCTAATTGAAACAGAGTTAAAGTGCCTAAAGCTACTATAACCAGTGATTACAGAATCTGAGTAAGGAAAAAAACTGTAGCCAATAAACTGATCACAGTGCCTTGCTTAGTTACAAATATACAAATGCAAATACAATGTCCTAAGCTCTTATGCTCTCCTGACAAGGTTGGGGATGAGGCAAGAATGTCTACTCTCATTGCTCTTATTGAACATTATACTGCAAGTCCCAGTTCAATAAAGCAAAAAGAAAAAATGACACATAAGGAAGACAGGAAGAAATAAAACTGTCTTTATTCAGAAAGAGTGTATTGTGCATGTAGAAAATCTTAAAAATCTACAAAAAGCCACTAAATCTAATAAGTTAATTGAGCAAGATTGCAGGATACAAGTTCAATAGAAAACAACCATTTGTATTTCTATATATTAACAATAGGCAATTGGAAATAAAACAAAATATATTCACAACAGCATCAAAAATCATGTAAAACTAAGGATTAAATCTAACAACAGGTGGGCACAGGCAGTTCATTAAAAATTACAAATTATTACCAAGAAAAATTAAAGAAAAATTAAATAAGGATATTTCTATGGAGTGAATTTTGTCCCCTTCTCTACTTCAGTTTATATGTTGAAACCCTCAATGTGACAGTATTATAAATGGGTACTTTGATAGGTAATTAGGTTTACATGAGGCCATGAGGATGGGCCCTCATAATTAATTAGTGTCTTTATAAGAAGAAACACCAGAGAGCGTGCCATCTCTCTCTCCGTGTGTGTGTGTGTGTGTGTGTATGTGTGTGTGTGTGTGTGTGTGTGTACACAAAGAGGTCATGTGAGCACACAGTGAGATGGTGGCCACCTGCAAGCTAAGAGAAGGGACTTCAAAATAAAACTTACCTTCCCAGCACCTTTATCTTGGACTTCCCAACATCCGTAACTATGAGAAAATAAATTTCTATTATTTCAGCTACCCAGTCTATGATATTTTGTTATGGCATCCCAAGCTGACTAAGACAGAGATATACAGTGCTCATGGATCAGACGACTTGAGGTTAAAATTTAAGATACGAATTCACTGCAGATTTTTCTATAAACTCAGTATAATCAGAAATAAAATCCCACTAGGCCTATATGACCCAAGAATTCCATTTGTAGGCATATACATAATAAAAAACAGGGACTCATACAGATATTTTTATCATTGCTGGATAATTCACAATAGGCAAAAGTTAAAAACAACCCAAGAGTCAATCAACAGGTAAATGGATAAACAAAATGTGGTATATACATACAATAGAATGTCATTCAGCCATGAAAAGGAATGGAGTTCTGACATATGCTACGACATAGATGAATCTTGAAAATATTATGCTGAGGGTGGAGCAAGATGGCCAAATAAAAGTCTCCACAAATTGTCTCACCTAAAAGGAACACCACATTTTAACAACTGACTACACACAATAAAAGCACCTTCATAAAAAACAAAAATCAGGTAAGCAATCACAGTACCTGGTTTATATTGCTGACAGAGGAACTAAATGGGTAGGAAAGACAGGCTTAAATCACTGAGACCACCCCTCTCACATTCCCCAGAAATAATTACATGGCATAGAAAGAGAATCTGTACACTTGGGGGAGGGAGAGCACAGTGACTGGGGGACTTTGCATTGAACTGAGTTTTGCCCTGTCACAGTGGAAAGCAAAAGCGTGATGAACTCAGCCAGTGCCCACACATGAAGGGAGCATTTGGACCAGACCTAACCAGAGAGGAAGTGCCCATCTCAATGGTCTGAACCTGAGTTTCTCTGCAAGTCTTGCTACTGCAGGCTAAACTGCTCTGGGATCCTAGGTGAACTTGAAAGGCAGTCGAGGACACAAGGACTGCAATTCTTAGGGAAGTCCTGATGCTGTGCTGGACTTAGAGCCAGTGGATTGGGGTGGCACATGGCCTAGAAAGACACCAGATGGGCCAGCTAGGGGAGTGCTTGTGCAACTCCTCCCACAACCACAGGCAGGAAAGCTTGCAGCAATAAAAGGACTCCTTCCTTCTACTTGAGGAGAGGAGACAGAAGAGCAAAGAGACTTTGTCTTGCACCTTGGATGCCAGCTAAACCAACATAGGGTAGATCAGTGGGCAGAGTAGTGAGGCCTGCATCCTAGGCCCTACCTCCCAGATGACATTTCTAGACACACTCTCGGCCAGAAGAGAAACATCTTCCTTGAAGGGAATGAACAAGTACTGGCAGAATTCATCACCTTCTGACTAAAGAGCCCCCGAACCCTGAATCACCAACAGCAATACTCAGGTGGTATACCACTGGCCTTGGGTAAGACTCTGAGACATGCTGGCTTCAGCTACCAGCTCAGCCATAGTAGCGCAGAGCACCAAGTGGGCTCTTAGGGATCCCTGAATCCAGGAATAGGCTATTGGATGGCACTTATAGACCTGCCCTAGGCCAAAGGGGAGCCCACTTCCCTGAAGAGTGAGCCCCAGGCCTGGCAGCATTGACCACAATCTGACTGAAGAGCCCCTGGGCCTTAAGTGAATCTTAGTGGTGGCCTGGAAAAACTCCCTATGGGCTAGTGGTGGTGGTGGCAACAGGGAAAGGCTTCTCTGCCTGTGGAAAGGGGAAAGAAGAATGGAAAGAGCTTTGTCTTATGGTCTGAGTACCAGCTTAGCCACAATGCAACAGAACACCAGGTAGATTTCTAAGTTTTTTTTTTAATTCTAATCCCTGGCTCCCAGACAGCATCTCTAGACCTGCATGGGTTCTGGGGAAACTGACTGCCCTGAAGGAAATGACAAAATCTGTGGCTTCCCCACCTACTGATTGTAGATCCCTAGAATCTTGAGAGAATATAGGTCGTAGTCAGGTAGCAAATATAGTGGACCTTGTGTGAGACTCAGTACTGTGCTGGCTTCAGGTCTGACCTGGGATAGTCCCAGTGGTGGTGGCCACAGGGGTGCTTGAATCATGCCATCCCCAGCTCCAGGTGGTTCAGCACAGCAAGAAAGACTTCATTTGTTTAAAAGAAAGTAGCAGAAGATAACGAGAATTTCTTCCTGGTAATCCAGGGAATTCTTCCAGACCTTATCTAAGACCACCTAGGTGGTATCTTTATGAGTCTGTATTACTCGGCTTGGAACCCAAGTCTCTTTTGAATATCTAGAAAGCCTTCCCAAGAAGAATGAGCATAGAGCATAGACAAGCTCAGACTGAGAAGACTACAATAAATACCCAACTCTTTAATGCCCAGACACAGACAAACATCCAGAAGTATCAAGACCATCTAGGAAAACATGACCTCACCATACAAACTAAATAAGGGACCAGGGACCAATCCTGGAGAAACAGAGATATGTGGCCTTTCAGGCAGAGAATTCAAAATAGCTCTTTCGAGGAAACTCAAAGAAATTCAACATAACACAAAGAAGAATTCAGAATTCTATCAGATACATTTAACAAAGAGATTGAAATAATTAAAAAGAATCAAGCAGAAATTCTATAGTTGAAAATGCAACTGATGTATTGAAGAATGTCTTAGAGTCTCTTAATAACATAACTGCTCAACAAAAAGAAAGAATTAATGAGCTTGAAGACAGGCTCCTTGGTAATATACTGTCAAAGGAGACAAAATAAAAAGGAATAAAAAATAATAAAGTAAGCCTACAGAATCTAGAAAATAGCTTCAAAAGGGCAAATCTAAGAGTTCTTGGCCTTAAAGAGGAAGTAGAGAAAGAGATGAGGGTAGCAAGTTTATTCAATGGGATAATATAAAAGAACTTCCAAACTTAGAGAAATATATAAATATTCAAGTACAAGAAGGTTATAGAACACCAAGCAGATTTTACCCAAAGAAGACTACCTAAAGGCATTTAATAATCAAATTCAAAGATAAAGAATCCTAAAAGCAGCAAGAGAAAAAAAACACACACACAATAGAACTTTAATGCATCTGTAAGCAGACTTTTCAGTAGAAACCTTACTGGCCAGAAGAGAGTGGCATGACATACTTAAAGTACAGAAGGATAAAAACGTTTTACCCTGGAATAGTATATTCTGTGAAAATATCCTTCAAGCATGAAGGAGAAATAAAGACTTTCCTAGACAAACAAAAGCTGAAGGATTTCATCAATACCAGACCTGCCCTAAAAGAAAGGTTAATGGGAGTTCTTCAATCTGAAAGAGAAGGACAATAAGCAATAAGAAATCATCTGAAGGTACAAAAATCAGATAGTAGAAAGCAGACCGAAAAACACAGAATACTATAACACTGTAATTGTGGTGTGTAAACTATGTTTATCTTAAGTCAAAAGACTAAATGATGAACCAGTCAAAAATAACAACAACTTTTTAAGACACAAACAGTACAACAAGACAAAGAAAAACAACAGAAAGTCCTTACTTGTCAATAACAACATAAAATGTAAATGAACTAAACTCTGTAATCAAAAAGCATAGAATGGCTGAATGAATTTTTAAAAAAAGACCCAATGATCTGCTGCTTATAAAAAACATACTTCAACTATAAAGATACACATAGACTAAAAACAAATAAATGGAATATTTCATGGCAATGTAAACCAAAAAAGAACAGGAGTAGCTACAGTTATATCTCATAAAATAAATTTAAAGACAAAAACTATAAGAAGAGACAACATTGTTATACAATGGCAAATGGGTCAATTCAGCAAGAGGATATAACAATTGTAAATAGATATGTACCCAACACTTGAACACCCAGATATATAAAGTAAATATTATTAGAGCTAAGGAGAGAGACAGACCTCAGTACAATAGTAGCTGGAGATTTCAACATCCCACTTTCAACATTGTTGATTTTCTGCCTGGGAAATCTGTCCAAAGAAACATCAGACTTAATCCAGACTATAGAACAAACGCATCTAATAGATATTTACAGAATGTTTCATCCAATGGCTACAGAATAAAAATTCTTCAACTCAGCATCATTCTCACAGACAGACCATATGTCAGGCTACAAAACAAGTCTTAAAACATTCAAAAACAATTGAAATTGAAATAATATAAAACATATTCTCTGACCACAATGAAATTAAACTACCCATCAGTAACAACAGGAATTTTGTACACTAAAAAAAAAAACATGAAAATTGAATCATATGCTCCTGAATGACCAGTGGGTCAATGAAGAAATAAAGAAGGAAACTGAAAAATTTCTTGAAATAAATGATAATGGAAACACAACATACCACAACTCATAAGATACAGCAAAAGCAGTACTAAGAGGAAAATATATAGCTTTAAGTGCCTATATCAAAAAAAGAAAAACTTAAACAGCCTGATGATGCATCTTAAAAAATTAGAAAAGCTAGAACAAACCAAACCCCAAATTATTAGAAGAAAAAAATAAACATCAGAGCAGAAATAAATGAAATTGAAATGAAGAAAACATAAAAGATAAACAAAACCAGAAGTTTGTTTTTTTTAAAGATAAGCAAAATTGGCAAACCTTTAGCCAGACTAAGAAAAAAAAAAAAAGAGACGATCCAAACAAATAAAATCAGAGAGAAAAAAGAAGACATTACAACTGATACAACAGGAATTTAAAGGATCATTAGTGACTACTATGAGCAATTATATGCTAATAAATTGGAATATGTGGAGGAAACGGATAAATTCCTAGGCTCAAACAACCTACCCAGATTGAACCATGAAGAAACCCAAAAATGGAACAGACCAATAACAAAGTAACAAGATTGAAGCTGTAATGAAAAGCCTGCCAGTAAAGAAAAGCCTGGGAACCAATGGCTTCAGTGCTGAATTCCACCAGACATGTAAAGAACTAATACCAATCTTACTCAAACTATTTCAAAAATGGAGGAATAAATACTTCCGAATTCATTCTATAAATCCAGTATTATCCTGATACCAAAATCAGACAAAGACACATCAAAAAAGAAAACTATAGGCCAATATCCCCGACGAATGTTGATAGAAAAATCCTCACAAAATACTAGCAAGCTGAATTCAACAATACATTAAAAAGATCATTCATCATGACCAAGTGGGGTTTATCCCAGTTTCAACATATGCTAATCAATCAATGTGATATATCATATCAACAGAATGAAGGATAAAAACTATATGATCATTTCGATTGATGCTGAAAAACCTTTTGCTAAAATTCAACATCTTCTTATGATTAAAACCCTCAAGAACTGTATATAGAAAGAACATACCTCAACAGAGTAAAATCCATGTATAACAGACCCACAGTTAGTGTTATACAGAATGGGAAAAAACTGAAAGCCTTTCCTCTAAGCTCTAGAACACAACAAAGAACTCCAATGTCACCACTGGTATTCAACATAGTACTGAAGTCCTTCCTAGCTAGAGCTGTTTTCTGTTTGAAAAGAGAAAGAAATACATGGTGTCCAAATTGGAAAGGAAAAAATCAAATTGTCCTTACTTGCAGATGGTATTATATTATATTTGGTAAAGCCTAAACACTTCACCATAAAACTGTTAGAACTGATAAACAAATTCAGTAAAGATGCAGAATAAAAAATCAATATAAATAGTAGCATTTGTGTATGCCAACATGAAACAATCTGAAAAAGAAAAAAAGTTCTTCCATTTAATATAGCTACAAATAAAACGAAATACAAAGGAATTAACTTAAAGAACTGAAAAAAACTCTACAATGAAAATTATAAAACACTGATAAAAGACATTGAAGATACAAAAAAAATGAAGACATTCCATGTTCAAGGATTGAAGGAATCAATATTGCTAAAATGTCCATACTACCCAAAGCAATCTACAGATTCAATGTAATCCTTGTCAAAATACCAATGACATTATTTACAAAAGTAGAAAAAGTAATCCTATGATTTATATGGAACTACAAAAGACCCCAACTAGCCAAAGATATCCTGAGCAAAAAGAACAAAACTGGAGAAACCACATTACCTGACTTTAAATTATACTACAGGGCAATAACAAATAAAACAGCAGGGTGCTGGCATAAAAACAGATACCTAGACCAATGGAACAGAATAGATAACCCAGAAACAAATCCTTATTTTCAACAAAGCTGCCAAGAACATATATTGGAGAAAAATCATCTCTTTAATAAATGATGCTGGGAAAAGTGGATATCCATATGCAAAAGAATGAAACTAGACCCCTATCTCTTGCTATATGCAAAAATCAAATCAAAAGGGATTAAAAACTTAAATCTAAGACCTCAAACCATGAAATTACTATAAGAAAACATTGGGGAAAATCTTCAGGACATTGGACTAGGCAAAGATTTTTTGAATAATACTGCACAAGCACAGGCAACCAAAGCAAAAATGGGCAAATGGGATCACATCAGTTAAAAAGCTTCTGCATACTAAAGGAAACAATCAACAAAGTGAAAAGATAACCCACAGAATAGGAGAAGATATTTATAAACTACCCATATGATGAGAAACTAATAACCAAAATATAGCAGTAGCTATAAAAACTCTATAGGAAAAAATACAATAATCTGATGTTAAAAAGGGGAAAATATCTGAACAGACATTTCTCAAAAGAAGACAAATGGCAGACGGGCATACGAAAAGGTGCTCAATGTCACTGATCATCAGAGAAATGTAAATCAAAACTGCAATGATATATCATCTCACACCAGTTAAAGTGGCTTATATCCAAAAGACAAGCAGTAACAAATGCTGGAGAGAATGTCAAGAAAAGGGAGCCCTGGTACACTGTCGGTGAGAATGTGAATTATTACAACTGCTATGGAGAACAGTGTGAAAATTCCTCAAAAACTGAAAATAGAGTGACTATGCGATCTAGAAATCCCACCCCTGGGTATATACCCAAAAGAAAAGAAATCAGTATATCAAAGGGATAGCTTCACTCCCATGTTTGTTGCAGCACTGTTCACAATAGCCAATAGCCAATATCTGGAAGCAACCTAAGTGTCCATCAACAGATGAATGAATAAAGAAAATGTGGTACATATACACAATGGAGTACTGGAGCCATAAGAAAGAATAAGATCCTGTCATTTGCAGCAACATGGATGAGACTGGAGGTAATTATGTTAAGTGAAATAAGCCAGGCACAGAAATATAAACTTTGCATGTTCTCACTTATTTGTGGGAACTAAAAATTAAAACAATTGAACTCATGGAGAGAGCAGAAGGATGGTTACCAGAAACTGGGAATGGTAGTGGGGATGTGGTGGGGCAGGGAGTGGGAATTGTTAATGGGTGAAAAAAATAATTAGAAACAATGAATAAGACCTAGTATTTGATAGCACAAAAGGGTGACTATAGTCAATAATAACTTAATTGTACATTGTTAAATAACTAAAATAATATAATTGGATTGTTTCTAACACAAAGGATAAATCTTAAGGGGATGGATATCCCATTTACTATGACGATATACATTGCATGCCTGTATCAAAGTATTTCACATGCCCCATAAATATATACACTTACTATGTACCTACAAAAATTAAAAATAAAAAACATTTTAAGAACCATTACACTAGGTGGCATACGCCAGATGCAAAAAGAAAATATTGTATGATTCCACTTATATGGTGTATAAATACCTAGAATTGGAAAATTTCCCTAGAATAGGCTCATTCACAGAAATAAAGTAGATTACAGATTACCAGGGGCTGGAGGGAATGAGGAGTTATTGCTTAATATGTACAGAGTTTCTGTATGGGGTGATGGAAAATTCTGGAAATATTGGTGACACGACGATGCAAATGTAATTAATGCCACTGAATTGAATACTTAAAGATGGTTAAAATAGCAAATTTTATATTTTTTTTACTATACTAAAACACCCTTATTTACAAAACAAAACCCTAGGAGACTTTTTTATGAAATCTACAAATTGATTGTGAAATACATATTAAAATGTAAAGGATCCACAATAGCCAAAATCATTTGAAAAGAACTAAGTTGCATGATTTGATCTGAAGACTCACAGAAACACTACAATAATCAAGACAGCATAGTATTGGTGTTAACCGTAGATGTATTGATCAATAGATGACAGAATGTCAGAAATAGACACATATATGATCAATTAGCTTCTGACAAAGTGCCAAGATAATTTAATAGGAAGAAAAATGTTTTCAACATATTGTATGGAACATCAAGATATGCATATGAATACATAAACTCTGACCTTTCCTCAGATCATATACAAAATTAACTTATCAATTACAGACCTAAATGTAAAAAATCTCCTAAAAGGAGAAAACTTTGCAAAAAAACCCAAAAGTGATAAATTATATCAATTCGTTAATATAGAAATATAGACTATAATTACATGTGTTTGTATACATACATGTGTCCAGAACTTAATAACCTGAATCTTAGCAACAAGAGGACAAAAACTCATTTAAAAAACTGTCAAAAGATTTGAACAGACACTTCATAAAAATACAAAGGCCACTAAGTACATCAAAAAATGCACATTTAAACCACATTTAGTTACCATTACAAAGTCATTAGAATGGCTAAAAATTAAAAGGCTAGAACGAGTGGAATTCTCATACAATGCTAGTTGCAAAGTAAAATATTGCCACTACTTTGTAAATCTGTTTGGCAGATTCTTATAACGTTGAACACATGTCTGCCATATGACCCAACAATTCCAAGAGTAATAATCATATGCCAACCCTGCCACAATAACCATATCAGATTTATTCATAGTAGCCACAAAACTGGAAAAAAACCCAACTATCCATCAGTATGTCAATGGATAGCCCAGTTGTGATACATCCTTTCAATGGAATACTACTAGGCAATGATAAGAGAATAGAGTATTGTTATTATCATTACATGCAATTACATGAATGAATTTCAAAAACATTTTTCTGAGCAAAAAAAGATAGGCACACTGTATCATTCCATTTATATGAAACTCTAAAATAAGCAAAACTAATCTGTAATGACAGAGCACACATCATTGATTGCCTGGGGTTGTGGCTGGTAGGAGAGAGGTGTGACTACAAAGTGGCAGAAAGAACATTTTTGGATAATAAAAAGGGTCTATATCTTTATAGTGGTGGTGGTTACATAAGTGTATACATTTGTCAAAACTCATCAAACTAGAATGGATGCATGTTGTTAAATGTAAATCATGCCTCAGTAAAGAAGATTTTAAGAGTAGAAATAAGGATCTATACCCATTACTGAATCTACATTATATACTTGCTGAGGCTGTGACAGAGTGCATCATCAACGCAATATGGCTAAGCTTACCCACAAGTAAGCTGGAATGTGGGTATAAATCAAGTTTAAGGATAAGCAGAATACCAGGTAACTGGCAACACCAGAAAAAATTTCTTCCTCCTACCCAGCTGGGAAATATCCACAGTCTTTTCTACTGCAATGTACATATCCCAGATTAAACAAGTTTGAGAGTCAGGAGAACACTATATGACATCTTCCTCCTAAAAGATGACAACTGCTCTTGGCAGTGGGTACTTGAGACAGAATTTAGGAAACCTCTGCCATGGCTAGCTCTCGAAGTATAATAATTAGTAAACCACTTTATCTGGGAGTGATAATAAGATTTTGTGCATTTTTGTTACTGCCATTGCCTCCTTGACCAGGACAGTCCACTAATACTCAGTCTTCCACCTCCAAGGTAGTCCTTTAAGAATTTGTTCAGAAACCCTAGGTTTCAGCCAGGAATGATTTTAAAACATTGAAAGCATAACCAAGTGATGGTGTATATATTCCTCTTTGCACAGATATAAATTTATTGTGCAGTTTTTCTATGTTGTTTAATAAAGTTCACTTTCTCTAGTGATCTTACAGGCAACTTCTAATACTACTACTACCATTAATACTAATACTATGGTTCTCAAACACTGCATGTTCTTAAGTCAAATTCCCAGAGGTCTGGGGAATTGGGGTCTAAGATCTGGTCTAACCTCTCTCTGGTGATCCTAGTACAGATAGCCTTCAAACAATTTGAGAAACACTGCACTGTTCCATTGCTCTGCCAGGGACACTTAACTTTTTAGTCCTCCAGTTAGGTGGGAGTGAGTTGACTGACAGGCTAGATAACAACCAAATACATAATCAAAATCAAATGTATCATAATGTACTTTCAACAAGTTGTCCCTCATGAAGACATAGCATGATTATTTTTGCATGGGACACTTTACAACTGATGGTTGATGTTTACTTCGTTAAATGAATTTTAAATACAAGTGGCATTGATTCTATAAACAGCAACATCTTAGGAAAACATCCTGTAAAGAATCTCCACACTTAGCTCCTAGAGAATGGTGACAAGGACTGCTTAAAAGAACATGAAATAGTTTGGTGCTATAGATTAAATTTCTTCTGAGAAAAAGTGTGAATTTTACAGGTGGCATCCAGATGGAGAATTAGTCCCTTCCCACCCACATGAAGAAAGTCTATAAAACCTCTTCCACAACAGGAGAAGAAAGGGAGGACATTTTGTGCCAAGAAATTTTTGCAATTTGTGTACTAGAAGAGTACTGCAACTCTCTGGAGCACTCCATATTATGTGTAGCTGTGTCGTGTCAAATAGAACAGATACTAAACTACAGAAATTGAGTTAATGAAGAGGTAACACGTCAAAGTCTAAACTTGAACAATGGTAGACAGACTAATTGTTTTCTACAATTATATCTGCTTTTAGTTTTGAAAATGACCAATCCAGCATGAGCCAGCATGGGTCAGCATAGGATACAGAAGATTACTAAATAGATGGGAACTAAGACCATAACAGAGAGATAATCCAACTACAACCAGCTAGAGATATTCTTAGAATCTTGTGGTTAAGGGTTTTACCAACACCTTGACAATTAACTCCAAAACAATATGTAGGTGTATCTGTACACTATTTATGAATTTTTCTGTATATATACTTACATTAATTAATTGTTTAGTTCAATTTTAACAGTTCATTTTGCTGAGTGGAGCCCTTCATTCTCAGTAAATTTTTTAAGGACTTTATAAACACATACATTATTAATAAAAAGTACTCAAACTAGGCGAATCCAATCAATAGTTGCAATTATGATCAGATAAGAGCACTTATTTAAATAGTGGCTCTTACCTTTTAAAAATATTTTTATGAAAATTCACCACAAATACTTTAATAAAATGAGTTATATGGATATGAATTCAATTACTATAGCTCTAGAACCAGGTGATGAAATAACAAAATGAAACAGAAAGATTGCAGAAGTAATAAAACAGAGTGAGTGGCAAAAGAATATCATTAATAAAATAATAAGATCAAAGAAATGAATAGACAAGGTTGAAAACTAAATTACTCACTAGAGGAAACATTTGAGAAACATCACAGTAATGCAGATAAAAGACACAGAAACAAAAACAATTATTTAAAAGTAATATATACAGAAGATAGAAAAGATAGGTAAGACAATAAATGTGACAGAAAATGTATTAAAAGATATGGTACAACAAAGCTTCACCGATATTGAGGTAAAAAATAAACCTGTATATTGAAAGGACACGAGAAATTCCTGGAAAAATTTATAAATGATCATCTGTAAGAAAGTGCTTTAGTGAAATTGTTTTTCCCCAACTTTAAGGATGAAGAAAAATAACTTGGCTATCAGTTCTTGCTATCCATCCTTTTACCTATACATATAAACACAGAGAGATTTCCAGAATCGTAACCTTCAAAATTATAATGATTATGTCTAGTAGGTGAAATTTGAGTTATTACATGTTTCTCTGGACTTTCCTCTATTGCTTGTATATTTATAATGAACATATGTTACTTTTATAAAAGCAATACAGTCATTAACTTAAAAAATTAAAGAAGGAAAGAAAGGGATGAAGAAGAAAAGAAGGAAAGAGACAATTATTGATTTGCCTAGATACTATTTTATCACTTTCTTAGTTACCTAATCATTACGAAAGAGGAAGAAAAGGAGGAGAAAGAAGAAGAAGATAAAGAGGAAAAAAACCATCATTTTGTGCTGATCACAGATTACGTATGTGAAGTCTTGGGAATTTCTGCTTATGTCTGATATATTACAACTTTACTGCTAGGAACTTTTTTTTTTTTTTTTTTGGCCTAGTATTTTGAAGTATCTGAAAGAGAACTCCATATTTGTAGAAGCCCAACTGGGCTACTGTTAAAAGGGGTTTATATTCCATAAATATTTACATTCTGCTCTACAAGAGCTGAGAAACAACTTGATGTGCCTGTTGTTCCCATTTAAACAACAACAAAAAAAATAAATTGTGAATCTTTCTCTACATCTAGTATCTTTTCTACCAGGTCTCTGGTAGAATGTCAATTCCCTGAAAACACAGATTGTGCTTTTGCTTTGTTCCAGACAATATGTGTCTTTTTAGGGTAGAAGTACTAAAAAATGAAAAATAAAATGCTAAGCTAATTGATGGTTATGATATATTGTTTCAATCCCCCTAAGGCCAGGCTGTGAACTATTTCAACCAGACATAGTCTCCACAAAGTTGTAGATCTGAGTGACTCTGCCAAGCATGATTCTATTTGCAATAAGTCTTTTACAGTTATCTACTATTTTCTCAATCACTCCCTTGCATTTAAGGTTTAGCAACTAGTTCACTGTATACCTCTCCACGACTACTCCATGCACTAGCTTTAGTAACTCCAATATTCCTTATCCTCTTTTTCTCCTGTGTTCACCTAACAAACTGAAACTCTGTTAAAACCCAACTTTCTATCTGCTCCCTACTTGCACCTCAGCAGCTGGAAGTAGTCAAAGAAAAACATTCATTTGAATTAACTGATTTTATGTAAACTTTTAGGAAAGAATTTTAAGAAATGCCTTCATTTTCTTAAATTTATGACCACAAATCTTAGAAAGACCTCCCCACCACCCAGCATCCTTCTATGTTTCCATAACAAATTCATTTTCCCACTCTCTCAAAAATTTGTTTTACGTATTTTCCTCTGGCCTCAAAGCCTCCCTCAATACTCCCTCCTTCCACCGTCCTTCACTCTCATATGATGACCTTGACTTCTGTTTAACTGAAAAACTAAAAGTAATCAGAAGAACATCTCCTGATTTTCCCATCACCAAATCTTCTAACTTACTTGTAACTGACCCATTCACTTCATTTTTCCTCCTAATATGAGGGATGAAATCTCCTTGGTCCATATAAACCAACTCTTCACAGCGCACTGAATTCCAGCACCAACATTTAAGAACTTTGCAACTGGAATTTTCCCCTCCTTTGCTGCTTCCTCTTCAGTTTTCCTCTCTCAATTGGATCATTTCCATTTGCATGTAAACATGTTGTAAAAAGACTCTCACCTTGCAAAGCAAACAAACAAAACAAACTTCCTTAATTCTATTTGCCCCTTCAGCTTCCGTCCATTTATCTGCTTCTTTGGCAAAGGGTATCTACTCTACCCGCTTTTTCTTTAATCCACTCCAATCAGACGTCTGTCTCCACTACTCCCATGAACTGTTCGAATCAAGGTCATTAACAACCTCTATCTTGCCATATTTGTGTCTCAATTATTCAGTCTCTCAAGAGTATTAACTTAATGGAGAATAGCATTGTTGTCAAACACTAGCTTTGCTTGACTTCCTGTGAAGAGTGCTTTACTGGTTTTCCTCTTCATTCTCTGGCATTTTCTTTTTTCCTCAGTTTCCATTGCTGGATCCTCCTCTCAATATTCTCCAGAGTTCAGTCCTTGAACGTCTTCTCTTCTTTATACTTAGTTCTCACCAGATAGTCTCAAGTTCCATTGTATTATATGATATATACGCATCCCCTATTTGATCTGTTTCCCTGAGGAGCCCTGACTAATACAATAACCTTTCCTCTTTGCCTCCTATGGAGCTCTGGAATCAACTCAATGTGGAAGATGTCTCACCAGTGTCAATCCTTTCCTTCTTTCTTAGTAACAGTCTTTTATTTTACGTAGCCAGCCTCAGTCTGTCAACTGAAGTCGAGTAGACACTGGGATCCTTGATGGAAGGTGGAACCCATCTTTCCCTAAAATTCTACGTTGGAGAGAAACAATTCCAATTCCTCCCCCTAGCAAAGGCAAAGAGCTGCAAACTCTTTACCCCTTTCTTTCAGGGCCATTATTTTCCCCAGATAATCTCAGAAATATTTATATATAAAATTAATACAAATTGCTGGTTGGCATGGTAGATACAGTACTTGTTTTCATTTATGCTAATGAGTTGCCATTTTTGTTTAATTACCCCTCACCTTTTTAAAACTAGAGAATACATTCATCACTCATGACTGTAGGAGAGATTTTTATCTTAATATGGGGGGTAAAAATATAAGGGTTTCTAGTCTGTTTTATGCTCTACTTCTTTAAAAATTTTAATTCTTCCATAAGAAAACATGTTACCCCTTAGGGAAAAATCCTTGATTCTTCCCATCACTCTGCTTTACTTTATATTAATAACTTGTTTCATTAATTTTTACTATTAACTTTTGACTTCTAGCAATGTTTTATCACTAGTGGATTGTTTCAGACCACCATAGGGTAATGTGGTAAGGATTAACACCTTAATAAAAGATAATAAATTTTTCGCATTTTTTGAAAGTTCAGGCCAAGACAATTTTCATGTAATCATAGTTAGAGAAAGCTTTTTCACCTGGCTTTTATAAAGATGCCAAGTGAAACTCTATATTAAAATATGTTATCAAGTATCTCCTTAACTTAAACTGATACACATAGCTGTTACTTAAGAACTCCAACAGAATTATAGGACTCAGAAGTCAGAGATGCCCCAATCTAGAAGTCATTGTAACAGAGCTCCTGTTAAAACTCCTAACTTCCAGTAGTTATTGCAGATTAACAATGTTCAGAGCATTGCCAAGCTTCTACATTGCCATAAAACACTGTATTTATACCTAAAAGAGTCAATTTACCAGATCCTCTTAAAATTATAATAGGCACCCAGATCCTGAAAATCACCCACACTACTTGTCAGGATTAATTGTTTCTTTGGCTTTCATACGAAAGTGTAAAAACAATGAAACAAAGAAAGACAAGCAAGCAGAGGAAAGTCAGACTTAAGAGGTACAGTCTCTACCAGTTGCTCCATTTTTATCTTTCTGGCAGAGGCTTTAAATAGGTATTTGATTATATGATACAAAGAGTATAGGGTTCTTTCTAGAATTTCTCATGTAGACCCAAATATCCAGCCAGGGTTGAACACTATCTTTTCAACATTAACATGATAGGTAGAATTTTAACCATAACCCTCATGTTGCACCACTTAGCAACTGACTGATTCAAATAATGAGCTTCCTTTTAGAAAATCTTAGAAACACTTGGATATAAGAATATGAAAGAAGAAGAAAACATGCCAAATGTCAACCATCTATATTTTAAAGTAAATTCATGCTTATAAATACTATTAAAATTCTCCCTCATGCCTCAGGACCTGGGCACTAAATTGTTTGCAATGCATTTGTGAAAAGTATGTGCTGTTCTCTAAATTATTTCAAACTGTTTGTGTTTTATGTTGAAATTTAATCTCAGTGTTTGTTCAGACAAACTATTAAAAGTAAAACATTTACCTAAGCCTTGTTTTTGTCTTGTAATGGCATTTCTGCTTGATTTAATTTAAATCTGTTATTTTTAAGTCAATTAGTAGTACAAAAACAATATTCAAAAGTTCCATGGCCATTTTAAAAACAGCCTCTGTTCCCAGGATTATAAAGCATCAATCATTGGTCATGACAGTATATTCTATATAGTTGAAGGCTGCTTTCTATATAGTGAAAGTAAAATATATATCCGTTGCTCATCAAAGATGTCAACTGCTTTGACTTTTCCGCTTTTCAAATATGTTTTTATCTACATCAGTGTAATAAATCATTTATAAAATTCTCATTAAGAAGCATTACATAACACATGCCACCATCTTATCTAACATTTCTAAATCATACACTTCATTTGCATTCTTTCTTCTTTTAGTTTGCCAGGCTATGTTGAGCCACATAACTTTTCCTGTAGTGACAGGGGAAACCAATGATCCAGTTTTTTTTTTTTCCATCCCTGCACAAAATCAGTTTGACTTTGATTAATGTGACACCAGTGGGGGCTTGACTAAATTAACTACTACTTTACTTGTTAAGAAATCAATTCTTTCAGCTGAGAATCAAACTGATTGTGTTTCAAGTATGACCTAGAGTGATCTTTATCAACATTAAGAGAACCAGTCCAAAGCAATAGCTAAAGAATAAAGTATTTTAAAAATGGCCTAAAAACTCATTAGCTGTATTTACATTAATTTGGAATTTTGATCATTTATACCTATGCTCTTCTGAGTTTGTTCCATAAGACGCTAAAGTGTTAATGAAACACTTTACTCACATGTGTATTGTAACTATGTGGGCACTTCCTAGAATGACATTCTTTACAAAGCATTAATGATACAGAAAGTATAAACCTGACTCAGTAAGTGGTACCTCATAGAAAACCTCAACATTGCTCATGTAACCCACTGAGCAGGAAATAAATGCACCGCAGGAAAATGGAAGCTTCACTCTAACCTATGTTCTTAATTCTGAGTATGTTTTAAAGAAAAGTAAAAATGAACAGAAAATTTTTACTTTATCACAAAAATTACAGAGTGCTAAAATGTCACAAATTACTGCCCTACTGATTTGGAATTGTGAAAAATCCAGATTTTTTTTTTCTTTGTTGAAGTTTGTATTTGATCCAGTATAGAAAGAAGTCATTCTCCTTTAAATTCTTTTCAACCCGTATAGCATGGTCAGAAATAAGGCTTAGTTTAGTATCTATATGTCTTTTTTTTTCTTTTTGCCATGGAGTTGCACTCTGTCACCCAGGCTGGACTGCAGTGGTGTGATCTTGGCTCACTGCAACCTCTGCTTCCTGGGTTCAAGGATCCCCCTGCCTCAGCCTCCCAAGTAGGTGGGACTACAGGCATGCACCACCACACCCAACTAATTTTTGTATTTTTAGTAGTGTCAGGGTTTCACCATGTTGGCCAGGCTGGTCTCGAACTCCTGACCTGAAGTGATCCGACTGCCTCAGCCTCCCAAAGTGCTGGGATTATAGGCATGAGCCACCACACCTGGCTTATATGTCTTTTATGTTAATACTTCTCTAATATTTGCCAAACTCTCTTTAAGAAAATTTATCTCAGCCTCAATCTCCCTCAAGGCAACAGAACTGGCCAATATTTAATAATGTCATTTTCATCACATTATATTGATTTTTATAGTTGCCTTCTGTTTGCAACAGAGAATACTGGTTTTCTGTTCACGGTACTAATATAAGTTTTCTCTTTAAATGAATTTAGATTGCAAAGTGAATCAATTTAAAGAGAATATTGGGAAATAACCGTACAGGTGGTAAGCAAGTATGTCAAAAAATCATGAAAGTAGTAAAAATGGCTGGATGTCAGGAAGTAACTATATATAAAACCAAACAAGAAAAAATATATACAAAACTGTAAAGAGAAAACCATCTATTTGAACAAATTAATTTCAATCCTTTTCCCAGTATTTGCATAATATCATGTTTAATTCTAAATGATGTATTTATTAAAGTGGGACCATTAAAACCTTTACCCAACAACATTGTGATAGTTTCTCACTCAGTACAATATAAACTCAAAAACTGTAAAATTCAGCTCCTTAGTGAAAAAATTCTGTAATTCAGAAACTTCATTGAACAAATGCTTATCAATCACTCAGTATACCCAACACAGTGAGCCAGATTTGAGGAGGGACAAAAACATTTAGGTATCCACTCATTAATTCAAAAGCTGTTTTTTGAGTAGATATGATATTCAAAGCCACTTGTTGTGTAGGATTTAATGAAAGAAAGAGAAAGAGGAGCAGAAGGAGGAAGAGGAAAAGGAGGGAGAAGAGGAAGAGAAGGAGGAGGAAAGTAATTATTAAATAAGGGTCCTGAACTCAAAGAGATTACCATCTAGTTCATTATTACTTATTATTGTCCTTGAGTTTTACTTATTATACTATATCATTTTCTCACATATTATCTCTTTTTTAAAATCCATGTATTACTCAGTCTGTGGTAATATTTAGGAGACATTTCTTTTGACCATCAGATTCTATGAAACTCAATAACAAATTCATGGAATACAAAATAGCACAACCTTAAAACTCACAGCAATACTTACGAAATTGGACACCCTTGGCCTTTCACATATTCTTTGTGAAAGGGGAGATGCTGCCCCAGAAAAAGTAGTCAACATTCAGTAAAATAAACTCACTGTGGTAACTTGAACATATGCATTTAATGAGAATCCACATGCAAAGCATAACTTGAAGGTTTAACTACATAAATTAAAATTGTTCTAAGCTGTTATCCTTCACAAATATAGTGCTTCCAATTTTTACTAAATTTATACATCTCACTTAGGATGTGCAGTTGTGATCATGATATATAATGTTTATTAAACTACTTGCATATATAGCCGCCTCTTCTTCCTCTTTACTCTGTGCCTGAAGCCTAATGAAGACTTCTACAAAAAAAGACAAAACCTATTGTGTTCTAAGGAATAGTTGTAGTTTTTTAAAATATGAAAATAGATTGTGATGTTCAACACTTAAAGCAAATTTTTCATTTCTGATTCACTGAAGACAGATTTCCAACAAAAGCTTTATACCATATGTACTCACATATCACTATTTTTAAAAATTAAAATCTTACAGAAAGATTACAAGACTTCCTTCATATCCTAAACTTTGTGTGATAGTACTTTCTTACCTTCTCAGCCTAGAATGCCTTCCTTCTGTATTTTAAGTGGATGATGCAACTGGCATGAATGCTACAGCTGCCCTCTAATCCAGCCTCTCATTTGAATTACTTTGTACCTTCCACACCAAAAAACTTGAGCTGGCAAATACTAATATCAGCCACCTGTGAATCGACATTAATCATTTCATAACTTAATTGTCACCAACAGTATTGAAGGAAAAACAACATTTGGTGTCAAAGAGACTGAACCAGAAAACTGGCCCTAAGGAAATGTGAGTGTAGTGATCCTAGCTGGGAAGCTCTCTGCGCTTAACTGTCAACTCACCTGGATTCTGGGCTAACTCTGTTTCCTCTGCAGAAAATGAAAAAATATGAGATCCAAGCACCTGCAACTCCTCAAATCCACCTGAAGCCAATCCATCTGTGTTCCAATAACCCAGGCCTAGGTTTCCTTCTGACAAGATCGATTTCTACTTGGTTCTATAGTTCTACTATATGCATCCTTTGCTGTCTTTTCTTCTCATTCTGTATACCCGGTGTGCCCAATACTGTGCTAGCAATAAGAAACAAAGAAGAGCAAGTCTCTCAGAGCAGGGATGCACACTAATTCCTAGGATTTCAGTATCTTATGTGACAGCTTTATCTAATTTTCCTTTCCATAAAAGTATAAATATTTTAATTTTTTGCAATGTGAAAAAAATTTAAATACTCCATAATTGCAGGCATTTGGGCCTTCCGCTCTACTTAAATAGCATTTTTACTGCCTTGGATGTCATAATGAAAGCATTTGCTTATTTTTCTTGCAATGTTTTTCCTTCAGTTCACATCACAGCTTCTATGATGGTCTTGGGTTGCTGGCTTCCTTAATGGTGCCATCATATAGAATCACTGGAGTTTCCTGGTAATTGGAAATAAATACTTCAAAATTATTTTACCATGAAGCTATTTTTAATATTCTGTAAGATTTGTCACTTCCCTTTTATTCCTTTTACACCTTATTTAAGGAGAAAATAATATCCTTGCTTCAGGAAAAAGAAAAAAGAGAAGATTTCCATTGTTTCTATCACAAATCCAAAATATTCTCAAGGGTTTAGAAGGTGTATTAGCATCTTATTGTTTAGTCCTACTGCAGCCTTCTTGCAGCCAGAAGGGGAAACACTATTCACACACAGAGGGTGGCAGAGAGGGGACGAGAAACAGCTTGGGGTCATTGAGGTCATTGCTAAGACAGTGAACCAGCTCTGGGCCTCTTATTTCTAGACTTTCTGTTAAGTAAATGATAATGATCCTTGTGGTTGAAACCACTTTTAATCAGGAATGCTTTTACCTGATACCCAAAGTTACCCTGATATCCCTATAAACACAGCTTGATCAGTTAACTAGTTCAATCAAGGATGGGTGGGAGGACTCACAGGCTGGAGCAGAGAGGCGGCCAGTTTCAAGTGATGCCCATTCTGGGCTTCCCAATCCAGTTTTCTCTGAGCTGTTTTCTGTAGTTGGGTTTTCTACAGTGAACATAAACTGTCAACCTCTGCTCAGAGAGTCATGACAGCAGAGGCATGGAGACCAGCAGAATGACCTCACCTCCACCTTCTCCCCTAGTGTAAACACTTGACCCATGGCTACTACCTAATCCACAAAGGGGAAAGGAAGGCAGGTGCCTGTGGACCACATTTCCTATGGAAATGCTATAAACAGGAGTGTCCTGGCTAACTGGCTCTCTGGTGGGGATGGGGGATGGGGGATGGGGGATGGGGGCAGTGGGCAGGGATGAAGAGTTACCCTGATGTGTAGCCTTTCCCAAGTTTTGTGGTATAAGTAATCTTACCATAGATGTCAAACTGCTAACAGATCAGTAACCTGCTGACAATATTCCTGAACATTTAACTATTGACTCTGGAAAGCCAGATAATAATTTAATGAGTTCTTTTTCAGGAGCTGTTTTTGTTTTTGAGAGAATCCTGTGAACTAAGAGGGAACTCTACTGAAGGAATGTCAAGCATAAAACCTATAATCAAATCCTCTCTTCATGGAGCTTATAGTCCAGCTGCAAGTTCAGCAACATGCAATACAGAAGCAAGAATCACTTGCTTATAAGGTAAGATGATTATAAATGCAAATTAATGTAAAGCAAATTGACATATAAGCACCTAAGACAAAGTGCATCAGCCCATCTCATAAGGTGGCTGAAAGGTCCAAATGAGATTGTAGATGAGAAGACTCTTGGTGAGTTATGGGCCACAGCAGAAATGTAAAGGATCATTCCTCTTGGTGTGCAGTGAGGATAATCAGACAAGGCACCATCTGGATTCCCAGAACATGGTAATTGATAATGACAAGGTCAAAGATGGAAAGGCAGAATGCCTGGGGATACTGAGAAGACAGAGAAGCAAATAGGGGCCGCTGGCCTCAAAGACAGTGGAGCAAATTGTGTTCACCGATCCAAATTATTTTCTAGCACACCATCGCTGCCTTTTTCATCCCATTTATTATATAACCATGACCAAGACTTTAACTTATCTAGTACTCAAAAGCTCCACCTGCGAAAGTGTCTTCAAGGGGCTGCTTTTAGGATATTCAGGATGAAGACCTAAATGATCTTCAGAATAGCCTTCTACAAATTCAATGTCTCATCATGACTTAGTAGGTTAGCAGCACGGCCTTTGGGACTGAATTCTGACTCTGCCACTTGCTAGCTGTGTGCCTTGTGTAAGTAACTTAAACTCTCAGTGCCTCAGTTTCCTCATCTGTAAATGGAGATGGTAATATTTAACTCATAATACGGTTGTGCAGATTAAACAGACATAAATATAAATTACCTAGGACAATGCCTAGCACATAGTAAGAACTCTATAGCTGATAGATATTATTGGTATTGATTTTAAGAGTATAACATTCAAAATTTGGCTTAAAATTCTTAAATGGTAAAGAAATTATAGGCAATTAAATTAGTTTTGCCACCTGCCTTTAAATAAGATGGTTCTAAATTGGCTAGGATGCTTTCTTTCTGCCACTTAGAGTGTCAACTTCAACTTAAGTGTGGCCTTCCTGTGAAGGAAAGTCAGTTGACGAGTAGCAAGAACCGCTTCATACTTCAGGCACATCCAACATGGGAGGGGAGAAAGGAAAGAGAAGGAGAGAGAGAGAGAGAGAAAGAGAGAGAGAAGAAGAAGAAGAGGAAGAAGAAGGAGAAGAGGAAGAAGAAGAAGAAAGAAGAAGAAGAAGAAGAAGAAGAAGAAGAAGAAGAAGAAGAAGAAGAAGAAGAAGAAGAAGAAGAAAGAAAGAAGGAGAAGAAGGAGAAGAAGGAGAAGGAGAAGGAAGAAGGAGAAGAAGGAGAAGGAGAAGGAAGAAGGAAGAAGGAAGAAGGAGAAGGAGAAGGAGAAGGAGAAGAAGAAGAAGAAGAAGAAGAAGAAGAAGAAGAAGAAGAAGAAGAAGAAGAAGAAGAAGAAGAAGAAGAAGAAGAAGAAGAAAAGAGAGAGAGAGAGAGAGAGAGAATGAACATGAACCAAAGAAGAAAGAGGAAGAGTCATTCTGAGCATCCAATATATGTGTCCTCCTATTACATCACATAGACCAAACCACTGTGTCCAGAGATTTGTGATATGCTGATAGGATGGAGCTGGAATGTTTCTTTGGGAAAACGGAGGTTCAAGTAGGAAGAGAAAAAGGTAAGGGGATGGATACTAGGCTGTTAACCTACAAATGGCAAGTATAGTTTTAAAGCCATTTTCTGTATTCATCTGTTGACCTTAAACCATAAGGTACAGGCTATTCAACAATAGGCATGATTTGTACTTTCACTGTTCGCAATTCCGACCACTACCCTATTACATCTAAAACATGAATCTGGCTGCTTATCCTTGGATTTTCTACCTCCATAAAATGATAAAGAGAATGTTCCTTATATACAGAATACCTGAGCTTTACCAGCACCAGGACTGGTTGTTACTCTATGTTTTTGATAGAGCTGATTTTCCTATTTCATTAGGGAGACATATATCAACATACAGAAGGTTGATGTATAAAAAAGAAATAAGCCCAACCAGCTGAAAGAGGAAGAACTTAATTTATTGCTGAATAGTGACAATCAATTCAAATGATTTTAGTTGAACTGACATTAAATTATAACCTCTTGGTTTAAGACATTTGAGAGAATGAGATCCAAAGAAAAAGATTGGGCATATTTTTAAAAATTCCTTGAATATCTCTTATTCACTGTTTTTGCCATACAAACAAGCTTAGATATTTGACTTAACACTGCCCTAGTTCTCAAGCCTCTAGTTTCTCTTCATGACAGTAGCTTTCTATTATGATAGATGAAAACCCAAATAACATTTATTCTATCCTATTGGAAAACACATGAAAATGTCCAGGGGAGAAGCATCTCTAAAAATAATAAATGAAATACATCCACCAATAAAGAGGAATAGAATCGTGGTCTCTGATCTCCTTTTTGAGGCACTATTCCTCCCACGGGAGTTAGACTGTAGCAGAAATCTAAGCATGGCCCTAATTCCTACATTCCAATCCTAGATACACTAAAAGGAGCAGAACCAGGTGAAGTAAACTTAAAAGGAAACAAAGTCTTTATGCATTCCAAAAACAACACTTTTCTCTGTGTGTAATCCCCATAATCAAATTGATGCTTGAATGACAAAGCAAGAAAAATGATATAAAATTGGGGAAATTAAGAATGATATAATCGTGTTACTGCCTCTGTGCCCTATATATCTAAATATGTATCTATCAAAAAACCTCTCCAACAGAACATGGTGACAGAGATAAATTTCAGTTTGACAAATGCACCAAACAAAAAATGAAATGTATCATAAACCATTGCTCTTTCTCAATCCAAACAGAAAAAAATTCCTAAAGAAACCTGCATTCTTTATAATAACTAGGGTAATGTATGATGTGTTCTCTCAATTTCTGAAATACTATGTAAGTCACGAATCTAAAGCCATGCAAAAGTTATACATTCACAATATGCTTGTAGAAGATTCATGTTAAATGTGGCTTTGCTCATAGTTTTTTAAAACTGGTAGTTTTGACTACAAATACTAAAATAAAGTTTATTAAAATTTTTTCACTTTTCAAACAATCATCTTAGTATAGAGACACTGCCTTATTCATTTATTCATTCAATATATTCAGATAATTCACTATTTTCTATAAAAGAAAAATGCCCATCTTGATTAATGAGATCATCTATGAAGCAATTGTGCTAACTTTCCTAAGTTTCATACCTATTAATTTCAAAAAATTTCCACTAATTTCTGCATTATAAGATCGATTGAATGGGAACATCTAATCTGTCTTTACAAAACCCTTTATTACTGCAACTATAATCTGTAGATTTTAATACTGTTTTCTGATATTTTCATCAATACTGCAGAAGTTGTCCATATCTATCACAAAATTCACGACCTATTTTAAGTAGCTAAGTTCTCTTAAATTTTACTACAAAGTAATCCCAAATTATCTAAATTGATTATTCCATGAGTCATGAGCACCAAAACATGGTATATAAATGAGTGTACTGCTTGATGGAGAACATTGATCAGCTGACTCCTGTTCACCCTTGATCTTGCCATCCCACATGTACCAGCACCCACAACCCTACACGTTGTACTCCTAGGTGATGGCAATAAGAATACAGAACAGCTAGAGCTATTTGCCAAGCTGCAGAAATAGCCCTTGGTGATATAAATAAATGATGTCACAAATGACACCAAGTTTTCAAGCTTAAGTAGCTAGAAGAAGGTGTCATCATTTTCAAAGAAGAAGGTGTCATCTTTTTCAGAGGCTAGAAAATTGAGATGGGGAGCTGATGCATGTCATTTGGAACTTCTTGAGTGTGGGGTGATGGAGAGGCATTCCAGTTAAAAAGCAGTAGGCAGTCAGATGTGTGATAACTGAAACCTGAGTAAGAAAACTGGGATGGAAATGTAAAGATAATACTCATCTGAGAGAGGGGAAGATTAATCCAGAGAGAGAGAAGCAGGGACAGAAAAATAGAAATATAAATGAATGGATGAATATTAACGAAAATACTTAAATAATGCTTAAAGTGAGAACAGAGTAAGAGGATGAAAAGAAATGCATTTTTTTAAAAAAGAAAAAACAGGAAAGAAAATCCAACAAAATATATTCATTATTAATTTATTCAAATATTTATTGAGAATCCACTTTATCCTAGGCACCGTGTTAGACACTGGGGCAAGGAGGAATATACAGATTCAAAGTAAATATGGCCGCTGGCCTCAAGGAATTTATAGCCTAGTGAAGAACAGAGCAAAGCACTGGACAAATAACACACACATACACACATACAGACCAATAAGAGTAATTGTAATAAATACGCAAAAAAGAAAAAAATCAAAAACAAAAACAAGGTCCAGGTGCTGGGCATATATAAAGGGCAGCTGCCTCACTTTGCCTGGAGTGTTAGAGAAAGTTACACTAAGAAAATGACATACCTGGCAAATGAGTAATAAAAAATAATAATAAGGAAAAGTGATCACCAAAGTCAGAGGGAGCAGAGTCAGCAAAACACCAAGGAAGAGAAGAGGAAAACACACAATGGAGAGCAATAAAGAGCCCCCTGAAAATCTTAAAGTGGCTTTTTTTTTTTTTTTTTACCATTTCCTCCTCCATTTACCATCCTAGTCCAAAAGCCAAGTGTAAGCAGGCAGTTCAGGGCTAGGGTTTGGGTCAGGGTGGACACTGCTAACTTGTTACCCAATACACATTCACCAGTTCTACCTACTAACAGAACCCCACATTTTTTAAGGTAGCAATGAGCCTAGACAAATTACTAATTTTGCCGGCCTGCCTTGTAGCTAGGGGTGACTATGACAACTCAGACCAAAAAGTCATATGCAGGAGGCTGCTAAGGATTACCAGGAAGTTTTGCTTTCCCAATGGTAACACAGCCCCTTTCTGCTTGACACCTGATTTTCTTTTTCTTACCTTGAACAACAGGTTGGAAGTGGATCAGTCATCTTGTAACATGAGGCAACCATAAGAATGAAAGCCACGTACTAAGGAAGACAAAAGGGAAAAACAGACGACACTAGAGCTTTGAGGGCATCCTGGAGCCACTGCATCAGTTCCAGACTGTCTAGCTGTACACTTTGTTACGTGAGAAAAGCAGACTCCTATATGGTTAAGTCAGTGTAGACCAGTTTCTTTTACTTGAAATCAAATACAATCCCTAGCTGATACAGGGTTGTAGTGGGATGGGAGGAGGAGTTATTATTGTTAAGGAAGTGATCAAAGTAGGGATGACATATACAGAAACAAAAATAGAAACCATTTCAAGTCCCTTTTTACAATATAGACACAGTTACTACACAAACACATGGGATAATCAAACTATACAATGAATGTGTTACCTTATTTAGGATAAGGCTTTAGAATTATAAACGTTATCTCTTGGAAGCTTTGTAGCTTTAAACTATTGAAAACTGGTATATTTAAAGACACAGTTGTCACATCATAACATTGTCCTTAAAAACAAACTTTCTCCATTGCTGTATATGACTCAAGACCATCTGAGAAGGTAATGGGAGTGTTGTTCTGAGAGCTCAGCCAGGTGCTATAGCAAATGGTTAGACATTTAAATAGCATTATTTATCATAAGTAACATGAAAGAATTATCTTACAGTCTGATTCCAAAATGTATGTCAATTTGGCAGTAAACCAGTGCCTTTTTAATTATAAAGCATAAATAGATTTCTAACATTTTTCTTTTCCTAATTATACACACTGATTTGTCATGACACTGCCATTTTGCAGGATATGTAAAAATCAGCTCTGGCCAGCTTGAACAAGTATTACAAACACCAAGAATCATTACACGGGCACACTCTATAACATTGTCCATTGCCGCACAAATTTCACTGTAAGGTGTGTCCAATCTGATACAGCTTTGAAGTCAAAAACCTTAAGATTTGAATCTTATCTCTATTGAATGCTAATTATGTTACCCAAAGCAAGTCACCCAATCTGTCTGAGCTTTGGTTTCCTGAATACCTATATTTTGTGAGTATTAAATGAGATCCTTTATAAACAAACACAATGAGCACAAAGGCCTATCTACACCACTGCAAGCTCTCTGCAAACATTATCTCCTTTCTCTTTTGCCCTTTCTCTACACTGAACTACATTTGAGGAATTTTCATTAAAAGAAACAGAAGTAAAAGCTAGTAAAATTCATTCCTACAGAACAGATCCCAACCTAATTAAGTGTAACACAAAAAGTGAGTTTCTACTTAAATTCTGAGGCAAAGATTATAAATACACAGAAGCCCAAATGTGGCAATTGTGCCTATTATCAGAATAGCATGCAGACCATAAAAAGAATATTTTAAGGACTGTTTCCATTTTCAAAAGGCTAGTAAGTTAGTATTATGTAATCACAAAGCTATGCTAGAAAAGAACTTTCAGCAGTCACTCTCATTTTCCCAAAAATACAGTGTGGGTCATATGCCTGGGCACAGCCCTGAGCAGAGAGAGGTTGCACTTGGGGGTAGTGCTCCCTGATGAATTCACCCTGCTCTCATCTTTCTGTGATCTCTCACATTCACAGCTGTCCATCTCCCTCACCTTGAACCAGCACAGAAATAAAGAAAACAAACATCTCCCCTAGGAGAGCAGCCAGAAGCCCCTTACCAAGCATCACCTCCCTGATGAGTTGTCTTTCTGACTATTTCACTTCTTTTAGGGCAGTCTGGCAGGCAAGGGACAGTAAGAACAAAATGTTTATAACTCTAGTGATAAAACAGTAGCCACAATCATGGATACTTAGAATTCATATTTTCCTGCAGGAACTAGGTGTGAATGGTATCATCATCTTGGCCAAGCTCAAAAATGCCCATTCATTTAATACAAATGTGTTACCTCACTGGTTCCCTCCTAAGAAGGTGAGGGGAAGAACCATCATCACCTAGCCTTGTAATTATTCAGATTACATTTCGTTTTATGTGACAGTGGTCAAATTTGTATTATTCTTCTGTTGCCCTAATTATCATCATAAATCAGGAAACAAGAATCTCAATGTCCAATTACCATTCAGAATAGATAGAGATAGGAAATTAAAGCTCCTTTTAAGTGGGAGAAAGGGCAATTCCACAGAGCTTCCCTTAGCTAAGGGAATGGATACTGTGCTGAATAGTACATTATTGAAGAAGAGATAAGCGATTGTGTGATGTGCAATTGCCAACACTTTCTATTCTTTCAACTTTAGTTTTAAATGCTTACAAGGAATAACATCTTCACATTTTTCAAAAGGCTGCTACAGGAGAAAGCCACTTATGCTCACTTATATTCACAAGTATTGCAAATACAGCAAATTATTACTTAAAGAAGAAAGAGGAAGAGACACAGAGACCAAAAGAAACAGAAAGACTCTGAAGTCTTGGCTTCCACACTGTATAGGACTTTGGCCAGGAATGTTTTCCACTGAAACCCTGCCCTCACTACTATCCTACACCTCCCCAGCTGCTTCCTTTAAGGAACTGAAGCCAGAAAGGTACTGCAGAGGGAAATTTTTTTTAAAGAAATCAACTTCTCAGAAATATAATAAGCCCAAGCCTAAACTGTTGTTTTCTCTCCTTGGTAATTTTTATTTTTCTAATGATAAAAGTGGCTACTAAGTGATGATACTAATTTCCAGCAATTTAACTATATGTTACTTCTCAATGTACTCATTACAGCTATGTCACTGTAGGTGGTATAAAAAGGTGAGTCAATCCAGTTGTTTGGACAGTTCAATCAATGACTCAAAGTGGTAGATCTTGTAACTCTGTTTAATTACACCTAAATTAAATATCCCTAGTAGACTTTATTCAGAAAAAGACAATACACATCTGTGATGTCACTAGAAAAATCTACTTGCCATGCTCTTAAAACAGGGACCTCAGCTATTGACATAAAAACATTTTTAGAAAAAAGATTTAGCCACACAACTAGTAATAGTTATTAAGTTTGTTAGACTGAATCCAACCATTTTTAAGGTGGTAAATACAAGATTAGATTCAGATTAGAAAGGATACTAGAAAATACAATGAAAAGATATGTGCAATTTTTATGTCTCTGACTTTAGAGGATTTTTTAACAATTTTGTGTCCTTCCATTTCAGTTTCATAATTGAGTTGAATGCCGATGAAACAATATGTCATCCAAACCTAAGTCCTATGTTGTAGGTGATTAATAATTGATGACAATATTAAAACTGCTCTTATCAGTTCTAACTTTTCTGGCTAGGAACTAGCTGGCTCACAGCCCAAACATCATAGTAAGCCATAGTTAAAACTGCCTTTGGATCTTATTAGAATAACACCACTTATTTTCTTCCTTTGAACTGATAATGTTTCTTTTTTTTTTTTTCCAATACAAATTTTATTATGGCAGCACAGGTCACTGTGTGGTAACTGTCTGAACTCTAAGCAATCTTGGAAGCAGTGGTTCTTAAGTATAGTTCCAATGTGGTCTGTAAGGATCTTCTAGATGTTTGAAGGATTTGTCCAAAATTTAATTCATTTAAAAATGGAGATGTATTTAAATATATAAATCAGTTTCCATTGCAAATGTCAACTTATAAAAGACAAAATATTATTTTTTTAAATTTAATGACTATAATAATTCTTTACCCTACCCAAAGCACCACAGACCACTCATGCACCCAACCCTGACAGGGGAAGAGAGATGGAGAGGCATGGGGGTGGAGGGAGGAATGGGGTGGGGAATGAAGGGAGAATAAGGGATTTCGCTTCAGGCCAAAAGGTATGTAAGAATAGGTTGGGTCCACAGTTTCCAAGATCATGACTTCTAGGAAGAAGCATATGAATCAGGAAAGAAAGACATCAGAGACAGAAAGAGAATACTTTTTACTAATCAAAAAAATCTCATTAATTGTAATGCAAGAGTATTATACTTGTAATGCAAGAGTATTATACTTTTCTGTACATTTTGTTTCACCAATCACCTAAATTTTACAGCTTTTTACAATAACTAGAAGGCAGTGTAGCATAGTGACTTCAGTCCAAAACCCAGTTCTCCCACTTAATTTCTCTAAGCTTCAGTTTCCCCATCTATAAAATGAGAGCAAGATCTATATTATGAGAACATGTTTTTAAATACCTAGCAAGATGCTCAATTGACGGTAGTAACATAATAAATTAGAGTAGGTGACTTTCTAGAAACCCAGCTATGCCCCCTCGCCTTAGTCTTGTGTGGTCTAGCATTGGTGTGAAGTAACTGCACACTTCCACTTACAGGGTGATTTTTCTAATACCCTGAAAGGATACTTTTATGTTTTCGGTAGTACTTTGGTTTTCCCAACTGTTTTCTTCATAACGGGTTTTCTCGGCTTTTATCACAGGTGTTTTTTCTTTATTTAGAAGAAAATTTAAACAATTATAAAACGTTGTTTATTCATCCATTATTTATAGTTTATTATTATGGCAAATCTATTTTTAAGGCTTTGTTATGAATTAGTGCCAACAACCCTCAGAACAAAATTTAAACAATTATAAAATGTTCTTTATTCATCCATTATTTATAGTTTCTTATTATGGCAAAACCTATTTTTAAGTCTTTGTTATCAATTAGTGCCAACAACCCTCATGTTATTCATAGAACCACACAGTATGCAAAAGGGACAGACACTGAAAATACTTTCCAACTGTACATAAAAGAGGTTAATTTTCAAACCCGGACAGTGGTATTTAAGGAGAAAATTTGTCTCCAAATACTCACAACAGCTAGTCATATTCTAAAACCTAAAACCATGATTATTTCTCCTTTAAGTTTTAAACTATTAATTTTACATTTCAAAGGGATGTTAGCTTAGAGCCAAAAGGTTTTGATCATTTCATCAACTAAAAACTGTAAAACTGAATTCATGGAAACAAACCCCCCAAAAATCTCCTTGGCTGACAAAAATTTCCAATTTCAAATCCACAGTCATCCTTCATTCAGTGTTTGCACAGCTCCATGGAATCTTGTTTGCTCATTAAAGTGAGGCCCTCCATAAATAGAAAAACTACATTGGAACCCACTATGTAACACAAAATTTCTAAATATTAAAAGCCATACCATCTGAAGGGCATTTTAGAAAATGATCAGTAATTTTTCTGAGATGTATTCCTGACACTGCCTGTAACTTCAAAATATCTCTGCATGTAGGGAGGACTATTTCACGTGTTCCTTTTGATATTAAAGTCTTTTCTCCAAGGCTAGGCCTGTAAATAAAGTAATAAAGTAGCTTTTTTAAAAGAGGGAATTTAGTCAAATATGGAACTGGTTTTACATCACTGCACTGCTACTCATTTGCTTGACGAAATTGATAGCTTGTCAAGTCTTGTATTTGGCTATTAACAGCTGCCACCTCTTCTACAGCATTGCTGGTGCATATTCTTATAAGGATTAAATAAGGTAAGATTAATTAATATGCCTGGCCCAGGGCATGGCACTTAGTGAGCACTGAGGACATGACAGCTGTTAATATTTTAATAGCAATTATTTCACAATTGCTATGAAGCTAAGGGAGACAGAAAGATTTGTCCAGCATTCACCATCAGGGGTTTCCACTGTTTTCTGGGGCCTATTCTGTATTCATCATTAACAATGACAACAACAATTGAGATGTTAATACGATAGTCAGAAAATAGAGCTAGTTACTGTGGAACTGGGTCTCCCTGTTTCCACACTCGTCCTGTCCTCTCCATTCTTCATATGTCACTCAAAAGCATCCTTCTAACACACAAGAGACGACATCTCTTTGCTGACTGAAACCCTCCAGAGACTTCACACTGAGAATAAAATAAAATCCAAACTTTCCTGTGGCCCACAAGGTCTCCCAGAAATTGATCCCTGACCTCATCACATATCAGGTCTTCCCTCCTTCGAGTCACACTGGACTTATATTCCTGGTTTTAGCACCTGCTGTTGCCTTTGCCTGCAGAGCTCACTCATGTTTTCACATGGCTGGGTCCTTCTTTTCATGCAGACATCAGCTCCAAAAGGCCACCTCCTCAGGGCAACCCCACCACACCCTACCTAGAAAAGCCTCATCCCTCCCACTCCACTGCCCTGCCCTTCATACGATCTCACCAATTCCATTTTATTTCCTTCACTTCCTCCTATGTTTTTGTTGTTGTTTTTATTTATGTAATAATTTTATGGAAAAATCTCTGCTTACGAGGACATAAACATAAGGCCATTTCCCCTAACAGTGCTATGTCAACTCCCCCTTCCTGAGAGGAATCAGCTCCTTTGTAGAAACTTGGCCAAATCCTATAGCTTCTCAGCCACTTGAGCCTAAGAGCAGTCCCACTTTGACATTTAAGACTTGGCCCTATTCATTTTAAAATATCCATCTCAAAATTTATTCAAATCTAGGCTCTTCCTGTTCCCAGAACAAGGTAGACTACAGGGTCTTTTGATAGAGAGTGGAGTGAAATCCCCTCTTTTTACACACTTCTTTTCATAATCTCCTTAAACTTCTTACTCTTCTTTCCTCAGACACTAGACCCTTGGGGACCATCAATACCAGCCACCATACCCAGGAGAAAAGCTGCATGAAGGAAGAGACTCTTTATTTTCTATTTTGCTTGACTGCTATGAAACAACAATATTGTCCCCCATCCTTTTCCTTGCCAAAGTGCAGTGTTTTAGCTCCGCTATGTGCTAGTTTAGAGACTGGGAGCTGCCTCTCTTTTAGTCCCACAGTCCATTTGTTCATTTATTCACATGAACAAACATGTACTGGATGCTTTGTATGTGCCAGGCCCTGTGCTAGGTGCAGGAACAAACATTTCTTGGAGTTTCCTGTATCTTCAATATTTACATTTATTTTTTTTCAAGTTGTGTACCACTCACTGGAAGTCAATATCCTGTCCAGAGACAGTCCACAAGGGAGCTGGCGAAAAGCAGACTCTATTTTCTCTATTAGCTGTATCATTGTCATTCTGAAAAATAGAGGAGCTAGGCTTGCTCCCAGTAGAAGCAACTAGAGCTACTTTAATTTAACAATTAGAATCATATCATTTCTAGGTGATTTATATATATATACTTTAAGTTCTAGGGTACATGGGCACAAGGTGAAGGTTTGTTACATAGGTATACATGTACCATGTTGGTTTGCTGCACCCATCAACTCATCATTTACATTAGGTATTTCTCCTAATGTTATCCCTCCCCCAGCCCCCTGCCCCCTGACAGGCCCTGATGTGTGATGTTCCCCTCCCTGTGTCCTTGTGTTCTCATTGTTCAACTCCCAGTTATGAGTGAGAACATGTGGTGCTTGGTTTTCTGTCCTTGTGATATTTTGCTGAGAATGGTTTCCAGCTACATCCATGTCCGTGCAAAGGACACAAACTCATCCTTTTATATGGCTGCATAGTATTCCATGGTGTATATGTGCCACATTTTCTTTATCCAGTCTATCATTGTTGGACATTTGGGTTGGTTCCAAGTCTTTGCTATTGGGAATAGTGCCACAATAAACATACGTGTGCATGTGTCTTTATAGTAGAATGATTTATAATCCTTTGGGTATATACCCAGTAATGAGATTGCTGGGTCAAATGGTATTTCTAGTTCTAGATCCCTGAGGAATCGCCACACTGTCTTCCACAATGGTTGAACTAATTTACACTCCCACCAACAGTGTAAAAGCATTCCCATTTCTCCACATTCTCTCCAGCATCTGTTGTTTCCTGACGTTTTAATGATTGCCATTCTAACTGGCATGAGATGGTATCTCATTGTGGTTTTGATTTGCCTTTCTCTGATGACCAGTGATGATGAGCATTTTTTCATGTGTTTTTTGGCTGCATAAATGTCTTCTTTTGAGAAGTGTCTGTTCATATCCTTTGCCCACTTTTTGATGGTTTTTTCTTGTAAATTTGTTTAAGTTCTTTGTAGATTCTGGATATTAGTGCCTTGCCAGATGGGTGGATTGCAAAACTTTTCTCCCATTCTGTAGGTTGCCTGTTCACTCTGATGATAGTTGCTTCTGCTGTGCAGAAGCTCTTTAATTAGATCCCATTTGTCAATTTTGGCTTTTGTCATCATTGCTTTTGGTGTTTTAGTCATGAAGTCTTTGCCCATGCCTATGTCCTGAATGGTATTGTCTAGGTTTTCTTCTACGGTTTTTATGGTTTTAGGTCTTACATTTAAGTCTTTAATCCATCTTGAATTAATTTTTGTATAAGGTATAAGGAAGGAATCCAGTTTCAGCTTTCTACATATGGCTAGCCAGTTTTCCTAGCACCACTTATTAAATAGGGAATCCTTTCCCCATTGCTTGTTTTCAACAGGTTTGTCAAAGATCAGATGGTTGTAGATGTGTGGTGTTATTTCTGAGGACTTTGTTCTGTCCCATTGGTCTATATATCTGTTTTGGTACCAGTACCATGCTGTTTTGGTTACCGCAGCCTTGTAGTATAGTTTGAAGTCAGGTAGCGTGATGCCTCCAGCTTTGTTCTTTTTGCTTAGGATTGTCTTGGCTATGCAGGCTCTTTTTTGGTTCCATATGAAATTTAAAGTAGTTTTTTCCAATTCTTTGAAGAAAGTCAGTGGTAGCTTGACAGGGATAGCATTGAATCTATAAATCACCTTGGGCAGTATGGCCTTTTTCACAATATTAATTCTTCCTATCCATGAGCATGGAATGTTCTTCCATTTGTTTGTGTTCTCTTTTACTTCATCGATCAGTGGTTTGTAATTCTCCTTGAAGAAGTCCTTCACATTCCTTCTAAGTTTGATTCCTAGGTATTTTATTCTCTTTGAAGCAATTGTGAATGGGAGTTCACTCACGATTTGGCTGTTTGTCTGTTATTGGTTTATAGGAGTGCTTGTGATTTTTGCACATTGATTTTGTATGCTGAGACTTTGCTGAAGTTGCTTATCAGCTTAAGGAGATTTTGGGCTGAGACTATGGGATTTTCTAAATATACAATCATGTCATCTGCAAACAGAGACAAATTGACTTCCTCTTTTCCTAATTGAATAGTCTTTATTTCTTTCTCTTGCCTGATTGCCCTGGCCAGAACTTCCAATATTATGTTGAATATGAGTGGTGAGAGAGGTCCTCCTTGTCTTGTGTTGGTTTTCAAAGGGAATGACTCCAGTTTTTGCCCATTCACTACAATATTGGCTGTGGGTCTGTCATAAATAGCTCTTATTTTGAGATACATTACCTCCATACCTAGTTTATTGAGAATTTTTAGCATGAAAGGCTGTTGAATTTTGTCAAAGGACTTTTCTGCATCTACTGAGATAATCATGTGGTTTTTGTCATTGGTTCTGTTTATGTGACAGATTATGTTTATTGATTTTTGAATGTTGAACCAGCCTTGCTTGCATCCCAGGGATGAAGCCAACTTGATCATGGCAGATAAGCTCTTTGATGTGCTGCTGGATTCAGTTTGCCAGTATTTTATTAAGGATTTTCGCATTGATGTTCATCAGGGATATTGGCCTAAAATCCTCTTTTTTTGTTGTGTCTCTGCCAGGCTTTGTTGTCAGGATGATGCTGGCCTCATAAAATGAGTTAGGGAGGATTCCCTCTTTTTCTATTGATTGGAATAGTTTCAGAAGGAGTGGTACCAGCTCTTCTTTGTACCTGTGGTAGAATTTGGCTGTGAATCTGTCTGGTCCTGGACTTTTTTTGGTTGGTAGGCTATTAATGATTGCCTCAATTTCAGAACCTGTTATTGGTCTATTCAGAGATCCAACTTCTTCCTGGTTTAGTCTTGGGAAGGTATATGTGTCCAGGAATTTATCGATTTCTTCTAGATTTTCTAGTTTATTTGCATAGAGGTGTTTATAGTATTCTCTGATGATAGTTTGTATTTCTGTGGGATTGGTGGTGATATCCCCTTTTATCATTTTTTATTGCATCTATTTGATCCTTCTTTCTTTTCTTATTAGTCTTGCTAGCAGTCTATCAATTTTGTTGATCTTTTCAAAAACCCACCTCCTGGATTCATTGATTTTTTGAAGGGTTTTTTTTGTGTGTCTCTATCTCCTTTCAGTTCTGCTCTGATCTTAGTTATTTCTTGTCTTCTGCTAGCTTTTGAATTTGTTTGCTCTTGCTTCTCTAGTTCTTTTAATTGTGATGTTAGGGTGTCAATTTTAGATCTTTCCTGCTTTCTTTTGTGGGCATTTAGTGCTATAAATTTCCCTCTACACACTGCTTTAAATGTGTCCCAGAGATTCTGGTACGTTGTGTCTTTGTTCTCATTGGTTTCAAAGAACATCTTTATTTCTGTCTTCATTTCATTATTTACCCAGTAGTTATTCAGGAGCAGATTGTTCAGTTTCCATGTATCTGTGTGGTTTTGAGTGAGTTTCTTAATCCTGAGTTCTAATTTGATTGAACTGCGGTCGGACAGACAGTTTGTTATGATTTCTCTTCTTTTGCATTTGCTGAGGAGTGTTTTACTTCCAATTATGTGGTCAATTTTAGAATAAGTGCAATGTGGTGCTGAGAATGTATATTCTGTTGATTTGAGGTGGAGAGATCTGTAGATGTCTATTAGGTCTGCTTGGCGCAGAGCTGAGTTCAAGTCCTGGATATCCTTGTTAATTTTCTGTCTCATTGATCTGTCTAATATTGACAGTGGTGTGTTAAAGTCTCCCATTATTATTGTGTGGGAGTCTAAGTCTCTTTGTAGGTCTCTAAGAACTTGCTTTATGAATCTGGGTGCTCCTGTATTGGGTGCATATATATTTAGGATAGTTAGCTCTTCTTGTTGAATGGATCCCTTTACCATTATTTAATGCCCTTCTTTGCCTCTTTTGATCTTTGTTGGTTTAAAGTCTGTTTTATCAGAGACCAGGATTGCAACCTCTGCTTTTTTTTTTCTTTCCATTTGCTTGGTAGATCTTCCTCCATCCCTTTATTTTGAGCCTATGTTTGTCTTTGCATTTGAGATGGGTCTCCTGAATACAGCACACCAGTGGGTCTTGACTCTTTACCCAATTTGCCAGGCTGAGAGATGGGGAGCCTCCTTGTTAGATAAAGTTCCATTTTTAATAGACTTTATTTTTTAGAGTTTTAGTTTTACAGCACAATTGATCAAAAAGTACAGAGTTCTTATATGTCCTCTGTCCCCCAACCTCACCATACAACAAACACACAACCTACCCCATTATCAACACTCAAAAGATTCTTTTTATGTGCCTGGCGAATAAAAGGTGTTCAAGGTTTTATGCTGAGTCAGTATAGTCTTGACCAAGAAATCTGCCCAGGTGAGGAGTGGGGTTTTCTGAAGGCAGCACCCTCTCTGCTACCCTTCCAGGGGGTGGCGATGATTCTTTTGCCTTTCCTCAAGTTGAGTGCTTCAAACTCCTACTCCTACACATTGGTCCAGCTCCTGCACCTTGGCCACTCCCCAGATGCCTACAAGTGGAGCTGCTCTAACACCTGAGGTCTTCTCCCTCATGGGAGGAAAGGGGATAGCTCAGCTCTGAAAAAGCACTCCCCAGAAGGTTCACCCCTCCCAGTCTTCTTATACTGACTGGTGCAGGTGGGCTTAGTGGTAAGGTTGGTTCTTACCCAGTGCCTCTCAATAAATACTTCAAGAGAGCTATTCCAGGGGCCAGTAGCACCTTCAACTTAGAAAAAGGGGCACTTAATTTTCTGGTCCTCAACTTTGAGCCAAAGCCCCAATTCTAGGACTAACGGGGGAATACCGTTGATATGTATCAGTTTACTCTCTGTTTATCTCAACTCATTCTTTTATTAATCTTCACCATCTCAGTCTATCCTCAGCACCTAGAACAGTGTCTGACACATAATAGTACTCATTAAAGATCTGTTAAATGAATTCTATTTGGAACACTTCTAAACCAGGGAATTAACTACATCCTAATGAAACCCATAACATGCTGAATAGTACTGGTAGTTCAAAATAAAAAGAATCTCGTGTCCATTTAGCTAAAATGTGCATCTATTTAACCTATTTCGGCCAACTTAACAACAGGAAAACTACTTTTTTTCCTACATGACATCCCTTTTAAATGTTCTTGGATAGAAAGGATGTCCCCGACTCCTCTTTTTCACCAGGCTTCTAATGTTACATGGTTTCCAGACCCACTGACCATCTTGGCTGACCCTCTCTGAAGAATTAATATTACTTTTAAGATGTGGTCTACCAGTGAAGAGCAGCTGGACTATAACTTCCTAAGAGCTGGACAATCCTCTTCTGTTAATGCAGGTTGCACTTGCATTAGGTTTGGGGCATTTGTTATATAGGATTAATTTCTTCAGCAGAGGAACCACACAGTTGGTTCACATCAAGCCAACTGTGTGGTCAACACAAACCCCAGGTTTTCTTTATGTAGATTACTGTCAAATCAGACCTCCACATCCTGTATTGGTTCAAGTCACTTCCTGAAATATAAATGCTGAATCTTAAATTTAGCTCCACTACATTTCTTCCTTTTGTTTTTTTCCCCTTGTTTCAGTATCTAGAGGCTTTAAAAATGTTGGTATCATATTATTTGTCATTATCTGCAAATTTGACAAACATATTTCTCTATGTCCCTATTTATACTATTTTTTTAAATTATTTATTTTCAATTACCTGAAGAGAATGGAGCCAACCAAGAGCCCTGAAATGTTCTAGAGACCTCCATCTGGATTGGCCCTTTTTGAACATGGCTGCTCCTCCCACTGCAAATCCACCTAAATCCATCTAATGGTGCCCTCATGCAGTTCACATTTTTATTGTATCTCTCTGTTACAAACTCTAAAGCTTTTAAGAAATACTCTGTTGAAATAAAAATACAGTACATCAACAAATTAATAAGATCACCTTATTCTCAAAGGTATGTTTATGTTAGTGCAATATATGTATAGAGTTCACTTATTTTCTTCATAAAAAAATCATCGAGTTATCTGCTAAAGCACTAAAAACTATCCTAACATCAATACTGTTGTTCTGAACTTCCAAAAATCTTTGTACCTTTGTTGAAAATCTCAATACCTCTCCATCTTCAGATTCTTCTTAAGCTCCATAAGTGCCTGCAGAACTCCACCATTTCCAGGGCCAAATCTTCACATTCTTTAATACCTAAGAAGTTCTACATCTGTGTCTGGGGCAGTGACAGTGCCTAGACCTTCTATTTTCTCCTCATCTACCTTAGGAATTAATTAGTTGTTCATATTCATATGTCTTGTCCTCCCTGTCCCAATTTGAAGATTATTAGCTCTTCTAGAAAGAAAAAAATAGAAGTAAATGAAGATGTGAATTGGTCTTTCTTTTCTCCATATCTATCCTATCACACCATCATGTCCAAGTGGTGAACCTATTCTTTTACTATTCCTGTTATTCCAAATTTAAATCTAAAATATATTTCATGGTTCAGCACTTTTCAAAGCTACAGTTTGTTCTCTTTGTGAGGCCCAGTGACACCACTGTGCTCATCCCAGGAACTTAATCCTCACAGACATGCTCCAACAGCTCTCACACTTTCTACTTTAGCGTTTCCTGTAACTGTGCATTGCTATTTCCCTCAGGACTCCTGCTCCAGGACACTGTCACATTCAACTCACTTTCACTGGTTGGGTGACTGGCCTCTAGCAGCATTTCAGAGGAGTGAGCTCTTTTTGCCCATCCGTCCACACCCCCATCAGGTCACACTCCTGGGACACTCAAATTGTGCAGTCTACCACCAAAGAAGACTATTCCAACCATCTTTCTAGCAATGCTCTGCTCCTTATAGAAAATTGAAGCCCTGTACTTTGTAAAGGTTCATTTACTGTCTCAATTTGGGGTACTTAAAAAATCAATAGCAATCTTAATTCCCACCAGAGATAAATAGCCCAAATCTTTAACTATGCATGAACAGGGGAAATTTAAGAAAATATAAAAAGACCACATAGCCCTCAAATCATCCATTCCCTTTGCAGAACTCCAACTCTCCCCAGTATGGATCTCTTCCAGATTTGGGTACAAGAGGGGATGACTAACAGCTTGTGGTTTTTTTCTATAAGATAAGAAGGATAAAAGTTTTCTATTTTTAAATTTTATTTTTGCTTTTTTGTTGTTGTTATTTCTACTAAATGCTGAATTGAAAAGCATCTTTTGCTGTACAATCTAGAGAGAAAGGCTTCTATCTAAAACTTCTCCCAAAGGCCATTCTAGATATCCTTAATCAGTGGATCTCCAGAAACTACCCTGAGGCCTTTCGTTTCCTTTTTTTTTTTTTTCTAACATGGTATCTTGTTTTAATAATATTTTCTTGAGCATAGTGACAAGAATTTTTTCAGATGTTATTTTTGTCTCCTGGTCTGTTGCTTTATTTTTTTAACTCAATTTACAATGTTTCCTCCACTTAAAAATTATAAAAATCTTCTTCTGTGTTAACTTCTAATTCTTTTGATCTATAGACCTACGTAACATATGCTTTAATCAGATTGAATAGCAATATTCTCTTTCTTTGGCTTCATTTCTCCAGCCTAAAAATCTTCAGCTTTTAATTTTTTTTTAAGTTTTTCCCAATGTTCCATATTACAAGCCTTACATTATTCTTGAGACTTACTCCAAATAATCTCTATGGCCCCTATGTCAGATTAGGACACCTATATCTCTAGTAATAATATTAATTATAATTGTAAGTAGTAGAAATATCTAAACATTTATTGAGCACCTATGTACCATGAACTGATCAGCTCATTTTACCTGTACCACTTCATTTAAACCTTACAAAAATTTTATTTTACAGATGAGAAAACTGAAGATTTAAAAGGTTAAGTAGTTTGCTCAAAGTTATAGAAATCATGTATGTTAGAACCAGAATTCAAACCTGGAAAGCTGGGTTCTTTCTCCAAATCTCATGTACCTCATCATGGCTTTCTATTGATTATGCAGAACACTATATACACTTCTCCCACAAACCTTTAGATAGAAGGGACTTTCCTAAGTATTAAACCACAACTCCTATGTTTTAAGAGATATAGAGAACAATCACCCTCATATAAATTCTGGACACATAAAAAGAATAGACTCCATTAATAATGAAAGCTAAAATCACATGTGTAAACACATTGCTTTTAATCTATTCAATTATTTCCCCATAAGCACTAACTGTGCATCACAAATTATGGTGTCTAAAAGACATACCACAAGAGTTAAAGCTGGGAAGATTCATTGTCATTCTCTAATGGAATAGTTTTCTGAAAGAATGAAAATTCTGAATCTCTAAGATGGAATGCCTCCATCCACTGTTTCTTTATCCTGTTTATCAAATTGGGGAAGGAAATGCAAGACAAACTACACAGTGATATCACTGCATAATTAATTGGTACATCTCTACCAGTTACATATAAATACATTTTCTTTTCATGTACTTTAATTTAGGAGTTGCAAACCAACCATGCTAAGCAGCCAAATTCAGCCTGCAGAAAAGCCTTAATTGTCTTACACAAATGCATGGACAGTCTCCAGTTTGCCATTGGCAATACTATTCCCTATTGTGTCACAGCTGGCCTGTTATGATATGTTTATATAGCTTGTAACAACCACTATAGGCATTTGAGTTTATGACCCTTGAGCAGATCAAATGACTACAGACAGTAAGATAAAAGCCCATATTACAGACCTCATTATCTGTACTACAGGTACACTGCCCCAAAATAAACTTAAGAGGTAAAGCAGCTAATCCACTGCACAAAAAACCAACAGTTGCTCTGCTATACTAACCTTATTCCCCCTGTTCCTTCCCTTTTCCCTCTTCATATCCAGACCTAAATGGCAAAGTTTATCTTTGTGCTTGTTGTTGACTCAAGTTCAGACTAGGAGGCTGCAGAGTCAGATTACAAAATTGGTTATACAATCTATGTCACAGAGGTACATCCCTGACCTTACACAAATTCAGTGTTTTCACTAGTACAAGCTCCAGGGGATAAAAGCAAAATTGTACTCACTTTATCCCTCAAATAACTCTGAACATTGCTGTAGAGTAGATCATGGAGACAAAATTGGTTTTTTGGAAAAGAAAAGAACTAAATATCATTCTTTCCTCCCTAAAAATAGCACTACTGTAGGAAATCTCATAAAACTCTGAACTTTCACTCAAGCCATTTCAAAAGTGATTGGTTGGGGTGGGCATGAAAAAAAATATCTGCAGAGCTTTAAAAGCAAATATTTTTAAAAGCTAGGAAAGTGAGCATGGTCATAAACGAAAGCAGCTCAGTTTAGATTGGTTGCCAGTAAATAGCCAGAAAAAGAACTTCAGCCTTCAAAAAGAGATTTCAAATACATCTTTGTATCACTGAAATAATGCCAATGTTGGAAATATTTGAAAATATTTGCAGAGCTGTATTTTAGACAACGAATGATACTCCATAAAAAACAATTCTTTTCCCACTGTGGGGCAGAATGTCAAAACATGACAAGATCACTAGCCCAGATCCCCTGGAAAACACCATAGAATCATTTCAAAGGCAAGAGATTACAATGATATTTGCCTTGTTAAGGCTGTGTCTATACGGTGCCAGCAAACCCTTGATTAGGTTGATTCACTCAAGCAACCAGTCGATTTCGTGAAACATTTACTCAGGCCTGTGTAGTTTGCATAAATTAACCAAGTGATTGATTGACTGGCTGGTTGGATTGGTTGGATACTTGGCTGGACTTCAACTGACTGCTCTCCCACATCCGCTTCAGCCACTTGGAGCGCCCAGCCACAGTAGTCTCTTCCCAATTCCACTCTCCACAAGGCTATTACTTGTTTCTCAGCTTATCTCTCTAACTAAATACTGAGCTCCTCAAAAGGCAGGGGCAGCTTCCTCTCTATCTTCCACCTTCAGCACAGTGATGAGCATCAGACTCCACATAGTGTGAGAAATCAGTCAATGGTGTGGCAACTTACAAGCTGCCCTTTGACATAATTGGAATCTGTGATGTTTCTTAATCCCCACAGATTTCATCATGCCTAGAGGGACCTATTAAAAAATGTTAGTTAATTCTTCCCGTAGAGGAGCCACACAGGCTCCCATCCCCATACTGCTTCCCTCTCAGATGGCTTTTTTCACTCTGTTCTCCTCTTGAGCCTCTCCCTCTTCTAATTCCACATGTCACGACTTCCACCAAGCATTCCCTGACAATATGACAGGTATTTCTCTCTTCTGACTTCCGCTGTTACTTGCCCCCAACATTTGGGCTTTTAATTACCAACTACTGGCTTGCTCTATATTTATCAGTATTATTGCGTTTCACTCGCCTCAAAGATTATGAAGCCCTTTGAGATTTGGACCAGTATATTTGTTAAGCTAATTCCAGTTGGCTTTCTTGTGAATAATTAACAAGTCATAACTATCAGTTGTCCAGTGTTCTACACTTTATTTCACTCAATTGGTATAAGTGCAGTTCTAATTCTTATACCTACACCATATTAAAAAAAAACTGAGGTATAGAGGAGCTAAGGAATCTGCTTATGATACAACTAGTAAATCTCCCTTGTACCCTTCTTAATGGAAGTGGGGTATCTTTCTGTTCAGTCGCATATCCTAACAAAAACTCTTCAGTTTTCCTGCAAGAAAACTGCAACCCTTTCTCCAGCATTATTGTTAAGGAAGATGACTGTTAACACAGAATCCACAATTTTAATGCAAACTCATGGCTACCCAATCTGTATCCTCAACTAGGTGGAAGGAATCCTTTGTATTTGATGGCCTGCCTGGAGCACCTATATATTGCCCAAATACTCAAAACTTTAATGCCCATTTTGCAAGGAAGAGCAGCAGATCCCCACCCTGGGATCCCCATAGTATTGGCCCTAATAGGATTGCTTGTATTGAGTTGCTACTTTGAAAGTTGCCATTTGGTTTGGTCAATCATAGAGCCAAATGTGGGGTTTGACCATGGGTCCATGGCTAGGAGATTGTAAGGACACTGCTTGTTACGCCGCACAGAGTGCCCTTCATTATGATTCTGGGGAGAGAGCCCTGTCTGGTTTTAGTACTAAGGACAGACTTTTCCCAGAGCAATTGTTCTGTCTTTTCTTCTGGATCCTACGGCATTTTCAACTAACCAGGTTTTTCTTTTTGGTTAGAGCTAAATTTATGACCTATCCTAAGCAAGTAAACAGGTTTTATAGTCATCTTAATCTTGCTCCTGGTTCTATTTAATGACCCACATTTACCTTTCCTTTTAATTTTCTCCTGCTTTTAATTTAAAATAGACAAACAGAAGGATAAGAGCCAGAGAGACAGAATATTGCTTACCCCTCAGCTTCTCTCAGTGCCTTTGCTCAACCCCACACTTCCTCCCACATAATCAGCTCAAAAAACTGATTTAAGAAAATCATTTTACATGATGGTGAAATGGTTTTTAACCAATGTTTGAATCATAGATCCCTTTGCTAAGGGTATAGATCTTCTCACTAGGAAAAAAATATACAACCCTATCAAAAATATTTCAGGAACTCATGGATCTCTGAGGCTGAAGCCATGTCTATGGATTCCAGAGAACAAACCCTTGCTTGGGTGCATACACAAGGCTTCTGGTATCCCCAATTTGCCTCCCAGGACTTGCTCCAAGCCCAGAAGACTTGGGGGAATTTTCCAAGCTACTGTCACCAAGGAAGAGCCCAGGTCTCTCACCTGTCTGAGCCTCTCCCTCCCCCAACCTCACTTCTTTCCTCCCTGACCAAAGACTGTGACATGCTGGTCCCTCTTGCTCTGTTCTTGCCCCCACTTTATGCCACAACTTACCTGGCATTCTGGACACTCATCTGCTTCCTTTCTCTCAAAGTATTACCATCCTGCTGCATCCATCAGCCCAGGCTGCAAACCCCAAAGTTTTGCTGTCTCACAATTTCAAAGGAGGATAGAGGGAGCAAGGAGTGGGGGCTACTAGGACCTTTTAAATTAGAGGACAAAGAGGTTAAAGGAGAAGCCTGCAGAACCACAAACAATAGCGGAGATATCTCAGCCCTGCAGAACACAGGATCACAAGGAGTCATAGCTAGTCAGATGCTGAATTCCAGACATGTGCATGCACGTGCATGCGCATCCGTGTGTGTGTGTGTGTGTGTGTGTGTGTGTGTTTAGTTACACTATATATAGTGTCAGGAAAAAACTGCCAACTTGGATGCTTTTAATATGTACCTCAGAATTAATGAAGAAAAAGTGAAAACATGGTTTGACTATGTAAAAGAAATGCCAATTACAGTTACATATGAAATACATGTATCATTTTTGACTATTAATTCGTATGGCAGTATACATATCTACCACTAATTTTTATTATAAATTGCACTTGATTTGCATACTGAATGTTGTTTTCTGTCAGTTGAGCCTCAAAATTTGCTGCTCACAATTTCCAACATTAAAGGAGACGTTGACAGGAATCATAGCTTATACTCCTTTTGTTTTTCCCTTAGCATCTAAATAACATAGCAAGATATGCCTGGAAATTGATAATCTAGCTGTGGAGACCAGAGTTTGTACACATACCTGAAGCCACTGAAGAAAAATATAAGACAATACGTAAGAAAGTTACAGTACACATGATTTATAGAAAAATACGAGAGGAGAGGATGGGCCAAAGTAAGAAAACAACATGAAGAAAATGAGCTTTGAACTTACCCTTAAAGAAAATATAGCATATAAATTTGGTGAAAGGACATTCCAGTCCAGGCAGAAAAATTGTTTTCTCTGACACACAAGATATTTAAGATCTAAAGAACTGTTTATTTCATATTAGTGTGCTCATTACATTATAATAAGCTTCGAGTGAACTCACATAAAGAACTTAAAAAGATTATTTTTTAAATTTATTTACCTACAAGTATATTCTTGTCAGTTAAAAGAAAGAGAAAATAAAAAATTCAGAAGACAGAAAGCTACCTATAAAACTTTAATAAAAATAATCCATTGTAAAAATGGAAAAATAAAATCTCCACCAGTGAATGACATACAAAACTTTATATTATCTGCTAAAATGGAGTGGTAGGTATTTCTTTATCTTCTTGGTTTGAACCTAATAGAACAATGGCTGTATTTGACCAACTAACAACTAGAAATAATGACAGTGGATAGTGAATTCATTTAATCATGGTAACCATAGCCAAACTTATTATAACATATAAAGTGAAATGCCTGAAAGACAAAGTTAAAGCTAAAGACTTTGGGAAACCTCCAAAATAGGTAGGAGGTCAAAGAGAGCCCTCACCCCACAGTTGTCTCTGAGGCTTAGCAAACTTAGTGCACTGCAATCTGAAATCAGAGGGACCCATTATGGAGGCTGGGTATATTGGCCCACTTCCTCTAAAAAGTAAAGGTTAATACAGGATTAAACATGAAAGTAGTTTAGTAGGTGTTATGGGATGCACTAAACATTCATATGTTGAAGTTCCAACCTCCAGTAGCTCAGAATGTGGCTGTATTTAGTGACAAGGTCTTTAGAAAGGTTAAAGGACTAATAAGTTAAAATGCAGTCATTATGACGGGCCCAGTCCAATAGGACTGGTGTTCTTATAAGAACAGGAAATTGGGACACAGACACAGAGAGAAGACCAACCGAAGACACAGGGAGAAAAGAACCATCTAAAAGCCAGAGAGGGAGGCCTCAGAAAAAAGCAACCCTGCCAACGCCTTGATCTCAGGCTTTTAACATCCAGAATTTTGGGAAAACGAATTTCTGTTCCTTAAGCCACTGAGTCTGTGGTATTTGTTGTGGTAGTCCCAGCAGACTAATTTATTTGGGGGAAACTCCTTGGGGAGGAAATGAGGAGGGAGCCTGTGGAGGGTGGGAAAACTGTGAGTCCACAATGCTGGTCTGGTCTGCTCTTGAGTGAGAAGGGGAAGGGGAAGGAGAAGGGGAAGGGGAAGGGCAAGAGAGGGGAAGGGGAAGGGCAAGAGAGGGGAAGGGGAAGGGCAAGAGAGGGGAAGGGGAAGAGCAAGAGAGGGGAAGGGGAAGGACAAGAGAGGGGAAGGAGAAGGGTAAGAGAGGGGAAGGGGAAGGGCAAGAGATGGGAGTGGGAAGGGGAAGTGGAAGGGAGAAGAAGGGGAAGGGAGAGGAAGGGGACGGGGAAGGGAGGGGGAAGGCGAGGGGGAAGGGAGGGGGAAGGCGAGGGGGAAGGTGAGGGGGAAGGTGAAGGGGAAGGGAGGGGGAAGGGGAAGGGAGGGGAGGGGATGGGGAAGGGGTATGGAGGGGAAAGGGGAAGGGGAAGGGAGGGGAGGGTGAGGAGGGAGGGGAGGGTGAGGAGGGAGGGGAGGGTGAGGAGGGTGGGGAGGAGGGAAGAAGGGGAGATGGGTGGGGGAGGAGGGAGGGGAGGAGGGAAGAAGGGGAGATGGGTGGGGGAGGAGGGATACTATAGTCCAGGTCTAAGGCAAGTTTTGCAAGACTATAGAGGAGTCCTGTATCTCCAGGAATGGGCTGCTTTAGTCTCCCTGCCATGCTGAGTCAGCAACCAAGAACAGTTCACGGGCAGCATTGGTGATGGGTTTCAGAGCAGAGCTGTTGGGTTTGTCAGTTTATTACATTCCAATACCTGAGAGGCACATTCTCATGGCCACCACACTGGAAGACCTCCATCACTGTGGACAGTGCCCAGCAAGGACTTTACACTCAGATGCCACAAATGCCCATCCAAATTTCCACTGAATGAACCACGTTTCCTATTCAGTTACCGATGTGAAACTACAGAATCATCTCATTTTCTCTCAAGGACAAATATTTCATGCTCTACAAGAGTAAAACCAGTGTAGCCAAACCCCACTGACTGAAGAATTATAGCTACATAAAAGATAACTGTCCTGCAAGTTACTTCTGTATTCCTTGTGAAAAAAAAAAAAAAGAGACTGGCTACCCAAATTAATAATGTAAATAAGGACAGTGATGGCCCCACTGAGGCTTGTCCAAAGCAAGGCCCAGTTTACTAACCCCGGAATGGGAAGATCAAACCTGGTGTTGGGAGTTTGGTCCCAAGTTACCACACAAACTCATTCTGCTTCTCACCTTTCAAGCCTACCTTCTTTCCTTTGGATGGGGAATCAAAATGCCTCTTTCTTAAAGCTACGAGCTGTCTAATATGCTACATGAGGAAGAGAATGGGAAAAACAAACAGTACATGAATAGAAAAATGTGCTGGATTTAAAGCAAAAAGATATAACTAATCTGACATGTAAGTCCAATCCTTGCATCTCCAATATGTAGCATAGTGGTTGATAGCAGGTGTTCAATTCATGTTTGAGAAATAAATAATGGCAAACGCATTGAATTAGAGTTTTATAGTGATTAATAATAAATGAAAGTAGTTCCTTTAAATGATAGTAATTAGCATGTCTGTGGTCAGGCAAGGAGGGGGTAAATTACCCAGAGCATAAAGTTGCAGTGAGGCTCTTCTTAAGTTCTCTGAATCAAGGGCCAGTCCCAAAAGCAGGGGAACAAAATGGGGCATAGACAGTGGACTGGGATCAGCAGGTTTCAGGGCAGGTTTGCATCTGTAGGAGAGAGGAGGCTGAGGTGTTCCATTTTACTTCCTTTACAATGCCGGTGCAGGGTAACGTTTAGGCAGGGAAGGCTGAAATATATGACATATGGGCTCCCACAAATCATCATCACCTCAACTCAAAATTTATCAGTGTCTTCCTTGTACTTATAAAATAGAAGTTTCCATTCACTCATTAATTAATTCATTCATTTAGAGCCAATGATCAGACGCTATGCTATTTGGGGAAACACAAATTAACAAAATGTATTCTCTACCATTTAAGAGGAAGACAAATGTACCAACAGGCAATTATAGTACAATGTATGAGATATGCTGACAGAGATTATGTTCTATGAACAAAAGTTCTCTACAGGAATATGGAGGAAACAGACTTTATTCCAGTGAACAGTTTGGAAATCAGAGAGACACAGCCTGCTGTGTAAAATGAAGCTATGTTCCGGAGAACAATGAGAGTGTTCTGTTTTATAGCAAAACCTCCTACCCAGGTTTCCAGTCAGGTTGGTTTATGCAAATGAACGATGGAAACTAGCTTAGTGCTGGTTGGCTGGCACAGCTGAGTTTTGATTGATCAATACAGCTTAGCCCTGCTTGGTTGATACAGCTGAGCCCTGTTTCATCCAGTCGAGTCGAGGGAGCTCTGATTGGTTGAGCTCTGATTGAGCTCTGTTTGGTTTCCAAACCCAAAACCAGGAGTCTTGGCTGATGTTTCTTTCTGGTGAGAGGAGGGGGGATTGGGCCTCCGTTCATCTTGGCACTAACAATAGGAACTGGTTTAGCTTGATTGTAGAAAGAGAGGTCCTGTGATACTTTTACATCTTTCTGAGAACACAATTACCATTCCTTCCCCCAGCTAGGACCACCTGGTTCTGTTTTAACTTTGAGAGCCTCAGCCTCAAAGATTCCATTTTCAGTCTGCCAGGGGAATACTTTAGAGTTCAAAGGGCCTCCAGAGCAGAGACAGGGGAAAATACCTGTCTGCAGGGTAAGTAACAGGATTGCAACAGGTTGGCATTTGAACTGGGCCAAGTAGAGCACCAGAGAGAAAGGAAATGGGTTATATATCTAGACAGAAGAGCAAAGAAATGGCAGGTGCCAAGGCACAGAGGGGTCATGGTTTTGATTAAGATGAAGTGGGGAGGTGCAATCGGTGATAAGGTTTTAGGAAGAAACGGAAAAAGAATTTTAAAGATAAAACCCTTTGCAGATTGACAAACCTGACAAAAACAAGAAATGGGGAAACAATTCCCTATTTAACAAATGGTGCTGGGAAAACTGGCTAGCCATATGTAGAAAGCTGAAACTGGATCCCTTCCTTACACCTTATACAAAAATTAATTCAAGATGGATAAAAGACTTAAATGTTACACCTAAAACCATAAAAACCCTAGAAGAAAACCTAGGCAATTCCATTCAGGACATAGGCATGGGCAAGGACTTCATGTCTAAAACACCAAAAGCAATGGCAACAAAAGCCAAAATTGACAAATGAGATCTAATTAAACTAAAGCACTTCTGCACAGCAAAAGAAACCACCATCAGAGTGAACAGGCAACCTACAGAATGGGAGAAACTTTTTGCAATCTACTCATCTGACAAAGGGCTAATATCCAGAATCTACAAAGAACTCAAACAAATTTACAAGAAAAAAACAAACAACCCCATCAAAAAATGGGTGAAGGATATGAACAGACACTTCTCAAAAGAAGACATTTATGTAGCCAAAAGACACATGAAAAAAGGCTCAATCATCACTGGCCATCAGATAAATGCAAATCAAAACCACAATGAGATACCATCTCACACCAGTTGGAATGGCGATCATTAAAAAGTCAGGAAACAACAGGTGCTGGAGAGGATGTGGAGAAATAGGAACACTTTTACACTGTTGGTGGGACTGTAAACTAGTTCAACCATTGTGGAAGTCAGTGTGGTGATTCCTCAGGGATCTAGAACTAGAAATACCATTTAACCCAGCAATCCCATTACTGGGTATATACCCAAAGGATTATAAATCATGCTGCTCTAAAGACACATGCACATGTATGTTTATTGTGGCACTATTCACAATAGCAAAGACTTGGAACCTAGCCAAATGTCCAACAATGATAGACTGGATTAAGAAAATGTGGCACATATACACTATGGAATACTATGCAGCCATAAAAAAGGATGAGTTCATGTCCTTTGTAGGGACATGGATGAAGCTGGAAACCATCATTCTCAGCAAACTATCACAAGAACAAAAAACCAAACACCACATGTTCTCACTCATAGGTGGGAACTGAACAATGAGAACACATGGATTCAGGAAGGGGAACATCACACACGGGGCCTGTTGTAGGGTGTGGGGAGCGGGGAGGGATAGCATTAGGAGATATACCTAATGTTAAATGATGAGTTAATGGGTGCAGCACACCAACATGGCACATGTATACATATGTAACAAACCTGCACGTTGTGCACATGTACCCTAAAACTTAAAGTATAATAAAAAAAATAAAATAAAAAATAAAAAACCCTTTGCGGATAGGTGGCTCTGGAGTCACCTGCAGGAGATGCTGGGTAGCCAAGGGCATGGTAAGGCAATGGACTTCTGAAAGAACAATGACCAAGAGGTTTCTAGAGATTAGGGGGACAGGAGTCCTAAAGGGGGAGCTGGAGAATACCAAAGACAAACTTGATTTGTTTTACCCTTTTCACACAAGTTACATATTTTTAAAACCTCTTCTTAGGACCTAATTTTCTCAAGTCTTGCTTAATCCCTTGCTCAGAAGGGAGAGGTGAACAGAGGAAGGGGTTCCCCCAGCAGCACTGAGCTGGCTCTCTGATGAAGTGGGGGCACCTGTGGAGGGGAAGCTCAGAGCTCACCAGATACTGCCAACAGCAGCTGCACAGGAGGGTATCTGAGAGGAAGCTACTGTTCCCAGAATAATTAACTCTCTTCAGAAATCATGGGCACAGACACACACCCTCTCTCTGAAGCAGAACCAAGCTCAAGGGCTGGAGATTTCCTGTTCCCCACCATCAGGTGGACAGCCCACTCTCCCTACTCCACCTGCCTACAGACAAGGAAGATCAATCTGGGTGGCTAACACACCTTGCCCTAGAGTAACCAAGATTAGAAAGATGCATCTACTTTTCCACATGGGACATGAAATTGAGTCTATTTAAAAGTTCTGGCACAATTTAGATATTAAAATTAATTAAAATAAATCTGTTACTAGCAATCTACCTAAATTATGCATACAATGTTTCTCAGTAGGTACTCTTTTGAACTACCGTTTAGCTAAAAAAAAAATCAATCACCAAGGAATTTAAGTACCAAAGTTTGGCTTGAAACTTCAAATCCCTCCATGTCAAGCAGGAAAGCAGAGCTAATTTAGAGGGACTGTCCAGCCAGGGATGGTGTCAGGCAGGCTGAGGGCAATATAATGATTTTGCAGGGAGGTAATTAAATGGGACATAACAGCAATTATAGCAGCAACGGCTAACATACACTGACCACTTCCAGTGGGTCAGGCAACAACATGCTAAGTGCTTTAAGTGTATTATTTTCTTCAATCTTTTTCTTTAGTACACAAAAAAAGTACAAAGGAAAATATAGCAAAACCTACATATCCACCACCCAAAATTTAAAAATGACATTTTGTCATATTTGCTTCAGATTTTTTTATTTTAAAAAAGTTGCAAATGAATTTATACTCCCAAATCCCATTTCCCTCTCTGTTTCTCCTCAGAAACAGCCACTATGTCATGAATGTGGTTCATATTCAGTGACATTTTCATATTTTACCATATTTATATGTGCCTATAAATATTATAGAGTATTATTTTAGGTTTTTATTTCCTGAAATCTTTTATCAACTCAAATGCATGACTTCAAAGTCTATCACTGTGGATTAATTTGTTCCATTGCACTTATCAACTTTGAACATACTGTCAGGGAAGAATTTTATTTTCTGTTTTATTAAATAATGTATAAATAGTGTGGCATATTCATATTCTTTGCCCCTGTTTTCTATTTCATTATCTGGAGTTTTTTTTTTTTCAGTAATTTGTAGGAGTCTTTGATCTATCATATATCCCAATATCTTCCACCAGGATGTGGTCTAGCTTTACCTTTGTTTTCGGTCTTCAGTCATTCAAGAGATGCCTAACTCCAGGCAGTCTAATCCGTTATTTTTTCCTTACCTGATATCATAAAAATATCCTTTTGTATCTATATCTACCTATCTATCCTGTAACTGTATTCTACATACAGTCATAAAGTCTCCTTTTTTTGCATTTGGTCTCTAATCCATCTTCAATTTATTTTTTTAAATGGTGTAGAGACTTAATTATATTTTCATCAACCACAACAAAAAAATAGATTCCATTCTTTCTTCACTAATTGGCAATCCCACCTCCACCATATACCCAGATCCCACACGTGCATAACTTCTCAAGCTACCTCTTCTGTTCTCTCTATTTGTCTATCCCTGTGCTAACTCCAAAGCCCCATGTCATGTACTGAAGCTTTTTTACAAATCAATATATAGGCAAGTCTTTGTTTTTTGCCTGTTTGCTTGGGTTTCACAATTGTCTGGCTACTCTTTCAATTTTATATTTCCATATGAATTATAGAATCTGTCAAATCTCTCACACATACACACCACAACCAGTTGATATTTAATTGGAATTTCACAAAATGTTTTAATTGATTGTGACTAGACAGCTTTTCAATACAGAAACATCCCACATATCTAAATAAGCATAGTATTATCTCTCTAATCATTTCAGACTTTTCTCTCAATAACGTTTATATTTTCTATTTTTTCCTAAGTAACATATAGTTTTAGTTGATGTTATGAAAAGCATTTTTTCAGGTGGGCGGATCATGAGGTCAGGAGATCGAGACCATCCTGGCTAACACGGTGAAACCCCGTCTCTACTAAAAATACAAAAAAATTAGCCAGGCGTGGTGGTGGGCGCCTGTAGTCCCAGCTACTCAGAAGGCTGAGGCAGGAGAATGGCGTGAACCCGGGAGGCGGAGCTTGCAGTGAGCCGAGGTCGCACCACTGCACTCCAGCCTGGGCAACAGAGCGAGACTCTGTCTCAAAAAAAATAAAAAATAAAAAAAAAAGAAAATCATTTTTTCTGTTACATTTTTAATGAGCTAGTTCTGGTACAGAAGACAGAGTTACTTACTAGCAAATGTCACTGTGGGCAAGCTCTTTATCTCGCTGTGCCTCAGTTTTCTCAAATTTCAAATGGGAATAATAGTGCTACCTAATAAAGTTACTGCTGGTGAGAGATAAATAAGTTAACACATGCCTAGTGCCTGGCACATAGTAATTAAATGCAAATGTTAGCTTTTATTATTAAAAGAATATTAATTTGCATATTGATTTTATATCTAACGGCCTTGAAAATTTATGAATTATCTTGAATTTTCTTTTAAATAATGATATACTCTGAGTATGAACAAATTTACTTTCTTCTTTCTTCTTCCTTATAAACATTTCTCTTTCTTGCCCTATTGTATTACCCAGGACTAACAATATCATGATAAATGGAAAAAGAAATAGCAACGTTCCTGTCTTACTCTCTTTAAAAGACATATTCTAAAATTTTCACCTTTACTATTTATGTTTGCTGTCATTTTTCGCTAACTATAATACTATTTATCAGGTTAAGGAAGGCCCCTTGCATTCCTAGTTTGGTGTGCGATTTCATCATGAATAGGTCTTGACGAAGGCATTTGATTTTCTCTAATTTAATCCCTACATTGTAGTCTACACTGAACATTTAGCAACAATATACATTGGGCCAGGGGTCAGCAAACTACAGCCTACGCAACCTGTTTTTGCTGTTAAAAATTTTTTTTAAAAAGTTTATTGGAAAACAGCCACACCCATCTGATAACATATTACCCATGGCTGCTTTTAAGCCACAGTGACATAGTTGAGTAGTTGATACAGAAACCATATGGCCCACAAAGCCTAAAATATTGACCATTTGACCCCTTACAGAAAAAAACTGCTCACCCTGATATACAGCATATTAAACTGCTCTTGTTACAACTTTCACTCTAAATTGAGGGGTTAGTGAATAAGCAGGAAAGGAGGCCAAAGAGTTTTAAGTTTTTTTTTTCTAACTTCTCCTAATCTCTGTTCCTTCTACCTTCTTTCATGTTTACATTTCTCTCTTTCCTCTTCTCTCTTCTTCCCCCTTTCTTTTTCCCCTTCTCCTTTTTTTCCCCTTGCCATTCTACACTTTTAAAAAGCAATGCAGTCCAGATGCAGTGGCTCATGCCTATAATCCAGCACTTTAGGAGGCTGAGGCAGGAGTATCAGATTGAGCCCAGGAGTCTGAGACCAGCCTGAACAACATAGTGAAATCTCATCTCTACAAAAAACAGAAACACTTAGCCAGGCATGGTGATTCATACCTATAGTGCCAGCTACTGGAGCAGCTGAGGTAGGAGAATCACATGAGAACCAGAGGTTGAGGTTAAGGCTGTAGTGAGCAGTGATCACACCACTACACATAGCCTGGGTGACAAAATGAGACCCTGTTTCAAAAAATAAAAAATAAAAAAGCAATGCAAAATATCTTCCTTTGATTAAATAAACAATAAAACTGTCCAACATTTTTTTCAATATGTAGTGATAACCAATATATAGCTAGGTGCTTTACTAAGTTACTTTAAAATTCATTTGCTCAACAAACATCTATTGAATGCTATTTGCAAGGCACTGTTCTAGGTGTCTGAAATATAACAGTGAACAAACAATGATTCCTGCCCTTGGGAAGCTTACATTCTAATTGAGGGAAATGAACAATAAAAATAGAGCAAATAGTAAGTGATGAAAAAAGGAACACACAGAAAATGGTAAGCGGGAAGGGGAGGGGAAAGAACTACAGTTGTGTAAAGGATATTCAGCAGGCCTCTTTGCAAAGGTGCCATCTAAACAAAGATTTCAATGAGAGCATGAACCCCCAAGCCCATGGCAGGAGCATTCCTGGTGTGTCCAGGCAATGGCAGGGAGATTGGGATAGCTGGGACAGATGAAGCAGAGAGAATAGGAGGTGAGATCAGAGAGGTTATGGAGACCAGATTGCAGAGGCCCTGGTGGGCTTTACTCTGACCAAAATGAGAAGCCACTGAAAGATTTTAAACAGAGGAATAAGGTGGTCTGGCAGATTTTTAAAGGCTTACCTTTGGCCATTGTGGTGAGTACAGTTTATAGAAACTGCAAAGCCATTCAAGAGGCCATGGCAGTATTGAGAAGAATTCACGTCATTTAATCTCTCAGCAGTTGGATAAGATATATACTATGCCCTTCTTCCAGATGCAGAAAGTAAGATGTGGAAGTTTAAATAACTTGCCAAGTCACACAGCTAATATAAAGCAGAGCTGGTTTTAAACCTAGAGTCCATCCAAGGTCAAAGGTTGGTATCTGAAGTTAGACTAGTTTGGATTTCACCTTGTGAAAATGCTTCATAAACTATTTAATGTATGATATTATAATTAAGAGTTTCATGATTTTAGACTAATCATGTATATTTTATATTTTATGAATTTTTAGATAAATCATACTTCTAAAATAAAAAACTAGTTGGATGCTATAGTTCCAGACTCCTGGATTTTGTTCTTGAATGGCTTATGGATAAAAGCCCCTAAGTTTTCACGTATTAGATTTGCTTCAAATAAACCTATAGACTTGGGAATTTATTTACTCTAGCCCTAGGAACTAGAGGCTCGCCATTATATTCTTATTCTCCCATAGAGTTTCAAATTATATTCTTTAAAAGACACTTCATGACTGGAGTGTTGAATCTTCTTTTTTAAGCCTGCTGACTGATAGGTAGATTCCATGTTCAAATCTCATCTTGCACACTGTAAATATCTTCCATCATAATTTTAGTAGGTCTAGAAAAATCATCTCTCTCTCTGTTAAACATACACATACACACACACACAGAGGAGCAACATTACTGGCAAGAATGATAATATATATGGAAGGATTTACTAATGAAATATTTCTGTATATTCTTCAGTGACAAACTGGGTGGCTTTATGTTAAACAACATAAAAGAAAGTCATACAAATTTGATCTCCAGTTTATTCGTGTTGAGTTTGTAAACCATGCACACTGACGCAGGTTTACAAGTAAATGATGTTGAGAAATTCAAACACATACATATGTGTGTGCAATCCATATGTGGAAATGCAGTCAATAATTTATATCAACCAGCCACAAATATTTATTGCAATTATTAAATGGCTCCTAGGCACAATCTTAGGTCTTGGGGATTCAGTGCTAAGAATAAATGGGCAAGGATTCCCATCCTCATTAAGCTTATAGCCTAGTAGGGAAACCAAACAATAAATACTTAGAAGTATTAGGAGAGCCATGAGAAGGAGGGAAGATGTAGAGCTGTTCTTAACATGGGAGCAAAGCCAGGCCAGCATGGTGGAGGGACGATGGTCACAGAAGACAGCCCCATGGAAGTGATGCTTAAGCTCCACTTGAAGGACGGGTACAGGTTATCAAGGAGAAGAGCAAAGCAGTGAGGGAGGAAAGAACTTCTCAAGGAAAGAGAAGGGCTTGTGCTTGATAGAGGAGAATCCAATGCCTTAGGAGAAAGAAGAAGTGGGGGAGTCTGGTGTGCGTGGTGGAAAGCAGCACAAGGTGGGTGCCACATAAAGTGATGCTGGAGACAGGCAAGGGCCAGGTCAGGTAGGGCTGAAAGATATGGATTTAACTTTGAGGACAATGAGATGCCACTTAGGAAGGATTTTTAGCAGTAGAATGGCATATTTAGCTCTTATTTTTTAAAGGTCAGTCTGGCCACTATGTGAAGAATGGACTGGAAGGGAACAAGAATGGAGCACATTTAGAAGGCCATTGCAATCACCCAGATGAGAAGTGCAGTGATCTGGACAGAAGCAGAGACAGGGTAGATGAAGGTGAACAGTTTCAAGTCAACAGGGACTGACTGTGCGTGGGGGATGTGTGAACAGCAGGAGCTGATAAGGAGCCCTCATTTTCGGACAGGGAGGGTACCAAGACCATTCAGAAGACTGGAACCATGGAGGAAATGCTACTTCACACCAGGTACGAATCCATTTCAAGTGTGTTTTAGAGGTAGAGGTAGGAGTGAAGGTCCATTCCAGCACCAATTCTCCCTACCAACCTGAATTGTTTATTGCAAAAGATTTTATTTCATTGGTCTCTTTTTACTGAAGGTATAAATGGAGTGTCATCTTTTCAAGGAGAGAGAAACAGATGCCCTTTGAGAAGGGGAGACGGAAGGGGAAGGAAAGTTCTGAAGGCAGAGGTGTCCAGAGAAGCCGAAGCATGCAATGGGAGGCACAGGAGTGAGAGTGAACTTCAATAGACACACACTGACCCAAAAGAGTTGTGCATCAAAGACACATTCTGATAACTCTGCAACTTTTGCAGAGAGCCGATGACGTTCTAATTGTAACATTTCCCTTTTTACTTTTTCTTCCTTGGTGAATGGTGGTAGACCTATTGATTACACCATAAAGATAAGAGGGAAAAGAAGGAATGACTGCTTTTCTCATATAATTATCTTTTTAAAGTCCTTGTCCTGGTTTGCACACTCAAAAAGGAACACAGAATTTGCAATTATAGGGAAGTTATTTCTGAGCATAATTAAATGCTCTCCATCTTTCTCTCACACAAAAGCTTGCAAATTCCAAGCTAGTAGATTTTTGAATCCTATCAATCATTTCTATTTTTAAATTATATTCCAGATTTATTATATGATATACTAATTATAATACAATATTTGCAATAATGAAAATGTATTTGAATAGTCAATTGGAACCCACAAGTCAACTCCTAGATAGATGCCTTAGTGGCTCTGAAAGGTGGTCCCCACTTGGGATTTGTTAAAATGCAAACACCTGGGCCCCACTCTGGGTGTACAGAATCAGAAATTCAGGGAGTGAAACTCAACAGTCTTTTTAATAAGCCCTCCAGTTGATTCTGATACATGTTAAGATTGAGAACCACTTCTTCAGCAGTGTTTCCCAACCTTTTCCCTTCGTGGCAAAAAAAAAACCTGCACACGTACCCTGAACCTAAAATAAAAGTTTAAACAAAAGAGAAAATGATGGCATTTGTACAATACCCCATGTTAAGTGGATAAGGCTGCCAGAGGCTTGCCCCAGACCCTATTTGTGTTGGCCTGAGCAGCTCACCGTAACCTTTTCATGATCCACCAGCAGAAAAACTCAGATCTGAAGAAACTCACACCAGTGCAAAAACAACTATATATACATTCTTTTTGTTAATTATGGCACCATTTCCAACAATGAAAAATTATCCAAATACAAATTAACAAATTGTGACATATTTGTGCATAGAAATACTACTCACAGTTACAATGAATAAACTGGAGTTCCATGTATCAACACAGAGAAATCTCAAAAACATAATGTTGAGCAAAAAAAAAAAAAAAAAAAAAAAAAAGCAGGTTATAAAACAATGCATACATTTTGATAACATTTATATAGTATTTATAACATGCTGAACAATACTGAATATTGTTTGTGGCATGCCCACATGTAGTAAAATCATAAAGGCATGCATAAGAATGATACATAGCCCTTAGGAAAGAGGAAGAAGGGGAATCAGGGATGTGTATTCATGGGGCTTTACCCATTTTATTTCTTCAAATATCTAAAGAAAATATAGCAATTGGTTAAGATGTGACCTGGGGAGAAAGGGAATAGTTACACATGGGTTTCTTATATGACTTGATGTATTTTTCTGTATAGTTAAAATGTTTCATGAAAATTTTTGATAAGAAAAAAAAATCAGTTGGAGTCTGCTATCAATTTATCCGAGTTGTAAACCCAATTTTGTGTTAGCTCTTTGGTGTTGGGCAGATTACTTTCTCTCTCTGGGCCTTCATTTCCCATTTGCAAAATAGAAGGGGCTGAGTTCAGTGACCTCTGAAGCTCTCTGCCTCTTGCACCCTCTTCAATATATATTGGTGCTCAAATAGAAATACTCTTAGCCCCTTCTCTTTATCCCCTCTATGCATAGGCAACAACCTTCTCAGTAGTTGTTCCCTGTCCAGCTGTCTACCTTAATAGCCCCTTGTTTACAATGGCCCCAGCAAATGGGCTGGGGACTAATAACACATCACAAAGCAGGAATTGTAGAACCTGTGTTTGAAGATATATTTTAAGACAAAGAGAATAAAAATAAAACCAGAAAAGTTTGGTACATAGACAAGCAGTGTAGGATTTAGAAAATGACCTTGAATTTGCAAGCAACCTTTCCTTGAAGGAGAATCTTTTCCCTGAGCAATGAATTTCACTAAGTGAAAGAGAATTTCAAATCAACATTACAGCAATGTTCACTACTTTATTCCTACTCTTTAGGCATCACCTCTATCTCCTTATCGCTCACCCCAACATTAGATATGATTCAATACAACTAACTAGCTTTTTCAATGAAAGAAAGCTTAGTTTCTCATGTTTAGGAACTGATTCCTTTGATCTTCCCTCAAGTTACGACTTACATAGGCAATTCCCTTTCCAAATAGGCTAGTTTGTAGATTCTGTCTTTGAATGTGCTCAGTCATTTCAACAATATTAACATCATAATATTGATGAACTATGCCTACAAAGGGCGACTGATTTTGACTAATTTATTATTTACTACAAAATATTTCCAATGTACAAAAAATATACTCACCATCAATATGTATTTTTAAGTTTTACTAATTTGCACACTCAAATCAGCAGACCAAGTTAAAATGGCATCTTCTACCTTGTGATTTGTGACACCATATCACAAGCTTGAGGGTTCCATGCTCCTTTTTAGGCACTTGGTGAGTGTGATATGGTAGGAAACATATTTAATGTATGGTTTTAGCTCTAAAATTCACTGACTAAGTGGTTTTAGGAAATCATTCAACATCTCTTGGCTTCAGTTTCCTAATCTATGATATAGACAAAATGGACTTTGTTATTTACAAGGTCTCCCCATCTTTGAAACCCCTTGGTTCTATGGAATGACCTAACAAATCCATTGATCTGGCATTGTGGCCAGTCTCAGTCTAAGTTTTGAACTCTTTTGGTTGAGAAATGATAAACTCATTAATGAGATGCAAGCTAGATTCAATGCAGTGTGTATATGTGTGTGTTTATACTTACTTATATTGATTATATACATATATGTGTATTTCATTTAACAGAAGGGGCTGGATGCAGTGGCTCATGCCTGTAATCCCGGCACTTTGGGAGGCCGTGGCAGGCGGATCACAAGGTCAGGAGTTCAAGACCAGCCTGACCAACATGGAGAAACCCCGTCTCTCCTAAAAATACAAAAATTAGCTAGGCGTAGTGGCGGGTGCCTGTAGTTCCAGCTACTCAGGAGGCTGAGGCAGGAGAATCACTTGAACCTGGGAGGCAGAGGTTGCAGTGAGCTAAGACCACACCATTACACTCTAACCTGAGTGACAGAGCGAGACTCTGTCTCAAAAAAAAAAAGGGGGGGGGGAATATACATTTCATCTTGGTTATTATACAAAAAATTCCCAATATCTGGCACATAACAGCATACAGTTAATACTTACTGAATTAACAGGATTCATTTTAAGTTCATACTATTTGATATACTATGCTAGTGACATTAAATGACAATTTCTCTTTTAATCCTTACAGTAACTCTGAGAGGTAGATACTTCTTAACTGGTATAGGTTTACAGTACTACTAAATACGAGTCAGGATTCTAAGTCTGACTTGGCCCATCTCAGTGATAATATTAATACCCAAAAGATAGACATATGCTTTGTAAATTAATTTTATAAGAGCTTCACCCTTGTATATCTAATTACTTCTAACAGGCATTCAACATTGACCTACAACTTTATATTTCTTCCTTAGTACTCCCCTGAAATTTCTTACTATTCACTGTTATGATGTGCCTCGCTGCTGATTAAAAAACTAACTCAAAACTAAAATAATGAGGGCCCAAAATGAGAATTACTTAGTGGGATCCATCCAGACCTTATTCTTATTTAAATAAATACAGTTGACTTTACTACCTGTGAATGACTGACTTTGGAAATTATTTGTGGTACCTATTTTATCCCACTAAACTGCTTAATATATCATATTATGTACATCAACCTCATAACTTTCTTTGAGGGGGTTATTAGTCTGTTTGGTTATAAAATGCAGTCAATAATATGCATTGCATTACAGCAAAACATCTGACAGAAAACAGAAAACAACATACCCAAACAGAAAAGATGGAAAAATGTAGACTGGATGTTAGCGCAACTAGTAACTCGTTGAACATTTGTACCCAAAAGGCTAGTGAATAAGAGAAGAACCTCAACCTGGAAAAAGAATTGAGCCACAGGATTCTGTTCTGGACCTCTTTCTGTTCTCAAATATTATCAATGGCTTAGATAGAAAACAAGGTCCTAAAAATGTTAAGACAAAAACACTGAGTGGGATAATAAATAGGTTGTATAAACCAAAATAGATATGGTAGTGTACAGATATGGGTCAAGTTGAACAAATCAAAATTTAACAGAGATAATCATAAGATCAAAAATAATAATTCTCAAGTGCAGAATGCTAAAAAAAAAAAATAGTTGGCAGCTACCTAGACAGAAACATAGAAACTTTGGTTGGCAATAAATTCAATATGAACCAACCATATGGTATGACTACCCATAAGCTATACCACCTTTAGGTACAATAATAGAAACAAGAAATTTCTGTAATAATAGAAATAAAATTTTCTCAGAGAGGTGAGATTATAGGCCTGCTCTCCTTGCCAAAGATAACTTAATTCCATGCTGCAGATGGATTTTGGTGTTGAACCTTAAAGAAACAGACAAACTGGATATTCAATTTCTTATACCAGAAGAAGGGAACATTTTTTTAAATGATGTTTTTCGTCTACAGAAAAGAAAACTAAAGAAGGACATGGCATCTATCTTTAAATATTTTTTAGGTAGTCTATGGAATGAAAATAGTCTTCATCTGAAGGATCCAAAGAGGTCAAATGAGAATTAATACGCTCAAATAAAGGAGATTGTGACTTGGCACAATAAAGAAATATATGGTATGGACTTATCAGAATGTGAGTTCTCCCATGTTGGGTAGAGGGACAAAAGGCTGAACAACCAATTAGTAGAATATTGTATAGGGAATTAAGTCACTAGTGGGAGCTTTGTCTGAATGAATTTTGAGGTCTCTTGCAAACCTGAAAGAAAATAAATCCATAATCTACAAATGGCCTAAAAGAAAGGTGATTGCAAAAGACTTATTCACATTACTAACGGTCTCAGCAAGATATGGTGTGAAGTCCAATCTGCTACCCATCCCCAAATATTTATATATACACACACACACACTCACATAACACACATATGCTTCTTATCAAGGTGGAAAAAACACCAAAGCCCTCATTAGCTCAGATTCTACTGTTTCAAATGTGTAACAATGCAGAAGAAAATAGGATCAAGGTTTGCTATCTCTAAGGGGAAAAAAAAAAGTTTGCGAAGTGAATTGCTAGGGTAAACAAGATTCTGGGAGGAAGCTTGACCTTACAACCAAAGTCAAAAAAACACACCATTAAAAATAAATAGCTTATGATTTCTGTACAAATAAATCTTCCCAATTTCTCAATGACCCATTCTTTAACTCAGCTCAGGTATGACTGAACAGTTATAAGTCCTTGCTAGCAGTCCTTACTGAATACTACACACACTTGAAAATAATAAAGTTATTAAAATTTTGTTTAATTCAGCTTTCCTTTGAACTAGGCATTCCCCAAGTTTAAATTAGGTTTCATTAATTTAAGTTATTTCAGGAAATTTTTGATGATATGTTGCTCTACATTATTCTTGAGTACAGATAAGCAAGAAATGGCCATAGATCATTCCCAGCCAACACAAAGTAATTATTATCTAGAAAGAGATAAAAGTAATATTATAAGTAAACTATTACCTAGAAAGAGATAAAAGTAAGTAAGTAGTCCAAAACTAACCTTAAAGAAGCAGGAGATCACACAAACAGGCCATAAACTGTAGAAGCACATTAAATCCAAAGCTGCCAAATTCATGACATGCCTGGCAGGTCTGCATGGGTGCACAACCTGAGCAGCTGCCCAGGGCCTGTACACAGAAGGGAGGTACACTTAGCTAATGATCTACTGTCAATGTCTTAAAAGTGTCAATAATTTTTGAACACTGGGCCCCACAGATTATGCAGGTGGTCCTGGAGACTGGCACATAATGGTGACTGAGATATGAAAAGCAAGCAAGTAAAATGTATACACACCGGCAAAATCTAAAAATAGCTCCATTTATTAATGAAAAACAATATCCTGTAATCAAGACACAGCCTGTTGGTTAACGTTATAAAGAATTACTTTGCTTGTTTAATGTGTAAACCAATGATAATTCACAAATTTGCTAATTGTTTTTCTGTAGATGTGAGCTGTCAACCGGTGGAGCTTAAGTATTCAAAAGTAATCAACCACCATTTCAAATTCCATCAAAAAGTCATGTATCACTTTCAGGAGACATGAAATTTTGGTACATTTTTACTGGAGTTGCAGAAGGAGTGATAAAGCAAAAGTGAATTTTAAAACAACAAAGCAATCTCCTCACTTCACCACAGAAAATTAAATGTAGTGAAGCAGCTTTGTGACACTTCAGACTTTTCCAGTATTCTCTGGATTGTGAACTGACAAAGCTACATATGAGTGAAAAAAAAAATTTGAACTTTTGCTCAAATTATATTCACCCTAATGTGGATTGTAAAGTTCCTTTCACCAGTGAGAAACATACAGCTTTATATCCACGTTTACAGAAGAGAAAGAGTTACCAAAACTTTAAATATCAAAAATATTTTTATGCCACTGTCTTATATACTTCAGCATAACTCATTTCTAAACATGTAAATCTAGAAATGAAGCAATCAGAGGGAAAAGTTAAGATGAAGAATCAAACATCAAATCCATCTTGGTTCTAGTCTAACAAATGTTTCCCCACTGGATTTCAAGTTCATGAGTAGAGTCTATGTAGCTCTGGAGAAGGTATTTAATAGTAACCTAGATTTATATAACAACATTTGTTCCAAACAACATTTGCATACATCATATAGTTTGTCCATACAATATCCCTATAAAAACAAGAAAAAAAAAGCATCCTCATCATTTTAAAGATGGTAGAACTGAGGCACAAAACATATAAAGGTTTTTCCAAGATTTCACACATATACAAAGTAAAACATATTTGAAAATCATTTCTCCTTTTTAACATATCTCTATTATTAAAATCTGAGTGCAAGATTATTGTTATAAAATGTATGCCCAGAAAAGATATTAGTTACAATGTAATTTCAATTATAAATCATTTTACCTGGCACTCTATGAGGCACTAAATAATTTTTAACAAATATGCAAATTAAAAGATTATATTTTCTAAATCTCATTGTGAAATTATGTTTAAATTTAGCACCAGCTCATATCCCACAAAAAAAAAAACCTAATATAGGGAAAACTTGTGATAGAAACAGTCTATTAAATGAAATTATATTTTGATTTCTAAAGCTGCCTTGCAAGAACAGAGGTTACAATTTCTAGAAGGAGCCATATACAAATTTAAAAAGAGCCATAATTCATGCAAAGAAACATTTTCTAACCTGTAATTTATAGTTCAGCTGCCTTTCTAAAATCTCAAGCTTTTAGTTAAATAATTGTAGATTTGTTGCTCAGTTTAAAAACCCTTCTGGAATCACGTCTTTAACTGGCGTTGTGACGTCTTACGTCATGATGTTGCGTCACCACGTGATGACGCTGTGCCATCACAACACATCATCGCATATTGACACAATGTCATGGCATAATATCATCAAATTAAATTCATCAGCACTCCCCACAGCCTGGCCCCAGGAAGGGCAAGAGAGCTTTAAAGTTTCTCTTTGTTCTTGTCAACACACTCCTGGTTGGTAGGCGAGAACAGCAACTGGACAAATCATTTCCTGGTCTATTAAAACTTCCTAGATCTCAAATTAGGAGAATTTGAAAGTTACAGCTTAGAGTTGGAGGAAATAGTTTTCACGGGGATAGATTTCATGGCTTGTTACTCACCTTGCCCCATAACTAGTTACACTTGAATCCCATTTTAAAGATAAACATTTATAAATGTTAGTTCCTCCTTTTTTTCCCAGGCCCTAAAATAGGATCATATTTAGGCTGGTGAAAAAAAAAATTAATTTGTTTCTAATTTCTTGCCCTCAATGTCCACCTTCCTCAAATTGTTTTCCTTCACCACAACATTCCTCTTCTATAACATTCTGAAATAGCAAGTAATGGAGGATAGGAGGCAGATCCAGTCAATAGTTTTGACTACAGACATTTATATAAGGCTGGAGGGTGTGTTGAAAGCTGTGAGAGAGGGCCTTTTGCCATCACAGGCTTGGTGACAAGCAGAGTCTCCGTGTTAGCAACTATGATAAACCTGGGCATTTGGATGAAACATTTATCTGAATGTTATCTGAATTAACTTATGAACTCTTCCAAAAATATGTAGTTACCAGTTCATTAAACATAATGGGCGGTTTGTGCAGACTGTCAGTGTGTGACCTCTCTTTCATTAGTTCATTTGCTGTGTGCCAGACACTGTTCTAGGTACAAGGGCTCAGATGAAACAGAAGAAACAGTGTCACCTTGAGGTGCTCACAGAGCAATAAGGGAGACAAGTGAGCAACAGATTTCAAGACAACCTGCTAAGGGCTCTAATGATGATATGACAGAGTGTTCTGAGGACTCAGAAAAGGAAAGGATAATCTAGGGTTGCCAAGAAGATCCTATAGGGGAGAGAACATATTTTTGTATCTTGAAAAATGAATAGGCAGAGAAGAAAAAAATTCCACATTCAAATGCAAGAATTGGACAAGTTGGACATGTGGGAGACACCAAAGTATTAGACTAAATCCGTCATTTTGTAGATGTTTTCTCAAAATGATTGGTTCATATAAATTTTTTTTTTTTGCTTTTTTTTTTTTTTGTTTTTTTTGAGATGGAGTCTTGCTCTGTCACCCAGGCTGGAGTGCAGTGGCGCAATCTCAGCTCACTGCAACCTCCACCTCCTGGGTTCAAGCGATTCTCCTGCCTCAGCCTCCTGAGTAGCTGGAATTACAGGTGCACGCCACCACACCCAGCTAATTTTTGTATTTTTAGTAGAGACCAGGTTTCACCCTATTGGTCAGGCTGGTCTCTAACTCCTGACCTTGTGATTGCACCCGCCTTGGCCTCCCAAAGTGCTGGGATGACAGGCATGAGCCACCGCGCCCGGCCCATATAAATGATTTTTAAGAGGTACTGACTCACACTCATATTACCATAATCCTTCATCATAATTACAAATAGCCTCTAGATAACTCATGAATACGCTGCATCAATGCAGTGGAGTTTTCTTGTAGGAGCATTTTCCATCCATGAGACCAAATATGTTCCTTCTCTCTTTGTAACCAAATAAAAACTGAAAATCAAAGCCACTTGTACTTTCTTGAAAGCATCTGACTAGCCATAAAAACCTTGGCAACTTCTCTTCTGGTGTGTACATAAAGATGGATTAGGAATATCCCTGCTGCTGATTCACCTTTTAAAACAAGCACTGGAAAAACACTTCAGCCCAGCCAATGATAAGTGGTTATATATTCTGACATTAAGCCCCACATGAAAGTCACTGGTAGACATTTTCTACAGCTACCATAATCCTCAAGAGGTGTTTAGAAACTAGACATAACAAAAGAATAAAAACTTGAGGGGATTTCAGTCCTAAAAGACTTCATCTTTCTGAGAATTACATGACATCGAAAGGCAAGTTTTCAAACAAGTTTCTAAAATGTCACTTTTAAGCTAGACAAACACATATCTTTTTAGAGGTTATGAGAGCAATTATTTAAACTTGATAAAATATTTAATGTATGGCTTTGAATCTTTAATGTATGGCCAAATAAATACTCATATATGATATATACACATATATATTCATTAACATATATATTTTATAAAATGATACAAAGAAGAGTACTAGTACCTACACTCCAAAAGACATGCAATAAGTAATAATTTGGTTACAGAAAGAGAGAAAAAGTTTTCAAATAACAATCCTTTTTCACTGATAGTTTATACAAAATTTTATCATGAATAGGATAGTAAGAAACAAGATACAATATGAAATTTGCTTGAATAAGTGATATATTTAGTAAATGGAATACAGAAAATATAGGCAGAATATCTGCTGAAAATAGGAACCCAATGATATATAACAGTCCAATATGGAGTTAGTGAACTTCTTAAGATTTGTTTCTTTAAGAATTATAAGTATGGCATGCCTTTTTTAAATTCCAAATCCAGAAGATAAACAAGAATAGCAACATGAGAAATTCCTAGTTTTTGCAGATTTAGTCAGCTGTATATTAATGTACTTTTCATCTAGATAGAATTTAAGCAACAGATGCATGTAGCAAAAAAAAAAAATTTAACTCATTTTGTGTCTTTCAGAGCAAAGAATCTTTTGTAGTAGAATAATCACCCATCATTTGCCTACTTAGCAAGTTCAGGGTTCCACATATTTGCTTTTTCAAATAGGGACACATTTGTGCAAATGTGTCCAGTTATATAGTGATAGGGTGGCCCTGAAAGTGGGGCTGAACATGTTCATATGAAACTTGCCTGCCTCCATGTTGCACACCTACCTTGTATACCTGAGACAGGTATAACAAACAACTGCACTTATTCTTTCTGTCCCCATAGCTTTTCTTCTACTTCTTTAGGACTCCTAAGATTCACATGAACTGAAGCAAAATATCCACAGAGAGACATTAAACTTTATTTACTTACATGAATAATTTTCTTTAAATCATTGAATTCACAGAAAGGAAGGGGTAAAAGTACTCCTGCTTATTAAGGACTATGCTAGCTACTAGAAATTGTGCTAGGTGATTTACATATGTTATCTCATTTCGTGCAGTTACTTATTTAATGATCTTGAAAAGGAATACAATTATTAACTAATACAAACTACAACATTCAGCTGTTTGAATTAATCTGATAGCTCATCATTTTTAACCAAAAAAATACATTAACATTTTCAAGTGTCTCTATGAACTGGGCATTATTATTTTAAAATTAACCCAACTTATTTTCCCATGGTTACTAGGTGAATGGGCACAGATCAAGCTACCAATTTAATCAATAATTTCTGGCTTTGGGGCCCCTGCAGCAGAATATTCATCTCCACCTTTATCTTCCTTTCCCCCACACCCTTCCTCCCCCTGCTGATGCTTGTGGAAGCTCAAGTTCTACTGTGTTTCCAGATCTTCCTCTACCATCTGGGGTGTTGACTGATATCTCTCTGCTATCGTTACTGATGACAGGACTTTATTAATGTCATCTCAGTGTCTATCTTGTCACTGCTCAATTCAGGCCTGCAGATGCTAAAGTTGGGAAGGATACTTTTCCCACCAGAATGTAAATAGTCTACTGTACTTCCATACTGGATGTTCTTTATTTTTCACACTATAGGAGAGCCCCAGACTGATTAATTAAAGAATCCTAAATTTAAGTTAAAGTTGGTGAATCTCAATTTTCAAAGCAGCTTCTTGACCTCCTTGATGCTGGATCATCCAAAATTTCCTACAGAAGAAAGGCTGCCAGGCGTGGTGATGTGTGCCTGTAATCCCGGCTACTCAGGAGGCTGAGGCAGGAGAATTGCTTGAACCCAGGAGGCAGAGGTTGCAGTGAGCCGATATCGTGCCACTGCACTCCAGCCTGGGCAACAGAGCAAGACTCCATCAAAAAAAAAAAAAAAGGAGAGAGAAAGAAAGAAAAGAAGACGAAAGGCTAATTCCAGGTAATTCAGACAAAGAGATCATGTGGGGAAAAGGCAGATAGCTAAGCTGGTGAAGCCAGGTGTGCAGGAGGATCCCAGCAAATCTGGGGAAACAAACATGACTAAAAAGGATACACCAAGAGAGGAGCTGGCTTGACACAGCATGCAATAGGGAGTCATTGCCATTTATAAAAGAAGGAATGGTGTAATAAAAGCAGCACTGTAGAAGGATTCAGGAGGAATTGGAGGAATTCCAGGAGTCAGGGCCACCATGACACTGCAAGCATGAAAGCTGGGGTTCAGCTGGTGTCAGGGGACATGGGGGTGTAAGAGTCCAACCAGAGATGTTTTCAGCAAAATAAATGTCAGGACTTGTGAACACATTGTATATAAGAAATACTGTAGGAATGGTTGGTACTTTTCTTTATATATCTGGTAGAATTTGACAGTGAATCCATCAGGTCCTGGGCTTTTTTTGGTTGGTAGGCTATTTATTAGATTCAATTTTAGAGCTGGCTTTTGGTCTGTTCAGGGAATCATTTTATTCCTAGATCAGTCTTGGGAGGGTGTAATTGTCCAGAAATTTATCCACTGCTTCTAGGTTTTGCAGTTTGTGTGTGTAGAGGTGTTCACAGTAGTTTCTGATGGTTGCTTTTATATCTGTGGGGGTCAGCAGTAATATTCCCTTCATCATTTCCAATTATGCTTATTTGGATCTCCTTTCTTATCTTCTTTATTACTCTAGCTAGTGGCCTATCTATTTTATTAATTTTTTTCCCACAAAACCGACTCCTGCTGGGTGTGGTGGCTCACACCTGTAATCCCAGCACTTTGGGAGGCTGAGGCAGATGGATCACAAAGTCAGGAGATCAAGACCATGCTGGCTAACACGGTGAAACCCCGTTTCTACAAAAACATACAAAAAATTAGCCAGACATGGTGGCAGGCACCTGTAGTCCTGGCTACTCAGGAGGCTGAGGCAGGAGAATGGCGTGAACCCAGGAGGCAGAGCTTGCAGTGAGCCGAGATCACGCCACTGCACTCCAGCCCGGATGACAGAGTGAGACTCCATCAAAAACAAACAAACAAACAAACAAAAAAGCAACTCCTAAGCCAGGCCAGGTGCCATGGCTCATGCCTGTAATCCCAGCACTTAGGGAGGCCAAGGTGGGCAAATCACTTGAGGTCAGGAGTTTGAGAGCAGCCCAGCCAACATGGTAAAACCCTGTCTCTACTAAAAATACAAAAATTAGCCACTTGTGGTGGCAGGCACCTGTAATTCCAGCTACATGGGAGGCTGAGGCAATAGGATCACTTCAACCAGGGAGGCGGAGGTTGTAGTGAGCAGAGATTGCACCACTGCACTCCAACCTGGGTGACACAGTAAGACTCTGTCTCAAAAACAAACAAAAAGAAAAAATAAATAAATAAACTCATGGTTTCTCATGTCTCCATTTTCTTCAGTTCAGCTCTGATTTTTGTTATTTCTCATCTTCTGCTAGCTTTGGGGTGGATTTATTCTTTCTCTAATTCTTGCAGTTGTGAAATTAAGTTTTTAATTTGAGATCTTTTTGACATGGGCATTTAGTGCTATGAATTTCCCTCTTAAAACTACCTTAGCTGTGTCCCAGAGATTCCAGTATGTTGTTTGTTCTCATTATTTTCAAAGAACTTCTTAATTTCTGCCTTAATTTCACTATTTACCCAAAAGTCATTCAGGAGCATGTTGTTTAATTTCCATTTAATTGGATGGCTTTGAGTGATTTTCAAAGTCTTGACTTTCTATTTTTATTGTGCTATTGTCTGAGAGTGTGTTTGGTATTATTTCAGTTCCTTTACATTTGTTGAGGATTATTTTATGTCCAATTATGTGGTTGATTTTAGAGTATGTGCCATTTGGCAATGAGAAGAATGTATATTCTATTGTTTTAGGTGGAAAGTTCTGTGAAGGTCTATAATATCCATTTGGTCCAATGTTGAGTTTAGGTCTTGAATATCTTTGTTAATTTTCTGCCTTGATGAACTCTCTAATACTGTCAGTAAAATGTTGAAGTTTTTCACTATTATTGCACAGAAGTCTATGTCTCTGTGGGTCTCTAAGAACTTGCTTCATGAATCTGGGTGTTCCTGTGTTGAGTGTATATATACTTAGGTTAGGTCTTTTTGTTGAATTGAACCCTTTACCATTTTGTAATGCCCTTCTTTGCCTTTTTTTATTCTTCGTTGGTTTGAAATCTGTTTTGTTTGAAATTGGGATTACAACTCCTGCTTTTTTCTGTTTTCTATTTGCTTGGTAGATTTTCCTCCATCTCTTTATTTTGAGCCTATGAGTGTCATTACACATGAGATGAGTTTCTTGAAGACAGCATACCATTGGATCTTGCTTTTCTATCCAGCTTGCCACTCTGTCCCTTTTAAGTGGGGTATTTAGCTATTCAAGGTTAGTGTCTGACAAAGGTCTAATATCCCACATCTATAAGGAACTTAAACAAATTTATAAGAGAAAACCCCATTGAAAAGTGGGCAAAGGACATGAACAGACACTTCTCAAAAGAAGACATAAATGTGGCCAACAAGGATATGAAAAAAAGCTCAATATCACCGATCATTAGAGAATTACTAATCAAAACCACAGTGAGATACCATCTCATACCGGTCAGAATGGCTATTAATAAAAAGTCAAAAAACAACAGGCTGGCAAGCTTGCAGAGGAAAGGGAACACCTATACACTGTTGGTGGGAGTGCAAATTAGTTCAACCATTGTGGGAAGCAGTATGGCAATTCCTCAAAGAGCTAAAAGCAGAACTACCATTCTAACCAGCAATCCCATTACTGGGTATACACCCAGAGGAATATAAATCATTCTACTATAAAGACACATGCATATAATAAATTTCATTGCAGCACTATTCATAATACCAAAGATGTGGAATCAATCTAAATGTCCATCAATGACAGATTGAATAAAGGAAATGTAGTACCATATATACCATGGAATATTATGCAGCCATAAAAAAGAACCAGATCATGTTTTTTGCGGGAACATGCAATAGCTGGAGGCCATTATCCTTAGGCAAACTGATGAAGGAATGGAAAACCAAATACCACATGTTCTCACTTATAAGTGGAAGCTAAATAAGAATTTATGAACACAAAGAAGGGAACAACACACACTAGAGGCTACTTGAGGTGAGAGAGTGGGAGGAGGGACAGATGCAGAAAATATAACTACTGGGTACTGGGCTTAAAACCTGGGTGATGAAATAGTATGTACAACAAACCCCATGACACTTGTTTACCTCTGTAACAAACATTCACATGTACCCCCAAACCTAAAATAAATTAAATGTTTTAAAAAAAGAAATGCTTGGAAGCTAAAAAGACAAGCACAACTCCAAATAATTTGAGGATGAAAGATAAGAAGAGTGTTGGGCTACTGACAAAAATGAGGATGTCAGAGGGCTGTGGTGGTGGAGATGGAAAGTGGTTTAATTTAGATGTGAGCAAGTCAAGATCACAGCAGACTGCCCAAGTGGAATTCTCATTCTTTTGTTACTGCCACAGTTGCAGAGCCCACCAGCGAAGTCTGGGACAGAGATGGTGGGGGCACCTATTTCCCAGCACAAACCTTTTCAACAACTACTAAAATTCCTGGTCAAAATGAACCAAACCTATTCATTCTTTCATTTAAAAAAAATTAACATGTCTTTCCCTGTAAAAAAAAGAAATGAATTTTTCTCTTTCTTACTCAAAAACTGATCTTCAGAAAATCATTGAAATCATTCACGATTCTGAAACTTTTGCTGAAAAGCTTTGATGTATTAAAAAGAATAATTACTTAAAAAACAGATCCTTTGACACTCCAGATTGGAATTTGATGACTTTTTTCCCACAGTGATTCAATTAATTGGTTTTTCTTAATGTTTAATGGTAGCAAAGTCATCACATTGAAGAAACCTTATGTCATTTATCAGCTTCTTCTCCAGAGCCCTGAGAACACCTGATGATTATTTCAATCCAACCAATCACTCACTGAACACATAATCATGAATAATTTAGTAGAGCAATAGATCCATTACTTAATATAGTGCTAACCTTTTATAATGCTTATACCTGGGGAGAGGACTAATATCTGTGTCACAGAATAACTGATATCAGGCCTTGGGTTTTGAAGGTAACATTGTGACTTATGGAATATCTAAACGCATGCAATTATAAACCACATTATGGGAAAATAGTTAACCTTTGTGTAGCATTTAAGAGTTTACAAGGTACTTTCTCAGACATTATCTCATTTGATACTCAAATCAAACCTGTGAGAAAGGTATTCTTTATTTTTTTTTAATTTAACTGACACATAATTGTACATATTTATGAGTTATATAGTGATGTTGTGATACATAGAATGTATAGTGATGAGATCTGGGTAATTAGCATATTCATCAACTCAAATACTTATCATTTCTTTGTATTGGAAACATTCAATATCCTGCTTCTATTTGAAACTGTATATTATTAACAGTAGTCATCCTACAGTGCTAGAGAACACAAACTTATTCCTCCTAGCTAGCTGTAATTTTGTAAGCTTTAACAAATCTCTCCCCATGTCTCCTTTCCCCCTACCCTTCCCAGCCTTTGCTAGCCTCTGCTCTACTTTTTTCTTCGATTAGATGAATCATTTAGCTTCCACATATGAGTGACAACATGTGGTGCTTAATGTTTTGTTCTTGGCTTATTTCACTTAACGTAATGAGGTATTATAAGTGAGGACAGCAGGGCTCAGAGAGGCCAAGTGGTTTGCCTAAAACTGCCTAGCTATTAAGTGGCAGAGCTGAGATTCTCCCCCGACAGTCTGTGCTGTCTCTTGTACCAGTATTCACTCTGATGTGATAAAGGCCCAAATGCCAACGGGCTTTCTAAAGTAGGCTCTCTCCATTCCACACAGCACCAACAGCCTACCCATGTGAGGGCCCTGTTGCCCTTCATCTTTGTTGACCACCTCCCTCTGGTGGCCAAGAGTTCTCACATGAGAACCTTCAAGAGGAGCATCATAAACTACCATTTCTAGAGCAAAAAAATGCTTGTTTCTCAGGAACCAAATCACACATGAGCATTTCTGCAACATATACCCATCATCCTGTAGCAAAGGAAGCCACACATCTGGTAGTAACAGGTGCCGTATTCTTTTTTTAAATGATTCCTGCCATGTGACAGTTCATGTAAACAGCACACAGAATTCTACCCAATCAAGAATTACTCTTTATTTAAAATTCTTAAAGGAGACTTGCCTTGCTGTAAGCTAATTTTGTGAAAGTTTGTTTTGCCTATTCAATATTTAGCTTGATTTCCGAAACTATCTGGAACAGTCTTTACTAGGTTTGTCTGTTTCTCTCTCTGAGACTGCCTATAATAGATAAAAGCAATGCTTTATTTCCATAATCTGCTCTTGAGAGTTCCTCATTATGCTTAAATGTCTCCCCTTTGTTTTAAAGGGTATTATCCTGCATTCAATGCAAGAAATTAAAAGTGTCATTAGATAAAACTGACATTTCTTTTATAGCAAAAGTAAACTCAATCCAATTTAGAATAGTATGTCAGGTTCCATCTTTACTTGTTAGATAAATCACTGTTACAATAATCTTCATTTTCATCTTATTATTATTATTTAAATTTTTTACTTACAAATAACAGCACTCCAAGGATCATGTAAAACTTGAATTTAAACAAAGTTCTGGGAAAGGTGGCTAGTGATTCAGGGAGAACAGCAAAGGGAGATATGGTTTATAATTACACCTATTTAGGTAACTGTGCCAAATCCCTTTAGACCAGTGAAAGCACACAACAGAGCAGATCCTTTCCCACTAAATAAACAATAAATAAATAATTTACCATGATATGGTGAGCCTTGAGTTTTCCCCCATTCCTTCCATCCCTCGTATTAGTCAAGGATAATTTCCTGAAATATCTAGTATTAATGAAACTCTTTTATGAATCAAAATTGTAATCATTTAGAATCTGTGCTCAAAAGATGTGGGTGGTTTGATAGTCAAAATCACATTATTTAGGGGAACTTGTAGCCAGCATTCCAAATTCAATTTATTAACTCCCTCATCAATAGCCAGAGTATTTGACAATTTATTCAAAGCTTTCAAACATAGCAAGAGACAATAAGAATGCCGTGCCTAGTGCTAAGGGGATTCCAGGCACATTATCAGAATGGGGGCTTGCAGTGTAACTAACCATTTGTGGATGCATGGGACAGCAACATTTCCTGAGACATGGGACTTTTGGTGCTAAACTCAAGACAGTCCTAGACAAACCAGGTTAGTCACTCTAGGGTCAGGTTGAGGGAAAACCTTCAACTAGAACTGGGGCACACATGGAGAAGGATTTCTTCCTAGAAACAGGAGAAAAGCTGCCTCGCTGAAGCCAGAGCACAAGGTCAGAGCTGGACTCAAGACCTTGATGCAAGAGCAACAGGAGTATTCAGTTAAAGCTTTTTACCAACTACCGACTGAAGACAAGATTGGTCCCAGAGCAGGAGACAGGCTGAATCTTGGAGTAGAGATGATTACACCACACAGTGAGGAGGAATATGGGAATAAAATATCCATATTTACTGAGGGGATAAGAAGACCTTATCCTCCTGGCCTGTCTTCTCTTTGTGCTCTCCTGTTAGCTGAATCCAGTCAGCTGTTTTTCTTTCATTTATGCCAGGATGCATCACTTTATACTTAAGCATGTGTGGACAGAGAAAAGCTCCCACTAAAACACTGACATAAAGAGAGGAGGATCGCACCAGAATTATAGGGCTTCCCTGCTTTTGTGAAGGAAAAGTCTTTAACGTTATTATAAACATAATATATGGTACTCAGATTGGGGTTTCTGTTATATTGAACCATTTTCATTGGAAGACAAAGTTTCTCTCCCCTCTTTCCACAGGCAGCCAGTACACATTGTTGTCTCCATTGTAACCATTATTTTATTTTTATTTATTATTTAAAGACAGCGTCTCACTCTGCTGCCCAGGCTGGAGTGCCACGGCACGATCTCAGCTCACTACAACCTCCACCCTGTGAGTTCAAGCAATTTTCGTGCCTCAGCCTCCCAAGTAGCTGGGATTACAGGCATGCACCAACATGCCCAGCTAATTTTTTGTATTTTTAGTAGAGATGGAGTTTTGCCATGTTGGCCAGGCTGGTCTCTGACTCCTGGCCTCAAGTAATCCACCTACCTTGGCCTCCCAAAGTGCTGGGATTACAGGCATAAGCCACTGTGCCTGGCCAATAACAAATATTTTAATTTAAAAAAAAAAGAAATCACCCCTTTGTGGGTAGGAAATTCTTTTGTAAAGACAGGGATTCACGAGTATGACTTGCTGCCAGGGTGAGGACTGTACACTTAGGACAAAGCAGATGAGAGAACCCCAAGAGGAAAGTAGAGAACTGTTGACATTCACCTCTTCCCACCAGAAGGTTTCTCTCTCAGAACTAAAAGTTAGTGATATTCTATATGCTGATTTATTTTACTAAAGGAGATAAATATTCCTTTACAAATGAAGCAGAAATATGGTGTCATGATTAAGAGCATTTGTTTATTCCACTGGTTAAATGTATGATCCTAGTTTTGTAACCTCTCTGAGACAAACTTTCCTCATTTGATAAATGGGTACTATAACCCACAACTGGCAGGGATTTTCTGAGAAGTCATAAAATAGCAAACGTAGAATGCTATGTCCAACATTAGTAGGTGTTCAACAAATGTTAATTATTTTCCTTCCTTTTTCCCTGCCAATATCCTATCTGAAAACAAACAAATAGGTCACTATCAAATTTGAAAAATTATTCGTCATCACGATTTATTACCAATCTCAGTAACAGGATGATGGGCACATTCAGTTCATTTTCTTTTAAATTTACCTTAGCTTTCAACATCTAACTTGTCTTTAAAAATACCATTCACTAAAATAAGTGGATATCTGGTAGAGACAACCTGATATTTGTACTTGAAATATTCTAAAATGCACTTGGACAATCAATTCATCCACTCACTTATGTGTGTATCTGTCGACAAGTGTGCTTGTTTCTACATAAGGATCATTATATACAAGCCCCATTCTGAGCGCCTCTGTGTTTGATTGTTTTCTAAGAAAAATCATGATTTCCAGGTGGAACAGTGAGTACTACCCTTTAAAACCTCTGAAGTTGATTTTTACTTATATCACAAACACAGGCATCAAATGGAAGATGAGATAAAGTTCACCACCAGCTTTGAACAGTAAAAATGACAGAAATTGGGAGTTCTTTCTGAAATAATGCATAGAAGTCAATACAGCCAATAACTCTTCCTAAACCTTGTCCAAGCAAAGACGCTTCAAGTCACCATAAACCATGATGTGTCCCAGAAGCTCATTGAAAACAATGAGCTAGCACAGGGATTATTTTCCTCAATTTTGACTTTTATTACTAGTGAAAATTAAGAGCTATCACCATGTGTATTCTCACAAGCACATTATATGTATAAATAAATTGGTTTAACTCTCTCAATAATTCTGAACTGAAGGGACTATGATTATCCCCATGTTAAAGACGATGAAACTTGGAAAATAACCCAGGGTTTTAGAACTGGTGACAGCAAAGTTAAGACTGGAACGTGTCTCTTGCTGAATTCAAAGCCCATAATCTCTAGCCATTAAACTAGGTAAGAGAAGAAAGGTAATTTTTTCTTTTTGGAAATATTATAATCCTGCCTAAGAAAAATTCTGAAACAGGCCATTTCATCTTCAGTTTCTAACAGCATTAAATAATGTAACAGAATAGGTACCTTCGTTTTACCTTCCAAATCGTCTAGCTAGTCCAAATATCTGGGTCTGCAAACGGCATTTTCTGAGTCCCAGGTTCCAGATCATCCTTACTATTTCACAGAAAATAACATCACTGCCAAAGAAGTTATTTCTCCAAAGTAACTTCTTAGACTTGACGTATGTAGTTTAAGCAAATGTCCTTTAATGTTCTCTTCATCGTGGCTGGGGAAAAAAAATACCTAAAAAGCTCTGAGTTTTATTCACTTCAAAAAACGGAATCACAAAAGATTTGAAAAAATGTCCTAGTTTTTCAACTCAACTTTAAAAGGTTTTTTCAAATGGTTAATTTGATATCCTAGAGTATTCAGCAGGATCCCTTAATGAACTTAAAACTGGACTTTTTTTCTACAGACTTGGTGTTCAGATAATGATTTAAGACCACCTCACCCTGCCTTCTTTGTGCATGGATGTCATTAGACTCAAAGTCAAGCATGAAGGTGAACAGACATTAATGTAAGACCACTTAGAGCTACGTTCTCTGCATCACTCACAACAAGCCTCCTTTATTAGCCCCTGACGGGGGATTCATTAGTTGGTCGGACTGGATCAAAAGCTAGGTGGAAATAACCCTTCCTGGCAACTCAGACGTTTTTCCTATTTCTCTTCTTATTTGTAGAGGTCAGTTCATAGATAATAGGAAACACTGTAACTCAAAAGATAATGTGGTCTCTGAATGCAAATCAAATTAATAGATTAAAAATATGGTGACATGGTTGAGGTTCATAGTTGATCTTTTCTATATATACATATTTTTTTTTGCCAGAAATAAATCCAACTGGCCTCTTCTCCACTCAAGATTTTCAAACTGAATATCAGACCCCCAACTGAAATTCAGTATGGTAAAAATAGAAATAGGTATCTTTGCTTTCAGTATTTTCCCTCTCTACTCCCACATGCCCAGCTTTGCTATGTGGAATGCCACTGATACCACTGAAATTACCCCCTGAACTCCAGTTTCTCTCCATTCCCTTTGATTGCTCAGTTCTTACTCAAGCTGTCTTCAGTGCCGCTCTTCTTCCCACCGAGACATGGTGAGGTTTATGCTGTTTTCAGGCATAGACAACTAGCTTCCACCATTCTGTGTAATATATCGTGTTTCCTTGCCTGTGCACACCTGGTTCACCCAAACATCACCCTGTACACCCAACTACCCTGTAGTCTCAGCTCAGCAAGCATTCTCCCTTCATTTTCCTCATACTTGCATTTGAGGGTGTCAGAAGCTCTCCCTATCTGCACAAACTCTCCATTCACATTTTACTGAGCCAGTTCTTTCATACCCACAAAGAGTTCTTATGTGCGCCCCTCTTCCAATAGGATCTCTGAGACTGCTAACATATTTCCTAAAAGTTTCCCATTATCTGTAGAATAAAATATGATCTTCAGCCTGGCCTTTAAGGTTCTCCAAGGTCTCACTGTGTTTGTGGATTTTTTTTTCCCAACCACTCCAGATTATATTGATCTCTGAAACTTTTTAGCATTTATATCTGCATCATTTGTTCTCAAACTTATGCTTTCTTCCACTGTTTCATGAGAATTTTATGTCTGTTTGTTGCCCATCCTGCCAGCACTAAATGCTGAACCCTCATATTATACTTTTTTTTTTTTTGCAGCATCTGGCTCAACACACAAATCGGGGCACTTAAAAATATTAATTCAGTAAGATGGAATGAGTGAATGAGTGAAAATAGAGTGCTACCTAGAAACAGAGAAACACAAAGGATGTTCAATTTGGGGAGAGAAAGCTGTAGGTGTTTTTCCAACCCACATGATACATCTTAAACATTATTTTTAGGGAGTTCTTGAAGATGGGCAAGATAAGGTCAGACACTGTTCTAGTTCACTTTTTTTTATTTTGACAAGGCACCAGGAGAGACAAAGCTAGCCCACCTCTCTTTCTTTTTTTTTTTCTTTCTTCAAAAAAGGCCATCCTCGCTTCCTTTTCCCTTTTCCTTCAAAAAGTAGTATTCTACAGGAAAAACTCTCAGAGGAGGGGAGAGAAAGTGAAGGGGAAATGAGAAGGAGAGTCAGTCATCACCGCCACAGCTGTAGGAAGAACGCCTTCCTCTGCCCAGAAGGCAGGAACAAACACCACCCGATTCCAGCCCACTGAGCAGACCTTTGAGAGGGATCAAACTTCTAAGTACTGGAGGGACCTAGAAAATTGCTTAAAAGCCAGGAAGGATCAGCCACACAAAAGGCATGCAGGGCAGAAGGCCAGTGCCTCTGGATCACTCTGAACCCATGAACAGAAGAGCGGAGTAATGGTCCATGACTGCAAAGGGGGCAGATGAGTAAGTACAGAGAGATGATCTGCGCCCCATCAGTGAAACCCTGAAGATGATCCTTCAGGATGCTTATAATGGTTGCAGGTTTTGAGAAGACAGATACTTTTAGAGGGGTCAGGGATTACTAGCTGAGAAGCTTCCACTTACTCTTTCAGGAAAATGAAAGTACAGGCTCTGTTCTCTGCATCACCCACAAGACTCGTTTATTACCCCCCAATGGTGTGGGGACCTTTATTAGTCAGGGGAATGATTATTATTTTGTCTAACTCCACAGGCTGATTGGCTTGGCTTTCCCAAAGTCTATGAAACTAAAACTGACCCCGCAAATTAATAGAAACAGCATGAGTCATTTGAAGTTCAAGTTTTAGGAGCCACTCAGGTTCTCACGAATCATGAGGTGGGAGCAAGCCACCAGATGGAGGGCTCGAAGAGAGACCCAGCCCCAGAGGATCCTCTAGATTGCAACCAGCTTTTTTCAGACATTTTTATATATATAATAAGACTGTGCTCCTCCAACTAGACAGAAAGTCCTGTTGAATATGAGTCATTGGCTCTTAAATAGTTTGAAGTTTTTGTAAGGAGTTTTTGTCCTTGAAAATCCTTCTACAGACAAGACTGAAACATTAATCAAACCTTAGGTAACCAAAGGAGTATCCTTTCATTTAACTTGTGTTTTCAGCATTATAGAAGTTTTAGTAGTGCTGTAATGTTTCACATACAAATTGCTGTAATGTGTTTTGCTTAATAAGACTTGGAAATGGAAGTAGTTGCTACTGATAAGCCCAGATGGCAATACAATAGTATCCTGAATTAATCTGATATTCCAAACAATTTTAAACTTTTAAATAATAGAAGGTAGCAATAAAATAGTATTCTGTTGATTATAATCTAGAACATGGGCAACATTATTGGGGTAGGGGTGGCTACTGGGGACTTCAGTGTAAAACTCAGTCTTTTTGTCATTCATGAAAATTTAATTCCACATAGTCAATGTTTTACATTTCCAATTTTCATTCACCCATCACATCTGAGCAGGAAATTGTGCAATATAGGCAAAGGACAAGGACAGCAGAGGGTCACAATATGTGTACTGGAAAAGAATGAGGCAGGGGGCTGCTCCTCCTCTGGGGACAGAGCTTCTGAGATGTCCCCACTTGCCCTGTTCTAGGTGATGAGTCTCAGCTTTGTATATCCAGCAACTCAATTTTGCTAGCCACCTTGGAACTGGCTCACAATAACCCACGCTATCATTTGAAATGAGAAGATGATTTTCAGACATGCCTCTCGAGATAACCCAAAGCATCCTTCCCCATTATACAAGTTGCTTTGCCTGTAAGACCAAAATATTTCATCCAGTCTCCTGGCCCTGTCTCCTAACAGTGCTGGATATTAATCAACTGCCTTCTATATGCTCACCACTCCCCCTTTTAAAAGCTAGACTGATAATATCTCTTGCTGGCACCTCCTCTTGGATAAGTTAGTGCCTTCCTCCTGCCACAGCTGGATAGTTGGATTCACTGACAGAGTCAAGCCCTGCCTAGGGCTCACCCTGATCTCTTGATTGAAAACTTTGGATTTTAAGATGCTCCTCAGGTGTTCATGAGTGTCTCATTTACAAGCAGTCTCCCAAGCAGAGTATTCCAACAGAAGACTGGCTTCATCCTTTGTGTATTCTTGAAACTAATTTCATTCTCAGAGTTATAGGTGTGTTTCCTTCCTATAGACAGCCACATTTTATGTAGGAGTCTTACTCATTTTGTATAAAGGCTTATTTTATTTTCCCAGAGATTTCTGTGGTAAGAAATGCTGTCCATAGTTAAGTTCCTAGTAAAGATCTCAGGGGTAAAGGTGGGAGATGGGATGGTGGCAGCCAGGATCTTATAGGTTCACCAGGTGAGGCTTTAAGCTCAATCTATAGGTTACCCAGTTAATCACAGGTAACAAATAGTGTTTTCCACAAAATGTAGCATTACTTTAAGTCCTTTATAATTACATATTTCCCACAATTACTTAGCTAATGGACCACTACAGAAAATTTGGCTATATTCATAGTTTAGTAAAATGGAAGTGATTACAAAAAATAAAATTGATAGAAATACACTAAAATATTTACTTGATAAATGCATTCATAAATTAGTTTTAGTTGGAATTTTAAACTTTTAGTCAGGGCGAAGTATATGTGGGGCAGGGGGTCGGGGGGAGGTACATCTAACAACAGAGAAATCAGGAATAAATAAGGACACTTGTCTTATTATCCATGATATAAATCTACCTTCTTTGGTTTTGAATGGGATAATGTGGAGGGAGTAGTAGTGGCCTACGAAGCCAGCCAAGAAGCTGTTGAATCTAATTTATGACATAGTCCAGACCTGTTTTTGAGCCACCTGCCAAGGGGATTCTTCCCATTATTGGGGGAGGGAGAGGAAGGCATGTGAATAGCCAGCACTAACCACCTGGTTGGGCTAATGTTCACTGGGATCCTGAAAGAAAGAGGGCAAAACAGCCTGCTCACCCATACCTGTCTCCCAAGCTCCCACCAGTTTCACTGACAAGGGTAGCATTAGTTAGGCGAATGACTCCCTATCTTATTCACCTTTATACCACCCAAGAGCACCCAGCAGAAGGCCTGACACAGAGACAGTGCTACAATGTTTAATGAATTGAATTGTATGCTGGCCAATATTAGGCTTTACAATTGTTAAAAGATGGTTTGATATGCTTAGTCTTGTCAAAAACATTGTATGTAAGAAGAAGAAACTTGAGAAAGGTGGTCAGTAGAGAGCCTCTTCGACTAATAGACAGTTTGAGCATCTGACAGCTGCATTAGAAGCAGAAATTGGTAAACAACTTGACATAGTATAGCAAAACATTCATGAAGGCAGCCCTGAATCCCAAACAGGGATGGATAACCTGAGGACAAGGAAAGAAAAATGAGGCAAATAGACTTTTAATGCTGTAATATACATTAAACAGAAGCCCTCTATTTCTGTTCCATGTTCAGATCCATCTTGAGAGCACAGCAAACACTCAGAGTATCTGGGGGAGAAGGTCAGTTTTCATTCATCATTATCAGCAATGAATAGTTACTAAAAGGAGTGAGGCTTTGAGCCCAGGAAAGCAGAAAGAACAGAGAGAGTCCCCAAGGCTGGGATGAGGCAGGAAGCTGCTCAGGAGGATTAGCGCCTGACGTGGAAGTGGTTTCCCATTCTTCTCTTTTATTCCTAAGTTTCCTCCATTCTTCTCTTTTATTCCTTAAGTTTCCTCCAATGACGACACCCAGATCTTAATGCCCTTTAAGGAGTCCCTGAAGAGCAAGACCTGGTAGGGACCGCCCAGGAATCTGGTGGCTGACTAGAGCCCCAAGCTGTTACAGGGCCATTTGCTCTGCTCTTGGCCATCGTGTCCATTCCAAAACTGGCTTTGGCATTCATTGGGCTGGTCTGGCTCAAACTCTATAAACAAATGCCCTTCTAAGTAAGGACTGCCCAAGTGGAGAACAGAAGTCACGTCAGTTATGCCTTATCATTCTCAGGGATTCACAGTATTTTAGAGCTGTCTGTGGTTAAACAGTGGACAATTTAGGCCAATCAAAGCCATTAATGAGGAAGAAACTAAAGTCCAGAGAGATGGAATGACTTCCAGGGTCACACAGAGCCCAAGGGTGAGCCAGTCCAATCCTTCGACCACTACCTGCACCCCATATGTATGTGCTGTTCTCCCTTTATAGCCTTCGTTACTGTGTGTCCCATATTATTTCCATATTATTTTCCTAAGTCCAGGTCTTCAATGGAGTGTGTGTGCAGATGTGTCTGTGTGAGTATGTGTCTGTATCTGTGCTGAGCAGGGCAACTGTGCTGGAATAAGAGCTTCAAGAGGTCTTCAGAGAGCCCAGGTATTCACTCTAGCCCTCTCTCTGGTGTTCAGCCAAGCAAATGTCAGGAGTTTTCATAAGTAATATTTCTCTAACTGGCTTGTTCTTTCCCATGTAACCCAGATCTCAACCAGAATCTCTTCCTTCCTTGAAATTTAAACTGTATTCCCCTAAACCTTAATTTGTTCTTCATGTGCATCCATGAACTTCCCCCAAATTGCTGTGATTTCCAGAGCAGGTTCCAGCCTTGTGTGCTTCTAAGCTCCTTTTCTAACACAAGTTCTAGTTATAGCCTAGCTACTGGGGTGAAGGTGACATTCTCTGTCCTATATCATATGTGAAAATCAAACCCCTTCCAAAGACTCCTAACCAAAACAAAATAAAAACCACCCACACAGGGCCACTGTGAATACGAGAGTATGAGATATAGAGTCAGTTTGCATTAAAACAAACCACTTCGAACTGACCAGTAGACATGCCCATTTTTTAATTACGTTCTCTGCCAGGTAACAACCCCCTTGGTAACTCAAGTTTTACCATCTTCTTAACTTATTTTTACTCTTCTTTCTCATTATCTTGCTCCCCCTTTCTCCTCCTTTCAAGATTGCTTGAGATTCTGTATCCTTCTTGTTCTACTACTTAGAAGTAGCAACTCTCAACTGGAGGGGATTTTGTTCACGGGGGAACATTTAACAATATCTCAAGACATTTTTGGTTGTTTCAGTGAGGAGGTACCGGAACTTGACATGTAGTAGGTCGAGGCCAGGGATGCTGGTAAACATCCTGCAATGCACAGGACAGGTCCTACAACAGCAAATTATCTGGCCTCAAATGTCACAGAGTTGAGAAGGCTGTAGGTTGGGAAACCCTGATCTATAGTGACTTGGCTATAGCCATGTCTATTCAAATACCAACTACAGTCCTAGGCATATCCAAATTCTTTCCACCCTCCTTAGAACGTGGCAATAGTTTAAAATAGCATTTTCTTACTTCGGTTGCACTAACAAGATCCAGATGGAATGTCACCTCCCCTGGCAGCCTTTCCTGGTCCCTCTTTCCACTCCTCCATCTGTGCTTTCATGACACTTTTTACACACCACCGTCCTACCATCCGTCTACCTTGTTAGACCATAGCCGCTTAGCAGCATAGATCATTCCCTTTTAGCTCCTCTAGCACAGTTCCTGGCATAGAATTGGTGTTTAATAATCCTTGTAGAATGAAACTGAATCTTCAGAGCAGCTCCTCCAATCTTAGTATCAAGCCTGACAGAAGAGTGGCGATTATCATGATAGCTGAGGGCAATCATAACTCTTGTTAGAGAAGGTACAAATGTCATGGGGATGACTATATGATGATGCACGGTACAGCCTTGGTTGAAAAGACCACACTTAGTGTGAAGATCCAAAGATGACTCAACATGGCTCTTAGAGACACCCATTGTCGACAGAGGATATCAACCTGAGAAGATGGTCCCCATCCCAGTTTTCAGTGATGGCATCACAGCTTTCAATTTGCATTGCAATCAGGGCTATTTTAAAGGAAGAAATGTAACAGCCTATCTAAATATTGCTAAAGCACACATAAATGCCAATTTTTCTTGACTAAGGATACGTGGTATAATTATTTTAGAATTAGGAGTAATTTTCCAAAGCTTTGTAAGCACTTCATTAAGTAATAGAATTTCAAATAGTAACTTCTAGATAAACAATCGGTTGGTGAGAAAGAAAAATTGACATTCATCTATAAGGAAAAGGATGTATGAAAGAAATAGGAAATTTCAACTTAACACTTCTAATCAATAATTTTGATCTCATCTTCCAGATACTGTTACATCAAGCCATCCAACCATGATATATAAGCATAATTGAAGTATTAGGCAATGACATTTATTTATATATACATGTGGGCTTTGTGTTTCTTTTTTCTTTCTTTCTTTTTCTGAGACAGAGTCTTGCTCTGTCTCTCAGGCTGGAGTGCAGTGGTATGATCTCCGCTTACTGCAACCTCTCTGCCTCCCAGGTTCAAGTGATTCTCCTGCCTCAGCCTCCCGAGTAGATGGGATTACAGGCACCCATCACCACGCCTGGCTAATTTTGTATTTTCAGTAGAGTTGGGGTTTCACCATATGGGTCAGGATGGTCTCGAACTCCTGACCCCAGATGATCCACCCACCTCAGCCTCCCAAAGTGCTGGGATTACAGGCGTGAGCCACCACGCCCAGCCGTGTATTTTTTAAAGTTAATGACAATCAAACTTTGATGCCTTCTAAGGATAGATATTTCATCATTTCCTTTATTTAAAGATAAAAACAAATAGAAAATAGCAGTGAGGAAAAGCTAACAGCTACAGAAACCAACTGGATTTTGCATGACATCTTCCCTGCCAAAGTTCATGCCAGCCGATTACCCTTTCTCTACCCTGCCTCAGCTTCAAACAACTCCCCTAGAGCAAATCCTACCTACTGTAGACCCAGTAGCTGTTTCCCCTTTTTTCTTCCTCAGGGACTACTGGTTGGCAGTGGCCATTTGCCTCGGGATACATTGGCCCTGCCAGAGCCCAACTGGTGAATCTCAGTTTAGTTAGTTATACCCAGTATTTATCAAACAAAAAGGCCCCCAATGGAGACTTCGTAGGTATTTTTTTTTCCTTAAGTACTCCCAAACCTCCGTCCCCATCCTGTAAAAGTTTAATTCCACAGATACAATGTCCTTTGGAGGAACATAAACGATTGTAACACCTAAGATTATTTTTGTCCCTGTGGTACACAGAAAAACAGCCCCATAAAGACATCCACATTCTAATCTCTGGAACCTGTGAATATGGTAGGTTACACTGCAAAGGAAAATTAAGGTTGCAAATGGAACTAAGGTAGCTATCCAGCTGAATTTGAGACAGGAAGATGATCCCAGATGATTCTGGTGGGCCCATTGTAACCACAAGGGTCCTTAAATTGGGAAGGGGGAGGCAGAGGAGTCATAAATGAGAAAGGTCATCATAAAAAAAAGACTCGCTTGATCATTGCTGGCTTTGAAGATAGAAGGGGACCATAGCCAAGGAATGCTGGCAGCTTCTGGAAGCTGGAAAACAGAGCAAAATAGATTAAGAAAGGAGCACAGCTCTGCTGAATAATTAACACACCTTAATTACAGCCCTTAATTATTGGGCTTCTAACATCCAGAAATGAAAGATAATAAATCTATCTTGTTTAAAGCCACTAGATTTGTGGTCATCTGTAATAGCAGCATAGGAAACTAGCACATCCCCCATCCCCAAGAACCAATTTTGGTCACCACGGTGGCAATTCTGCCACCACTGAGAATGTATAGTCTAACTCAGTCATTGTAATCTCACTCCTTTCCCAGGTATTAATTTAAAAGTAGGCATGTGACTGAATTCTGGCCAAGGAGATATAAGCGTCCCCTGGAAGTCTCTGGAGGCTTTTTGGCTCTTAAAAAAAAAAATGGAGAGATTCATTTTAAGACAAACTTCCCTTTGTTTTTCTATAGATGTCACCATTTACTTGTGATCCCTGGACCTGCTACCAGGAGACAATGAGGGCTGACTGATAAGAAAGACCACATGCTAAGGGTAGAAGCACAGAACAGTGGGAAGGAGCTGGATCCTCGCTGCCTTTGTTTGCAGAGGGACACAACCAGCCAACACACTTCCAGACTTCTTGCTATATAGGAAGAAAAATGCACTCATTATTTAAGCTAGTTTTGGGATGGCTCTTTCCTGCTTGCCATCAAAAGCAACCTTTCTTCCCTTTACCAAAAATAAACGCATTCTATAAACAAAACATTCATCATTCAGTATCCCCTTGTTAGCTCAAATTTAATATGGTCAGCAGCGATATTTAAGGGAGAAGATTTCGGTGTCAGAGAATATAGAAATGAGATTCTAATTAGAGATGTTTAGCAGACACTTAATCCCTAGAATAGCACGAAAGGTCCTTTCTGGGCTAGCCTTTGCCCAGAACAGCCTGTTCTCTCATACCCCATTTCCCCCACCTGCCTCCACCCTGAACTCCATGTATCCTGTGCCCCAGTCACACTGAACAGCTTGCCATTGCAAACACATGCTTGCCTTCTCCATCCCTGTGCAGTAGAGCAGGATGGTCCCTAGAGCCCTTTTACCTGACTAACACCTTCTCATTATTCACAATGCAATGCAGATATTGGCTTCATGGAGCCACACCTGGCATCACCCCTACCCAGAGAGAGTGAAACATTAGTAACCTTACTTTACCTGTGTTCCCACAGAACCTTAGGTACATCTTTGCCCTGTATTTTTCAAATTGTCAGAAGTGCTGTAATTGGGTGAGTTAATGCCTGTCTCTCTCCCACTAACCTGGAACCCGAAGTTAGAAACTGTGGCCTTCATGGGTAAACCCCCACACCTAGTACTGTGCCTGGGCCAGAAGGGGAGGGAGGAGGCAGAGGGAAAAAGGGAGAGCAAATGAATATGAATGAGAGAGTGTGAGTCTGGAGCTCAGATGAGACATCAGAACTGAAGATATCATTTGGGGAGTCATCAGCATAGAGACGACAATTGAAACTGAAAGCTTGTATGAGATTGCCAAGAACAGTTTCTTTAGAAATATTCACCATCACGGGTGGGAGGAGGTAAAGGTGCAGAGAGAGAAGCATGGGAGAAGGAATTCTGAGTGCTGATAAAGGAGACAATTTCTGAAGGTATCAGCAGTGCTGGAGGATGCAAAGGGGTCAAGAAGGAAGGAAGCCAGGAAAAGGCCTTGGACTTGGCCTCAGAAAGAACCTCTAAGAAAGTAATAGTAATTTCACCAGAGTGAGTAGAGAGGAAGTCTAGTGGCAGGGGATTCAAGGGAGAGTGAACACAGAGTCAGTGGGTACACACTGAGCCCACACTGCTCCTGCAGATGCTCACCAGAAAAGGAAGAGAACAAACTATACCGCTCTTTGCCTTCTTTCATTCCATATTCACATGGGCTGATAATCCTGAAAACATTTTTATTTAATTAAAAAATACAATGCCTTTATATATTTTGGTCTGTTCAGGAATAAGCTCTTTAGGGATTTTGCCAAAGGGGATATAAAATGTAGTCCATTCTGCCAGGGCTGGTGTGGCAGCCTGGGGATTGGTTATGTGGTATGGATTCAGGGGTGGGCTTCCTTGTTCCAATAGACCAGGAACAAGGAAACCTGAGTCCCTGGTGCTAGTCTTTCCTTGTAACTCACTCTATGATCTTTATTAAGTTATTCATGTCTCTGGGCCTCAGTTTCTCCCTTCTTAACCTGCTTTAGTTCTCAATCCCACTCAATGATACCAGGAAATAATTCGACCAGTCAATGAATATTTACCTATTAGTTCAATGTGCAAAGCATTAAGCTAAGAGGCTAATGGAAGTTTCCATTCTTCTAATGGAAAACTCTGATCCCTATTATGACATAAATCTCTCCTGGGAAAGTAACAATCTTAGCTGTTATTAGTCATTAACACTACTGCGTAAATGTTTCCTCGATTATAATAATAATGGCAAACATTTCTTAAAAGCTTATTGCATGCTGGATCCTAAGCTTAAAACTTTACATGGGTTTTCTCTTTTAATCATTACAAAAGCCATAGGAAGTCAAGAACATTGTTAACCTTGTTTACAGATGTGGCAGGTGGGGCTTGGAGAAATCATTTGTCTAACATAGTCACGCAGTGATGTCACTAGGCAAGTGCCAGAGCGGGATCGGAACCCAGGCAGCATGGCCTCAAAGCCTGTTGCTTTAGTCAGGGTTCTCCACAGAAACACAACCAAGAGGAATTCCCTCTTGCTCAGGGAAGGTCAAACTTCTGTTCAGTCCTTCACCTGATGGGATAAGAATCACAGAAACATCCAAAATAATATTTGTCCACATACCTTGTGCAACTTGGCCCAGATAAGTTGACACATAAAATCAACCATCACACTTGTGCACTTAACAGAACAAGGTACTCAATAATATTTTTTAAAATATTAGTTCACCTCAAAGCATTTCTTTTTGTTTTCCTCACTTTCGTTGATAATATAATTATTCACCTAGGTGCCAAAGCCAAAACTTTGAGCACCATCCCTGCCTCTTCCTTCTCCCTCACTCTGTATACCCCATTGCTTGCAATTGTTTGATTCTACTTCTTAAAGGTCTTCCTACTAGTCACCTCATCTCCATCCTTGCAACCACAGCTTTATTTAGGACCTTGTTATTCATTGCTTGGACTATTGCAACACCCTACTAACTCAACCTGCTGCCTACAGATGGACTGAATCTCTCCATTCATCTTTCAGCCTACCATCAGAAGGAACTCCCTCAAACACAAATCTGGTCACGCTGCTGCCCTTTATATAATTCTTCAAATGCCCTACCTCCTTAGTTTGGTTTAAAAACAAGGTCCCCCCATCATCCCTTTCCTAAGCCCCCATACTCCTTGCATCCTACCTAACAACAACAACAACAACAAAATCTGCTTCCTTGAAATTGCCATTACCCTTCCTTGGTTCTAAACTTTTGCAAATGCTGCCCCCCTCTTTCACAAAAGGAATGCTGCTCCCTTTTCCCCCAAAATCGGCTCAAACACCATTATTGTCTGAAAGTGTTTCCTGATATCTCTGGGCAAAATAAAGTACCTTCATCCCTGTCCTTCCAGAGCTTCAGTACAGAATTTACCAACCACTGTAAGTAACACCCCCTCTAGACTATAAATCCCTAGGAGACAGTGCTATGTTCTGTTCATTTGGGGAACCTGAACACCTGACAACATACTACCCGGAAATATGAGAACAAGTACTTCATACATGTATTGGAGACCTTAGCAGAGATACAAACTTCTAGAGAATACATTTGTGGCTTATCTGCTCCCTTAGTGAGGGAAAAAAGTACTTAGTATCTCATAATGTAATACGGGGCTTAAAAATCATTGAAGGTGCCTAAAAATAGCAAGTAGGTCTACTTTTCCTTGGGAAGAGTTTTGATAAGATATTTTTGATCTTTTAGGAGTTAAAAAGATGTTTCTCAACCTCTAAACAGAGTTGGTGGGCAAGGCAGAATGGATTGGTAGAATATTAAAAATAGAGCGAGGCTAGGCTGTTCCTTCAAGATATTTGCAAACACTAGAATTTTTAAACACAAAACAGAATAGGAGTTGGAATATTTTAAGAAAATAAGTAAAAATGTAGTCCTCTTGCTATCTCCAACAGCTATGCATTTGAGTACCTGAAATGTGGGAGTAGACGAAGGGGCATTAGATACACTATAAACCATGTTTGTTATTATAAATAACACATAAAACCACAGAGCACCTTCATTATAGATTAATGTTACAGTTCTCTGTGGACACAAGACCATTGACAACATGGGGGACATGAGGTTGTAATAAGCCTTAGATTCTATAAGTCAATAAAATTAAGCCATGGCACAATTGTGTCACATCTACAGAAAGGCAGAGTAGATCATCACTGAGGGAGACAGTGATTCTAAGCCTCACTCACCTTGGCCAAGCCTGAAGATCTTGAGAAGTGTTTCTGTCCCATCACTAACTTACCCACTCATACTGGTGGTGTCAGTGCAGGAGTCACTGCTACTGAAGGCTGGTGGAAGGAAAGACCACAGGTTGTTTTTTGTTTTTAAATACTTTAAGTTCTAGGGTACATGTGCACAATGTGCAGGTTCATTACTTAGGTATACATGTGCCATGTTGGTTTGCTGCACTCATCAACTGGTCATTTACATTAGGTGTTTCTCCTAATGCAAACCCTCGCCCAACCCTCCACCTACTGACAGACCCTGGTATGTGATGTTCCCTGCCCTGTGTCCAAGTATTCTCATTGTTCAATTCCCACCTATGAGTGAGAACATGCAGTGTTTGGTTTTCTGTCCTTGTGATAGTTTGCTTAGAGTGATGGTTCCAGCTTCATCCACGTCCCTGCAAAGGACATGAACTCATCCTTTTTTATGGCTGCATAGTATTCCATGGTGTATATGTGCCACATTTTCTTAATCCAGTCTGTCACTGATGGACATTTGGGTTGGTTCCAAGTCTTCGCTATTGGGAATAGTGCCGCAATAAACATACGTGTGCATGTGTCTTCATAGTAGCATGATTTATAATCCTTTGGGTATATACCCAGTAATGGGATCGCTGGGTCAAATAGTATTTCTAGTTGTAGATCCTTGAGGAATCACCACACTGTCTTCCACAATGGTTGAACTAATTTACATTCCCACCAACAGTGTAAAGGCATTCCTATTTCTCCACATCCTCTCCAGCATTTGTTTCCTGACCTTTTAATGATCGCCATTCTAACTGGCGTGAGATGGTATCTCATTGTGGTTTTGATTTGCATTTCTCTGATGACCAGTGATGATGAGCATTTTTTCATATGTCTGTTGGCTGCATAAATGTGTTCTTTTGAGAAGTGTCAGTTCGTATCCTTTACCCACGTTTTGATGGGGTTGTTTTTTCTTGTAAACTTGTTTAAGTTCTTTGTAGATTCTGGATATTAGCCCTTTGTCAGATGGGTAGATTGCAAAAATTTTCTCCTATTCGCAGGTTGCCTGTTCATTCTGATGATAGTTTCTTTTGCTGTGCAGAAGCTCTTTAGTTTAATTAGATCCCATTTGTCTATTTTCACTTTTGTTGCCATTGCTTTTGGTGTTTTAGTCATGAAGTCTTTGCCCATGCCTATGTCCTGAATGGTATTGCCTAGGTTTTCTTCTAGGGTTTTTATGGTGTTAGGTCTTACATTTAAGTCTTTAATCTATCTTGAGTATGCATATCAAGAATATTGGAAACATACCTATTGTCAATAGAGCGGGCCCTCTGGATCATAAAATCGAAGTGAGGAAGAAAACAAAGGCATTCATGCCAGAGGAAGCAAAGTTTTTGGTTTGTTTTTGATTGTTTTGTTTTGTTTTTTGAGATGGAGTCTCGCTCTGTCACCCAGGCTGGAGTGCAGTGGCATGATCTCGGCTCACTGCAACCTCCACCTTCTGGGTTCAAGCGATTCTTCTGCCTCAGCGTCCCAAGTAGCTGGGACTGCAGGCACACGCCACCACACCCATCTAATTTTTTGTATTTTTAGTAGAGGCCAGGTTTCACCATATTAGCCAGGATGGTCTCGATCTCCTGACCTCGTGATCTGCCTGCCTCGGCCTCCAAAAGTGCTGAGATTACAGGCGTGAGCCACTGCGCCTGGCCCAGTATTTTTTTAAACAATTCAGAAAGCTATGTATCCAAATTCCGAAGCAATCTTGAGCAGTCATCAATGAAAGTCTTTAACTCAGTGAAGCACACATTGTCTTAAATGCCTTTATCTCTTTCCCTGGTCTCTGTCTACATGCACCTCCCCTTCCTTCAGTACCTAGCCCAAGCTTCCCCTCCATAAAGCCCTCCCATAATGTCCCTGGTTGGAACCAGTCACCTCAACCTCTGCACCTGCATAGTTTATGTGTGTATATCTAGCAATTATTTTCTCATCTTGGCTCTAAACTTTGAAGGGCAACTGTTGTGTCCGTCTCCAGTGCCTATCACAGCATTGTGCCCATAGCCAGGGTGCAGTGCATCTTATGGAATGTGACCAAGGGACATCTCCTGTTTTAGCATAAATAAAAGAAACCAGAGTTCTGCTCTTGTTCCACCTTCATTAATCAAGTCCTCCCTCCAGCTTGTTGTTTACCAGCAAGGGAGAGAAAAGCTGAACTCACAAGTTCATGCTGCTGAGATAAAGACCTGAAGCATATGTTGGCCCACAGGGAGGGCTCGATGCCAAAAGCTGGGGAGAAAACTAAAGTTTCTCCAAGGAAAAAATAAATAAGGGTGGAAAGGAGAGCACCTCCAGTTAAGGACAGGTACTATGACACCTGACACCAGGAATGCCTTTGCTGCTAGGTGCTTCCTTAACTGTGACAGGACATTAACACAGGACCTGCAGCTGGGGCAGGAGAAAAAGAGAAAAAGGAGCAGCAGAGAAGAAACCAGCCTCAGTCCCAGGCCCTTCTCCACTGCAGGGTTCCAGCTTAGAGCAACACCAAGCTGTGGGAGGGGAGAAACTTTCAGTTTGGCTGAATTTCAGTTTTATTACACAGGACTGGACATTTTAATAACTGAAATGAGACTTTTCATATATTTAGAAGTGAATAGAGAACGAAGAGTATGAGACCAATATACCTTCCAGATGGGGGTGGGAGAATCCTAGACTTCACAGGTGTAAAATCAGTAGGAAGAGGCAAAATTAAGAAGTTTCCAAAAACAAAACTCAAACCTTGAGGACATTACGCTAAGTGAAATCAGCCCATTACAGAAAGACAAGTACTGCAAGACTCCATTTATATGAGGTATCTAAAATAGCTAAGTTCATAGAATCAAAATCTGGAATGATGGTTGCCAGGAACTATGGGAAGAGAAAAATGGGGAGTTATTTAATCAATGGGCAAACAGTTTCAGTCAAGCAAGATGAATAAGCTCTAGATATCTGCTGTACAACGCTGCACCCACAGTAAACACTAATGCAGCATGCTCTTAAAAATTAGTTAAGAATAGAGCTTATGTTTAAGACTTTTTACCATAATAAAATGAAATAAAAAAATGAAGAATCTAAAAATTTAAAATTTTAAAATAAAGAAGTGGTACTGTGGAGTCTCACCTATCACATATACCAGTTACATTGACATTTTAAAAGTCAGTGCTCAATAATAGGGCTCCCCCAGAGTGCCTTGCCTGCTTCACGATTCACAGTACAAACAAGGCTTCCATGCTTCCTGACAATCACACATGGAATTCCATTTTTTAAATGAGGAAATGAAAAATAATTTAGAAACCATAAAAAGAAATAAAATATTTTCTTTAAAAATAGAGGACTCAGCCATGTTTATGACAGTCAAACAAAATGTCTATTTCTCTCCTTTTTGCCAGGGCTCCTCTGATTGCCATCCAATTAGCTAGTGGTCAGAGTGACCCATTAGTGAGAAGTCCTGTTAGGGAAGCCCTTTAGCTGGTATGCAATATGTGCTATTTTCACTGACTGGACTCAATTGGTGGTGGTGGTGGTGAGTGAAGTCTGCATTCTGCCACAGATAACTAATGTGTAGGTAGATGTGGTTCCTCTCAATAACCATGAAGGCCCTGGGTTAATTCCTTTGGTTGCCAACACACTAGGGTTGGTGAAGGCAGCACAGAATGGAGAGCCTTTACAAAGCTGGGGAGAATGCTCTAACAGAAGCTTTTTCTTGTCCTTGAAACTGCTTTGTTGTCATTTAGATGAAAGCCAAAACTATTTCTGATGAATATTATGATGCATGGTTACATTTAGATCCTATTTTTCAGGGGAATTTTGGCTACTGTAACTGAATTTAACATATGTTGATAGAGCTCTTTCATGCCCTGGGCACTGATGAATAAGACCAGGTTGCTAATTCCCCTGAGAAAGTTACAGTCTACGTAGAACGCAGTGGTGTCAATGGACTGACACCATACAGCATGTGCAATGGACATCTGTGTGGTTCACCTGCCAGGCAGCTCTTCTTCTTGTTGTAGGAGAGCATCACACTTTAGCTTTAAGAAATGACACCTCTCTGTGGCTTTGACCATATGTTTCAAGTGGAGCTCACCCCAGCTTTCTCTCCCCAGCTCCAGAAATGGGCATATGTCCCATGCATGGCTAAAGTGAATAGCACCTTCCCCAGGCCACAGTGATTGCTTGAGTGATGAACTGTCACTTCTTGTACAGTGGGGGCCAAGCCTTGGACTTCTGCGGACACAATTGGAAGCGAAGCACATCCTTTCCACTAAAGGTGCTGTATTGGGTTGAACTATATCACCCCAGAAGATATGTCCACCTGGAGCCTCAGAATGTGACTTTATCTGGAATAAGGTGTTTGCAAACATAACTGCAGTAGGGAATTCGAGATGAGATCATCTTAGAATAGAGTGAGCCCTAAATCCAATGACAAGTGTCCTTATAAGAGACAGAAAAGGAGAAAATAACAAATACACAGAGAGAAAGGTGATGTGACAATGAAGCCAGAGACTGGAGTTATGCAGCTACAAGGCAGGGATGCCAAGAATTGTTGGCAGCCACCAAAACCGAGGAGAGAAGCATGGAGCAGATCCTCCCTCAGAGCTTCTGTAAGGAGCCAGCCCTGCCTACACCTTGATTTTGGACTTCTGGCTCCACAATTGTGGGAGAACAAATTTCTGTTGTTTTGAGCCACCCAGTGTGTGGTGATTTGTTAAGGCAGCTCTGGGAAATGAATACAGTTACTAAGCTGGCAGTATGCAAGCCTACAGCTGCTGGTGGCCATCTTCCCACCACATGGGCAAAACCTAAGCATATAGCCAGCACACCAGAAAGCAGAGCCCAGAGCTGGAGCAAGACACATTCCTGTAGACTTCATTTTAAAATGTGGAGCTAACCCTGCCTGAGAAGTCAGATTTACTCCTATACTGTTTTAAGTTTTTGTACCCTAAATTGCCTCATAGGCTTACATTTAAGTCCTGTCTGAGACAGTAAAACAAATGCTTTCTTTACTAAAGGTACACACACAGTGTTGCAATCACAGAATAGAGCTCATCTAACACTACTTAAGGGAACCCAGGAAGCCTTCACTAAGGAAGTATCATTGATGCTGAGTCTTGAGTGGAATTTTGCCAGGAAATAATTCATCTGATGTCCCATCTCTGCATCATTCTCTGTGGGATTCTTTCTGGGGAGCCACATAGTCATTCTGCACATGCCCATCCCAATCTAAGGGCTCCAGGACACAAACTGCGGTTGGCCAAGATGTCTTAAATGAGTTTTGTTTCAATGGCATAGATCCCCACAGCATCAAGTGATTCCCATCCTCCATGCCTGGGACCTTGTGACCACTTGTGCCAATACCAACTTGCTTCTGGCCCTCATTCCCACTCCAGTCCAAGCCAATCCCAGCTCTTGCCTGGAGACACACAATAGATTTCTAACTAATCTTCTGCTTCCATCTTGACCCTGCAATCCAGTTTCTGCACACGTACCTCAACTGTACCATATCTCTCCAAATCAAATCCCTTCAAAGGCTTTTACCAGATCTGTAAATTCCCAGCACCTAACAAGTTCTTGGAACTTCATTTGGGTACCAATTATGTGTTAAATGAATGGTGAATAAGCAAGTTCATCAGGGCCTGGAGTCATGACTCAATAGCAGAAGCTTTAGACCTTAGGACATCTTGCAGTCATGACTCACATCTCATGTTACATACCTGGAACATTCCAAACCAATTGAAAGAGGAATAATATATTCATCAGATTTATCTACTTCTGATTTTGCATCCACTCTATTTGTCTGACATAGCAGATCTCTGGTTCTTAATCTAAGAATGGTAGATCTACTATCTGGTTCTGGTTTTCAGATTCAAGTTTAGCAACCTGGGTGTCAATCCTGCTATCATGTACTTAAGCTACTGCTTCTGTTTCCCAACTGAAACCTGTCCCTAATTCTGATTCCCGGCTCTCCTTCCTTCCCATGTGCCCTCCGGTTGCGGCACTGGCATGCCCCAGAACCCAGATCCCATGTCTCTCAACTGTTGCTAAACAGAATGAGATGCTGAGCCCTGACCCTAGGGCAGGGTCCCATCCTCTGCTACAGAACAATTTTTATGTGGACTGTTAGCCACGCCATCTGACTTTCTCCAAGCTACCTACTTCCTGATGTCCTGTCTCCAGCATGCACTCACCTGCCATGTCCATCTATTCCTTCATTCAACAAGCACTCTCAGATTATCTTCTAGACAGTGCAGCTACAGTGCTAATGAAAGATGTCTGTGGTATGCTTTCCACCTCTGAAGAAAAAGAAGGGAATAATTTAAAAAGTGGTAAGATGTCTGCATGGGACCTCAGAAACTGACCAAGTGTTCACAGTGGTTCACCTCTTACCCTCTTACTTTGCCTTGACAGAACTTTAGTCAGGATTCTCTCCTTCCTACAGGTCCCTGAATTCTACTTGGCCCCAAGCCTGAGAAAGCACTAAACACTGGAATGTGGCCCCCTTATTAGCTTGCACTGAGAATCAGCTGACCACAGCAGGACAATTCCTGTCATACCCCACTGATCATCCTCCCCATCCCACTGGCCATCCCCCAGTTCCACTGATCATCCCCCTGTCCCACTGATCATTCCCCTCAACCATCCCACTGATCATCCTCCCATCCCACTGGTCATCCCCCCACCACCATCCCCGTCTCACTGATGACTGGTCATCCCCCCACCACCATCCCACTGGTCATCCCCCCCACCACCATCCCCGTCTCACTGATGACTAGTCATCCCCCCACCACCATCCCACTGGTCATCCCCCCCACCACCATCCCACTGGTCATCCCCATCCCACTCATCATCCACCCCATCCCACTCGTCATCCCCCCATCCCACTCGTCATGCTCCCCTGTCCCACTCATCATCCCCCGTCCCACTTATGACCCACCCCACCATCCCACTGATCATCCTCCCATCCCACTGATCCTCTGATGACCCCCCTGCCATCCCACTGATCATCCCCTCCTCCCACTGGTCATCCCTCCCGTCCCACTGATCATCCCTCCGCCGTCCCACTGATGACTCCCCACCCCCGCGGTCCCACTGGTCATCCCGCCGTCTGGCTGGCGACCCCCCGGCCGTCCCGCCAATGACCCCCCCGCCGGCCCACTCATCATTCCCCGCCGGCCCACTGATGACTCCCCCTCCAACCCACTGATCATCCCCGCCATCCCACTGGTCATCCCCCCATCCCACTGACCATCCCCCATCCCACTGATCATTCCCCGTCCCACTGATGACCCCCCCCACCATCCCACTAGTCATCCCCCCGTCCCACTGGTCATCACCTCGCCCCACTGGTCATCACCCCATCCCACTGGTCATTCCCCCGTTCCACTGGTCATCCCTCCATTGCTTAATCCCTTTTACAATTTTAATTAAGCTTTTGCTTATCTCTCCCTACCCTATATAATGGAAGCCTCTTTCTTTTTGATTTTGTGACACTTGACAATTTCTGAGGTTGGAGCATTCTCTCTGTGGCAATGGTCTTTCTTTTGAATAAAATCCCTCCTTATCTAAGTCTGGATTTGTTTTCATTTGACAGAATACATAGAAGAGAAATCTAACTTGGGTGGGAAGAGGAGGGGATGAAGATTAGAGAAGGCTTCCTGGAAATAAACTGTGAACAGAAAGAAAATAAAACATTGGCTGGGCACGGTGGCCCACGCCTATAATCCCAGCACTTCAGGAGGCCAAGGCAGGTGGATCTCTTGAGGCCAGGAGTTTGAGATGAGCCTGGGTAACGTGGTGAAATCTTGTCTCTACTAAAAAATAGTAATAATACAAAAAGCTAGCTGGGTGTGGTGGTGCATGACTGTAATCTTAGCTACTTGGGAGGCTAAGGCATGAGAATCACTTGAACCCAGGAAGCGGATATTGCAGTGAGCCAAGGTTGTGCCACTGCACTACAGCCTGGGTGACAGAGTGAGACTCTGTCTCAGGGGGAAAAGAAAAAAGAAGGAAAAGAAAATGTTAACCAAACTAACACAGAGGACATGCACGGATTCCAGGCTGTGAGGTGGCATGCGTGACTCTCTTGCCATGTGGCAGTATGTTCAGGTCCTCACCAACACCACCATCTCTGATCTGTGCTCCATAAGCCTGAATGGAATTCTTCATGCCACCTGCACCTGGCAATGCTCCCAAACAACTGCACCTGGCAAGCTGGCCTAGCTCCTTCCTCGGTCCAGGCCTAGCCTTCTGTGTGTGCCCACAAAAACACATGCACACATGTTCTTTCTTATTCAAATGTGTGACCCCTACCCTCAGCATGCCACAGACACCTCAAGTGAACTCTAGCATCTCCAGAACACCCAAGGGGTCAAGTAGTTATTATGATAGATGTAGGCCATCTCTACCTTTTCATGGACTCTCTGTTCATGGCATCTCACTCTGTAGGCTTAGGCAAAATTCCTGTAGCCTAGAGAGATCTGAGACTACAAGGACATGAAAAATGCAAAGAGGGTAAGCTTGACTGGAAACTGCACAAGGACTGGAAGCAGGTCTGACTCATTCAGCATCATATCCCTACCACCTAGAACAAGGCCCCAACACACAGTAGGGGCTCAAATATTTGTTAAATAAAATGTCATATCAGCTCACGTGAATAATTCCATCTATCGCAGAGTTTCCTCTGACACTATCATCAAGCAACATTTTAAAGGGGAAAACAGTGGTTGTCCTCCATGATATGAAACACACAAGGCTAGCAATGCATTCTGAACAACCCTATTTCCCTTAATAGCCCGTTATGCACATGCCAGCCATGATTCATGATGTAAATGTAACTCTAGAGTCGTATGACCATAAGTACCAATGCCTTGGAAGTGTATCTGAGCTGCTACAAGAGAGATTATTTTTTTCCTCACTGCTACAACTGCCAGAAAATATGTTTAAATCATTACTTGAAATTCCTTTCCCAACCAAATCTCTTCCCAGAGCTGTTAACAAGAAACAAAATATGCTGACTTGAGTTTCACTTTCTTTCCATTCCTCTGCCTTCCTCTTGTGGGACCCCCAATGAATCATGAAATGGTTTTGGTCAGGTAAGAGTGAAAAAAGCACAGAACAAAGCCCAGTCTGTCAAACATGCAGATCCTAGAGGACAGAGACTCTGCAGCCCAGTTCTACCAACGGACGTAACCCCTGAAATAATTTGCACCTATTTCAATCAACTATTCATCTGCTAGCCTTCTGATTTTATTATATTATGAAGCCATTTATTTTCAAGGAAACTATATTTGTTGCTTAGTTGATACATGATGAAGTAAACTGAGAAAATACACTCCTAATTCTCAGGCCAACTCTTTTAAGGCCTATAAAAAATGACATAAATAGATTCTGATGTTGCTTCATTTCTGCAGAAGGGTGTTTTTATATTATGTTCTTCTATCAACACAGTAAGTACAGATTGCATCTTAAAGCTCTCATCTAGTGCTGGAGTTTCCAAACACAATGGCTTTAACAAGGAAATGACTTTGGAAAGGAAAATAAAAGAATGTGATTTCTTTGGGGCTGAGCATGGGAGAGAAGCACACTTCCTGTCATGACTTGGGAGGCATGCAGAGACCAGCTGGCAAGGCTCTGATCACAGAAGCTAATCCCTCAGGAGAAAATGGGTAATCCCAGGGCCAAAATTCACCCAAAGAACCAGAACAAATATGGGCTTGGGTCAGACAGAACTTCATTAATCAGGGCTCAATCCGGCAGCCATGACTGGGGAGATGCCATGTAAAGAGGAAAGCAGAGATTGAAGTGATGCTTCTACTTGCCAAGGAATGCCAAATATCACCAGCAAACCACAAGAAGCAAGGACAGAGGCTGGAAGAGATTCCTCCTCACAGCCTCAAGAGGATCCAAGCCTGCTGACACCTTGATCTCAGGTTTCTGGCTCCCAAACTGTGGAGGCCAATTCTGTTATTCAAGCCACCCAGTTTATGGGACTTTGTTACAGCAGCCCTAGCAAACTAATACAGTTGGCAATAGGAGTTAGGTAGCAGGAAAATAATAAATAACTGAAAACAGGGACCACACAGTTCATGTGAAGCTCCTGGCCCTTTTCAAGCATTTGTACGGGAATCTCTGGGAAAGAGATTCAAACTATCACTTGAGGCTAAATTCCTTTATACTTGGGAATTCACATTTATTCATTTGTATGACACTAAAAGAACATGAGAAATATAAAGACAACAAGCTAGAGGGGGTCAGGGCCCCATACAATAGCCAGGATTCTGCTCAATGGCTTCATGCATAGTCAAACCTTACCAGCTGTGTGAGAATAAAGGCAGAAGAGGAGACCCTTCAACCCAGTCAGGTAAAGTTGACAAGGAATAGGTAGTATGTCATGGTCCAAAACCAGGAGGCCAGAATACAGGGATGGGTCCATCTCCAAGGATCTGAAGTGTAAGTCAAATGTCTGGTGGGACATCACTGTGAGTTTGCAGTGACAGAGAGGGGCTCAGGGTTCACCCCAGGACAACCATACACAGGGTCCATCATGACAAAACCATTCCAAACCCTGGCAACTTGTGGGTTGATGCTGGGTGGAAGCTGTTGGCCCTGGCTAAGACCCAGGAACTGAACAAAATTAAAATTGCTGCCAAGGGCATGGGTGATGCTGGGTAGGGGTGATCATGGAAAGCAGGGACTAATAGTGTCAGGTAAAGCCACACACTGATTGCATGTAAGAGAATACATGACAGTAATCATCAATAGAGGAAGAAATAAGAACCGTCAAACACTAGATATTTTACACATATTAAACATTTCTCATATATTACATTACAAAGTTGGCATAATATTCTACATTCAACTTTTTGCATTCTTTATTTCCTTAGGAAACTGTGTTTCTACTCAAGTTGTCTGAATTAATTTAACTCATATGCCACTGTGTACTTCCTTTGAGTTTGGGGTCCATAGCTGTCCTGCTCCACTGTCTCATGCCAGGTCTTTTCATTACATGAACTGCAGGATGCTCTCTCTCAGGCACAGTGTTTTGGGGGCAATGCCTCTAAATGATGCCTCCATTGAGGCAAAGATCACATGAATTTGTAATTGTTTGCATCTCCACCTCCTCTGAAACACAGTGACCTGCTGGAAAGCAAAGACCATGATTTGTCTCTGTATCCTCAAAGCCCAGCACAAGTATCACCTGACACATGCACTATAAATGCTCACTGAATTGATTCATTCTTAAGAAGATTCAAAATGAAAAAGGAAGCAAGCAGATTTGGTGAGCCATTTCTGACTGGTATTTCATGAATTCATGTATTTAACTATGGGCCAGCACTATGTCAGGTAATACATTAGTCATGTGAAGAAACAATAAGATTGATCACTGCTAAGGTATAGAGCAAGTTTCAGGAATGCAAGAATGGGCTGCCCTTAATTGAGCACTTAGCCTCTCTGCTGCCTTTTGCTCATTGAGCAAATTGGATATATATTCAGGCCAGTAAGAACACTCATAGGCTACCTGCTGGTGTAGATGGGCTCCTTACAAGATACAAATTGAGGCTGGGTGTGGTGGTTCATGCCTGCAATGCCAGCACTTTGGGAGGCCAAGGCAGATGAATCACTTGAGGTCAGGAGTTCAAGACCAGTCTGGCCAACATGGTGAAACCCTATCTCTACTAAAAATACAAAAACCAGCCAGGCATGGGAGCATGCACCTGTAATTCCAGCTACTCGGGAGACTGAGGTAGGAGAATCGCTTGAACCCAGGAGGCAGAGGGTGCAATGAGCCAAGATCATGCCACTGCACTTCAGCCTGAGTGACAGAGTGAGACTGGGTCTAAAAAAAAAAAAAAATACAAATTGACCATTGTTGAACACTAGCCATGAGCCACACATTGTTATGTATGATCTCACCCAATTCTTATACAATTGTTATCCCCACTCTACACATGAATAAATTGGGGCACAACATGATTAAGTAAGTTACCCAGATCCCTTTGCTACAATATGACAAATCTGGAACATAAACCCAGCCAGTGAGAAGTTCTTAACCACTCCCCAGTGCTGCCTAAGAGATTAGGGTTGGATGAACCTACAGATTATAGGTTTTGGTATTTGCTAGCAATAAAAACTTGAACTCTAAGTGACTTAACATTACAGTAACCCCCGAAGGTTCCCATGCGTTATCAAAGATAATGCATAAGGCATGGTTGGAAGCAGCTCTGCCCTTTGGTTCCCAGAGGCTGAGCAAACCTTACCCCCAGACTCACATTACTAACACAACTAGGAATCTGGTGACAATGGTCATTCAACAGAAATTCATGAAGAGCCTGTTACATGCCAGGTACTATACTGGATATTGGGGGATCTTTCCACTAAGAAAAAACACATGCTGATAGAAAAGATTGACAGAGAAATCAGCACTACAATCAGAGTGGCAAGTGGTACCACAGAGTTAAGCGCAGGGACCCTGGAAGCACATTGCTAAGGATGAGGCAAGATACCCCAAACTTGTCCTCAAATCTCAACCCTTTTAAAGTGGCAACTGAATGGTCACATTCAAGTAGAAGCAACTGTTAGGTGACATGGCAAATAATATTCAATAACCAAGGATGACAAAAACAGGACAGGGTAGAATACTTAGCCCAGAAGTGGGTGGATGGCATTGAGAACTGGAAAAGAGAGGGGAGGTGGTCAGGAGTCATTCGAAAGCTTCCTCTCTGGTCTTCCATGTAGAATCTTAGCCACATATAGTTAAGATTGAAGGTAATTAACAAATCAAGCAAAAACCCTCTGCTATTTCAAATATCCTGCACACCAGGCAACATACCTACCATCTTTATGATAATATACAGCTTTGTTATGCCTTTTGGGGGAAAATCTGTATTATCCCCATTCCTTTCACTAGTAATACCTGATATTAAGTAGCACTTTTGAGTTTATAAAGAACATTCACAAGAATTATATCATTGAATTATTACTGAGCAGACAGGGCATCCATTTTACAGACAAGGAAATTAATTCTCAGAGAAGCTTGTTAACAAAATCTCATAATTGAAAAAGAGGGATTTAAAGAAGTGCTTTTGACTCCAAGGTTGGTTCTACTGCATCAAACTGCCATTGTTTACTAAAAACTTAACTACAGCATTAGAATCATAGGTTTTAAAGCACTTATTTGAATGCTGTTTGCTGTTTCATATTAACAGCAGCTGTTGCTACTTGGCAGTTACTAAGCCCTAAATATTAGGAATGGCTGGGGTGAAGAACAGCTTTGAAATGACACTATATTTGATCAGCTTCTGCAATAACTGTTAAAATCATATGCATGTCCTTTGGATCCCTATAAAGCTTCTACAGTATCACTGTACCTGCAGTTCCAATTTGCAATTTCCTCAGCCCTCCTTTGAAGTTATTCTTGCCAATTACCTGGTGTTAATATTAATTAAATATGATTTGTAACTCAAAATGTGGTGTTATCAATGGAACTCAGCTGTACAAATATAAAGTAAAATTTTCAATTGAATTAAATTGTTTCCTTTCATTCATAGTATTTTACAACATTAATACTTTTCTCAAATTGACTTTTGCCTGCTGGAAGTCATTTTCCCAAAGCAATGAACATCTGAGGGGAAACACTGCTGTTTATGTATTCTTTCCTTTCTGTCATTGAAAATACTTCGTTTTAATCTTAAAGTGAATCCATTTCAGTTACCAGAAACTTGCTTCTTGTTTATAACCCAAGAGGGGAAAATGCTTTATTTTAAAACTGTACTAAGATACATTAAAAATATGATCAGTGAACACGTTTCAATTGTACACTAGGGATGAAACTTTCCTTACCTTATTGCTTGACCCTCACAAAAAAAAAACTATCAAACTTTTTGGCAACTGTCATTTTATATACACAAAAAATGAATTAATTAAATTGGTTTCTTACATTAACATTTCAAACAGAATCTGCCATCCCAACAACTCTCTGGTCCCTTCCAACTCTAAGATGTTAATATTCGGAACATGTCAAACAATAGTCAGAAGCTTCCAGCATTTGCAAATTTAGGGGGAGAAAGACACACATAGAATATTTGACAGAATCAGGTCTATTCTGCCCCCTGTAATGTATGCAATGATGACTTGAAGGCCTGTCATCTTCAATAAGCCATTCATAAACATGATGACTGATTAAAGAAGGTGTGCTGCCATACTGTGCAAATCTACAATGAAAAGATATGTTCTCTCATATTCCTTTTATCTTCAAAGATAAAGCTTTAGCTTCCTTGCCCCTTATAATGATAGCAGTAGCATTAACATTTATTATCCTGTCTTCTTTTAAAAATAATATAATAATGTAAGACAAAGAAGGGAAGGAACCTGTCTAAAGACTAAAGGAAGTCATTTATTGAGTCATGAGCCACCAGGCCCAGAGCTTATGATGGAAAAGCATGAGTGAATATTATTAACTCCTTTATTATAATGTCAATGAAACATTATATCAAGGAATTAAAACAAGACAGAAATAGAGGACTGTGGATCTAATAGCTGAGTGTTGTGTAACACGTAGGTCTTAACCAGCAGCAACTAAGCTATTCCCTTCCCTCAGGCCAAAAGACCAAAAGGGGAAATAAAAATAAATTAGGCCAGAAAAAAATCTCTGGATGTCTGTCATATTCCAGGTGTCATCAAAGAGAAGCTTCTTGGAATTACAAAGTGGGGCAGGTGAACAGCAGGTACACACCTATGTTGGCAGTGTCTATTGTGATCCTACTGGGAGCTCTACCTAGGAAAGCCAGACAGACACTGGGATCCCATCACTTACCCCAGTCTGGAACCCTGAATTATCCATTAGGTTACCTCATTTACCCAAGAATCAGGATTGGGAGAGTAGAATTCCATAACATTCCAAAAGGAATTTGTGAACTCGCTATATTACAGGCTTCTCCATTAACCAAATTCTGTCTGCTTAAGCCCTTCTCATTCTTATTACTAACCTGTTGTCCTCCTAGCCCAAATCCCATCCCTACCACTGGAAGCTAACCTTCTGAGTATACCCTTCTTCACCCTCTGTTAAGAACTGAATTATCTCCCAAGAAAAATACATTGAAATCCTAAACCCAGTACCTCAGAATGTGACCTTATTTGGAAAGAGGGTCATTGCAAATGTAGTTAGTTAAGATGAGGTCATACTGGGGTAGAGTGGGCCTTTATTCCAATATATCTTCATTTTTATAAGAAGAGAAGACACAGAGATAAACACAAGAAGATGGTCATGTGATGGTAGAGGCAGAGACTGGAGTGATGCATCTACAAGCCAAGGAATACCAGGGATTGTCAGCAAACACCAGAAGCTAATAGAGGCAAGGAGGGATTCTCTCCTACAAATTTCAGAAGCAACCACCTTAATTTTTTATTTCTAGTCTCCAGAACTGTGAGATGATAAATTTCTATTATTTTAAGCCACTAGTATACTATATTTTACTATAAAATGCCTCCTTTCAAGGACCTCTCTTCATGTAGGAACCCTAGCCCTAACCCCAACCCTACTGTGCACGTTCAGCTATGCATTCTGGCAAAAGTTCCTGTTTTCTTATGAAACACTGCTCATCATCCTTAAATTTTTTTCTGAGGATCTCCTTTTATCATCTCCCATAATTGAAGTCTTCTTCAAAGGAGACTGAGAGCCCTCCCATGACCATAAACCCATGAAAAGAGAACACTCTACCATACTGTTACCTCCCATTGCAATGTCTAGGCCATTATTCCCACACTGTATTCATCTGTTCTCACAATGCTAACAAAGATATACCCAAGACTGAGTAATTTGTAAAGGAAACAGGTTTAACTGATTCACAGTTCCACATGGCTGGGGGTGGCCTCAAATCATAGTGGAAGGCAAATGAGGGACAAAGTCACGTCTTACATGGTGGCAGGCAAGAATGCTTGTGCAGGGGAACTCCCATTTATTAAACCATCAGACCTCATGAGTCTTATTCATTACCATGAGAACAGTATGAGGGAAACCACTCCCATGATTCAATGATCTCCACCTTGCCCTACACTTGACACACGGGGATTATTATAATTTAAGGTGAGGTTTGAGTGGGGACACAGAAAAACCATATCACATACCTTTATATGAAAGCTTCTCCCCATGAGTCCATCCTCATTCCCCTATACTTCTCACCTTAGCAACCACCTTTCCATACTCAACCATCAATTGTATGAGAATGAGCTTTGATCTATATCTCAGTTCCTGCTTGGCTCTAGATCAATGTTCCTTGCTATTCTTCTCCACAAAGCTATGTACTGGTACCTAAAGTTTACTGTGTTCATTTTACTGTCTCTTTTCTGTTTATGGTACCTGCCTTTTCCTAGTTGCCCAGGTATGCAATTTCAAGTTCAACTTTAATTTCTTTCATACCCTCAAGCTCTGTGTCCCGTTACTAAATTCCATAGACTTCACCTCACAAATGACCCCCAAGTCTATCTCCTCTTCCATTTATATTATCACTGCCCTATATCAGGCCAAGATTGTTATTGCAATGGACGCTGAACTGGTCTCCTTGTCTTCTACTTCTTATAGTACAACCTTAAATATACATTCTGATAGATCCCCCTCTCCTCAGCAGTTTCCTCCTGATATAATATGAGTATTTGTCCCTGCCAAAATCTCATGTGCAATTGTAATCCCCAATGCTGAAGGTGGGGCCTGGTGAGAGGTATTGGGTCATGGGGGCAAAGCCCTCATGGCTTGGTGCTATCTTCAGGATGGTGAGTTCCCACAAGATCTGGTTGCTTAAATATGTGTTGCATCTCCCCCATTCCCAACTCTCTCTTGCTCTTGCTTTCACTATGTGGTGTGCTTGCTCCTGCTTTACCTTCTGTGATGATTGTAAGCCTCAAAAGGCCTCCCCAGGAGCAGATGTTGCTATGCTTCCTGTACAGCCTGCAGAACCATAAGCCAATTAAACCTCTTTTCTCATAAATTACCCAGTCTTGGGTATTTCTTTATAGAAATGCAAGAACAGCCTAACACAGAAGATTGGTGCTGAGGGGTGGGGCATTGCTATAAAGATACCTGAAAATGTGGAAGTGACTTTGGAACTGGGTAACAGGCAGAGGCTAGAAGAGTTTGGAGGGCTCAGAAGAAGACAGGAAGATGAGGGAAACTTTGTACCTTCTTAGAGACCAGTTAAATGCTTTTCACCAAAATGTTAATAGTGATATGGACAGTGAAATCCTGGCTGCTGAGGTCTCAGATGGAAATGAGGGACTTACTGGAATCTGGAGCAAAGGTTACCTGTGTTATGCCTTAGCAAATAACTTGGATGCACTATGTCCATGCCTTAGGACTCTGTGGAAGTTTGAACTTGAAAGTAATGACCTAGGGTATACAGCAGAAGAAATTTCTATGCAGCAAAGCATTCAAAATGTGGCCTGGCTGCTTTTAATAACCTATATCAGATGTGGGAGCAAAGGAATGACTTAAAGCTGCAACTTATATTTAAAAGGGAAGCAGGGTATAAAAGTTTGGAAAATTTATATCCTAGCCATGGGGCAGAGAAAGAAAAAGCTTTTTCAGGAGAAGAATTTAAGCAGGCTGTGGAGCAACCACTTGCTAGAGATATTTGCATAACTAAAAAGAGCCAAGTCCTAATATCTAAGACAATGGGGGAAAGTCCTCCATGGCATTTCAAAGACCTCCATAGCTGTCCCTCCTATCACAGCCATAGGAGGGAAGAGTCCTTTCATGGGCCAGGTCCAGGGCCCCACTGCCCTGTGCAGCCTCAGGACACTGTTACCCACATCCCAGCCACTCTAGCTCTAGCCTTGGCTCAGAGGGCCCCAGATATTGCTCATGCCACTGCTCTGGAGAGTATGAGCTACTATAAGCCTTGACAGCCTCCATATGGCATTAAGCCTGCAAGTGCACAGAGTGAAAGAGTGATGAGGCTTGGCACCCTCTCCCTACATTTCAGAGGATGTATGGAAAAGCCTGGGCACCCAGGAAGAAGCCTGCTGATGGGGCAGAGCCATCACAGAAAACCTCTACAAGGGCAGTGTCAGGGGGAAATGTGGGGTTGGAGCCCCCACACAGAGTCCCCAGTGGGGGCACTGCCAAATGGAGCTGTTAGAAAGAGGCCACCATCCTCCAGACTCCAGAATAGTAGATCCACCAGCAGCTTGAACCCAGGTTGAAGTGCATTGGTGGAATCTCGGCTCACTGCAACCTCCACCTCCCAGGTTCAAGCAATTCTCCTGCCTCAGCCTCCCAAGTAGCTGGGACAGCAGGCACATGCCACCATGCCCAGCTAATTTTTGCATTTTTAGTAGAAACTGGGTTTCACCATGTTGGCCAGGCTGGTCTCAAACTCCACCTCAGCCCCCCAAAGTGCTGGGATTACAGGCATGAGCCATCACACCAAGTCTGGACTTTTGAGTTAATGCTACAATGAGTTAACATTTGGGGAGACTATTGCAATGGAAAAGGACATGAGATTTGAGAGGAGCCAAGGTGGAATGATATAGTTTGGATATTTATCCCCACCCAAATCTCATGTCGAAATGTCATCCCCAGTGATGGAGGCAGGGCCTGGTGGAAGGTGTTTGGGTCATGGGGGCAGATCTCTCATTGCTTGGTGCTGTCTTCAAGATAGTGAGTTCTCACAAAATCTGTTCATTTAAAAGTGTGTTGCACCTCCTCCCCTTGCTCCTGCTTCACCTTCTGCCATGATTGTAGGCCTCCTGAGGCCTCCCCAGTAGTGGATGCCACTTTGCTTCCTGTACAGCCCATAGAACCATGAGCCAATAAATAAACCTCTTTTCTCATAAATTACTCACTTTCAGGGATTTCTTTATAGCAAAGCAGGAATGGTCTAACACACCTCCATTGTCTAGAAAACTAAGGATAAAATAAACACCCTATGATTTGAAATAATCATGTGTCTATGTCAAACCTTCCAATTTTGTCTCCCATAATTCACTAAACAAACTATGCTCCAGTCAGAAAAACTGTGCTATTTGCTGATACCAAATATGTTTTTTTCCTTCTCCAGCAATAATCCTATAGTCAAGAGATGCCTTGGGATGACACTATAACAGCTGGGATATCAAGGGGCTATTTGTCTTTACCAAGTGTCTCCTGGCCCTCTCCCACTCAGAAAGATCTCAACTAGGGAAGAGCCATCACTGAGGTCTGATCAATGACCACCATACACTCATAAACTTCATTCTCCCAGATTCGCAAAGGACACTTTCCCAAGTCTGATTTTTTTAAAATGAAAAACATTCTAATCAAACTGTACAAGCAATTTATCACTAACCCAATTTTCATTTCACCATCATTCCATTATGATCTGCTTGAGTTAATCAGAGGTAAGACAGAGGAAGCCTCAATTTACACTGAAACTTCTTAGCAATCGATGTTGCTAAAGAGAAATTCAGAACAAAGTACAGAAAACATTATGAGTTGGGGAAATATACAATTTTATTAATGGGCAGACACTCCAAAAAAATTGAATGTATACATCTCTTTCTCACTCAAGCTACTGAGGTTTTTTTTTAAAAACACACTACTAACATGGTGACAGATGTCATCAATGTTGTAGTAAGAGCTGCAAATGTTACAGAACTAATGAATTTTCATTAGAGACATCAGATAATTTCAGAATGGGTTAAGTTGCTACCATTTGCCATTCCCATTAACATCATTGTCATGTAAAAGGTTTAATTTTCAGCTATTTTTGTTCTAGATAAAATCTTTGTCATTAAAATGAGGGATGATTTTGATATTTAATATATTCCATGGCATACTCCAGTGTGGTACTAATTTGGCCTTTTCAGTATTCTGCATATTAATTAACAATCCATCCCTCCTCCATTCCCCAGATAAGTGAGAACTGAAATAGAATGGACAACCAATCAAGTCACAGAATACTGAAAAGATCAACACAGAAGAAATGTGTTGCTCTAATCAAGAGCATATACAAGGCACCAAAATTATTTTCTCCCATGCTAATGACTATGATAGAAACAGGAGTAATGAATGGCACCATCTAAATCCTTTTATGTGACAGTATTACCAAAGCACAGCAATGCTCCCTAAAAAATAAAAACTAAGTATTTCTTATTTTAGTCAAAAGAATAAAACTGTGGTTTCACTTAACTTTTAGAACAATCCATTTTGTTGGATTCTGCAACAAATGGCAGATTATGTCCTGTTTTGAATTTTTTATAGTAATCTATCTCATGCACACAAAATGTGTCCTCAAGTTGCAGAATGTCCAGGATCACTGTGGAAAACTTATTTCAATACATACTCTATTAGTTTTCTCCTCTTGCTAAATTATCACTCTGGTAAGAACTGACATCAGCTGCTTAAATAATACATTAACCCTGTTTCCAGAAGCTATTGTTTTCATTTGAGTGGGCATTTCCTCTAAGGATAAACTTTAGATTTTTACCCAAGAAGATAATATAATTTGTCATAATTTAAAGACCAATTGAATGTTTTGAATCAGTTTTATAGCAGTAATGATATAAATTCCCAGAGAGCAAAGATTATGGCATAATGCACACTTACAGCAGGTGTGAACAGTTGTCCAATTAAATCAATTAGCCCAATCTGTCCAACAAGACCAGGCCTTTCATACATTTTCTGCAATAGCACAAATGTAGAACAAATGTTAAAGATACTAAATATTGTGTATTATAATTTTTCTATGTCCTACTATGTACAGAAAAGCTTGCAGTCATCTGCAAGTCTCTCAAGTGAACATCCTACTTCAATAACATCAGACTTTTTGTCCTTGGTAATTATGGTTAAGCCCAAATCATTCCCATGATCTTTCTCTGAGTCGAGGCCTCTAAGAAAAACAATAAATTTATCAACATAATGTCTTCCTTCAGGCTCAAAATTACTGAAAAAAATCAATGGACACTTTAATTTTTCCACAAAATATTACTCTTATAGAAAAATTCATTCATTCTTAATAAGAATAATAGTACTTAAGTAACAACAACATACTTAATTCACAAAGATATGTTGTTGACAAATCAGCAGTTAAGATTTGTGCTCTAAGTTGTTCCTTTGTTTTGCTCTGTGTTTTCAAAGTAGTGGAATGGATTTACAACCTCATCGTACACATACAAGATGGTAAAATGCCTAGACACTTGGATAAGCACCTTGAAAAAAATGCCCAGGACAGACATCAGCAGCACCTTGTTGTAAACAAGTTTTTACATCTTGTCCTTCATCACACCCTAAGCTTCAGAGTTTTAAGAATAAAAACGCAAAAAGTCAAATATGACAATAAGAATATTGCTTAAGTATAGCCTTGAGGGCTACTTCAGCATTGTTTTAAGATGATTACTAGACTTAGTCCCTCTAGTGTTGGATGTTAAATTCCACTGACTTTTTTTAAATTTAATGACTTGCTAATGTAAACTTCCATCTAGAACAATCAAATAGTATGTCATTTATTCAAATTTACAGTGGCTCTAATGTGCCAGCAAACTCCCTTGTCAAAACAGACAACTTTAAAAAATGTTCATTTGAGTCAGGAGTCCTACTTCCTAAATTAGCACCAAAGTGTCACCTTGATAGACCTATGAACAACAAAATCATTTATAATAAACCCAGCTTCCCTCTAGAGTGGACAGCCTAGTTCATGCATCTGTAGGAGTTCCAATTATTCCCTACAGATAAGAGAGCACTTGGAGATGCTCAGGCATCAGCAATCTGTCACCTCCAAATACAATCATCTGATAAATATATGCTTACCAATCTCCCTCGAGATCTGGGTGAAGGCCTCCACACCGCTCTCACCATAGTTCCCCTCAGAAGCCAGTGTCGAAACATAATTCCATCCCAGTGCTGTCACGATGTCCACCATGGCTTGGGCTTGGTAGGAGTCAGGCGGAACCACTCGAGAGAAAAAGTCATACCTGGTGTTATCACTTAGCTCTGGGGCTGTGGATGCATAGCTGATTTGAGGTATCTGCAAAACAAATGATGGGTCATTTCAACCCATGACGAATCTTGAAGAATGATGGATTGTCATATGAGCTAAACAGCCAAGGCTATACCAGAAACCTAGACATATCAACCTGAAGCCAAAATACAGTTTTATGACTACCAATTTAATTGGAAAGTATTTTTGAATGGCCCATAGGCTTACTTTCTCTCAATGCACAATATTTCTAAACAGTGAGAAAGAATTTCATTTTGCTTTAGTTTCCATTGTTTCTGGAGCCAAAGCAAAACATTTGTGCTTTTTGTTGATGTTGCTTTTTGTTGATGTTGCTTTTTTAGTCTGTACATGATAAGCTCTGGTGCAGAAAGGAGAGAAAAATGAAGGCATATACATCAGAAAAGGTCACCTCTGAAACTGGCTTTGGCTTTATAGGACATAAATGCTATACAATGACTAACAGGGAATTTAATATAAGATTTTTTTATACTTGATACCATTTCAGTCTTAAGACTATATTTTTAGTAAATTATTGTAAATATATAGTTTTGCAAGTCTATTGACTGTTTATTGATATAATCAGAGTGCCACAAAAAGATTTGAGAATTGCCAGCAGCCACATATCCTCTCATAGAAACATCATTCTAACCCCCTTCAAAACATCACAGAAAAGGGAATCCAGACCATAAATTCTTTAGAAGAGACTATTTTTCTTTTAATGGGGTGAATTGCCAGAAATTCTTTGAAATGAGGAATCCTATGTCATTTCTCAATAATGTGGGAGAGTGAGCTATGTGATTGTGTATAGTAACTCCTCTGCTGCCATGCTGTGGTATGAGTGAAAGTTCAGAGATCAAAGTGACTCCAAGATGCCCTAATTCAGGTAACTTGAAGATGCAGGTTTGACTTGTACATGAAAAAATTAACTTTATGCTACATCACATGTTGCAGCTAATGTCAGTGCTCAAAGAGGATGTCGGAGTTGCAGTTCCATCTTTCCCCACAGGGCTGCACACTCTGGGATCCAATAGTCCCCACTACAGTGTAGACAGATGATTCCCAATCTATATAAACATTTCAACTCCACCCTTGACATACTTGTAAAGCTCTCAACATCTAAATAACCTTCCTAAGTCTAGAGAGTCCTGTTCCCTACTAGTGGCCAGTGAAATGACAGTGAAGTTCCTAAAACGTAAAAGTCATCCCGGGAGCAGCAGCAGAGCAATGTGCTTGGAGCTGTCCATGGTGCTGACTATTCATTCAGCTTCCATGTAACTTGGATCCACCTGCATTGGCCGTAACAGAGAGTACCCAGAATAGCGTGGCCCATTTAACCCCAAATTCTTTCTGGTTCTGTTCTCCTAGTGGGGACTGTGTTAACTTATTTGTTAACACTGTGGGACCATGAAAACCATCTGACCCACCTCCTCCTGCCCTTTGCCTTCTCTGCCAGATATACTGACCTTACCTTGACAAATTTTTCCCCTGGTTAGATTTTGTGACTGCATAGTACATGACTACTCGCAAGGACACCCCTCCAAATCTCAAACCACACACCAAATCTTGCCCTTTCTCACCTTTTCTTGTTTGTTTTCAGAGGACCTGGGAAGGAAACCATGGATAACTTAGTGAGATCTACCTCTTACTAGGTAAAAATTTCCCAAATATCAAAAGTATGTGCATTCCTATATCCTAACGAAAATAAGTCAGCCATCTGACTTTCACTTTAGAAGAAATTATATGTATGTGCGAGTAGGGGTTGTGTGGGGGGAAGGGAATAGGGGAGCATTCTATAGCAAAATATATAGCCCTACACCATTTCTTTGTCCTATTTGGATACCGATACTCCCACTTCCTGAGCTACTAAGAGTCCAGCAGTAAAATGACTTACACAACTCCCACCCTGCCTATAATAATGAGCCACCCTTTCTAAAAATGAGCAGAAAGTGTGAAAATTGAGTGTTTGAAACCAAAACTAATTATCTCAAATTACTACCTTCAGTCAGTCACTTCCAGGCTGTTTAATTAGCAGTCAGCCTCATGTTTAGGATTAATTAAACAGGTGTAAAGGGTATATAAAATAAAAGTGCAGATAGAAGATGGTTGTTTGATTAATTCAGTAATGGACTTTCTCCCCAAAGTCTTGAAGAGTTTTCTCTTTGCAGATCAATGTGTGGGAAAGCAATGCAAGAGTATGCATTTGTATTTTTATTTTTTCACTCTACAATAATACACATCAGGGTATATGAATAGTATTTCAAGACAAGTTTTCAAGTTTTCATGAAGTCACATCTCATTTTTATTTTATTGTGGTAGACCCCTAAGCATTGGTTCATTAAGCATTTTAATTTCTGTCCCAGCATCCCCAGTATTTCTACCACCCGCAAATTAAACCCTACTGGCAACTGAAGTAAAAATTTTTTAAAGACCTGGAATGTTCCTTTTATTTTCCCTACATCAAATTCACTGCAACTACCCACTTAACCTTGGAGGTTTCATCTACCAGAAACACAGCAATGGAAAAAAAGGTGGTGAATGGTGAAGAGAAGCGGAGGAAAAAAATGAAAGGAAAAAGAAGAAAAGCATCCCAAGAAAAGAAGTTGCTAGGAAAAGCACCCATTATCAGTTCCCCCATCCTTTAAAAAAAAAAGTAGTGTCTTTTATAAGCCTCTGTTAACTCCCATGGCCAATGTAAAGGATAAAATACAAACTCTTCGGTCTGGTTCACAAAGATCATCAGATTCTGTCTCATCTTCCTCCCCTGACCTGTACCTTCTCTCCATATTCTCACAGCATCTGCACCCTTCTCCATACCAGGGAGATTTAATGCTCTCCTCTATCTAATGATCCTCTATACAAATTCAATATCCAGCTCAAAAGTCACCTCCATCTGGGGACAGTTCACTAACTCCATCAGGCAGAGCTGTCTTTTGCTATTCCTGTCTTCCAAAGCCTCCGCCATCTAACATTAGAATCATGACTCTGCTGGCTTATGATCCTCTCAAGACCAAGCAGGGTCTCTGTTTCTTTATTTGGCATCCCCAACACCAGGCAGACCAAGTGCTCAATGAATGTTTGAGGGCAATTAATTAATTAAACTGCTGCAGGAAATTTAATACAGCTTCTTCCCCACCACCTCCTCCCTTGCATTCCACCAAAATATTGTGCAGGCTATTCTCCATTCGACCCTCCTGATCCTTCCCTATCCTGCCAAAGACCCTAGGAGGCTGCTCTCTATGACCATACTGCCTGGGCTTCCTTGCCTCTGGCTTCTAGTTGAGTTTGTCCCGGAGGCACTAGCAGAACATGGGAGGGCGAGGGGCGACAGAAAGAAGTTAGAGTATTTATCCCACAGTTTCTTTTTCCACTGGCTCTGTTTCTCCACCTAACCCCTCACCCACAGCTAAAGCTTTTGCCAGATTCCAGTGACCACTCTGTACCATTGCCCCTGTAAGGTCTCCCCACTGCTGTTGGCTCCGAAGCACTTCATCATCCCTTGTTTTTTCTAACTGTGCCCACACTTACAAATAATCTTTTTGTGAACTGCCCTTTCATTACCCCTGGGTGTGCCAGAAGCCTGATGAACACTCCCCTATGACAAGTCTCTGTAGAAGACAACACTGCTGTGGCTCCCCAATCTCAGCCCTGCCCTAACTTCTTAGCCCTTCTCTAGCCACCTGCCCTTCCAGCCTTCTCTACCACTGTCCCTAGGTGACTTTCTCATTTCCTTTCTTCTTCATTTCCCTAAGGCATCCTACTGCATATTTGAAAACACCTGTCATTTTGCTTTCCTTCATTTCTTATTTTCTTTGTGCTGAGACTTCATAAAAATATCATATGTGCTTAAATAAGGCCATATTTCTATTACTCAAATGAAGCGTATTTGAGTCAATTAATTATACAACTCAGGACACTCATCATCCTCTTTTTTTAAAAAAAAATTGTTTTGGATTCCACTTTTCTAACAATTATTTTGGTTAGGAAAAACGCTTTTTCTTCTCTCACTATATTCTCACTTCAGCCCACAGAAGAGGAGATTCCTACCTCCCAACTCCATTCTCTTTGGGAGCTCCAGAACAAACATTTCCTCTCTCACTCTCCGTTCCTTTACTGACTTTCCCCAACATGGAGGGGGAAAGAAATCAAAGCCAGAGTTCTACGTTTATTGGGCAAAAGGGGATAGCAGGCTCTCTCTTTATTCTCTGACCTGTCCACATACATCTCAGGCTTCTTTTCTCTATAATGTCATGAGACCATGCTGGGCCTCAATTCTTGGAAAGGAAGCCCACCCTCTTCTCTCCATATTCCACTGGCAACCAGACATTTGAGAAATACTTGAAGTCCATGCTACTCACTGCAAGTGAACTTTAAGTCTTCCGTGCAGGCAGAAGTGGGTCCCAAGGTTGAGATATGGTGCAAGAGTAGGAGGCACAGGTTCAAGCTGAATTATCTCGAACGCAGTTCTTAGCAGATAGTCATGTGCCTGGGGAGTTATTTGGTGCTTGCCCAGATGTTAATAAAGCTAATTACTTAATCTACATTTAACTAGCTATTCTGTGAATATTGGACTTGCAAACTCTGAGAAATTCCAAAAATTTAACTTAGAGCTCAAGATTAAAATTATATTTCAAAAGAAATTCATTTACATATATTATTAATAGGAGTTAGCAGAGATTATTGTCTTCTAGTGTCTGTTCTCCTTCTAGATGAAACCTCCAGTTTTTACCTAACCACCCAGAACGTGACTACATTTCCTGGCCTTCCTTGAAATGGTAAGTGAAGCTTCTGAAAAGGATCCTTAAAGGGAGAAGGCATGCCTTTTTCATGATCCTCCCTCTTTCTTGCTGGCTAGAATTTGGACATAATGCCTGGAACTCCATTAGCCATCTTAGGCTATGACCTAGCAATGGTGGAGCAAAAAGCCACACCCTAGTCCAAGCCACTGTGATATCTGGATTCCTAAAGCCACTTGACTTTTCTTCATGCTTCCATTCATGCTCTTCTCAAATCTATGCCACACCAGCAAGAAAACTGGTATTTTACAAAAACAGATCTTAAAGGCTGGGTGCGGTGTCTCACGCCTGTAATCCCAGCAGTTTGGGAGGCTGAGGTGGGCAGATCACCTGAGGTCAGGAGTTCGAGACCAGCCTGGTCAACACGGTGAAGCCCCATCACTACTAAAAATACCAAAACTTAGCCAGGCATAGTGGTGGGCACCTGTAATCCCAGCTACTCAGGAGGCTGAGACAAGAGAATCACTTGAACCCGAGAGGCAGAGGTTGCAGGGAGCCGAAATCACACCATTGCAATCCTGGGCACCAAGAGCAAAACTCTGTCTCAAAAAAAAAAAACACAAAATAGATCTTAGAAAAATCTTGTTTAGAGTCCTTCAATCATTTCCCCATTGCCCTTAGAATATAGCCCAGACCTCCTGTCACAGGATCCTTTGAACTGGCAACTGACCACCTATCCCTCTCACTCACCTGATCCAACTACACTGGCTTCCTTTTTGTTTCACCTGCAGCACTCATACATATCACCACAAACATTTTCCCAAGTAAGTCCTTCCTGGCCTTTCTCATCCTTCAGCCTCAGCTCAACAGACCTTCCCTGACCACCCCATCTAGTGTTGTCTCCTCACCTTCCATTATGACCTCATCACTCTACTTATTTCCTTCCTCTTTCACCACCTGCATTAATTTGTGTATTCTGTTTCCCCTACTAACATGTAGATTCCACAGGGTTATTTTCTGCATTGTTCACAGATGTAACATGAGCTCCCATGAGATAGTAGGTGTTCAATAAATATTCATTGAAAGTAAAATGAGCCCATCCATCCATTAATCAAGAACCCCTTTTGTTATTTTCTTCCATGTATCCTAACTTTGAAATATTTTTCTATAAAACTATTTAAGTTAAAACACCACCCATTTCCAATATTCTCTTTTAATCAAAGATCTGTTCAGCTGCAAAACTTCTGATCAGCACAAGGCATCTGTTTTTACCAAGCTGAAGTGATGGAATTCCAGTTCAAATCACCGAAGTGCCGCTTCAGTTGTAGCCTGTGCAGTCTTCTCGTAGGGAAGCTTACAACTGCCACTTTGCTTTTTGAAATGCCAAAAATGGCCATGAAAACTTCATAACTACCTTGGCAAACACCTTGACAGCCCACGGACTTCAATGTGTCATTAAAGAATAAAAATTACATTTCTAATCAAAGGTCAACATCATAGATTATTTAATCATTTACCCCTTCTTTCTTATCTTTATCTGTAAGATAGATATTCCAGACAGGGAAAAAAGTGCTTACATCTCCCCCAAACCAACTGTGTCTCTCCATGTTGCCTTCACTGAGCCTTCCTGTACATGACTGAGTGATGAAATAAAGGGTCTCTGAGGCTCCAAGGGGATCAGAGACTTTTAGATACCAGAAATACTTTTTGTGGCCCAAGGAAGAACAACTTCAGCTGCCTCAAGGTTTCCCACTGCTTGCACATCAAAACATTGCAATAAGCTTGAAACTTGCCTTGTCTATTCAGAATGCCATAAGTTTTTCATCTGTTCACCACAGTTACTGGTTTGCTAAATATCCCAAGGAAGCCAAGACACCCCTGACAAGGCTAGCAAAAAGCCACCTAAAGCACAGCTTAGAGGAAGCTCCTCCAAATTCTAGGAAATTTCAATCTTTCTGCAAGAAACTTGCATACATCTGAGTACAGATTTGCAGACAGAAGACAATTTAAGACCTGAATCACGTATATTTTCACCATGAAAAAGGGTTTTTTTTTGTTTTTTTCCCCCCTGCCAAAAAAGGTTTTTGTTCTCTGCAAACAACCTTGTCCATTGATCATGGAACTTAATTGGTGAAGTAGGTTGGCGGGGTGGGTTCTTTGTGCTACTCAATAACATCATTGGTTTTTTCCAGTGAAAGATCAGCTTGAAGCCACATTCTTCCCTTAGGGGGTAGTGCTTGACCAAGCACTTTTCCAGTGATGGTGGTTAGCAACAGCGGCCATCAGGATGATAGCTTCCTACCACCTGGCCTTGGGGTAGATTTGTTTTTGCTGCAAAACTCAGGTCAAAAAAAAGCATAATTATTATAGCCATTAACTTTGTCTTTTTATATACTTGACTGCTCTCTAGTATTAAAACTACTAGTTGCTTGTGGCAAAACATCAGTATATAATCAGAAATTAGATATAAATGAGGAGTTAGGGCTAGAAGTCAATGTCCAGCACTGGCCCAACTCTCCCGACACTGCCCTGAGCTTTCATGCTCCTCCCACCTTCATGAAAACAGGCTAAGGAGAGGGAAAAGAAGAAAGGAAATGTAAAGCCAGAGTGTGAAACAAAAAAGAAGATGGATGACTACCCCAAGTTTGCATCCAAAAACATGAAGTAGTAGTATTCCTTCCCCAAATCAGGACTGGCTCAGAATAATCCTGTCCTCATAGTCGACAGTTATTAAGATTCCTGTTTGTACAAGTTGGTGTCAAATAGGAAATTCAGTCTCTGACCTTTTCTTCTCAGTTGAGTTCCCATAGTTGATTCAGAGCAGGATGTGAGCCTTTGGGTTTTGATGCACAATGGAGTTTAACAAAAGCAAAGGAGAGGAAGCCTATTGAAATGGGGAAATCATGGGGTCAAGGAGAGCCAGGAGTACACTATATTGCACCATATTTTTATCTATCTCCCCAACATGAGCTCAGTAAGACCAAGCAAAGCTTTACATACACACCTGCACAAAAGGGGCCTGTGGTTAGTTAACACAGCTGAGTGTAACACAGTTAGTAGGTTTAAGGTCATGAGTTGAATTCCATTATGGGCCAGGATGAAGACCACACCCCTCACCAGAATCTTCCTCTCACAAACACAGAGCACATAACAAAGTCAACCAGAGAGAGGAGAGACAAGATCAATCCATTCTCACTGCTAGATGAATAATTCAAAGATGGTTTGCTACTAATGGTGAACCTAAAATTTTAGCAGCAAATCATGAGACACACTTTCTTCAAAACATAGTGTTTTTGTATCTATATCTGCCTGAAAGTATAAATATATATTACACTTACAAAGTCATATGTTGATTTCAGATAATTCATTTGAATAGACCATTGAATTGTAAAAGGGTACATTTTCTCACCTCCTTTTCATGGGTATTGTATGAGTCATAGAGGGAAAGAAAACAAATGACTCAAGGAGACTAAATAAAGGGACTATTTTCAAGGCAGGAGCAGCATATAGAGAAGGCAGTGGAAAGCCACAACCTAGAAGGAGTCAGAGGTCGAGGTTGGCAGTTGTTACCCATGAGCCCTAAGAGAGAGAGCAGTTACAGAGTCATGAACGGAAGCCACCTTGAGGGGTGCAGTAATCTCTCTAAAAGGACACAGCCAGCCCCTGGCAACCTCAAAAGGAAATTGCATTCTGACCTCTCCCTCATACACACCTCCTGCTGGGTCTCCCTCTGACCAAATCTATTGGAAGCCAGAGAGCAAGAGAACTTGACTTTGCCTGCACAAAGGAACCTTCCACGGCAGCCAGCAGACAGCAAAAGAAAGTGGTTGTGGCAGGCCAAGCAGAAGCTATCTAGCCCAGGCACCATTAATCATTGCTCACTGGACATGTGAACTAAATGTATGGAGAGCTGTGCAGATTTTCAGTTTTCTACATTATATTACTCTTTCATAATTTGATGCTTTCAAATATTTTTGACAGAAAATCTACACTAAGACATTTTGATTTGGCTACTGAAAATCCCAATCCTAAGATTAGACTAATGAAGTCTGGATTTCTTATGGAAAATAAAATAACTAATATCATGTTTTAGAAAGAAATGTAATGATTTTAATCAAATTGGTAATGGCATTTTGACTTCTAACCTGTTTACTTAAAATAAAAGAGAAGCAATCTATGAACATGAAATAATTTACATATAAGCAACCATAATTTTACCCCATAAGATTAATAAACCTTTTTTTTTTACATCTGCTAATTACATTTTACAATAAGAAAGCACAACAGCTCCTTAGGAAAAGAATTGTTCTAATCCATCAAGTCACTAGTAGTGTGGGGATTTTTAAGCCTAACTACCCTAAAAGTTTTACTAGCAAGTTGGATTTAAAACCTTCACTTTCAAAGAAAGGGACTTTAGGCTGGGCCCAGTGGCTTTCATCTGTAATCACAGCCTTTTGAGAGGCTGAGGCTGTAGGATCCCTTAAGGCCAGGAGTTTGAGACCATCCTGGGCAACACAGTGAGACCTCCATCTCTATAAAACATTAAAAAATTTGCCAGGCATGGTGGTGCACCTGTAGCCCCAGCTACTTGGCAGGCCGAGGCTGCAAGATCACTTGAGCCCAGGAATTCTAGGTGACAATGAGCTATAATTGCACCACTGTATTCCAGCCTGGGTGACAGAGAAAGACACTGCCACTCAAAAAATTAAAAAGAGGACTTTAATATTCCAACTAATTTTATAGTTTCTCTAGTTTATAGCATCTCCTTATCTTCAATTTTGCCTTTTTAAAAAATTGAACAGTTTTATTTAAATTTCCATATATTTCAGTACTCTGTGATTCTAAAAAATTATAATCAGTGCATATGCAAAATTACACAGAAATTTAGAAGGCTAAACCAATACATACACTTCTTCTAATAGTTAAATGTTCTTTAATGGTTACTTTTTTATTAATTCATTCAACAAATTAGCTCCCACTACATGCCAGACACGGTGACAGGCCCTGGAGACAGGACTGTAAACAACACATGGTCCTCCCAGCCCCATGGAACATATGACCAAATGGAAAAAGCAGGCATTCAATAAATAATCAACCAAATAAACATTTAACGGCAATTGTAATGGTTGTTGTGAAAGCTATGAACCTGCCGCTAAGAGTTACAGGGCCACTCACCTGGTCCGCAAGGGACAGGGCAAGCTTCCCTGATGAAGTGACATTAAGTTGACACATTGAAAAATGAAGAAGAAAAAGGAATGAACACTGAACACCAGCCACAGATTGCCTCTCACTTGAGATCTCCTTCAGATGTGTATACTACCCAATTTGCAGAAATGAAGAGGACAGGCAGTCTACTGACAGGTACTTAATTTTAGAAAACTTGCCACAGGCTGAAAAATATTAAACCATAGACCACCGTCTCCCATGCATATTACAAATAATGTTTTCAAATACTATATGCAAAACTGGGGTTCTTATGCCAGGACTATCAAGAAAATGCTACGTAATTTATCAGCAGGGACTTGCATTACATTCTCACAGATCTCTGAGTCCTGAGGCTTGTAAGGGTAAGGCATGAATAAATGAATGGATAGATGAAAGGTAAACAGATGAATGAAAACTGAAGACACTAAGAAGCAACTTTAAGTCAAGAGTCCAGAAAAAAAATAAATGTATACTTATATTACTTATAAGCTCTAATATTTGTTTCCTTCCTTAGGAAAGTAAAAAATAAGTGATTGAAAAGTAGGAGGAAACTCTCTTCTTTGTACTCAGGCAGTGAAGGCTTTGGGATAGGACTTCAAGCTATATGAGAAGCAGGTTAGAACTAATTCTAAAAGAACCTGGCTTTGCTTTGCTTTGCTTTGGTTTGTTTCTTTACAAGGTAATATATATTTTCTGCACCTCTCAAGAGGAGGAAAGAGAAATACATGCATCTGTCCACCCCTGGAAACTCTGCTCAATGAGGCAGCATCCCAGGGAGACATGGAGAACTGCATTCCCTGATTTCATTCTTTCTGTTTCTGCCAGTTTCTTTGATATCTTCTTGGAAAAGTTTTCAAGCAGTTTGGGATTTCAAGATGAAATCTCTGATTATTCTTCAAAAGAAAAATTAGGGGAAGTTTTGAAATGAGCTGCTTAAGACAGTGAAAGTTTTCTATAAAGTGATTTTCTTACATGAGTACAAAAAATAATAAATTACATTGTGTTATAATAGAAAAACCAAAACGATGCCATGGCACTTTATTAGCATCATTTGCTAAGTTACTTAAAAATTTAACTCTCCCACCCACTCATTCCCATCACTGCTGACTTCAAACTATCACCTAGCATTTAATTTTCCTCTTCTGCTGATTTCCTTACTGTGCAATCACTGCTGTGGTTCAATTTTTCCCCCAAGCATGTCAGCACTAGAACATTATAAAATAAAAAGTCAGTAATTATAACTAACAAATTGAAGTCAATAAACTTTAAGCTGGCAAATATTCGATTTAGACTGGCATTCTGCCAGCCAATAGTACATGATTTGACTCCTGCAAATAAAGAAGAATGTTGATAAGGACGTTTATGCAAGTAAGTTTCCTGGCTGGCAATTTCATGGATTTTTAGTGATTATCCGCATTCACAAAATCTTAGTCTTCAAGTCATTATTTATCTCCCAGCTAGCATTCAGGTACTGATTCTGAACACCTAATAGCACTGGAAATTCTCATTTACTTTCTGTTACCTAAGTTAGTAAACTTAGTAGATTAGAAGAAGGTACGCATGAGGTTAAACGTCTTCATTCGAGCTCCATTTACACAGGGGGAAAACCCACTCCATTTGCAAAGACCAAAAAGCTGATTTCATAAATGGACATCATTGGTAACAGGAAAAGTTGATAAAAGGATGTAAATGACTCAGAGTCCTTTATTCCACTACATACTACAGAATGCAAGGATATGTTCCTCTGAGAAGGCATCATCTCAGTATCCAAAGGGCAATACATTAAGTTTCCCCTAAACAAATTGATTAGCCCTTTCATCCTATGAACATTTTTGGGAAGCCTAGCTTACTGCTCTCTATAAGCCTTCTTTATGTGTCGTATTCCATAATGTGTGCGTATGTGTGTGTGCGTACACATGTGTACATGTTCATTTTGCCAACATTTATTTAACATGTTATATTGGCCAAGAACTGTGCTTAGTGCTCTAGCTTCATTTCATGAATGACTAAACCATAATCTGGAGAAGTAACTTGCCCAAGACCAAGTAATTTGTAAATGACAGAATAAGATTCAAATCCAGGTAGTCTGACCCCGGATTCATTTCTTAAACTCCTCTACTCTCCGCTACTTTGGGTCCATTTTTAAATCTGATATTAATTCTTCAGTAGCTTTTTTTCCCACAGGTGTTCAGCTTCCTCCCCGTTTCCACCTCTGTTCACATCTACAACTCCTTTATGGTTGTAAGTCATGGCTTGGCTGGAGCTTGGACATCACCAGCCATTGCCATATATGGTATCACAGTGAATAGGAGATACTAGCATCTAAGATCAGCTAAATATTATCTGCCTCCATTGGTTTTCATCAATCCCAATTGCTACTGTTCCTTCTGGGGAGGGGGGCCTCCTGGCCCAGTTGGGTACCAACAAAATGGTCTGAGACAAGTTTGGGGCAGGTTGGACAGCAATCACATAGGTCAACAGGGGAAGGTAAGTGCAAAAAGGGCTAGCCAAGTTCCCAAGTTCAGAGAGAGCACATCTAAATACAACAGGCGATGGGGAGCAGAGGCAAGAACCAAGAAATGGGGCCAGGCGTGGTGGCTCACACCTGTAATCCCAGCACTTTGGGAGGCCGAGTTGGGATTGCTTGAGGTCAGGAGTTCAAGACCAACCTGGCCAACATGGTGAAACCCCATCTCTACTAAAAATACAAAAATTAGCCAGGCATGGTGGTGTGTGACTGTAGTCCTAGCTACTCAAGAGGCTGAGGTATGAGAATCACTTGAACCCGGGAGACAGAGTTTGCAGTGAGCCAAGATTGTGCCATTGCACTCCAGCCTGGGTGACAGAGCGAGATCCTGTCTCTCTCTCTCTCTCTCTCACACACACACACACATGCACACACACACACATACACAAGAAAGAAAGAAAAAAGAAAAGAAAAGGTAGAAGATGACTGAAAGGTGTTCCAGGCATAGGGGACAGCATCTGACAGAAACAAACCTATGAAAGGCTATAGATTGCTTAGGAAAAGCTAACAATTCAGTAGTCTTGGTGAAAGGTGTTCATGAGCCCAGTTCAGTCTGCTTTCTGTTTGTTTGTTCTCGTTTTTCATTTCAACAAGTATTTGTTAAGCACTTACGATATGTCAACACTCTCTTACTTGGCCTAAATGAGAACTCACTCTCCAATTTTCCTCTTAAATCTCTATCTCCTTTGTTGGCTATTCTTCCCTTGTTTCATCCTTTAAGTGTTAGCATTCCTTAGGATGTGGCCTAGACTCTTTTGTGTTCACTTCATACCCACTCCAAACCTATAAATGCAGTCTAAATCTCTCCAGTGAGTTCCAGACCCATGTCTTACTTATTTGACCTCTCTCTTAAGTGTCCAACAGGTATCTCAAAATGACATGCCCAAAACTTGTCACGCACACCAATCCCAGCATAAACTGAAGATCATCTGGTGCACCAGGGGTCCTCAAGTCATAGCTGGCCAATTGGCTGGGTTCCAGAATTATGTGAGTGCCACACACTTTCCAATTATGAAGTTTCCAACTATGCAGCTATCATCTATGCATGGCTTTGGTCTGCCTTGTTTAGCCCTCCCTTTTTTATACCTCTCAGTGGCCAGTTGGCCACCAGAAATGAAGACTCTTTAAAAATTAAATTTAAGGTCCAAATTTCCTCTAGAGGAAAACAAATGCTTATATGTTTTGGTATAAAAGATATGTTCATGTTGCAAAAGATAAATTCAACAGTATTGACTACAGTAACTGTGGTACTAAGTTTTCTCTACAATCTTGCTACTCAGTGCTATCAGCAAACCCACAGCATCAGCATCACCTGGGAGCTTCTTAGAAATGTAGAATTTCAGGCCCCACCCCAGACCTACTGAATGAGACTTTGAATTTTAACAAGATCTCCAGGTGATTCGTGTTCACAATAAAATTGGAAAAGCTCTGCTATAGTATGAAACATTGAATGTGTACTCAAGAGCCCTGTTTCCTTTTGAAATTTTTCCATATCATGCTCAAAGGGATTTAAACACATTCATTGCAAAGATTATTTTTGTAGCTCTGGATGTTGTCATCATGAGGAGATATAAAAGCTCCCTCTAATTCACTTTATGAAGAAGTTGATGCCTTGAACATTATGTTCACTTATCCTAGGATGAACATCTCCTGATCATTAGAAATTTCTTTTCAAAAATATTCTGCATCCAAATTTCTGTTTTTAAGAGTATTATGTTTCAGTTCTTGCATCAAATGCTAGCATGGAGTTTATTTTTAGTGTCATGATAAATCTATAGACCAGTGAATATATCATATCAAGAGTTGAGTCAGTAAAAGCTTTTTAAATATATTTCTTACTTATTTGAAAATAACAGATGAGTTTTTGAAAAATAAAAATTTGGCAAAGCCTGCATGATGAAATGCCAAATAAAAGATGCAATGTACCTTGTCATCGATACATTTTCCATAGCATTTATATGCAGCAGGATAATTTAGTAAGATATTCATTTCTGTCTGATTGTTACTGCTTTAGGAGACGGATGAAAAGATTTATTTTCCTTTGCGCCCTCTACATGAGCAATCAAGCCTGCATGTCTTGGCGAATTAGCTCATTTTCAGGAGACTTGGCCTATAGAGGTTATAGAGCTGAATTACTAGAGCAGGGGCATCTCCCAAGGTTTGAGGAGGAGGAATTTGAAATGGAAATAGAGGGAGAGAATAGTACTTCACCAGAGACTTGGGAATGAGTCTTCTCTGGTAGTGCCTGAGAACCCAGGAACCCTCAAAGAAGCTCATTTCCCATGCTTGCCATAGAAGGAATGGAATCCCCCTCCTTTTAACAGCCCACAGGGGCTACAGTGAGCATCTCCGTGGTTATCTCCTCTGTACCTATATTAGTCCACTCTCACACTGCTCTAAAGAACTATCTAAGACTGAGTAATTTATGAAAAAAAGTCGTTTAATTGATTCACAGTTCTGCAGGCTGTACAGGAAGGATGGCTGGGAGGCCTCAGGAAACTTATAATCATAGCAGAAGGCAAAGGGAAAGCAAGCACAGCAGGGGTGAGGGAGAGAGAGTGCACGCAAAGGGGGAAGTGCCACACACTTTTAAACCACCACATCTTGTGAGAATTCTATCACGAGACAGCACTAGGCGGATGGTCCTAAACCATTAGAAACCACCCCCATGATCCACTCACCTCCTACCAGTCCCCACCTTCAACACCTGGGGACTACAATTCCACATGGGATTTGGGTGGGGACACAGAGCCAAACCATATTAGTAGCCTTGGCAACTGAAGGCTAGGTCTCCAAACTGAATATGATTGAATTGTTGACACCCTAGTGAATGTGGCTCAGTGTCAGAATTATTTGATATCAAAGAAAAAAAGTTCATTTCACTTCAGTTTTGAAGAGCAAATTCATTTCATACACCTACTTTACCTTAGAGAGTAGGCTTATGAGCTGAGGCACTGGGATACACTGCTATTCTTCAGCAGATCCTAGGAAAGCACTTTGTACATAGCAGATAACACATGGACATTGTTGATTAACTGCTTACTAGCGACAGTAAAACAACTCAGGATTCCTGGCTTTTAATATCAACAGTCTACCTAGTAAAACTGCTTCTCAAAAGCTTCCCACATTTTCGGTGCTTAAATGAAAATATACTTTTCTTTTTTTATGAGTAGCTGAATCCTTTTGCATAGACCGTAACTTAGATATATGAAGACATTTATTGTCTTTCCAATTCTAAATTTCTAAATAATCTAAATATGTAAATGTCTCCATAATGCTTTGCTAGAGACTGTATGTAAATATCATTAGGCTTTCTATTTAAAAAAAAAAATGGAAAAAGAAAAAACAGGAAAACCTCTTAGGCACGTCTGTCTTTTAAAAAAATACCATTTCAACCTCAAATTTGATGAGACATACACATTGCTTTTTGGATGCCCTTTAATTTTTTTTTAATTCTAAGAAAAAAAATGGAGGAGATTTAAAGTAGTTTGACATTTAAGAATATAATCTAACTTAAATTAGGATTGAGGTACTGCAAATGTAGACATTTTCTTTTGTAAACAAATAAATAGAAAGTAGGACAACAAGTAGAATTCAAGGTAGCTCAAAAAATGCAGGATGAAAAACACTTGAAAAGAAAATGGAAATACTGAGATAAAAAAAATTCAACACGTCACCAAAAGACTTTTTGGGAGAGGGACTGAGAAGAGTAGGGGGTAGATTAAATATACTGGTTGAGAAACCAGCATTAGAGAAGACTAGGGACTAAGGGTAAGGGGATGAGTGGAGAAGGCAGTGTGGCTTGAGTCAACGTTGAACTTCAGGAACAGGAGAAGAAGATGGGAAAGAGGAAAAGAAAGACTTTTAATCCCCTGTAGCAGGAGATGGAATAAGCAAAGAAGTCACTGTTTTCCCTCCAGCCTTCCATCCCTGCTAAGTGGCTACTATTGAATTAATCATCTGTAAATCATCATTCTGGACTGGCATAGCCTTGGTTTAGGGTGTCTCATTTCATCCATATAATAGTCGCCAGGGCTACTGAGTCCCTTCAAAACTAGTAATCAGCCAGATGTCACAATCAAACATGTCTGTGCCTATACAACTGCTACGGTTTGAATGTTTGTCCCCTCCAAACCTCACGTTGAAATTTCATCCCCAGTGTTGGAGGTGGGGCATAATGGGCGGTGTTTGGGTCCTGGGGGGAATCCTTCCTGAATACGCTAATGCCCTTACAAGGTTGGGGGAGTGAGTTCTCACTCTGTTAGTTCCCTCAATAGCTAGTTATTTAAAAGAGCCTGGCACCTTCCCTCTGTCTCACATTTCCTCTCTGTGTGTGACCTCTGCACACTCTAGCTCCCTTTCTGCCTTCAGCCATGAGTGGAGGCAGCCTCAGGCCCTCATCAGATGCAGATGCCCAATCTTAAACTTTCCAGCCATCAGAACTGAGCCAAATAAACCTTTTTTCTTCATAAATTATTCTTAGCCTCAGGTATTCCTTTATAGCCATACAAAATGAACTAAGACAACTTTATTATTCTGCCCATGGTTTCTAATAAAACATTACCAAATTTTCTTCAAAAATTCCTCAGATCTGTTTCAATATGGGTCAAATATTTTTCAAATATTTTGTAGAATGTATCTTTTTCTTCCCCATAAGAAATAGAAGCCATCAGTTAAAGATACCTCTTAATTTCACATCATCACATGACAAACCTTCCCTTCCTTCTTCCTTTCCCTTTCCCTTTCCTTTCGTTACAAGAAAAAATGTCACCTTTGCTATCTAAAGTGAAGCCTCAACTCTGCTCTGAATTGCACATGCAGCAGCCTTTTTGAGCTTGACACTGTAGATTATTGCCTCTCTCTTTCAAGTCATTAACCACATACTTTCAACTGGGTCCTTTCTACTGGCATTTGTGTATACTCAAGCCTCTCCAATTCAAAAAGAAAACATTTTCAAAAAAGAAAATAAACCATTACTCAACTCCTCATCCAACTCCAGCTCTCAAGCTAATATTTGTCTACCTTTTACAACCAAACTTTAAAATTTCAACTAAGTACCCTCTCCATTGTCTTACCTCCCACTCACTTTTCAGCATTGAGACCGGCTTTTGTCCCAGGGCTGTATTCAAACTGCTCTAAGCAAGATCATAAAACTTTTCATGTCACAAAATCCAATGCTCAATTTGCTGTCCTCATTTCACTTGAATCAGCAACTTTAAAATCTGGACAATATTTTCCTTGGCTTCTACAACACGCTCTCTTGGTTTTCTCCTACCCCTCTAGATATTCCTTCTTTGTCATCTCCTCTAGTTCATCTTTATTTGCTTACAATTTAAAAGTGAGGTTCCCTGAGGCCTGACCTGAGCCCCAATATTTTTGCACCCTTTCATTCTCACAAGATGACAATGTCCAACAAGTTTATGACTTTGATCACTGTCAGTATAACTACAATGCCCAAATTTATCTCTGAAATAGTCAACTCAGACTTCTCTAAAATGCAAACCTACTACCAATTGGATAATGAACCTCCATTTAGAAATTTTAAATTTACCTTAAATTCAACATGATCAGAACTGATTGCACAGACTTGCGCTTCTGGCCAAAACGAAATAACTGGAACCAGATGTAGCCCCTACCCTTTAACAAAATATTGGGAAATCAACCTTAGGAGTATATAAAAAATTAAATAAACAATGACAAGGAATGTAATCAATTCACCATATTAACGGTATAAATACAAAACCATAATTGGTGTAGAAAAAGCATTTGAAAAAATTTAACATCCATTCACAAAATAGATAAATAAACAAATAAGTAAAGTCTCAGCTTATTAAGACTATACAGAAATACCCTCAACGTGATAATGGACATCTGTTGAAAAAATACATCTAAAATCATACCTAGTGGTGAAAGGCTCAATGCTTTTCCCCTAAGAGTCTGCAAGACACAAGACTGTCCATTTCACTGGAAATTAGCAAGCTGATTCTAAAATTTGTATGGAAATGCAAAGAATTTACAATAGCTACAATAATTTTAAAGAATAAGAGCAAATTTGAAGAATTCATTAAATGTTTTCTAAACAAACTATAAAACTACAGTAATCAACAAAGCAAAGATTGGCATAAAGCTAGATATAGAGATTAATGGAAAAAAGTGAAGAGTTTAGAAATGGCTATAAAGATGCCAAGAAAATTCAAAGGGGAAAGGATAACTTCTCAACAAATGGTGCTAGAACTGAATAACCATATGAAGAAAAAAGACACTTGATTCTCATACCATGCATAAAAATTAGTCAAAGTGGACAACTGACCCAAACACAAATAATAAAACTATACAGCAGTACACGCAAGGATACAAAAATACTAGAAGAAAATCTAGGGAAATCTCTTCAGGACAAAACTCTTCTAGACAATGAATTCATGACTAAGACCTCAGAAGCACAAGAAACCAAAACAAAACTAGATAAATGAGTACTTAATTAAACTAAAAAACCTTAACACAGCAAAAGAAATAACAGAGTGAACAGATAACCTGCATAATTAGAGAAAATATTGGAAAACTATGCATCCATCAGGGGACCAATATCCAGAATTTATAAGGAACTCAAACAACTAAACACACACACACACACACACACACACACACACACAAATAACTATTAAAAAGTGAGCAAAAGACGGTTTTCAAAAGAAGATATACAAAGGGCCAACAGACATTTGAAAAAATACTTTACATCACTAATCATCAGAGAAATGCACATTAAAACCTCAATAAGATATCATCTTACACTAGTCAGAACCATTACTATTAAAAAGTCAAAAAACAACAGATGTTGGTGAGGATGCGGAGAAAAGGGAATGCTTTATACTGTTGGTAGAAATGTAAATTTTTACAATCTCTATGGAAAACAGTAAAGAGATTTCTCAAAGAATTAAAAGTAGAACTATCATTTGATCCAACAATCCCACTACCGGGTATCTACCCAAAGGAAAAGAAATAACTATATCAAAAAGATACCTGTACTCATATGTTTATCATAGCACTATTCATAATCTTTGCTAAAGATATGGATTCAACTTAAGTGTCCATCAGTGGATGACTGGATAAAAGAAATGGGGTATATATGGACAACAGAATACCATTCAGCCGTAAAAATAATGAAGCATGTCTTTTGCAGCAACATGAATGGAGCTGCAGGCCATTGTCTTAAGTGAAATTACTCAGAAACAGAAAGTCAAGTATCCGACGCTCCCACTTATAAGTGGGAGTTAAATAATGTGTACACACAGAGTATAGAATGGTAGGTCTAGTACCCTCAGAAGGGTTGGGAAGAGAAATGGGGTGGGTGATGAAAAATTAGTTAATGGGTACAATGAACATTATTCAGGTGATGGATACACTAAAAGCCAAGACTTCACCACTATATAATATGTCCATGTAACAAAATTGCACTTGTACTCCTTAAATGTATTTAAATAATACTACTAATAAAACTATTAGAAAAACTTAAGTGAAAATTTTCACAAAATTGAGGTAAAGATGTTTAGAAAAGACACAAAAAGCACAGTTCATAAAGTAAATTAACAAATTGGAATTCACCAAAATAAGAAACCTCTTCACATATCATTATTAATAAAATATAAGTCAAATCACAGATTGAGGAGAAAATACTTGGGGGCTATATCTGATTAAAGACTTTTACCAAGAATTTTTAAAGAACTCTTACAACTCATAACAATACAAACAGTCCAAATTTTAAAATGGGTAAAAAACTTGAACAGAAATTCAGAAGAGAAGATATACAAATGGATAAATAAAAAGATGCTAAATCATATTACTCTTCAGGGAAATTAAAATTAAAATCAATGAGATATAACTACATACTTACTAGAATTCCTAAAGGTAGAAACTGACAATACCAAGTAGGGCAATGATGTGAAGCAACTTAAACTCTCCTACATTGCAGTTGAGAATGCAAATTGCTACAACCACTTTTGAAATAATTTGGCAGATATATATATCCCTTATGTGTGTGGGGGGTATACACACACTCACATATGTACATATGTATGTACACTTATAAAATATAAATATATGCATCTACCACATAATCCAGCAATTCTACTACTAGGTATACTTACCCAAGAGATATAAAAACATATGTTCATACAAAGACTTGTACTCAAATGTTCACTACAATTTTATTCACAGTAGCCCAAAATTGAAAACAACCTAAATATCCATCAATAGGTGACTGAATAAACAAACTGTGGTGTAGCAATAAAATAAAATACAACTTGGCAATCAAAATAAATTACTGATGAACACAGTAATATGAATGAATCTCAAAACTATTATACTGAGCAATAAAAGCCAATCCCAAAAGATTACATACAATGTGATTCTATTTATTGAAATTCCAGAAAACACAAATCTAACCTACAGTGAGAAAATAGATCAGTGATTTCCTGGGGCCAGAGCAGGGTAAGAGGACTGTAAATGGCACAAGGAAAGTTTTTAGGTGACGGAAAAATGCTATATCTTGATTGTGACTGTGATATACAGGTTTATATATTTGTCAAAACTCATCAAATACTCATTTACACTAGGTGCATATTATTATATGTAAGTTATTATTTAATAAAGATTTTTTTAAATAATCAATGCCTGGTCTCTCCTTCCACCCCAGCACACACCCTTCAAAAACAAGTCCTCCTTAAGTTATTTGAAATCTTGGTATAATGTTTTCTTACTTCCATATCCTTCAACACTCATGTTCATGCAATCACTATATTCTGTTTACCTTCAAAATATCTCGGCGTCTTGACATATCTTATCTCCACTGGCACCTTTAGGCCTATGCCCCATTAGCTCTTACTCACATCTCTTGTGACATCTCAGCAGGCACTCTCATGGCCTTCCAATCTATTTTCCATTCTATTTGCATTTCTCAAAAATATAAAAGATAAAGGGTCTTAAAAATAATGTGTAGCTACTCACCCAATGATGCTCAAAGTTGGTTTGAAAAATCTGGGTTTGAATCTTAAGAAGTGGTTTCCAAAGCTGAGTATCAGAATTACCTGGGTGGCTTTTTAAAAATCAGATTTATTAACCTCATATGGAGATTCTAATTCAGTTTGAGGATGACACCAAGCACTTTCTCCAACTATCCTGATAATCATCTAGTTTTGAGGATCATACTACTCTGATGTCAGTGGAGTTACTGGAAGGTTAAGTCTCATGCCAAGACCATCAAGCTGAGTCATTTTATTTATACCACTGTTTCCATACAGCCTGGCAGCTATCCACTAGGAAACCTGCCCACCAAGTACCAGGTTTACCACTCACTCTTACCAAAGTCATCTGTCTTTATCTGAAAGATCCCTTCAATGGTAGTAATTATTGTAATACTAATTATTGTAAACTTTCCAAGCACTTTTATGTATACTATAACTTTTGCAACTATCTTATAAAGCAGATATCATTATCTCTACTTTATAGGTAAGAAAACTGAGACTTGAAAGTTAGGGTCCTTTGCTTACAAACAGCTAATGAATAACGGTAAGGTTTAAGCCAGAATCTGTCAGATTCCAAAGACCACATTCTTTCTGTGATACTATATAGTTTCCCTAGGAATAAGCAGGGAAAAAAATGTTCCCTGTCATATTCACTGCTTCCTTTATATCTACCTTCTGAATTTGTTCTTCTCCAGTCAGCTTTTGGATGGCAGCTGCCACAGCAGAAGGCCCAGCAAACAACTGAACAATAGCTAATATCTGATTACAACAGGGAAGAAAACTGACAGGACAAAAAACAAAACCACATGAATTAAGGTCCTATGGCAACTGCATTATCAATATTAATCATATGACTTCATAATGACTCCTTATTCACCATATCCAACCTGATAAATTGGAATTATTTCTTCCTACGAATAAATGATATGTAGGAATGTCTATAAGTATGTCAAAATTTCATGCATCGTGAATTTCATAGCAGGAACCCGGCTAAAGTCAACATTCATATCCTAACATTTTTAATAAATCTATAGAATCAAAGGTATAAACCAGAAAATTATTAGCCTTTCAGTTGAGGTATAAACAAGACTGAACACTTTTATTTACCATTCCTTGCTGAAGCTATTAGCTAATAGCCTTAATTTATGAAAAGATATTTATTTCCTTTGAACTGCTTTCCCCAAATCAAGGCAAAAGTACTCAGCATCTTTGAGAAACTAAACTGTTGGACATAAAACCAAACTTCTTGTTAGTATAATTTTAATCATCACTTTATTATATACTGAAAATATACATGTACTCATGTAAGTTAAATATTCAAAATAGCCAAAATCAAATTCCCAAACACTTGTGCAAAACTGCTAAAAATTTCATTTTTCATCCTCATCTAGACATGACACAGAACAGCTTGCCATGATACGCCCTTCTCAATAAGTGTAAATTACACACAGTAGGGGATTTAATTCCCAGACCATGGAAAGCTAAACCAATGAGAAAAATCAATCCAAAAGACTGACCTTGGCAGCCCAATCGTGAATGTAGTTATTTTCCCTTCAGCCAAAGTCACAGTAGAGATTCTTTACTCTTTCTAGTTTGTCCTAGAAAACTAATACATGGGTCAAACAATAATTTTCTGAATTTGGACCGCTGTTGCAGCCAATCAAGATAATTTTGAAGCTATTCAATCTCTGAGTCATTTCTCAGTAATAGAATTTGTGGCAGGTCAGGAAGAACGATATGGTTTGGCTCTATGTCCCCACCCAAATCTCATCTGAGATTGTAATTCCCATGTGTGAGGGAGGAACCTGGTGGGAGGTGATTGAATCATGGGGTCAGTTTCCCACATGCTGTTCTCATGATAGAGAGTTCTCATGAGATCTAATGGTTTAAAAGTGGCAGGTTCCCCTGCTCTGTCTCCTGCTGCCATGTATGACATGCCTTCCTTCCCCTCCCAATCATAGAAGCATCATGACTGTAAGTTTCCTGAGGTCTCAGCCATGTGGAACTGTGAGTCAATTAAACCTTTTCTTTATAAATTACCCAGTCTCAGGTAGTATTTTTATAGCAGCATGAGAACAGACTAATACGGATAATTGGTACAGGGAGTGGGGTACTGCTATAAAAATAACCTGAAAATGTGGAAGTGACTTTGGATCTGGGTAACAGGCAGAGGTTGGAACAGTTTGGAGGGCTCAGGAGACAGAAGAATGTTTAGAACTTCCTATAGATTTGTTTAATGGTTTTGACAAAAATGCTGATAGTGATATGGACAATGAAGTCCAGGCTGAGGTGGTCTCAGATGGAAATAAGGAACTTATTGAGAACTGGAGTACAGGTCACTCATGTTATGCTTTTGAAAAGAGACTGGCGGCATTTTGCCCCCGCCCTAGAGATATGTGGAACTTTGAACTTGAGAAACATGATTTAGTGTATCTGGCAGAAGAAATTTCTGGGATGATTGGTTTTGAAATGTGAAAAAGGCATGAGATTTGGGAGGAGCCAGGGGTGGAATTATATGGTTTAGCTCTGTGTGCCCACCCAAATTTCATCTGGCATTATAATCCCCAAGAGTGAGGGAGGGACCTGGTGGAAGGTGATGGGATCATGGGGGCAGTTTCCCACATGCTGTTTTTATGATAGTGAGAGAGTTCTCATGAGATCTGATGGCTTTCTCCTGCTGCCATGTAAGACACTCCTTGCTTTCCCTTCACCTTCTGCCATGATTGTAAGTTTCCTGAGGCCTTTACAGCCATGCAGAACTGTGAGTCAATTAAACCTTTCTTTATAGATTACCCAGTCTCAGGTAATAATTTTGTAGCAGTGTGATAACAGACTAATACAAAAAGGTTTTTGTTTGGGAGCAGAATTACAAGAGTTCTTAATTGTCTGAGCATGTGTTGCCCAAGAAACCTTAGTGCAGGAGTTGCATGGAGAAGCAAGTTGTCATAAATGAAAATATTCACTAAGCCACTGACCTCTGAAACAGGCTCCCTCCCAACCTTCACTTTTGTTCCAGGCAAAATTTTTTAATCAACTTCTTGTTGATTGCTTACAATAGCCAAAAGTAAAATGCAAAACAACTACAAAATGAAATTGGAGATCTTATAAAAGATCCAGAGTTATAGAAAGTCACTGGAAGCAGCATTGAAAACTTGCCAGAATCATGTGCAAAATCATGGACATATGACCTTTGGGATGATTAGACCAAGGGACAGACAACAAAGTTTTCAGAGGAAAGTGGTTTCATAATTTTGTTTTGATTTTTGATATAAAGCCTCAATCAATTTTTTAAACTATTTATCTGGAAAAGTTTATTCCCATTCTAAGTAGAATCACATGTAAGTGCCATATTCCAGGGCCAGGGACTGTCAGATAACGAGGGCTTCCTTGTACCACCTTCTCAATTCTTCTCTGCCTGTGGGGACACTGGTTTAAGGTATCTCACAGTCCCAAGTTCCTAATTTTCTTATTTTATTAAAATGATAATATGACTTACATATTTTTAGGAAATCAATTTTCCATAATTTTCATTTCTGTGTTTTTTTTCAACCAGGCTTTAAAGACAGAATTGACTGAACCCATCTACCATAATTTTGTGGTGGGAGACTTGCTGCATGTCTATTATTTCTTGCTATATTACTCTTATAATTTAACATTTCCTCTTTTATCCTTTGTTTCCTGGAATCTGTTATTTATGCTTAATTATGTTTTCTTCCCTAAACCTATACAGCTCTGAACTCTTAAATGCAAGAGTAATCTGAACAGCATGAACTTAATTTATAACTCTAATAACATTTTTCAAAATAAAGAGTAGCCATTTAAAACATGTCATTTATTTTGAATTCGGCAGTCTTAAGGAAAAAAATAATAAATAGGGACAAACTATAATCCATTATGCACCACAGACCAGTCTTCATTATCTATGGCAAGCTACAATCAGCCTTCTCTGGGATACAGCAAATCTGAGGCCTGGATTTGGAATCAGGGTCTTGCTTTGTTAGAAAAAATAAAGTTAACAGGGACACAGCTGTTTCTCAGAAGATGAAGTTGGGACACCCTTGTTCACTTTCAAAGTTGTCGGACAAATTTGAGATTCACACGCTAACAGAAAATGCTTTCCCCTCTCGCTTGCTGCTACTCATCCCAATTCCTTTGCTTAGGCTATAATGAGAAAGTTACTTTTATTGCATTTTGTTCCTTTTAATTATTTCTTCTCCTTTTCCAAGCTTTCCAAGTCATCCGGTCTTTCATTCATTCATTTCTCAAATATTTACTGAGTATCTGTCACATGCCATTCTGCTCAGTGCTAGAGACACAATAAAACAGACATAGTTCAAGAAGCTTAGGATCTAGTAGGTGATACAGACAACAAATTGACAGGAGCTAATGAAAGCGGTACACTGGAAATAGTGTGTGGGAGAGATGAAAGTGAGGAGGAATCTCACTTTATTTGAAGGGTCAGATAGGCACTTTCTGAGAACATGGCATTTAAGCTGAGATTTGAAGGACAGGAGGGAGCCTTGCCTTCCTGGCCTCGCAAGTACCTGAGGAAGAGGTTTCCAAGCAGGGGAAGAGCTGATGTAATTATGCCAAGAAATGAAAGGGTCTGGGCACTCTAGGACATGCTTCTGTGGCTAGAGTGGATGAACGGACAAGAGGAGTCCTAGATGTTCACTGGCAAAAGCAGGGCACATAGCATGATCAGTCCCCAGACCCACATTCCCCAAGTAAAGCCCTTGGTAGAGTAATAGCTGGGATGTTTCAAGAATTTAATTAGTCCCATAAATCTCTACCAACGTTTTAAAAAGCAGATAACAAGCTGGGCACAGTGGCACATGCCTATAGTCCCAGCTACTCAGGAAGCAGAAGGATTGCTTGTATCCAAAAGTTCAAAGCCAGTAGTGCAAACTATAATTGTGCCTGTTCAGAGGCACTGCAGACCAGCCTGGGCAGCATAAGACCCTGTCTCGGGCCAAGCGCGGTGGCTCACGCCTGTAATCCCAGCACTTTGGAAGGCCAAGGTGGGCAGATCATGAGGTCAGGAGTTTGAGACCAGTCTGACCAACATGGTGAAACCCCATCTCTACTAAAAATACAAAAATTAGCCGGGCATGGTGGCGGGTGCCTGTAATCCCAGCTACTCAGGAGGCTGAGGCAGGAGAATCGCTTGAACCTGGGAGGCAGAGGTTGCAGTGAGCTGAGGTCACGCCATTGCACACCAGCCTGGGCAACACAGTGAGAGTCTGTCTCAAAAAAAACCACAACCCTGTCTCTAAAAAAGCAAACAAAATCCCAGCACTTTGGGATGCCGAGGCAGGCGAATCACGAGGAGATCGAGACCATCCTGGCTAACGCAGTGAAACCCCGTCTCTACTAAACATACAAAAAATTAGTCAGGCATGGTGGCAGGCGCCTGTAATCTCAGCTACTCGGGAGGCTGAGGCAGGAGAATGGCACGAACCCGGGAGGCGGAGCTTGCAGTGAGCCGAGATCGCGCCACTGCACTCCAGCCTGGGCGACAGAGCAAGACTCCCTCTCCAAAAAAAAAAAAAAAAAAAAAAATTAATAAATACAAACAAGATAAACTGGCATTTTTTCACCCTTCTTGGGTTTTTTTCTTTCTTAATTCTCTATAATGTGTATGCTACTGAATGACAAAGTAGTCAAAAAGTGTTATCTTCCTAAAAGTTCTAGCTGACTAAAGGAAAAGTGTATTTCTTGGCAGTTCTAGCTGCCAAGAAAAGTATATTTATTGAGACAGATGCACTCATTAAGCACATGAACTTTGGCATCCAGGCAAATTCTGGGTGTGTACACTACTTCCACCGCATTTTATCTCTGTGAGTTCGGTATTATCTCCATTCATCCTCATAGGTTTATCCCTTAGCTTCCTCTTTCCAAAAAGTAGGCCTAACTATGAGACTAAATAATACATGTAAAGCATTTGATACAGAGCCTAGTACATAAAAGTACTGACTAGGCATTAGCTGCTATGATTATAATTTCATGTTATTATCATATACTCTATCAGGCACTCTATTAAGATTTAACTTCCGGGCAAATCAAGAACTTGTTGCTAAGTACATTTGTGCTCAGAAAGTTTCCTTCGTTAAGAAAAAATGGCAAAAATTACTAAAGAAAAGGTGAGAAAATATCTACTATGCTGCAGTAAAGTTGTTCAACACTTCAAAGATCAATTTAAACAGTCACATCTTGTTACAGATCTCACCTCCATGAAATATCACCTTGACTTGTTAAATCACTGTTACATGAATTCCAATGGGCCTGATTTACCTTAAAATCTGCAATGATTCAACAAAGAAAGTGTGAGAACCAAATGGGATTATTTGAAGCATGAACTAAAACATTTTGATATCAATTGTAAAGATGGTCAAAATATTAATAGAATTTGAATTGTAGGAAAGGCAAAACAAATTTTAAAGAGAAAAAATTAAAATTAAAATGCAACATTGTTCATCTTGCTACCATAATATTTTAAAACATTATAAATATCAGAGCAGTGCTCACATATTTCCTGGTCTGTTAACTGATAGGCATTTTCTTATATACAAAAAAAGTTAAGATCTTAACATAAAATGTAGGCAAGACATACATCTTCTGGACATAAAAAACATTTTAGCTAAGTGAAAAGTCTATCAAAATTTCACCTAGCTTCCTCCTGAGCTCTGAACATAAGTCTGCAACTTTCACAAAGACCTTTAAAACAGCTAACATTTCTGCAAACTTCATAAACAATTTTTAAAAATGTATTAAACACATGAATAACAGAAATTTAACATGATGAAAATATAATAGGCAAAAAGATTTTTATGTTTAACACATCATTGCTAAAAAATGATGTGTTAAATAATTCTAATCATAAAAATATGACTACCTGTCTTTTTTTTAGATCAATGATTTAGACTTTACTAATTTGGAATTAGAGAAGATTTGGGCTGAGTCAGGGTTTATGTTTCTATCATCCATTCAAAAAGGAAGTTTACTCAGTAAATTCATATGATGAAAACATTTTCAGGAAAAAAAATATTTAACCCATTCAAAAGAAACTATTTTGTGAAATCTAAGAATGCCCATTTCCATATAAATAAATCTGAGCTTTGTGTAAAACTAATTATAAATCTTTTTTTCACTATTCACTAAAGCAGGTGTACAGAAATCTAACCAAAAATGTTCAAAATTTTAGGTGGTGTTTGAGCTATTATAGATATTTGAAAATAATAGAACTACAATTTAAAATATTTATAATAAAGACATTTTACTAATTCCAACTGATCTTTCCCCACCTTCCCTCCAGATTTAACATTGTTCTGTAGTTAAGGATGGGAATAGGTGAGAAGAGGCTAGTTAGAAAGTCAGAGTTGACAGCTTAAGAATTAATGAGATCGCGCCACTGCACTCCAGCCTGGGCGACAGAGCGAGACTCCGTCTCAAAAAAAAAAAAAAAAAAAAAAAAAAAAAAAGAATTAATGAGTAATTTTTTTCATAAACCGGGCATGAAACTGTTACATGCAATTGGGCAGAGAGATTATATTTACATTCGCCTACAATCGTTTTTCTTATTCCTAAGAAAAATTTAAATATGATAAGATAGGTCATTTTCTCCATTTGGTTTGCTCCAAGGAGGTTGTTGATTTCTGGCAAATAGATCTTAACTATTATTATTTCATTAGATAGTAATTTCTAAAAATTGAGAATTATTTTTCCTCTTCAAACCAACTACATCTTGCACAATGCTCTGGATATTGTAGGAGTCCCACAGAAGTTCATCAAATTCAATTGAAAGACTGAAATTATTCAGTAATCTTAGATTCTTCAATACCAAAGCATTAAGATAAAATCAGACAAGAGCACTGAATTCTGAACTAATTCAATAAAAGTCATCAATTATGAAGCACTTTCACTAACACATGGCTACATATGGGCACCTAATTTAAAAATGGCTTAGTTATTAAAGGACAAAAATAACATGAATGTCACAGAATTTTCAAAGGAGCTTTATAATATGTGTAACTTGCTAGAATTGGGGTTATCAAATTTAATATGAACAGCTCTCATCAAATTTGAACTTAATGAATGCAGTTGTGAAACAGGCAAATCCAATACACTGCGAATAGTCTAACTCTTAATTCATTCCACAGATATGATTTACCCCTAATAGCCAGAAGCATCACTTCTAATAGCTCACGTTATGGCAGAATGGATTATGTTGTATTCATTCTACCTCCTGGAAGGAAGCTAGTATCCATAATAGTACCATTCAACTGTGTGTTATAAAGCACAAGCCAGCAGAACTTTTATAACATAAAATGTGAAGATATTTAAAACATAAATTTAGTAGGTTGTGACAGATCAGAGACTTCTCTCTTTCCACTGAAGGGATATATTTTTTTATTCAGATCTTTCAAATCCTGGTACCGAAGCTCAGCTACAAACTTACCCAGCACTGGAAAAACATGTCAGCATCTGTGCTGTACTTTGAGACTCAACTCACTATTTCTATAAACATGTATGTACACAGGCAATAGACGTCTCTACAAAGAGTAAATTTATTGTTCACTTAACAAGGAGGATGTGTCAGCATTTGAGGATGTTTTGGACACTTACACTTCTTTTTCTGAGAGGAATGTGTACCAAGCAGAAGGGCTCCAGATTGCTAAGAGCTCAAGCTCTCTTTTTAAATATTCCACTCCTGAGAAAATTCCCCATCAGATATAGGCAATTTCTAAAAGACTTTCAATCTAAGGATATTTACATATATTTCTGAAAAAAAAGAATAATTGCATATTAGCTTGAAAGAATGTATATAAGAATTAAATCACAGGATAAAAGTCACATTGTCCTGCAAAGGGCATAGGTTTTACGGTCATTCAGACCTCCAAGTTCAAATCTGAATTCTGTTAAAAACCAGCTATGTGATCTTGGATGACTTAATCTATGTAAGCCTTGATTATCTCATCTATAAAATGAAGATAAAAGCAGGACTGTTCTAGGAGTTGGAGTTTATACACATACACATGCATAAACATACACATACACACACACACACACACATTCCATATAGTCAGGTCATTAGCACAATGCCAGAGAGTAGGCACTTTGCAAACTGGAGCAATAAATGCCTAGTAATGTGGATACCTCTAAGTTGTATAGGCACTATCTGCTCATGTTCTCACCACCTCACTACATTATGGGCCATTACAGACAGGAACTATGTCATATCCAATTCTGTAATCCCAAGATCTAACACAACACATAGCATATAATAGAAACTAATAAACTGCTACTTATATTTGGTAATTGCAGTTGGCTCCTCCTGTATGTGAATAGATTTTATCAAGTAAATCAAACATAAAATGAAGAGTGTTCATTCTTAACCTATTAAATTTTCTCCTTCTTTAAACTTACGTAGGTTACTTGGCTATGATAATGAGCTGTTGTTTTTCTACTTAAAATTTAAAATTCTTCCATTGTTTTGCCATCTTTGGGTTTGTCTGGGTCCCTTTCCAAAATTTAATTTGCTTTGCTATTAAAAAAAAATAAAAACAGAACTATGAATCCTGAATACTAGGTGAATTTCTTGTTTGATTCAAAATGCAATAATATTTCTGGGTAAAAAGTTAAATAACAGTTTTGCCTAGAGGCAATCTTCTTCATTTACTGTCCTTTGTGAAAAAGTAAAGAAATTAAAATATTTTTTACCTGACTCTAAACCCATAGGAAAGTTTCAATTTAGAGTTTGTACTAATTGCTTAAGCTCCTTTCCTTTTAAAAATGAGATTCTAATTTTTTAACAACTTGTCAAGATTACAGCAGCCTGTTTGCCACAAATCAGATATTTACTTTCTCCCTCTCTCTTCTCTAAACTGGTTCTCCAATCCCAATCAAAAGTATACAAGCAGCACCTGCAATTCCCTCTTCACAAAGAATGTTGAAAACAGATAGCACAAGAGAGGTTCCACAGCCCTTAACGGTTCAGTGCAGAGCTGCAAAGCCCTTGCTTCAATCTACCTCTTCCAAACAAGAAAATCATGTAATCGAATCCTCCTCCCCACCCATTGCATTCTTTTAAAATTTTTTTTTGTTAATTTCATATAATTGGGCCAGTATACCCAGAGGCTCGAATATTCCCTATACACATCATCTCTTAGATAATCAAATCAGTTAGAATCTGCAGAACCTTTCCATTCCCCACACAGGGTCCAGAAACCTGTATTTTCATAAGCACTCCAAATGATCCTCATACAAGAAATACTGCTCCAGCCCTTCACTTGGAGAATATGCAGCCTAGGCAGGCAGATTTTCTTCATGGCTTCTCATTTGGGTAAACAAGCTGAGGGTTCCTGTCATCTGAGTGATCCCAGGGCCAGGATCTGAATGACTTGAGGTTTAATGGGATCACAACATTTCCATTTCATTATAACTAGTATTTGGGTTAATAAAGCATTTGTCTCCTGGAATTTGACCTGCATCACTATAAATTTTAAAAATTGTAACACACACATACACACATATGCCAAGGCAACTTAAGGAAAAACCCAAAGAAAAGAGATAAAACAACTCTCTTTAGTGACGAAAAGCACTGAAGAGTACCCAAAAGCACAACCTACCTGAAATCCAACTTTCAGCTCACCCTCTCTATCTTAAACAAGACGAAAATCAGAACAAAGAAAACAGAGTCCAATGCAATTAACAACAACAGTGATAATAACAAAAACATTTTTTCTGTCCTTACTAACACTGGCACTCTGTCAAATGAGCCACATATATTATTTAATCCTCACAACAATATTCCTCATTTCACAGATAAGAAACCATAAGCAGACAGATATATGCGACATGCCCAAGGTCTTCTATAATAATAAGTGGCAGAGGTGGAACTCCAACTTAAGTGTGTCTGACCTCTGAGCCCACAAATTCTAACTACTTTGTCGTGCTGACTTCCAGCCCATCAGCTTAGATTGGGTGGACAGTGGAAAGAACAATGTGTTCTCATAGTTTCATGACTGTAAGTTATCCAGAAACTTCTCCCATGAACCAAGACACTGCACTTTGTACATTAAGTGTGACAGTATCTGGAACACCTCACATACCTATTGAGGGCCTCATGTTCTTCTTACCACAGAAAAGAGATAACAAAATGTAACCTGAGCACATCCAACCTTGAGGCAAACTATGACAGTCACAGTACCTCATAGTAGTCACATTAGTGTGGTACCATCTTGAAAAATGGAGCCATGAAAGCAAAAATCTCAGAAAGAAAAGAGCAGTGAGCAAACTGCCTCATAATCAAGTCTAAGTAGATCTATTATTTAAAAAGTAACTGGCATATATTCTTCAAGCAATATTCACTTACCCCAGAGCAAAGACTTTAAGTTTCAGCTTTGGAATCAGTTGCTTTTTTTAAAGTCATCAAACCTCCTCAAGATAATCATCAATCTCTCATCAGCACCCTCCACTGCAAGTACATCATTACGATTGTTTTCCTTTATCTGCACTAAATCTCTGTAGCTCATGGAAAGCCTGTGTTAGAGTAGACCAAGACTGGGCAGTAGGCAGAAATTCATGGAAAAAAAGAAATACACAAGTCCTTAACTTTAAGCTCTTTCTATCGGAAGTTATACAGAGTGAAAAAGAGTAGCTGGAAAGGCCATGTGATCCCTAGTAAACATAGTAAACATTACACAGAATCCCATGGAAGCTAGGTCACAACTGGCGACAATGTGCCACTCATGCTAGAAGCACAGGTTCCCTCACAGGCCCATGGATCAATGTTTTCCAGGGCAGCCCCACTATGCTTGCTGGCTGGGTTGCTCTGCATCTCCAGGGCAGCATATGCCTAGGCTATTTACTCTCTAGTCAAGTCATGTTTTGCCAACAACAAAGTCAAAACTAATTTATGTGCACCCAGAAATATATTGCATTGCTCATATAAATTCAATATTCAATCAAGACTATGGAGTGGTAATCTTAATCTATTTCAGCTTTTCTCAATCTCAGCACTATTGACATCTTAGACTGGTTAATTCTTTGATGTGAAGGGCCATCCTGTGCATTTTAAGAGGTTTAGTGGCATCCCTGGTCTCTATTCATTAGACAGTAGCAAACCCTGTCCCCAATCCCACACTTGTGACAACCAAAAAATGTCTCCAGACATTGCCAAATGTCCCTGAGACAGCAAATCTCTTCCAGTTGAGAAACACTGTTCTATTTTCTCAATTGTCCCCTATCAATGGTCTTGAAAGGCAAATATAATATTTCTACACTACAATGTAACTATTTAAAAGATATTTCACACCCCAGGTTACTATCAGCCTCAGTGATTCTGACTTATTCTGTCTAACTTCAAGTGCTCTGCCCTTCTCATTCTGGTGCTGTTACCTGTACTTCAAATGCCCTTGGGTGGAGTATGAGGGGCCCACTTCCAGGGCCCTGACTGATTTCCATCTCTCCATTTCCTTTTCTGAACACCTGGGGCCCTTGAACGCCACCCAGCTTTAGGGTCACCTCCAATTTTGTCTCTCAAGAACTGATCTTGATTTGGCAAGGAGGAATACGATCCTCATATTCTGGTAGTCAGTGTCAAGTTACTCCTGCTGTTTGTCATTAAACCCATCCTTGTGACTCACTTTTGAAAGCCAGGCATGTGCCTTGAGCTGCAGACAAAGTCTCCATTTATCACTCCATGTTGATAATGTAAGTTGTGTTTTTTTCCCTACACTTTCATCATTGGTCTCATGCTGTATGATCCTCTAGGATTAGGACCCTGAATTATTCTTACCAGTCCCAACTCAGAATTTGTGACTGTCTGCATGCTGACAGCAATGTTAACTCAATGTTATTTTGTCTGGCCCTTGGAATTCCAAATATTACCTTCTTTGGAGGTGACCATCACTGAGCTTCCACAATCTGTCAACCCTTGCTCATTAGACCTTGCTGCACCTATATGGTGCCAATGGCCATATTAGGCCACTACCAGCTGCCTTCTCACCAACCCTGCGGCTCTCATCCTTAGCCTGCTGGTCTCTTTCTTTAAACCTAACCCCTCCCTAGTGCCCATCCCACCCACACAACTGAGGGGTTTCCAGGTCCAGATCTTGGCTCATGACATTCTAGATACCCTGGCGAAGCTATGGCACTCAGACCTGAGTAGATGCTAGAATTCATGTTCAATTAATTCTTCTAGATAGTTTACCTTAATTTTACTCAAGACTTAAGCCAGAATATTGCTTTATCTAGTCAGATAATCCAAAAAATTGTTGAGGATTAGAAAATGTACAGAAACAGGATCCCCAGTCCTACTTCACAATGAACCTAACATTTGAATACATTATCCTTTTTACTCTCACATATTTTCTCAGGAAATGAAAGACTTTCACAGTTGTCACACCTATCAAAACACTTAATTGCATCAATTTCTCTACCTCATCTCCTTCCTTCTTCATAGCTACAGTGAGCATAAAATTTAGGTACAGATACCTCAAAAATAAAAATAAAAAGAATGTAAAAGTGTTAAAATCCATTAATAATTTAATTTCAGCATCTGTATGGAGAAGAAATATGCTCATTGTGGAGAGAACTTTATAACAGGTTACTGTTTGCAATCCTCTGCCTTTATGGAGATCTACATCCAAACCAGCTCAGGCACAGACCAAGACTAGACTATGGCAATACCCAATAATTAACCATTAGCCTGGGGCTTCACAAAAATAGGACCCACTGGAGTGCAGCAAATGCTTTCAGAGCTTCCCAGAAGCTGGTCAAGAACTCTTAATACTAGTTGACTTGTCTGTTTTTGTTTTTGTTTTTTTTTAAGAGACCGGGTCTTGGTCTGTCACTCAGCCTGGAGTACAGTGGTGTGATCATAGCTCACTACAACCTGGACTTCCCAGGCTCAAGCAATCCTCCTGCCTCAGCCTCCCAAGTTATAGGTATGCACCACCATGCACACCTAATATTTTTTTAAAAATTTTGTAGAGATGGGGTCTCACTTTGTCATCCAGCCTGGTCTCAAACTCCTGGCTTCAAGTGATCCTCTCACCTCAGCCTCCCAAAGTCCTGGGATTACAAGCGTAAGCCACCATACCCAGCTTATACTAATTGACTTATTTTACTAGCATGCAGTTGGTTATGGTAATATGAGTGCACAAGCTAGTGCATGGACTGGGGAAATACACAAGCTAAATGAGGCACTGTGACAGCAAGAAAGAGAAGTCCCAACGACACAAGCCAGTTTACACACAAAGCCAATTTCTCCCAGTGACAAGTAGTGCTTTTCAAATTGCAGATCATAACCCTGAGTATTGCAAAGAATGACCTATTAAGGTTCTCTCCCTCAATAAATGTACTCAAATTAATTCAGAAATTTTTTTCTTTTTATGAATATTTGAGAATGCACTGTAAGCAAATAGTAAGCATAAGAATGTTTGATGAAATATTTTTCCAGATAAATTGATAGATATATGATAGATGATTAATAGGCTTGATAGATGCATGGATAGATGGATGGATGGATTGGATGGATGGATGGGATGGATGGACGGACAGATGGACGGATGGACAGCGAGACAGATTGATTCAACAACTATTTATTGAGCATTTACCATGTGCCAAGTACTTCTCTAGACACTTGGATACATTAGCGACAACAGATAAAAATCCCTGCATTTATGATGTTTAGTAGAACAGACAGCAGAGAAAAATATATTTATTAGTGTAAGTCATGATTTAAAAAAAATAAATAACCATTTGAAAGCCACTGTTGAGAGTAAGGAGATGCCCCATGCATCTTTCCACCACTCCAAGGAGAGAACCAACCAATAATCATCCTTCCACAGTGGAAAACCCTAGAGGGGTGAAGTGAAAGGGACAGTCCAAGTCATTCCCCTTCTCCCTTTCAAGCTGGTCTTTAAGATTAAGCATGGCTTCCTGAAGCCAAGCTCTCTTTGCTCTGTTTTGCATCTTCCCCTTTAATTTTGCCTTTTTCCTACAGTTCTAATAGGTAAGCCTGTTGGAAGGGAAGGAAAACAGCAAACGAATGAGCTCTTGGTGGATATTTCCTAGTAGTGTAACAGATGGAGAGGATTCATTTTATCCTTAATAAATAGTCACTTCCAATAATGGGCAAACCATTGAAATTGTGATAGCCTATTGTCTTAAGCCAGTTAAACTACACATCTACCTCTGTTGTTACTAAATCTCTTCAGAGATATCCTAATAAGTATTAACTAATATCCAGTGTGATACCTCTCAAAATAACTTGCTTATTTAATTTGTAGCAGCTGTAGCTCACATTTAGGGGTGTCTAGTATAAGCATAAGCCCATCATTGCAGGCTATGTGCTTTACCTTTAATCTTCATGACGACCCTGTGAGGGAGAAATCATTATCTGCATTTTGTAAAAGAAGATACTAAAGCTTACAGAGGTTAAAAAATTTGCCCATGATCATTTGGCTAAGTGGCAGAGCTAAAATTTTAACAAAGGCCATGTAGCTCCACAAAATTACTGATGGTATCCACATTAAGGGCAAAGGCTTATTATATATGGAAAAAAATTAAAAATTATTCTCAGAAAACTTATTTTACAGGCCTATGCTTCCCCTTGTTTGCTTTTAATCATTCTTTAATATTTAATGGTCATTAAAACACTATAAACCATTAAGTTTAGAACTGAAGAGTTAACACAAGCACTTTTTCTTCTCTTTGCTGCAATAGGTATAAATGTGTGAGTGCTAAAAATATTTTGATATCTCTTGCACAAAACCTTTTCAATACCCATAAGTAGAGTAGGAGAATAAGAGGACAGATTCTGTCCAGAATATTTCGCCTCAACTCCCAGCCTCACTGCTTATTTGCTATGTGGCCTTGAGAAGTCTGTGCCTCATTTCCTCATCTGCAAAATGGGAATAATGATAGCAGATACAGGATTGTTTTGAGGATTAAAAGGCATATACTTGGAACAGTGTGGGCACTAAATAAAACTACATATTTGTTATGCTTATTATTACTTCTTAAGCAGCACTGGCTCATCTCATTCCACTAGACATTAAAGTCATAAAGTTTATCAAGAAGAAAAAGAAAAGAATAAGTTCTTTAAACTTGAAGCTCAGTAGGAGCAAAGAGCTATGTCTATTCCATCATCTGTCTTTTCAATCCCCCACGACTTGTGTTGCTGGTAGGGCACACTGGATGCTATTGCTAACCAGTGCTGTTTTGGGAAAGCACTACCCTTCATAAATTATTTGAAAAGGAACCATTTTGCTTTTATACTGATCTATGAGATATCATTGCTTTTCAAAACACAATCAGCATATGTTTATTTACTAAAAAGAGGTCAATGCCACAGGTTTGCATGAAAAAGAAAAATCATGACCATTGTTAAAAGAAAATCCAAACCAATTTTTCAGCATAGTTCTATATGTTGTTTTAAACAACTATTTCAAATGTTGCTCAAATGAAAAGGTCAAGTATACATCAATATAAAAGAATATAAAGGTTTTCATTATCTTTTAGTCTGTTCTCACTGTCAGTGAGGCAAGAACATGTTTAAAGTGCATCTCCCCATAATCAATTTCTTTACTTAGAAATGTCATTCTGGGTGGACATTTTACAGCTGATTAATTTCTGTCCTTCTTTCTCATATGCAAATACAAGACTAAAATGCACTCTCTGGTAGATTTCCTTTCTGCGGTTAAAGTGCTAATTTCCTACAGATCGGTTATCTACACAGTTCTAGCAGAAAAAAATGATCTTTCAAACTATGCTCTTATGTTTCTTTAATATATGCATCTTTTCCCCAAAATATTTGCATTAAGTCGACAAACATTTGAACATAAAAGGTAGAAGACATTGTCATGGCTTTTGTCAAAAAGTCAACATATTAAGTATTGTGCACACACAAATGTACTCAATTAACATTTTAATTAAGGATAACAAATAGTAATTAAACAGATGACATTTTAATTAATTTCTCAACTGTAAACAGCCTGATGAAAATTGTTAAATCTGATTCTAGTTAAATATCTCTTCTTGCAAACATGGTAAGCCCAAACTAATCACGATCAGAAACATTTCCCTTTTATGTACTTACATAGTCATAATGTCATTCGCAAATAAGTTTTTCAAGTTCCTCAGAGTTATGAACCACATTCTCTTTATTATGTAGGAAGCAAGTGATAGCATAATTGTATAATAATTGTTTCAAGGAACTTCTATATGTCTTGTGAAAAAGCACAGTATACTAAAGTATTTAATGTCTTTCTACAATTAAAGATTCATGCTTCGCTGTTAAATCCAAATTAACAATTTTGTCAAGCTTAGCAACCCAATTCCATAACATCAACTTTTCATATTACTGAACATCTGTAATACCTGTCTCTGATTTTGTAATACACTAGGGGTAGCTAATTGTGTCAAATGGCATTATTAATTTCTCAAAGCAAAATTAGATATAATTCATTTATTTTTGAAAATAAATATGGGCCATTCAACACTTTGAAGCAGAGTGGCATAATAATGCTGAAAATGATGCCCAGGATATTTAGTCAGTGAATTAACAAGAAAACGGAACAAACCCTGCTCTGAGGATTACTGGATTTAGCAAAACAGAACAAAAACGCAAATAAGTTTGTCTTTTGTTTTCTATATTGCATGCAACATACTTACAATAAAAGATTATTCACTGTTTATCTGAAATTCAAGTTTAATTGGCATCATTTTATCTGGCAACCCTACTTTTAAAAAAGCAGTATCTGTAAGATAAATTCACCTTGAGAAACACTTTTTTTGGTCTCTGGTGCAAAGTGGGCTATGGCAAAATGGGAGCAATCTGGTGGTAGAGGATGCTCTGGGCCTCTCTGGGGCCCTGAGAGGATACTAAGATGAGCCACAGCCAGTATTGAGACAGCATGTCCAGGAGACAAATACTCTGTGTATTTAGTAAGTCAGATTTGAAGTTTAAAAAGTTACTGATCTATTTTTTAATCTACTCTGCTTTGTTTTTTAAGTGTAATATAGATAGGTCTCATAGGGTAGCCAGCCTCTCTGTTATATTTTCCCCTTCAGAATCATTCAGAAAAGGCATGCAGACCCTAAGGAAATACAGCCTACATCAGGGGCACTCTGTCGCTGAAGAGAGTGTAGGAGATACTTGTGGCATTCTATGGTCCCTTGCATGGCAATTTCTGAAAACTGTGGTTCCCAGAGCTATGGCTTGAAGAGACTCACAACTGCTCTCCACGGCAAAAGTGAGCCTCAGAAAAAACAGTGTGGGGGTCTCATGGCTCCAGGAGATAGAGGAACAGGGAAACAAGGGAAACCCAGGGACAAACCCAGGAAAACTCAGAGACAACAAATTCCAAGTTTTGGACATGTAAGTGTTTTTTCCCAACTGAGAATTCTGAAGAATATGAGAACCAGGACATATGGTCTTGAAATTCCTGTTTTAATCTGCAAGATCAAAACAGAATATTTTAGTTCAGTTATCCAGATATTTCACAAAAGATGAGTATCAGCTCTAGTAGGACACAGCTAAGGCTACTAATCCCCTCCCCTTCACAAACATCCCTCTGTTTACCTCCACTTACTCAAAAATCTCATTAAAATTTGGTAGTCATTCATCTTACAGTAACTCTGTACACCACCTCACCTCTGCAGTCCCATACCTCTTGAGAGGATCTTCCATGACCTAAAAGATGACCCCTGTCACCTCTTCAACTCAAAGAAAGGATCTCCAACTTAAAAAGGGGGTTGCTTAGGGAAATAAAAGGGGAACAGAAACTAATCACCTAAAACCACTGTCTACTCACAGCGTAGGAAGCTCTTTGGTAGGCATTAGGAAAGCATCTCTCCGTAAGTTAGATGGTATATTTGTGTGTGCTATTATTGCTATTGCTATTTAACTGCAAATATGCAATTATCACACCTTTAGCATGAGGTTCAGTAGACATAGAGGCACTAGATTCAACAATATTGAATTTACAAAAGAATGGTCCAATGAATGAAAGTTGGGCAGCCACAGAAAGCCTCAGAGAGCTAATCAATGTTTCCCAAGAAGTCTGAACCCCACCACCAAACCAAGCAAAGCTGAAAGTAAACATGTTCCGGCCAAAGTACAGAAAGTAAAAATGCTTCCTACTGCTGTGGATGAGGGTCCTCTGACAGGCCCCACTGATAGAGAGTGGGAAGCTCAAGTTTACCTTAAAGGACCTTGTTTCCTAATACATATTGTTAAACCCTTTCGTAATGCTCTCTGCAAGCTTGGCTGGGTACTTCTCTGCTAACTACTAATAAGCTGCAGTTTTCTCTTGGTCTCTGCTTTGGGCAAATTCCCTCCTATCCCCCCACTCACCTTGCTTCAGCTGTCCCTAAGGCTTAATTCCACCTTCTGCCCTGTACAAGTATACTAACTTAGTATATTTCTAATATCCTCTAATCCACATTTGCCATATCTTTCAAGCTGGGTTCAAAACACCTCTTTTTAGAAGCTTTTCAGAATTAACCAATGTAACTAATGCAACCCAATTTTGCTGTTTTCTCCTTTCATCTATAATGCCTGAATCCTTTTACACTTATATGTCAAGACTTTACCATGTTTTTATGTTGTTTACCCAGAGAAAGAATATTAGAGCTTTGTAAAATTATTGATGCCTCAAATGCAGCTTTAAAATGAGTTAAATAAATAAAAATTAGTATAGAAGAGCACGGTAAGCTTTGTTGTTTGAAAAGATAACCTATCTACTATTGCCCATCTTCGAACTCAACTCTTCAACACATTAATGTGGCCCATCCCCTTGCCATTGAACCAGCATCATCTGGAAACTTGTTGAAGATACAGAGTCTCAGGTCCCACCTTAGACCCACTGAATCAGATTCTGTATTTTAACAAGATGCCTCCAGTGATTTGTAGACATGATAAAGTTTGAGAAGCCTTGACCTTCCCCATACTAGGCATGAAATATTCTACAAGGAATATCTCTTAAATGGGTGCAACAGAGTCGATTCAGGTATCTCTACTTCTGCCCAATCCAATCCACCAATTAGAAAGCAACTTTTCCACTAAAGAAGTTTAAGGGATCAATTCATCAAGAGGACATGGCTATTGTAAATATATATGCACCCCACACCAGAGCACCTAAATACATAAAGCAAATAATGGACACGGGGAAATAGATAGCAATACAATGATCATAGGGGACTTCAATACCCCACTTTCAACAATAGATAGATGAAGCAAAAAAAAAAAATAATAAGGAAATACTGGACTTGAATAGCACTTTTGACCAAATGGGCCTAGGAGACATAGACAAAAATTTCTGTCCAACAGCAGTATAATACATGCACATTTTTCTTCAACACACATAGAACATTCTCCAGGATAGACCATATGTTAGGCCACGAAACAATCTTAACAAATTTAAGAATACTGTACTCATATACAGTATTGTTTCAGGCCACAGTGGTATGAAACTAGAAATCAGTAACAGGAAGAATCTTGGAAAATTCACTAATATGTGGAAATTAAATAACATGCTCCTAAACAACCAATGGGTCAAAGAAGAAAGCAAAAGGAAAACTTAAAAATAACTTAGGACAAATGACAATGCAAACACAGCATAGTAATTTTTGTCAAGGGCACCAAGGGAAAACAATGGAGAAAGGTGAGTCTTCAACAAATGGTGCAGGGAAAACTGGATTTCCACATGGAAAAGAATGAAATCAGACCTTTATCTTACACCACACACAAAAATCAACTCTAAATAAAAGACCTAAACATAAGACCAGAAACTATAAAACTTCTAGAAGAGAAGGAGCAACAGCTCATGGACATTGGCCTTGATGACTTTTTGGATATCACATGAAAAGGTCAGGCCACAAAAACAAAAATAAATGAGACTACATCAAACTAAAAAGCTTCTGTACAGCAAAGAAAACAATCAACAAAATGAAATGACAGCCTATAGATTGGGAAAAAAAATACTGCAAACTATATATCTGATAAGGAGTTAATATCTAAAATGTATAAAGAATTCATATATTAATAGTAGAAAACAAATAACTCAATTTTAAAAAGACCTCAATAGACATTCTCCAAAGAAGACATAAAAATGGCCAATAGATAGATGAAAAGATACTCAATACCATTAGTCATAAGAGAAATGAAAATCAAAACCACCATGATATACCACTTCACACCCATTAGAATGGTTATTATCAAAAAGTCAGAAGACAACCAATGTGGGCAAAGGTATGGAAAAAGGGAACTCATACACTATTGATGGGAATGCAGACTGGTATAGCCATTATGGAAAAGAATATGGAGGTTTCTAAAGAAATCAAAAATAGAGCTACCATATGACCTAACAATCCCTCTTCTGGGCATATACCCAAGGGAAATAAAATCACCACTTTGTAAAGACATCTGCACTCCCATGTTCATTGCAGCATTATTCCCAACAGCCAAGACAGGGAAACAACCTAAGTGTCAGCTAATGGACAGATGGCTTAAGAAACCGTGGTACAAATATACAATGGAATATTGTTCAGTCTTAAAAAGAACAAGATTCTACTTGCCACGACATGGATGGGACTAGAGGGCTAAGTGAAATAAGGCAGACACGGGGGAAAAAAATCACATGACCTCACATGTGGAATCTAAAAAATCAGAGATAGAGAACAAAACAGTGGTTATGGGGTCAGGGTGGGGGAATGAAGAAATGTATGTCAGAGGATACAAAATAGCAGGTATGTAGAATGAAGAAGTCTAGAGATCTAATGTACAACATGAAGGTCATAGGTAATAAAATTGTACTCTATATGAGATTCATGCTAAATGAGTGCTCTCACCACAAAAACAAAGGGTAACTATGTGAGATAATGGATACATTAATTTGCTTCACTATAGTAACCTTTTTACTATCCACATGTATCCCTTAACATGTTTTATACCTTGAATATATACAATACAATTTATTTTATAAATAAATAAAATTCTATTTCCCTTGCCTCAATGAAACAGGAAAGAAGACAGGCATAGAATGGAGGGCTCATATGAAAGAAAAATTCTGCCTCCTGGAAAACAATTGCTAATGAATTGGTATTTGACAGCAGAGGCATTGCAATGGCAGGGACTTCAAAAGGAGGCTGGTCACTGAAACCAGTGGCTGTTCTCAAGACAGTGGAACAGGAGCACATGGACATGCAGGAGGGCTCTGTAGAAGCCAGGAGCCACCAGAACCTGACCAGAAAAGAAGACAAAGGCATCAGGCTGTCCAAAGTCTTAATGGGGAAAAACTGGAAATTTAAATCAAAGCCCTACTGGCTCTCTTTTGCACTCAGTGTTGGTGGTGCCCAGTGCTACACTAAGCACTCTACCTACCTCATTGACAACGACTATAATAGACCATAAGTGTTATTATTCCCATTTTGCAGACGGGACAACTGAAAAAAACAGAAAGACTGTAAAAGTCACATCCCAAACACACCACTTAAAGTGATGGCATGGGATTCAAAATGAATCCCACTCCCAGTTCTGTCCTCAACCTCTATGCTCTACTGCCTCCTTCTGTTCAAGGAGAGTAGAGTCTGTATGGGTCTTATTACACAGTGTGGGCCCACCATTCTCAGCTGACCCTTGGGTTGGCTTCATAAAGCCCAGAATTAGAGAAACCCTCCAGATGTTAGTACACACCTGTATCTGAAGTAGGTAAGCCCTGCCTCAAAAACAAGATTGCTATCATGGTGAGTCTATGAAATGCTGTCTTAAGAAGGTTGTTGTTTTTTTGTTTTTTGCAGTTTGTACCCATCAGGTTTTAGCAGAACAACAGGTTTTAGCTATACACATTGGGTTTTAGCAGAAATGAAGCACTTTCCTTCCTTGGGGAACAACATATGCTGGCATCGCTAAGTGTGTGGCTGCCTGGCTCCTTGGTACACAAGGACTCTGTAGGAGGTCAGGCCTCCTTAGGACAGCACTGGAGACTCTATACTCCAAAAGTCTCTCCACCTGGCCTAGAGGGTATGTTTTTAGTCCTCACAGGTTATGCTATTCCAGATCCTTCTCCAGCCTTGACCTCCATAGAGAAAATCACATGACACACTTCAATAAACTCAACCACCTAAGGGTTCTTGTGGTTCTTGACCATACAGACCAACCACCTCCAGCAAATCTCCCACTAGCAAAAAGCAACTTATCTCTTCCATGGATCTTCCTCGGATTTCTACCATTTCTTATCTAAGGACCTCTTATTTCTTCCAAAGATCTGTTTGTGTCATAAAAGAAAAAACACCCCAAAACCCAATTATGGATGGTTGTGAAAAGCCATGTCAAATTAAGGGGATCATCAACAACGTTTTCTACAGTTCACATAGGAGGCGATCGGGATGCTGTTCAGTCACGCTGCAACATCTGCCTTTCATTATCATTATCGTCCTCACAGAGTTCTTGAGCCCCTGAGTTTACGGCTTTCTACTGGGATTTTAAGAAATACACAGAGATGTATCAAAAGTTGAACCTGTGTATTTACAGAGAATCTCAGAGAAAAATCTCTTCCGTATGATAAAAGGCCTAGGGACTTGTACTTTACAGAATACAAATCTAAAGAAGAGATATTATGTGCCTTGAGAGCTTGTTAGAAAGCTAGATGTTACACTTTTCTTCTCTTGGAACTACTGAATGTAGATTATAGTCTATATTCTGAGGTTTTGTAGGTTTCTCTTTTGCATTCCAAAGCCTTTAATTCTGTAGATTAAAAAAAGAAGTTAATATTAGATGTTCCTAGTCCCCTTTAAAGTTACTTACGATTTCTCACTTGCCAATTGTTGAATTTTCATGTTTATTTTTAGTGTTGAAAATAGGGAAACTGCTATCTGTCCTTCACTTCCTGCCACCTTAGGGAAAAGTGAACAAAGAGTAGAGAAACTACAGAGACAGGGAAGACAGCAAGACAGACAGAGTGGGAAGGGGCCAGAGCATATGTTTTAAGTCATTCAGGCCTAGTTCCCATGTGAGTTTTATCACTTAGTGAGTAAACTTGAGCAAGTTCATTAACCTCTTTGAAACTCATTTTCCTCATTTCAATCACCTTGCAGGAGCTGGTCTAAGGGTATATAGCAATGCAGGTAAAGCACTTGGCACAATACAGAAATCCAAACTATGACATACAGGATGATGGTGGTGGTGGTTAACAGGCAAAAGTGGCAAGACAGGGCAGAGAAGGTGAAGGTAGCAAAGTGAGAAAGAAATACTAGATATGGTTTTCCCTAAAATCCAAATATAAGCATGATTGAGAGTATCTATGGCAAAGGAAATATTCTACCAACCTGATTAACAACTTCATTCTGCTTTGAAAGACACTCAACCTGGATTGCAAATTCCATGAGAATCAGCAGACTAGCTAATCTCATTTCAGTTTATCTCCACAGTAATCAATAATTGATCCCAGGGGAAGGTCAGCCTAGTGTCCTTAGGTGACTCTTCCTTTGCCAATTTGTTTTGAGCTCTCTTTATACAAGAGTGTAGGTATTATGATACAGAGATTATTTCTTTAAATTGGAGATGCATCTGATGACACTTGGAGAAAACCATCTAAAGATCACCAAAGGAATTTACCAAAAGGTAAAACCATGAATAAAAATAATTTTCAGACATGTTTCATAGGACTACAGTTCAACTGTTATATATTACTTATGTTCTTAATAGTTTGGAACCACTTGTCAGTCAAAATTAAATCATAGGCATTCCATTTGTAGAACAAATTAGTCAATCTTATTTGCATGAATCACAAAATTCTTACAGCTCTTCATTTTCTTAAAGTATTTAACACCCTCCCCATTTTCTCAACGTGAATATCAGGGTACATTAGTCACAAGACCATAACCCAATTACTTAAAGGGCATATTACATAAATGATTACACAACCTGCTGTGAAATACTGTATCTTTAGCATTTGGACCACTTGGGACATTGAGAGGAAGGATTCATTAATGAAGTGTGAAGCTCATTTTTATTTATAGTCCACAGGAAAGGCATATTTCACAGCCATCAGAAGCACTTCTGCAGGCAAGAAGTTACAGCTAATCCAAGTGCTATACCAAGCTAGTACAAGTCCAATCCTGGTGTCCCTGGCAGTCAGAAATGTTGTAAAGGGGAAAGGAATTTTATAAAAAAATTGATAGCACAAGGAGTATGAGAATGTAGAAGATCAAATCCAGACCACAGCCGAAACCTTGATAGGAGGGACACATGATGAATTAGCCTATAGGCTGAAAGGTCTGGAGGAAGTTGTGATGGTATGGGTCAGATATCTTCCACTTCCTCTGTGAAGTAGTAGAAAGTCATTTTTTGAGAAAGCGGAAGTGGGGAGAGTGGTGACTTGAAAGAGTCACTTTGGGATATGGTAGAGCAAGTTAATTGGGAAATAGCGGATAATTAGGCAATTTGAAGTTGGTGACTATGAACTTTGAGAAGCATCAAATCTCTCAATCCATTTCTGTCAATTTACCCTACTACTGAATGATTTAATTCATTTTGTGTCACCAGCACCTAGCACAGCTCCTGGCACAAGGTAGATGCTCATATTTGACTCAATTAGAAATGGCAAATATCTGAATTGTCTGAACACAAACAGTAAATGGTAAATAAATACTGGCCTTCTTTTAGGTTTGCAAAACACAATTGATTTGATAGTGAAGGCCAACATATACATAAAGAAAAACCAGAGGCCTCGATTTTACATTCAAGGTAGGTCACTGGTACACAGGAAGCCAGCTGAGGAGAGGTACAAGTGAGGGGACGTGAGGAGCACGGGTGGTGAGTATGAGATGGCTGCCCAGTCACCTCTGCTGAAAACCACCTTTGAGAGTAGCAGGATTCTAGAAACAGGATCAAAAGAATCAGTGTAGCACCATATATCACTGCCTCTGTAAGAAAACTGTGCTTGTCAACCTGGAGTTTGGGGAAAAGCTTTAAAGGAAACCTGTCATTCTGTACTCCAGCTTCCAACTTTGCAAAAGGCACTTTTCCTTGGAACTCAGGCAGAAAAATAATAAATCACGCCTAGCTCTCTTGCTCAGGATCCAGTCCCGGTTCCCCACCTGTAGTTCCCTCCAGCTGCTTCCTGCTACTTCCATTCCTGCACCTTATGCTCCAGCTATTCCAAAGTACTTCCTGGCTTAAAACACCAAGTGATGTTGTAAGTCCCAAGCTTTGTAAGTGATGTTCTCTCTCACTGGAGTCCTTTCTCTCCCCAGCCCCTTCCATTATAAATTCCCACTCCTCCTCCTCAGATGTCTCTTCTTCTACAAAGCCTGTCCCGCCCCTTTCACAGAGTAAAGAAGCCCACCCCTACTGTGTCCCTGAACGTGGCTTTAGGCATGGAAGAAACTACATTTAACCTTTGTTCCCCATAACTTGAAAAGCAACTGGCACATCATAGATTCTCAATGCATGTCTGTTGAATTGAGTTTTACTGTTCATCTACCTTGCAGACAAATGGCATTTCTTAGATATCAATTCTTTTTGATTTCCTTTTTCCAACCCATGGACTATAACTTTTTTTTTTTAACTAATTTCAGGAACACATACGATGTATGCACTACTGGAGTCTGAATAAAATTTCTAAAAAGTAGAAATAATTTAAATGAAAACTGATTTCTTTATTCTATCAGTTTTTGAACTCAAACTGTCTAGAAACAAGAAGGTTCATATTGATTTAAAGATGTATAAAATATAACAAAAGACATGCGGGTTATGGAAATAAGACTGTTCATTCTCCAAATTCACAAATATTAGAATTAAAGGCACCCCTGAAAGCCTGAAGAAGGTGGCTGTAGAATAAATAAAAGGAGTGCCACTTTACACAGCAGGTGGCAAACATGAAACGTTTTATTGTAAGAATTGGTACAGACTTGAAAGTATAAGTACGTTCCAAGGAGGACTTAGCTATAATCTAGGATGATGGTTCCAGCATGTCACTGGGTGGAAATTAGAGCTATTTACTTTGTCAGCAGGGCATGCCCACCCCACACTTACTCACGAAGTGCCACCTGTATCTTTGCCACTGTAGCTGGAGCACCGAGCAAGATACATCCAGTTGGTCTGATCTAACTCAGCACAGCATTTCTGGTGCTTTTATACTCTCTAGAATCATAGCTATGTTGTTTGGAGAAATTTATTTTCTTGAAATAGGATGCAGTTCTTTCTTTGATTCATCCAACGTAACTCTCATCGATCTTTTAAAATAAAATATCTTCCAAAATATTTACTTCATTGAACAAATACATGAGGGAGGTCAAAGAGATATATTGCATACCCCACCCATCTGCATGCTGAATGTCTTTCTAAACCATCAACCCTTGAGAAGGGAAAGGCTGAGTTACCAAGTGGACTGAGGTGGATATGTGGCAATTGGAACCATATTGAACCATGCAGGAAACAAAAAGAAAAGCACAGAAAGAACTTATCTGGAACTAAATAGCAAGTTCGGTTCACAAAAGTTTTATTCACAAGTTTTTCCATGTGAAGACCTTAAAATTCCACTCAATAAACATGTTTATAAAATAAGCACACAAACAGCCTGGAAACACATGTTAGCATTATATAAGAAGTAGAGAAAGACAATGAAATCAGTCCTGTCCTCCTTATGCTAATTTTGATTTAATGTCTCTAGGGACCTGTGCTCATGGAAGAAAATCAAGGAACATCTTAACATGGAAAACAACAGAAGGCTAAACTTGTGGCTCAGCACAGGAGAGGGTAGTAGAAAACCTGGAATTGACGCCCTCTTGAAGGCTGCCAATGTTTAATAACCCCCAGAGCCCATTGTTGTAAGATGTGGCTAATTCTAGCAGTAGTTACTCATAAAAGACAAGGGTATAAATCTGGAAACCTAAGATAAAGACTATGAAGAAACTCTGAGGAGAAAGAGATTGGTCGTAAGCAAGCGTGGAAGAAAAGTGGCAGCCAGTGTGGAGGAAGGAGGGGCAGTATGTGAGTGGATAGGCTGGGGCTATGCATATGAGTTGTGTTCTCTTTGCTCTGTACAACTTCACTTGCCCTCTTACCACTGGGGTGGAAGAATAGCAGCACCAGCCCACCTTCGTAGCAGTTATGGGGTATATTTGGGGCAGAGCTGGAATCTGGGCTGCATTGGGAGAAGATTAGCCTACCCCTAAACGGTTCCTCCACCTCACTGTCCCTCTCCACAGCCCAAAGCTTAGGACTTGACAACCAAGTAGCAAACTAAGTTGTAAAAAGAGAGCAGGCTCAGAGCAGAGGCATAGACAGTTTTACCTAAGAGCAGAGTTTCTTATAAAGAGGCAGCAAATGCTAACCTCAAGTACAGGCTTTGGTGATATGAACTCTGTGTCCTGGGGCACTCCATCACCCTCCTCTTCTTAAACTCACCAGGAATGACAAAGACTAGGATCTGGCTCTGGCTCTTCCTCTATATGACTGATACCTGAAGCAGACAAAGTGGGATAGGGTTCAAGGCAGCAGTCATGATGAGAGGCAATACACTGAACAACTTACACCCAATAAATCAGAACTAATGAAAACGAGAAATCGAGAAGTTAAAATAAGCAAAATAAATGTCATCAAAGAGGGAAGAGAGATTATTGATAACATGAAGCAGGAACAAGAAGTTATAAAAATCTGAAAAGAAAAACAATATATGAAGAATATAAAGTTGAAACAACTTCCTAGATGGAATAAATAGCAGAATGGATACAACCAAACAATGATTGAGAGCAGATGCAGAAATTATCTCATAAGGTATTGGAAAAGAAAAAAGATATAAAGTGTAATAGTTAAGATCTGTGGAATATACAAGTGTCCACATCTTTTTAACAACAGTCTCAGAGGAGAGGATAATAAAGCAGTTGAGGAAATAACTCCTGAAAATTTCTATGAATTAAAGAAAGGGGAAAAACTATAGATTAAAGGTCTAACAAGGAAAAGAAGGAAGAGAGGAAGGGAGAGAGGGAGGGAAGGAGGGGAAAGAACAAGGAAATGAGAACAAATAAGAAAGAGGAGAAAGAAAAAGAAAGAAAAGAGGATGGGGAGAAGAAAGGAGGAGAGAAGAGGACAAAAGAGGACAGGAGAGAAGAGAGGGAAAAAAGAAGTCAAATGTATAGAAAAGAATCAAGGACTAACAGACTACACTGAAGGTTCTTAACTTGTTTTGGTGCCATGAATCACTTTGGCAATCTGGTGAATTCTATGGACTCATTCTAAAATGAAAAAATTTTAAAAATTGTTATTAATTGCATAACACAAAATACATAAGATTATAAATAAAACCATTTATGTTGAAAAATAGTTACCAAAATATTTTTTAAAAAACAAATTTATGATATAGTAATAGGTGTTCTCCCTTATTAATGAGAACACAACAAGACTTAGTGGATGGTCTAATACTGTAATTTTGAAGAACCACAGCCAACCCATTTTATCATGGATGAAAAAAATATACATTGTTGCTGACACAAAAATGTAAGTTGGTTGTAACTGCAGCCTAACCAAGTATTAATGATAAACATAGCTACATGGATAAAAGTAGAAAACAAAGCAAGATTTATAGTACGATACCACTGATAAAAATTAAAAACACATTCACACGCAAAACAATACCACAGACTTAACAAGGTTACACACATTATGTAAAACAATTACATCAAAGACACCAAAGTGAATGCTAAGGGAGAAAAGGGAATTGGAGCAGTGATCAGAGAAGATGAAAGAGAAAGAAAATAAGACAAGAAGAAGGCTTTGCACCAATCAGTGATGGCAATGTGCTCTAAACTAAGGATAATGATTAACATAACTCTCAGTACCTAAGATCTAATTAAAACAAACAACCCCATCAAAGATGGGTGGAGGCTGAAAGTCAGACATTATTGGCATTTGAGAGAATAGAAAAAAAATTACAAGATAGCAACTAAAGATTTTATACAAGTAAACCCAGACTTTGTCAGCTCTAATAGTCCTAAAATTGCTGTTTTCAGAGATGTCCTTACCCCACCTCAAGAGAGTACACCATTGAGACCAGGTCAGGCATAAAAGCCTGTCAGCCTAGAGAGGACATGGAATAGCTCTCAGAACTGTCCTAATCTGAAAGGCCAGCCACAAATTGTCTTTTCCAGTTCAGACAAAGGACATCCTCACCGTCCACTCTCTTGTCAGTGGAGACAGAAAAAAACTCAGGAATCCAATGGTTGTCCAGACATTTGGGTGAAGACATGACATTCCATTTGTCTTCAATCATTACTGCCGCTATAATAAAAATACCTTAGTCTGGGTAATTTATAAACAACAGAAAGTTATTTCTCACAGTTTCAAAGGCAGGGACGTCCAAGATCAAGGCACCAGTACATTCAGTGTCTCGTGAGGGCTTGATTGTGCTTCAAAGATGGCACCTTGCTAATGTGTCACCACATGGTGGAAAAGGAGCAAGGGAGCCTCTTTTATAAGGGCACTAATCTTATCCATGACAGTGGAGCCCTCATGACTTAATCACTTCCCAAAGGCCCCGCCTCTTAATACTATTTCATCAGGTATTAGGTTCTAACATGTGAATTCGTAGGGGGACACAAACATTCAGACCATCACACCATCTATACCAAAAAAAAAAAAGGCTGAATATGCTCTCCTGGTCTTTTTACTGCCCCCTAGCTGTAGGTGGTAGCAATAAACAACTGGTTGTTTTCATTCTGTTTCTCTATCTGCCTCACCACCTCTAGAAGGGCCCTAACTTAAGTTGGAGTGACAGCATACAAAACTCTCCAAGCAAGTCCTCTTGGTCCCCCAATATGCCATGAAGCATGCTCCCCAGGAGAAAGCCTGTATGGAAATTACGCTGATGCATTCCTCCTTGCATTCAGGTTTGGTAAGAGCAGGCTGTGTGCAAGTGGTTACAGCTGCTCAGTGGACCAGGCTGTGGAAAACAAAAACGAAGGCTTTGATTTCATCTCTCCCGGGTATTCTCCACATCACTTTTGTTGTGTGCGAACTAATAATAACAGATCTGATCTACATACAGTTCTTCTTGTCTAAAATTACTCATTTAAATTAAGCATTTTAGTCACTGTTTGATAATAAGATGCAAGGTAAAGTACTTGTGAGCACAGAAAATTAATAGAAAGGAAACACTGAGCGTATGTTGAGTTTAGCCACCAGCATCTATTTTTAAAGATGACCTAATTAATTGTTACATAGAATGTCAGGAGAAAAGAAACACTGGCAAAGCTTTTAGACAAGGCAACTACTAACTTTAAAAGTATGGCACTGCTGAAACAGCTGTATAAAAGCTTGCAGCATGATTTCAACACAGTTGTCAAGCATGCTGGAATAAATACATGGCAATAAAAAGCCATGTAAATTTCTGGGAGAAAAAAAAAATGACAGGACTGAAAGTTGAACTTTAAAAAAATTGTAATTTTTAAATTGTGTGTATCTCCTTAAGATAATCCTCATTTAGTAAATCATATTTACAGTCATTTTGCCACAGGCTTTTCTTCCCTAGCTATACATGTATACAGCACCATGAAGCTTTACACTGTTTTTCATAAGAGTTACGGTTATTTAAATGGCAAATAAACCAAAGACAAAGACTTGGTTTTTATTAAATTACAGCATCCTAAAATTTAAACAAAATAATCCAAATGCTGAATTCCTCCCTGAAAAACTGACATAAATTGCAATAAAACATGCTCGCAAAACTGAAGCATCCTACTTTATTTTCACAAATAAAAGGTGATTCTGAAAATTGACTTCACTTCTAAAGTAGGAAAGCAAAACTAAAGAATAAATACTGTAATGGAATGTAAAAGAATATGTTTAATAGAGAGGTTTTATAAAAGCATTGCCTAAGCATAAGAAAACTAGAAAATGGTATTTTAAAGACTATTAACATACATCTCTTTCAAGAAAACACTAATCTAATACCACATAAAAGGAGAGGTAGCATATATACACCTACTTAGATTAAACCCCAGCCACCAATATACACTCTGAGGTCTTTATAACCCCTCCTTGCAAAAAAGGAGGGTGTTTGATTAGTGAGTTTACCAAATTCACATTAACTGGGAGTGGAAACCTGCCAACGGGACTTGCAGGGTTGAAGGATAGAAGAAACTCACTCATGTCATGTCCCTCTATCCAAATTTAATAAGATAAACAAAAACTAGCAAATAAAAATTAAAACAAAAACTCACCAACAAATAGCAAACAAAGAAAAAGCCACAAGCCAAGGCCATTACCTCAGAAAATAATGGGTGAGGAAAAACAAAGAAGATTCCAGAGCAGAGCAGGGCGGCCTGTGTAAGGGTGTAAGGAGGCTCCATCACGCGCGCGCACACACACACACACACACCCCTCACAAGTTACACAGCAGAGCTGCAAAATCCTGCACCCTCACATCAATAATGGATCTGGAAAGAGGCGAACTTAGTAGGGTGGGCCTTTTTCCCTTTTCTGGGGAGCTGTGGAAGGGATGCTAGGGAGAAAAAAGCAGTTTTCTGGCAAAAGAGAAGCCTCTAGGCTACAGGATGAATTGAGGGAGGATCAGAAGCAAGTGGGGACGCCTCCAGGGATAGAGGTCACCCCCCTCCCCCCGCCCTTAGGTGAACATTTAGCATTACCTCTCTCAGAGGTGAGAATCCAGACTAACTCCTGCACCCACCTCGACTGAGCTCTCTGGCTCCCAGCCTATTCCCAGGAAACAGAAAAGTGGATCAAACACCAAAAAGCAGAGCCTGAGTGGTCTTTTCTTAGTAGAAACAAGAGTTCTCAGATTAGAAGAGAAAGACAGTCAAGGACGATGGTTATTTCTGGATGATGGGATTAGAGGTCATTCTTTTTACTTTCTTCTCTGTACTGTTCCGAGTTGCTTAAACATTCTTTATCATACACTTAAAATTTTTACTTACAACAAAAACAATTTTAATTGAAAGAAGAAACGCGACTATACAAATTTTTAAGAACCATGAACCTGAGGTAGGAAAACAACAAACTACATAATGTTCCTGTCTTCACAAGATAAATCCCACCTGTGTGGCCCTTTGATCTTTGAGAGAAGAGCAAAGAAGGAAAAGAGGAGGGAAACATCAAGATTTAGAAAAAACAAGATGCACAAAAGAGGAAGCTGATCTGTGAGATAGGGAGGTCCAGGCTCTACTGGAACAGCTGGAGAGATAGAATCTTTCTTCCAGTCCTAGATTTTCCCTCCCATTTCCAGCCTATACTCCTACAAATTGATTCTTCCATCATCCAATCACCACCAAACCCTGACACTCAGTCTCAGTCAGCTCTAGCTAGGGAAGCAATTGCAGGGGGCTGATGTGAGAATTGCATTACTTTAGTGCATGTGTGTCCATGCATACACTTATGTGTGCGCATGCATGTGTACAGTAGAGCTGCTGAAGCAAAAGACTTATTCCAAACATGAACGATGATATCTGAAAGAAAATATACCTTCTTTACTTGAATGCACTTTTTCTACCAAAAAAACTATTAAATAACTAATTTCTATAAGACATGAATAAAGACAACTATAATGACAAACAAGATTCAAAGGGTACCCTAGAACTTAAAGTATAATAAAAATATATGTATAAAAAAAGATTTAAAGGGTGCATCAGCAGAAACACACACTATTCTGTCACTGTTTACCCTATTTCAGTGGATTTAAGGATCACTGATTATACGATGTACCCTTATTTTATGTGCTACTATGAGAGAAAAAAAATTATCAGGTAAATTATAACTCAGTACTTCCTCATCACATCAACTGCAAGACACATGCTGATCACAGGGATGTTAGAGTGAACACAATGGAATATTACTCATTGCTCACACACCTGTCAAGATGTGTGATCCTTGATGGGTCCTTTAACTCTTCTGGTTATACAATGTTGAACTATATAGCATTTGTAAGATCCTCTTATGTTCTGAAAATTCTGTGCTTCCAGGTCTGTGGTTTTCTCCCAGAACTAAGATATTTTGGAGCCCTGGGGCCTTCCAGGCCACAAAGAACAGGAGCTACAGGTGGGATCTGTGGTTTGGAAAGACTAAGAGGCTCCAAGCCTTTGGGGCAGCCCCTTCCTCAGCTCTAACAAGAAGGCACCAGTGAAAAGACAGCTTTCCTCCCTCAGCCACCGCCTCTCTCTCACCCATACCTCCGTTCAGGGCTTTTTCCCACTTATTCCTATTTCTTGGTTCCTCTTTTCCCAGGCCAGAAGAGAAAGCAGCAGAAAGGAAGATCCCAGGCCTTTTTCTTCCATCTAATCAAGACTTCAGGATGGCTTTCTTGCAGTCAGGGAATGGTTGCCTGGGTAACCAAGTATTAACTATAAGGATCTCCCCTTCTCTCTTTTTGCTAGACTAACCATTCTGGTTTCTCCCTCCTGTCTGAGTAGGGAGTTAATAGTAAAAGGATTTATTTAACTAGGCTCTGGATTTTATAACCCTTGCTGGCTTCCAACAGCGAACTCCAAACTGCCTTTTACTGGAGGCTTGTCTTAAATGAACCAGAACTACTTTTTCTCATCTATTATTTTAAACCTAATTGGAACACAGCAAAGCGAAACAAGTTTGAAAGGCAGTCAGAGTAGCTTCCCTATGCCATGATTTATCAATGTCTGAGGCTAGCATATTAAAATATAGCTCTTGTTTTGTACCATCAAGATTGGATGAAAATAAGAATGCCTTTAGAAGGGAAAGGGCTTTCTTAACCAAAATATCTAACTCTACTCCTTATCACTGTTCACAGAGTAGATTATTGTATTTAGTTATGTGGATGATGGGTGGGGCCCAAAGAAATAGATCCGGGGTCTGGGGTACAGTGTGGTAAATGCAAGCCTGAAAAGATATCTTCAGAAGAAGGTGTGTAACAGAGGGATAGGGGTTGTAGTAGGCTGTTCTTGTATTGCTATAAAGAGATATCTGAGACTGGGTAATTTACAAAGAAAAGAGGTTTAATTGGCTCTCAGTTCTGCAGGCTGTACAGGGAGCATAGACCTGGCATCTGTTTCTGGTGAGGCCTCAGGAAGCTTATCAGGCAGGGGCCATAACAGCCTGCCCTTCTCTCTGGCTTCTTGTTGAGTTTAATCAGTGCAAAGGACTTGCCAGGGATGAGAAAGTAGGAAAGACAAATTGAGTTACGTATAACACCCTCTTTCCCTGCTGGGTTGGCAGTGACTGTTTCTCTGCTGAAGGCCACAGCTCCTGCCTGGCAGAACTCTCCTACAAATACAACCTCCATGGGTTTCAGCAGCTTCTTCAAGCCTAGGTGGTAGGGGGTTCCCCCTGTAACTAGGGCATGGGTGCTTCACCATCCCATGTTGAATTCCCTTAATTCCTTTTATAAATAAATCCTTCCATAACCACTTTCTTCAGAATTATTTATCCATGTATAAGAATGATACTGTGATTATTTTTTCAAGTGGGCTTTACCTTTTAGAGATACATCCTGAAGTATTTAGGGACAAAGTGATATTTAAATGAAGCGTGTTTGGTCATGATTTGATAACCGTCAAAGCTAAGAGATCATGATTTGGTAATCATCAAAGTAAAAGCGTTCAGGGTCTTTATAATTTTCCCTCTACTTTTGCACATGTTTAAAATTTTTCCATCATAAAGAAATTTTTTAATGATAAAAAAAATGTTTAAGCACCCCTTTGGGAGATGCTGTTTCCCATAGGGACCTGGACTGACACAGGAGCAGAGGAGGAATGAGCAGAGAATATCAGCAAGATGAATGATATAGTTTGGATAATTGTCCCTACCCAAACCTCATGTTGAATTGTAATCCCCAATGTTGGAAGTGAGGCCTGGCAGGAGGTGATTAGATCTGGAACTGAATTTCTCATGAACGGTTTAGCACCATCCCCTTGGCACTGTCCTCAGGATAGTGAGTGAGTTCTTGTGAGATCCGATCATTTAAAGGGGTATAGTAACTCCCCCCTCACTCTCTTGCTCCTGCTCTGGCCATGCGATGTGCCTGCTCCCCCTTTGCCTTCCACAATGTTTGTAAGTTTCCTGAAGCCTCCCCAGAAGCTGAGCAGATGCCAGCATCATGCTTCTTGTACAGCCTGCAGAACCATGAGCCAATTAAACCTCTTTTCTTTATAAATTACCCAGAGTCAGGTATCTCTTTATAGCAGTGCAAGAACGACTAATACAATAACAATGGCCTACTTCATAATTTTGCCTGGAGTTAGCCCTAAAAGTAAAGGCTGCAAGTGATGTGTTTGTGGTCCTTTCTGAACTGGGACTAGACAGTAAAATCTCAATAATTCACTGTAATTAGGAAAACAATTCAATCTGACTCAGCAAAGATCTGTATTATAAACTATTTCTTAAATTCTTTTGAAACTTGAACAATGTATTCATTCAGTTTGGACTGGCCTTCACACACACAGACTTTGGAGAGTTCCAATCTTATTTCTCAGCACACCTTGTTGGAAATCTTTATAAAAACCTCTTTCATAGCCATCGTAGGCAGCTTTTCCTCACACTATCATAGAGTACCTGGCCCTCTCTCCACTTCAAAACACTCATCTCAAAATTTAGCTTGTTTCACCTCTCCTTTAAAGTCTGTCTTAACCATATTGGCCCAAAAGGAACTCTTCTTAGAAATTATTATCTCACCTCCACCAATCCCTAGGTGACCTTGGGCAAGTTACTTAACCTCTCAGACCTCAGTTTTATCATCTGCAAAATGGGACTAATAACAGTACTTATTTATTAGAATTTATATCAGTATTGAATGAGTCTGAGATTGGCTAATACTAGGCATTCAGTCAACGTTAGGTACTATATTACCATTTATTCAGCAAATATTCCACTATATACCTGGTTTTTTCTAAGTCCTGAGGATGTAACGGTGAAAAACATAAAGCCCCTGCCCTCATGGAGCTTCCTTTCTAGCAGGAGAGGCAGATAATAAACATGTAAACAGATATATATATATATATATATATATATATATATATATATATATATATATATATTCAGGTTTCAACTAGTGCTAAATGCTATGGCAAAACTAAAATGAGTAAAAATGATGGAAAATATGATTTTTGGTACAGTGGACTGGGATGCCCTTTCTAAAAGGGTGACATTTTGATGATAAAACACATATTGAAATTAGTTTTTAAGCTCATTTTACTGCCTAAAAAGCCCTCTTAAATATATATCAAAAGCTTTCAAATATTTGGGAATGATATATTTTCCAACTCAGTAGCCATGATAATCCAGAATCCCAACCTGGGTTGGCAGACTCATCGGTGGACAAGTTCACATCGTAAACCTTCAGCATGCATTCCAAACCTGCCTTTTCCTTTCATTTTAAATGTTATCTTCCTCATGTTGTCTTCCTAATACTGACCTAATTTTTCAAACATGGTGCTTTGTCACCGCAACTTCTTCACACTGTTGACAGAGTCTTCTCTTGCTGCCTTTTCACAAAGGTGGCCTTTTACTTTCTTCACCTTTGTTTCCTAAGAAATTGCCCACAGCCTGCCTTACACCTTTAAACTGGTTTCATGCCACTGTTCAGCTGTTTTCCTTTTATATCAGAGTCACTGTCACTGAATTATTCCACCTCTTTACTCCCTCTTCTTTATTCTCTTTGCTGCCATATATAGCCAAAGTGAAAGGAGATCCCAAAAGAAGCTGCTAACTTTGGGGAGGTGTGTTTTTGGTACTGGTAGGAGTGGGGGAATCAGAGAAATCTGGGCATGGGAGAGTTGAAGCAACATGATCCAAGAGCTCTGACATCAGTTTTCTGACAATTTCAAAATCTGTGAATAAAATAAGGATGTGTGTTATAAAGTATCAGGAGAATCAGGAAGATAAATAGGATGCTTTTTCGCAAGGGAAAAGAATTTCTACTAATGAAAATCATCACCAATGACTCCTTTGTAATTGGGTTAATGGAATGATTTTAAAACACACACCCACCTCTAGCTATATAAAATAATACAGGATACTTTAATCCTGAGATCCTGGACTTTTCCCACTGTGAAGCAATAAATATAAATAAATATCTTGGCTTAACATTCCTCTTTACCTCCTGCTTCTTCTCTCTGGTGATTTTTTTTCCTTCTTCTTTATGCACAAGGCCCCAGATCACTCAAGATTAGAAAACATAAAAGGCTCAGAAATTAAATTCTTAAGATTAAGGAATTCACTTAAGCCACATAAATTTAGAGCCTTTCTTTGCCAGCCAGGAACTCAGCAACTCAGATTAATAAACCTCGTTTCTGAAGTTGTGATAAATGAAGGCCATACAAAATCAGCCAGGTTTTCAGCTTGTTGCAGGGTCCACATGAGTGCTGGGATGGAGCCATCAACCAAAGATTGGCTCATGCACAAAACATTCCAGGAGCCAGGAAAGGCGGCGATGGGACTGAACACAAAGCTCTTTAGTATGTGCAACAATTAATGTTTTAAATATTAAAACAAATTAATATGAGAGAGAATGTTGCTTTCTTATAACAAAAACTCAATCTCATCTCACAAGTTAAAATATTACAGAGAAGAAAAGATACCTGAAAATGCTAGCTTTTTGCACTCTCACATCCTTATGGAGTCCTCTTATGAAAATATCCTGGATTGTTCTAGTTTAAATTTTTTTAAAGGATCTGAATATTTGTTCTTAAATAACTTGTTTAAACTAGTATTGGTCACCTTCAAGTGCCCTCTGGTGTAACTTATTTTAATCTTCCAGACAATACTTTACCCTGATCAAAGGAAAGGATTCTTTTTTTGCTCCTTTTGTGTTTGGATTAAAAATTATGATCTGCAAGCATGAGTTGAATTAAATTGAAAGTTTCTTCACTAAGAGTAGGAAATCACTAACTCTAAAACATCCTTTTAAAATCTGGGCATAGAAGGTTTAGAGTCTGGCTTCCCAGTGTGGCTGAAGGTGGAAAGTGGGGGCAATCTGCAGGCAAAAAGGAGGCACCCTGTCTGTAGAGAATTTACAAACATAACAAACACTTTATACAAGTAATAAAGTTTTAATAATGAAACTGACCAAAAACCAGTCTGCTCCTTATCATCATGTACATGCCAACAATTCTAACTAATATAAGTGATAAAATGCTGTTCCCTCCCCACCAAAATTTTGTTGTATAAGTTCTAACAATTGTTGTGGTTACTGTTGGGTTTTAATAATATATATGCAAACTTTAAATTAGCACGTTTTTACTGCTCATCCTTTTATACAGGCATACGTTTTATTGCACTTTACAGATATTCCATTTTTCACAAATTTAAGGTCTGTGGCAACCTTTCATCAAACAAGTCTATCGCTGTCATTTTTCCAGCAGCATGTACTCACTTGTGTCTCTGTGTCGCATTTTGATCATCCTTGCAATGTTTCAAACTTTTTCATTATTATTATATCCTTTATCGGGATCTGTGATCAGTGACTTTTGATGGAATTATTATAATTGTTTTGGGGTACCACGAACTGTGCCCATATAAAATGGCAAATTTAATCAATAAGTTTTGTGTGTGTCATCACTGCTCCACTGATCAGCCATTCCTCCATCTCCCTCCTTCTTCTCAGACCTTTCCTTCCTATTCCCTCAGACACAAGATTAAAATTAGGCCAATTAGTAACCATACAATGGCTTCTAAGTGTTCAAGTGAAAGGAAGCCTCTCACTATAAATCAAAACCTAGACTTCATGAAAGACCTAAAACCATGAAAACCCTAGAAGAAAACCTAGGCAACACCATTTAGGACATAGGCATGGGCAAAGACTTCATGACTAAAACACAAAAGCAATGGCAACAAAAGCCAAAATTGACAAATGGGATCTAATGAAACTAAAGAGCTTCTGCACAGCAAAAGAAACTATCATCAGAGTGAAAAGGCAACCTACAGAATGGCAGAAAATTTTTGCAATCTATCCATCTGACAAATGGCTAATATCCAGAATCTACAAAGAACTTAAATAAATTTACAAGAAAAAAACAGCCCCATCAAAAAGTGGGCAAAGGATATGAACAGACACTTCTCAAAAGAAGACATTTATGCAGAAAACAAACATATTTTAAAAAGCTCTTCATCACTGGTCATTAGAGAAATGCAAATCAAAACCACAATGAGATACCATCTCACGCTAGGTAGAATGGTGATCACTAAAAAGTCAGGAAACACATCCTAGAGAGGATGTGGAGAAATACGAATGCTTTTACACTGTTGGTGGGAGTGTAAATTAGTTCAACATTGTGGAAGTCAGTGTGGTCATTCCTTAAGGATCTAGAAGTAGAAATACCATTTGACCCAGCAATCCCATTACTGGGTATATACTCAAAGGATTATAAATCTTTCTACTATAAAGACACATTCACATGCACACATATGTTTATTGCAGCACTGTTCACAATAGCAAAGACTTGGAACCAACCCAAATGCCCATCAATGATAGACTGGATAAAGAAAATGTGACACATATACACCATGGAATACTATAGAGCCATAAAAAAGTGTGAGATCATGTCTTTTGCAGGGACATGGATGAAGCTGGAGACCATCATTCTCAGCAAACTAACACAACAGAAAACCAAACACTGCATGTTCTCACACATAAGTGGGAGTTGAACCATGAGAACACATGGACACAGGAAGGGGAACATCACACACGGGGGCCTGTCGGGTGGGGGCTGAGGGGCCAGGGGAGGGATAGCATTAGGAGAAATACCTAATGTAGATGACGGGTTGATGGGCGCAGCAAACCACCATGGCACATGTATACCTATGTAACAAACCTGCACGTTCTGCACATGTACTGCAGAAACTATAAAAAAAAAAAAAACCTCTAACTTTTAATAAAATGTTTTATTTATTTCTATGTGGAATAAAAATCAAAAATAAGCCAGGAAAAAAAAAAGCTAGAAATGAGGAAGCTTAATGAGGAAGGCAAATAAAAAGCTGAGACTGGCCGAAAGCTAGGCCTCTTGCACTAAACAGCCAAGTCGTGAATATGAAGAAAAAATTCTTAAGGAAATAAAAGTGCTACCCAGTGAATATATGAATGATAAGAAAGTGAAACAGCATTATTGCTGATATGGAGAAGGTTAGAGTGGACTGGACAGAAGATCAAACCAGCCAACACATTCCCTTAAGCCAAAGCCTAATCTACAGCAAGATCTTAACTCTCTTCAATTCTATGATGGCTGAGAAAGGTGAGGAGCCAGCAGAACTAAAGTTTGAAGCAGAGGCTGGTTGATGAGGTTTAAGGAAAGAAACTATCTCCAAAACATAAAAGTGCAAGGGGAAGCAGCAAGGGCTGATGTAGAAGCTGCAGCAAGTTATCCAGAAGATCCAACTAAGATCATTGATGAAGGCAGCTACACTAAACAGATTTTCAGTGTAGCTGAAACAGCCTTCTATTGGAAGAAGATTCCATCCAGGATTAACTAGAGAGGAAAGCTCAATGCTTGGCTTCAAAGTTTCAAAAGGCAAGCTGATTCTCTTATTAAGGGCTAATGTGGCTGGTAACTTTAAGTTGAAGCCAATGCTCATTGACTGTTTTGAAAATCCTAGGGCCCTTAAGAATGATGTTAAATCTACATTGCCTGTGCTTTATAAATGCAATAACAAAGTCTGAACAACAGAACATCTGTTTACAGCATGATTTACTGAAAATTTTAAGCCCACTGTTGAGACCTACTGCTCAGGAAAACAGATTCCTTTCAAAATATTATTGTTCGTAGACAATGTAACTGGTCACCCAGGAGCTCTGAAGGAGATATACAAGGAGATAACTGTGATTTTCATGCCTGCTAACACAATATCCATTCTGTAGCCCATGGATCAAGGAATAATTTCAATTTTCAAGTCTTATTGTTAAGAAATATATTTTGTAAGGCTATACCTACCATAGATAGTGACTTCTCTAATGAATCTGGGCAAAATATGTAGAAAACCTTCTGGAAAAGATTTACCATTCTAGATGACATTAAAAACATTTGTGATTCATGGAACAGACAGTTCTCAAAAGAAGATATACAAACGGCCAACAAACATGAAAAAATGCCCCACCCACATCACTAATGATCAGGGAAATGCAAATCAAAACCATAATGTGACACCAACTTACTCCTGCAAGAATCGCCATACTCAAAAAATGAAAAAATAATAGATGTTGGCATGGATGTGGTGAAAAGGGAACACTTTTACACTGCTGGTGGAAATGTAAACTACTAAAACCACTATGGAAAATAATGTGGAAATTCCTTAAAGAACTAAATGTAGAGCTACCATTTGATCCAGCAATCCCACTACTGAGTACCTACCCACAGGAAAAGAAGTCATTACATAAAAAAGATGCTTTCACATGCATGTATACAGCAGCACAATTTGCAGTTGCAAAAACATGGAACCAGCCCAAATCCCCATCAATCAATGAGTGCATAAATTGTGATACACACACACATACCATGGAATACCACTCAGCCATAAACATGAAGAAAATAATGGCATTTGGACCAACCTGAATGGGACTGGAGACCAGTAGTCTAAGTGAAGTTAAGTCAGGAATGGAAAACCAAACATTGTATGTTCTCACTTATAAGTGGGAGCTAAGCTATGAGAACGCAAAGGCATAAGAATGATACAACGGACTTTGGGGACTCAGGGGAAAGGGTGGGAGAAGGGTGAGGGATAAAAACCACCCACTGGGTACAGTGTACACTGCTCGGGTGATGGGTGCACCAAAATTTCAGAAATCACCACTAAAGAACTTATTCATGTAACCAAACACCATCTATTCCCCCAAAAACATATTGAAATAAAAAAAATGAATTAAAAAAACCATTCGTGACTCAGGAGATCAAAATATCAACATTAACAGGAGTTTGGAAGAAGTTGATTCCAACCTTCATGGACAACTTGGAGAGGTTCAAAACTTTGGTGGAGTACTGCAGATGTGATGCAAATAGCAAGAGAACTAGAATTAGAGGTAGAGCCTTAAGTATGACTGAATTGCTGCAATCTCATGATAAAACTTGAACAGATGAGAAGTCGCTTCTTATGGATGAGCAAAGAAAGTGGTTTCTTGAGATAGAATCTATTCCTGGTGAAAATACTGTGATCATTATTGAAATGACAACAAAGGATTTAGAAAATGACATAAACTTAATTTATAAAGCAGCAGCAGGGTTTGAGAGGATGGACTCTAATTTTTGAAGGAAGTTCTAACGTGGATAAAATGTTGTCAAACAGCAAAGCATGCTACAGAGAAATATTTTATGAAAGAGTTAATTGATGGGGCAAACGTCATTGTTGCCTTATTTTAAGAAATTGCCACAGCCATCCCAACCTTAAGCAACCACGACCCTGATTAGTCAGTAGCCATCAACATCAAGTCAAGACTCACTGAAGCCTTAGATGATCATTAGCATTTTTTAGCAATAAATTTTTAATTAAGGTATGTACATTACTTTTTAGACATAATGCCATTGCACATTTAATAGACTATAATATAGTGTAAACATAACTTTTATATAAACTGGAAACAAAAAATTTTGTGTAATTCACTTTATTGCAATATTCACTGCATTGTGATCATCTGGAACCAAACCCACAACATCCCCAAGGTATGCCTGTATATATTATAATCTACAAGTAAGCTAATTCAGAGAAATCCCAGTTATACAGCTGACTCCAGACACATGCAGTCTTGGACACACACATATGTGTTCCATAAGCAAGTTTGTGAAGGTTTGGGAATCATTCCAGCTCACTTCGAAAAAACTTATGATACTCCATATTCTGACATTTAAACAGAAGATTCAAAATAAATAATTATAGGATATTACTTGCAAAAAAAAAAGAAACAAGTAAATTCATCATTCCACATGATTAATGGAATTTTTGTTTTTAAAAATGTAAAGTGACGAAATGAAGTACAGAATGTGAGATGTAGTATTTTTATTGGTAAGTGTAAACTTTATACATGATTTTGCTAAACTTTAATAATATCTTTAAAATTGATATTTCTTTTGTTATTCTTGTGATTATTTAATAAACTTTAATATTATTTATTACTGTCATAAACCAATAATTGGTTCTTTCCCTTTGTGCAAAAATTTATACTAATGTAATTAAAATTACCAATCCATTACTTTTTTCCTTTTATGTACATAACATTTTTTATGTTTCTTTACTTTTTAAAAGCATAATTATATATATGAAGTCCAGTAAAAAATTTCCACAATTTGGCTGGGTGTGGTGGCTCACACTTGTAATCCCAGGCCTTTGGGAGGCCGAGGCAGGTGGATCATTTGAGGTCAGGAGTTCAAGACCAGCCTGACCAACATGATGAAACCCCATCTGTACTAAAAATACAAAAAAAATTAGCCAGGTGTGGTGGCACATGGCTGTAGTCCCAGCTACTCAGGAGGCTGAGGCAGGAGAATCACCTGAGCCCAGGAGGTGGAGGTTGCAGTGAGCCGAGATCATGCCATTAGCACTCCAGGCTGGGTGACAGTGCGAGACTCCGTCTCAAAAAAAAAAAAAAATCCACAATTTGTATTTCCTTTATGGCCATTATTATGCATATTATATATTATTCATATAAAATAATTTTTAAGATAATTTTGTCACCTAAAGGAAGGAGGATTAAAACGTTATGTGCTCTGAGTGCAAACATGCTTTGTACCAACATGCTTTCTGGAGTTTTCTCAGATTCTTTGACTTTCTTACTTTTTGTCTCATACAAGCTTGCATCAAAATTGTGAGCTGGCTTAAGATGGTGGATTATAGGAAAACTAGAAGAAAACACTTCCTAGAAAGGAATAGAAGACAAGTAACTAACATGCATTTATTCGCCCCTTTATTCATTCAACAAATAACTATTAACCATCTACCACCATACCAAGCACTGGTCTAGGCACCAGGAATATTATTTCATGCCGTCTGGAAGGTTGCCTTTTAATAGAAAAACACAGACAAATAACAAACATAATGAACAAGTAAATTATGTAATATGTTAGAATGCAGTAAGAGCTATAGAAAAAAATAATGAATTCAGCATGATAAACGAGTGCCAGGACATTGGAGTTTTAATAGGGTAGCTATTGGTTATTGGGAAGGTATCTTTTGATCAAAGACTTGAATAAGTTGAGAATTAGCCATGTGGACATCTAGGGAAAGTGTATTCTGGGCAGAGAAAACCAACCAGAGCAAAGGTCATGGGGAAGGGGCATGCCTGGATCGTTCCAGGAAAAGCAAGAAGGACACGAAGCAGAGAGTGAAAGGGAAAGAAAGGAGTAGTAGATGAAATTAGAGAGGTCAGGAGGATCAGATTGTACAGAGCTTTCTTAAACCTTTAAAACGACTTTGTCTTTTACTCTGGGTGAAACAGGGAACCACTGCAGGGCTTTAAGCAGAGGAATGACATGATACAACTCATGATGTTTAAAACAGTGGCCTTAGTATAAGTGGGTTGACTACCTTAAAAGCCCTCCAATCTTCCTGGAGCGATATGGGGTGGCCCACCTAAGACATCTGTCCCCATTCATCACCAAGATTGATCCGTCTGATCTGACTGACTAGGAGTACCATTCTTCCCTGCCTTCTTGCCTTGCATCGTCCTAAAGGCGCACACCTGGTCAACCCTTTCAGATTTAGGAGAGGCATTCTTCAGGTAAGGGTCTAGAGGTGCTACCTGATGCTAAAACTTTGACCATTTGAGATTATTTTTCACCTACTATCTTCAAGACTCTTCTGTAAAACTATAAATTGCTCTTGAATTCTTAACCTATGAAAACTGACTTTTTGATATAAATTAAATTAGCCCTTAACCGACAATTAAGCAGATAACTGACAGGTGGGAATGAACACCAGAAACATTCACAGCAACACACACACGCACCCCTAGACCTCAATATTTAGATATTCATCATACATACATTTTCTATCCACAATTGACTACAATGCTAATAGTTCTCAAACGTACACAAGATGTACGTAATGTCCTGTCCATTTGTTTCCCTCTTTCACTGTCATAACTGAACAGGGATTATTGGAGGATATAGTGAAAAGAAGGGCAAACTCAGATGTTGTGCATGGCAGCCATGCTAGGAAGTAGGAAAAGTAGAGGCAAGAAGACCCCTGGAGAAAGATTTGTCTGCCTAAAGTTTGAACCAAAGCCAGCTTCTACCTCAGGCCAACCCATTCTCTGAACAGAAGGAAAGGATGCTTCCTGAGGTACTGACCTGGCCTATGAACTTTACCCTCAGGAGAGCTGACCAAAGGATGTCTCCTGGTAGCCTAATTGGTCCTCTTGGTCCTCAAATTCTCTTTTTTAAAAACTATTACATTCATTCTACCTATGCGTTTTTTCAATAAATTGTATTAATATTTCTTAGTCACAATAGAAGGCTTTTAACTTCTCAATTATTTTTCAGTCTCTTCCAAGGGTAGTACTATCAGAAGCAAGATGAAAAGCATCAAGGTGGGTACCAATTTTTACCCACACTTAGCACCAAAAGTTGAATTTGAAGCTAGGATTGGGCAAATACAAGAATGACTATTTCCTAACCATGTATAAAAAGCTGTTTCAAAGTTTTCTCTGATGTTCATAAACATCAAGTATCTTACCAGTAATCACAGTTCTAAGCTGGTAATTTTCCAGTACGTAGGCTTCCATACTTCTGAAGCCTACATGTGAATGCTTATATTACAGGTGCTTCTTTCCCTTAAGGTAGTCACTTATGGGAACAGCTTATGGACAAACAGGGAGCTTTTGTGTTGAGTGTAATAGATCAGCCTCTCTTTCATAAATGACAGCTTCTACCCAGATTAGTTTTATAAGGAGATGGCAACTCCCTATTTGATATAATTTTACATGCACTAGAAAGTTTTCCTTGACTCCATCACTCATGAAGCTTACCCACCTAATGAAAAAAATGTCTAATGATAAAATTAGACAGCATGCAAGAACAGATGACTAATGTAACCAAAACTATGAAAAGTCTTAGAATCTAAAGGAGATGCTAGAGATCAAACACTAACAGAACTGAATATGCCTTTTATGGACTCCTCAGTAGACTGAACATGGCTATAAAAAGAATCAGTGAGCTTGAAGATATGTCAATATAAACTTCAAGAACTAAAATGCAAAAAGAAAAAACTATAGTGGAAAAAACAGAAGAATATATTAAAGAACTGTGGGACAATTTCAAAAAGTGTAACATACATAATTTGAATACCAGAAAAAGAAGAAAAAGTGGAGCAGAAGAAATACTTGAAAGTAATGACAAACACAAAACCACAGATCCATGAGGTTCAGAGAAAAGCAGGATAAACACTTAAACTACTTGTAGGCATAGCATATGCAAACTGCAGAAAACCAACTACAAAGAGAAAACCTTAGAAGAAGCCAGAAGGAACAAACACTTTACCTATAGAAAAACAAGTTTAAGAATTACAGCAGACTTCTCATCAGTACCATGCAAGCAAGAAGAGAATGAAATGAAATATTTAAAGTGTTGAAAGTCAAAAATCACCAACCTGGAAATTCTATATCTAGCAAAATTGTTCTTCAAAAGTAAAAGAGAAGGACTTCCTTCATGCAAAAAATAATAATAACTACCCTGAGGGAATTCATTACCAGAAGACCTGTAATGCAGAAATTTTTTAAAAAACATTATTTAAGGGGAATGAAAATGATATAGGTCAGAAACTCAAATCTATGTAAAGGAAAATCAATACAGAAGGAATAAATGGAGATACAATCATCTGATAACTGTTTACTTAAAATAATAATAGTAACAATGTATTGGTTGATTATAGAATATGAATAAGTGAAATGAATGACAGCAATGTCATAACAGATAGGAGGGAGAAATGAGGGATACTGTTATGAGTAAGAACCTGAAGTGCAGATGCAATGGTAGAGTGTTATTAGAAGCTGGATATAGACAAGTTAAAAATTTATATTGCAAACTCTAGACCACTATTAAAAAAATTTTTAAGAAATGTAATTGCTAGGAAAGGAGATAAAATAAAATCACATGAAGTGCTCAATTAAAAACAGACAAGGCAGGAAAATACTGGAACAAAAAAAGAAACAAATGCAATTATTATAAAACAGATATGAACATGGTAGATATTTATACAACTATACCAATAATCACTTTAAATGTTAATTGTTTAAAAACACAAGGTAAACAAAAAGGTTGTCAGAGTAGATTGAAAAAACAAGGTCCAAATATATGTTGCCTACCAGAAACTAAATATTAAAAACTCAAGTGGGATCATCATGGCAGACAGGAGGCAGGACTAGATTACAGCTCCAGAGACAGCAACGTACAGAAGCTCACACTGTGAATTTTAGCTCCAGAACGACTGCAATTACAAACCAAAAATCCCAAGAGGACCCACAGACCCTCTGAAGGAAGTGGACTGCTCCTGCAGGACCTGGGAGACACCCCAAATACTGTGAGTGCCCTAACTGCAGAAATGGGAAAAGGAGACTCTCCTCTCACAGGGCTCCATGCAGACAACCCCCAGTACCAGTCCAGACCCTCAATGGAGAAGCTGAAGGTCTGTTTGTGGGAGAAGTTTCCAACTTTACCTGGAGCTGAGTCAATTTAGAGAACCAAGTGAAATACAGGGGAGAGGAAGCAGCAGAAAGGCCTTGGGAGCTTGCTGTGTACCCTAGCAGCCCATTCCTGCCTGGCACCACAGGGATCCATTGGGAGGGTGACCAGAGGAGCAGGGGATAAACTCCACAGGAGGAAGAAAATCTCTAGCTGAACTTTGTAACAATTTGAAGGGTGGGAAGCCTCCTGCTCAGAAGTCACGGGAGGGTGCAAATCTGGTGTGCAGACTCCACAGGCAGGGGAAAAACCAAGCCCTTTTCTTTCGCAGCTGGGAGGTGGGTAGCCCAGTGCAAGTTTTCTAGCCTGTCACACCCTCCGCCAGGAAACAGACTCGGGGCTACTGGGGGTGGGGGCACAGTGGGAGTGAGACCTTCAGTTTATGTGGGATCTGGATGAGGTCTGTGACTGCTGGCTTTCCCCCATTTCCCTGACAACCTGCATGACTCAGGAGAGGCAGCCATAATCCTCCTAGGTACACAACTCCAGTGACCTGGAAATCTCAACCCCATCCTCCACATCAGCTGCAGCAAGACCTGCCCAAAGTGAGTCTGAGCTCAGACATGTCTAGCCCTGCCTGCACTTGATGGTCCTTCCCTATCCACCCTGGAAACAGAAGACAAAGGGCATATAATCTTGGGAGTTCTAGGGCACTGCCCACTGCCAGGCCCTCTCCATACTACTACAGCTGATGCTTTCTGGAAAGTGTCACCTCCTGGCAGGAGGCCAACCAGCACAAAAATAGAGCATTAAACCACCAAAGCTAAGAACCCTCACAGAATCCATTGAACACCCCTGCCACCTCCACCTGAACAAGCACTGGTATCCATGGCTGAGAGACCCATAGATGGTTCACATCACAGGGCTCTGTGCAGACAACCCCCAGTACCAGTCCAGAGCTGGGCAGTCTCACGGGGTGGCTAGACTCAGAAGAGAGACAACAATCACTGCAGTTTGGCTCTCAGGAAGCCACATCCACAGGAAAATAGGGAGGGTACTACACCAAGGGAACACCTGTGGGACAAAAGAATCTGAACAACAGCATTCAGCCCTAGATCTTCCCTCTGACAGAGGCCACCCAAATGAGAAGGAACCAGAAAACCAACCCTGGTAATATGACAATACAACGCTCTTCAACACCCACAAAAAAATCACACTAGTTCACCAGCAATGGATCCAAACCAAGAATAAATCCCTGATTTACCTGAAAAAGAACTCAGGAGTTTAGTTATTAATCTAATCAGGGAAGGACCAGAGAAAGGTGAAGCCCAATGCCAGGAAATCCAAAAAATAATGCAAGAACTGAAGGGAAAATTATTCAAGGAAGTAGATAGCTTAAAGAAAAAGCAATCAAAAATTCAGGAAACTTTAGACACACTTTTAGAAATGTGGAATGCTCTGGAAAGTCTCAGCAATATAATTGAGCAAGTAGAAGAAAGAAACTCAGAGCTCAAAGACAAGGTCTTCAAATTAACCCAATCCAAAAAAGACAAAGAAAAAGAATAAGAAAATATGAATAAAGCCTCCAAGAAGTCTGGGATTATGTTAAACAACCAAACCTAAGAATAATTGGTGTTCCTGAGGAAGAATAGAATTCTAAAACCTTGGAAAACATATTTGGGGGAATAATCGAGGAAAATTTCCTTGGCCTTGCTAGAGACCTACACATCCACACACAAGAAGTACATAGAACACCTGGAAAATTCATCACAAAAAGATCTTTGCCTAGGCACATTGTCATGAGGTTATCCAAAGTTAAGAGGAAGGAAAGAAACTTAAGAGCTGTGAGACAGAAGCACCAGGTAACCTGTAAAGAAAAACCTATCAGATTAACAGCAGATTTCTCTGGAGAAACCCTACAAGCTAGAAGGGATTCAGTCTCCTCAAACAAAACAATTATCAGCCAAGAATTTTGTATCCAGCAAAACTAAGCATCATATACGAAGGAAAGATACTGTTGTTTTCAGACAAACAAATGCTGAGAGAATTCACCTATTACCAAGCCACCACTACAAGAACTGCTAAAGGGAGCTCTAAATCTTGAAACAAATCCTGGAAACACATCAAAACAGAAACTCTTTAAAGCATAAATCACACAGGACCTATAAAACAAAAATACATGTTAAGAAGCAAAACAAAAAGCAAAAAAATCAAAGCATACAGGCAATAAAGAGCAAGATGAATGCAACAGTACCTCACATATCAATACTACATTGAATGTAAATGGCCTAAATGTTCCACTTAAAAGATACAGAACCACGGAATGGATAAGAACTCACCAATCATCTGCTGCCTTCAGGAGACTCACCTACCACATACAGACTCACATAAACTTAAAAGGGTAGAAAAAGGCATTTCATGCAAATGGACACCAAAAGCGAGCAGGATAGCTACTCTTATATCAGACAAAACAAACTTTAAAGCAACAGCAGCTAAAAGAGACAAAGAGGGACATCACATAATGGTAAAAGGCCTTGTCCCACAGAAAAATATCACAATCCTAAACATATATGCACCTAACACTGGAGCTCCCAAATATATAAAACAATTACTAATAGACCTAAGAAATGAGATAGCAACACAATAATAGTGGAGACTTCAATACTCCACTGACAGCACTAGACAGGTTATCAAGACAGAAAGACAACAAAGAAACAATGGATTTAAACTATACCTTGGAACAAATAGACCTAACAGATATATAGAGAACGTTTCATCCAACAACCGCAAAATACACGTTCTATTTAATAGCACATGGAACTTTCTCCAAGATAGACCATATGACAGGCCATAAAATGAGCCTCAATAAGTTTAAGAAAGTTGAAATTATATCAAGCACTCTCTCAGAACACAGTGGAATAAAACTGGAAATCAACTCCAAAAGGAACCTTCAGAACCATGCAAATGCATGGAAATTAAATAACCTGTTCCTGAATGAGCATTGGGTCAAAAACAAAATCAAGATGGAAATTAAAAAATTATTCAAACTGAATGACAATAATGATACAACCTATCAAAACCTCTGGGATAAAGCAAAGGCGGTGCTAAGAGGAAAGTTCATAACCCTAAGCACCTATATCAAAAAGATTGAAAGAGCACAAACTGATATTCTAAGGTCACACCTCAAGGAGCAAGAGAAACAAGCGCAAACCAAACCCAAACCCAGCAGAAGAAAGGAAGTTATCATGAAAGATCAGAGCAGAACTAAATGAAATTGAAACAAACAAACAAAAAAGATAAATGAAACAAAAAGCTGGTTATTTAAAAAGATAAATAAAATTGATAGACCATCAGCAAGATTAACCAAGAAAAGAAGAGAGAAAATCCAAATAACCTCACTAAGAAACAAGACAGGAGATATTACAACTGACACCACTGAAATACAAAAGATCATTCAAGGCTACTATGACGCATTTACGCACATAGCTAGAAAACCTAGAAGAGATGGATAAATTATTGTAAAGATACAACCCTTCTAGCTTAAATCAGTAAGAATTAGATACCCTGAACAGACCAATAACAAGCAGTGAGATTGAAATGGTAATTTTTAAATTACCAACACAAAAAGTCCGGGACCAGACGGATTCACAGCAGAATTCTACCAGACATCCAAAAAAGAATTGTTACCAATCCTTTTGACACTATTCCACAAGACAGAGAAAGAAGGACTCCTCCTTAATTCATCTTCTGAAGCCAGCATCACCCTAATACCAAAATCAGAAAAGGACCTAACCAAAAAAGAAAACTACAGACCGATATCCTTGAAGAACATTGATGCTAAAATCCTTAACAAAATACTAGCTAACCGAATCCAACAACATACCAAAAAGATAACCCACCATGATCAAGTGAGTTTCATACCAGGGATGCAGGGATGGTTTAACATATGCAAGTCAATAAACACACCACATAAACAGAATTAAAAACAAAAATCACATGTTCATCTCAATAGATGCAGAAAAAGCATTCGACAAAATCCAGCATTGCTTTATGATTAAAACTCTCAGCAAAATTAGCATACAAGGGACATACCTTAATGTAATAAAAGCCATCTATGACAAAACCATAGCCAACATAATACTAAATGGGGAAAAGTTGAAAGCATTCACTCTAAGAACTGGAACAAGACAAGGATGCCCACTCTTACCACTCCTCTTCAACATAGTACTGGAAGTCCTAGTCAGAGCAATTAGACAAGAAAAAGAAATAAATGGCATCCAAATCAGTAAAGAGAAAGTCAAACTGTCACTGTTTGCTGATGATATGATCATTTACCTTGAAAACCCTAAGAACTCCTTCAGAAATCTCCTAGAACTGATAAAAGAATTCAGCAAAGTTTCCACATACAAGATTAATGTATGAAAATCAGTAGCTCTTCTATACACCAACAGCAAGCAAGCAGAGAATCAAATCAAGAACCCAACCCCTTTTACAATAGCTGCAAAAAAGAAATAAAATACTTAGGAATACACCTAACCAAGGGGTCAAAAGACCTCTACAAGGAAAACTACAAAACACTGTTGAAAGAAATCATAGATGACACAAACAAATGGAAACACATCCATGCTCATGGGATGGGTAGAATCAATAATGTGAAAATGACCATACTGCCAAAAGCAATCTATACATTCAACACATTCCCCATCAAAATACCACCATCATTCTTCACAGAATTAGAAAAACATTCTAAAATTCATATGGAACCAAAAAAAGAGCCCAAATAGCCAAAGCAAGACTAAGCAAAAAGAATACATCTGGAGGCATCACACTACCTGATTTCAAACTATACTATAAGGCCATAGTCACCCAAACAGCATGGTACTGGTATAAAAATAGGCACATAGACCAGTGAAACAGGATAGAGAACCCAGAAAGAAACCCAAATACTTACAGCCAACTGATCTTCAACAAAGTAAACAAAAACATCAAGTGGGAAAGGACACCCTTTTCAACAAATGATGCTGGATAATTGGCTAGCCACATGGAGGAGAATGAAACTGGATCCTCATCTCTCACGTTATACAAAAATCAACTCAAGACGGATTAAGGACTGAAACCTAAAACCTGAAACTATAAAAATTCTAGATGATAACATTGGAAAAACCCTTCTAGACATTGGCTTAGGCAAGGATTTCATGACCAAGAACCCAAAAGCAAATGCAATAAAAACAAAGATAAATAGCTAGGACCTAATTAAACTAAAGAGCTTTTGCATGGCAAAAGAAACTGTCAGCAGAGTAAACAGACAACCCACAAAGGGGGAGAAAATCTTCACAATCTATACATCTGACAAAGGACTAATATCCAAAATCTACAATGAACTCAAACAAATCAATAAGAAAAAAACAAACAATCCCATCAAAAAGTGGGCTAAGGACATAAATAGACAATTCTCAAAAAAAGATATACAAATGGCCAACAAACACATTAAAAAATGCTCAACATCACTAATGATCAGGAAAATGCAAACCAAAACCACAATGTGATATCATCTTACTTCTGCAGGAATGGCCATAATCAAAAAATCAAAAACAGTAGATGTCAGCATGGATGCAGTGAACAGGGAACACTTCTACACTGCTAGTGGGAATATAAATTAGTATAGCCGCCATGGAAAATAGTGTGGAGATTCCTTAAAGAATTTAAAGTAGAACTACTATTTGACCCAGCAATCCCACTACTGGGTATCTAGCCAGAAGAAAGGAAGCCATTATTCGAAAAAGATACTTGCACATGCATGTTTATAATGGCACAATCCACAATAGCGAAATTGTGGAACCAACCCAAATACCCACAAATCAATGAGTAGATAAAGAAAGTGTGGTGTGTGTGTGTGTGTGTGTGTGTGTGTGTGTGTGTGTGTGTGTGTGTGTATAGACAGATATATGATGGAATACTATGCAGCCATAAAAATGGATAAATTAACAGCACTTGCAGTCACTTAGATGAGATTGGAGACGATTATTCTAAATGAAGTAACTCAAGAATGGAAAACCAAACACCATATGTTCTAACTAATATGTCAGAGCTAAGCTATGAGGACAAAAAGGCATAAGAATGATACAATGGACTTTGGGGACTTGGGGGGAAGAGTGGGAGGGGGACTAGGGATAAAAGTCTACAAATATAGTGCAGTGTATACTGCTCGGGTGATGGATGAACCAAAATCTCACAAATCACCACTAAAGAACTTACTCATGTAACCAAATACCACCTGTACTCCAATAACTTATGGAAAAATTAAAATAAATAAATAAAAGCTCAAATATGTTAAAAGTAAAGGGATAGAGCACATATCATTCTAATGCTGACCAAAAGGAAGCTGGAATAACTATATTAATTTTAGACAAATTAAACTTCAGGAAAAATACTTAAATAAAGGCATTGCAGAAGGTAGACAAGTATCCACAAAGACATAATAATCCTTAACATGTATGCACATCTTCTAAAGCTCACATGGAATACTAACCAAGATAGAACATTATGGATCAAAAAACACATTAACAAATTTAAAAGAATAGAAATCATACTAAGTATGTTTTCAGATCACAACAGAACTAAACTATAGATCAAAATCAGAAAGACAACTGGAAAATAGAAAAAAATGAAGATTAAACAACACACTTCTAAATAACACATGGAATCAAAGCGGAAGTCTCAAGAGAAACTGAAAATATTCTGAACAAAAATGAAAACATAGCACCAAAATTTGTGGTATTCAGTAAAGTAGATCTAAAGGAAAATTATGGCACTAAATGCATATGTTAGAAAAGAAGAAAGACATAAAATCAATAGTCTAAACTTTCTCTAAAAAAAAACTAGAGAAAAAGAACAATTTGGAAGCCTGTAACAAAAAGAAACACAATAAAAGTCAGAATATAAATCAATAAAATTTTAAACAGCAAACAATAGACAAAAATCAATGAAATCAAAAGCAGCTCTTTGAAAAGCTCAATAAAATTTATAAACCTCTAGTTAGGCTAACCAAGAAAAAGAGAAGACACAAATTACTAATATCAGAAATGAAAGAAAGATCATCACTACTGATCACATGGACATTAAAAGGATAATAAAGAAATAGTACAAACAACTCTCTGCCCACAAATTAGATAAAGTGAACCAATTCTTCAAAGACACAACTACCAAAAGTCACAAAAGGAAAAGTAGATAATCTGAAGAGGACCATATCTACCAATGAAATTGAATCAATAATTAACAACCATCAAAACAAAAGCACCAGGCTCAAATGGCTTCACTGGTGAATTCTACCAAAAATTTAAGGAAAAAATGATACAATTTCCACTATCTCTTACAGGAAATAGAAATAATTCCTAACTCATTCTATGAGTCCAGAATTACCCTAACACCAGGAGCAAATAAGAATATTACAAGAAAGGAAAACTATAGATCAATATCTATCATGAAGATAAATGTAAAAATCCTCAACATATTAGCAAATCAAATACAACAATATATAAAAATAATTATACATCATGACCAAGTGAGATTTATTCTAGCTAGGCAAGGCTGTTTTAATATTTAAAAACCAATGAATGTAATTCACCACATTAACAGGCTAAGGGAAAAAAAAGCAATATTACATTACTTGGTACAGAAAAGGCATTTGACAAAATCCTATATCCGTGTATAATAAAAATTATCAGCAAACTAGGAATGCAGGGAAAGTTCTTCAACTTGATAAAGAACAGCTACAAAACACTTCCTTACTTAATAGTGAGAAACCAGTAACTCTCTAAGATCATGAACAAGGCAAGGATGTCCCCTCTCAACAGTCCTAGTTAACATCATACTGGAAGTCCTAATTAAATACATAAGACAAGAAAAGGAAATAAAAGGTATACAGATTGGGGAGGACAAAATTAAATTGTCTTTATTCACAATTTTCTCTGTGCAAAATCCCAAAGGATAGGGGAAAAGTTCCTGGAATTAATGAGTGAGTATAGCAAGGTCACTATAGAAGAATAGAAGGTTAATATACAAAAGTCAATTGCTCTTCTATATACCAAAAATGACCAATTTGTATTTGAAATGAGAGAAAATACATTTGCAATGGCACCCCAAAAATGAAATACTTAGGTATAAAGTCTCAGAAAATATGTATAAGATCTATAAGAGGAAAACTACAAAACTGATAAACAAAATCTAAATAAATGGAGGGATATTCCATTTTCAAGGATAGGAAGACTCAATATTGTTAAGATGTCAGTTCTTCCCAACTTGGTCTATAAATTCAAAGCAATCCAAATCAAAATCCCAGCAAGCTATTTTATAAATTACCTGATTCTAAAGTTTATCCATTTAAGTTTTAAACCTAGAATAATCAACAGAATACAGTAAAGTAAGCTTGAACGACACATAATAGGCAATTTCAAAACTTACTATAAAGGCACAATAATCAAGGCAATGTCGTATTAGCAAAAGAATAGACATATATTACTAGATAAATGGAACAGAATACTGAGCTCAGAAATAGACCCAAACAAATATAATCAACTGCTCTTTGACACAGAAGCAATGGCAATTCAATGGAAAAAGAGAGTATTTTCAACAAATGCCATGGGAATATTTGGATGTTTATATGCAAAAATAAGAAAAATAACTTAGACATAGGCCTTATACCTTTAACAAAAATTAACTCCAAACAGACCATAAACTAAAATATAAAATGCAAAAGTATAAAATTTCTAGAAGAAAACATAGGAGAAAATTTAGGTCACCTTGAGTTTGACAACGAATTTTTAGATACAACACCAAAGCATAATCTACGAAAAAAAATTGGTAAGTTGGATTTTATGAAAAAGTTCATTCCTTACCCAAATGACCACCCATGTACTGGGCTCAGCCAAGTTCATCAGCTCAGGTGTCAATATTGTTTAAGAGAACTTGTTGCATTTGGGAGATTAAGAAGGAAGAGATCCAGGATCCCTGGCAATGTAGTATCCAAGAAATAGGTGATCCCAGCAAGAATCTATGTATACAATTTGGTGTGAGTAATCTTTCACTTGGCCACAAAAAATTTTACCCACTTAATCATCTGAATAAATTTCTATCTCTCATCCTCTTTCTCATTAAGTATGCATTACTATCTATTTCACTAGGGTATTTTGTGACTTAATAGTGTGCACTGATTTGAGCCTTAACAGGGGAAAGAGCTAAACAAAATTCTTTATGTATGTATTTGTACTATGGAGAATACAGAATCATGATAAATATGCAATAACAGTATAAAACAAAAAGAGCTTTAGGACAGACAGATGAAGGAGGTGATGTGGAGAACAGAGACACAGACATTGTATAAACCACGGCTAAAGAGATAACTAGGGCAGATATCCAGGCAAGAAAAACCAGTTAGATCAGTTGTAAATCAAATATATTTAACTATTAATGTCTTGGTGGGGTGAGGGGAAAATGACCTTATATTTTGATTAGACATGGATACATATGAATGTTCAAACCAAGACTTGTAGCAGGTATTGCTAGATATTATCCATTGCCTCTTCAGATAACACTTTCTACCTTGTGTCCAATCTGCCCCAGCAGTCTGGCCTTTATGGTCTACATTAAGGGATCCCTTCACTCTGGCGTCCCAGGAAGGCCAAGTGGCAGGAGAGCAGAAGGCAGGAAGAGAGTGAAGCAAGAGTATTTATCTTTTGAACTCCCTCCCTTCTGTGCTGTGGTGGATGATGGCTGGGTTCCTTCCCCAAGTTCCTAGCAGATAGCCTCTCCCAGCTGCCTTCTGCTCTTGCACCACCCCTCATTAGCTTTTCTTGACCTTGCCCACATCTTTGAAACTGTTCCTTAGTTTATTTCTCTTCATCTGTTACCTACCTAAACTCTTACTGATAAAAGCATAAAACGTGTACAAAGAGAATATGAAATGTATTAATTTGCTGATGAGAGCTTTTCAGTTGTAATGCAAGAGATCTTATGGGAAAAATAGTGTAAATAGGATGCACCTGCTCTGTGGAGCCTACTCTGAACCCCAGAAGTTGGTTATGCCTTCTTTGTTCTCCTTGCCCTTTACACATAGCACATCATTATTGTGGGACTGTGGTGGACATGAAAGAACTTAGTCAAAGGGACCTCATGTGGGAAGTGTTTCATGAGGTGAGGGATCTGAGAAATAAAGGAATCCCTAAAGTTCTGGCAGTTGGAGTTATATGAACTCAGTCACCTGAGGTTGGCTTCCACAGTTGTGAACAACCAAGAGACAGCAAGTGCTGCACAATTCAGTGAGGCCCCTCTTACCTTCAATGCATCCATCTCCTCAGACAGTGAGAGCAAGATACACATCTGTAGATCTCCTACTCTAGTTGAGAATACACAATAAGAACATAGTGTTTATTAATGAGCCCAGAACTGCCTTCTTCCTAGTGGTATTCCCTGACAAAGACAAGTACAAGCTGTTTAAAAGAACATCGTTTAATATCAAAACATCTAGGTTATGATAACCCCAACACTACACACCCTGAGACATTATATGTATATGTATATGCTTTTTATCCCCAGTGCCAAAACAAAACTATTTTGAGAGAGGATTTACTTTTTTAAAGAATTCTCATGTCAAAGCAAGCAGGAGTGGTTTTTTAACATCTAAATTGAAATAAGAACTGCATGTCTGTCTGCATAGTTTAAGTGAGTCTCCAATCCCTGAAGTCAGAACATTAAATTCAGGGTTTTTCATACAAATAGCAAACAGGAGTTCACCCAGATAATCTCCGAAGCTACCAGCTAAGAGGCCATAACTGGCACTAACTCCTTTGTCACATACGCGCATTTGGTGTTCTCAGCTCTCCTCTTAATCACTAACTCCTGGCTCTTTCTCTGCATGATTTTTGGGCATGTCCCTCCATCACGGCCTCTGCTGTGTCAGGTCTACCATTATAGACCTTGGAGCCCATGGTTCCTGTTCTCACTTCCTTGACTCCTTTCATCTTTCCACCCAAGAATAATTTTTCTCCAATACAATATCTTTATATCATCTTCCTGTTCACCAGGTTCAAATGACTGAATGTACTCAGACCTGTTTTCTCATCTGTAAAAATGATACTACAATGGGGCTGAAAGAATCAAAGGTCTCTTTTATCTCTGATCTCATTATTCCTCCACCGAACTCATTTGATCTCATGTAACAATCTTTTTTGTGGTTGGCCCCTTGCTGTCAGCCACTCTTCACACATTCATCTAACAAAATTTACTGAGTGCCTGCAATGGAAGAACACAAGTGCTAGGTTCTAGAAATAAAATTAAAAATTCCTTTCTTTGACATGCAATAGCAGTTATCATTTCTGAGCACTTCTACATGGAGTATTTCAGGAGGGCTCATTGTATCCTCACAATAAACTTATGACAGAAGCATTATTGATAACTCCACTTTATAGATGAGAAAACTGAAACACAGGTTAATACATGGCCCAAGTCATATAACTAGTAAGTGACTGAGCCAAATGTCATTGGTTCTAAATGATTATGCCTCTGAAATAATTACAGTGAAAAGTTCTTAAAGACATTAATAAAATACTGAACAGGAAGATCTTAGCTTTGCTGCAGTTTCTAGGATGAAGGGCTACTTGAGCTCCAAGAAGCTTTCCACCCCTACCCCATGCCGATGCCATGCCCCATCTGGAGCACTCATCACATAGTCTCAGCCAAGTCATTTCCATCTCAAGCATTGTGCAAAAGACAAACACTCACCTTGAAAAAAACCATCTTCAATGAATGGACTGCCATCTGTGCTTTATTATTTTGTACATAAGATTGTTACTTTGTACATATACTACATTTGACATAATTTTTTTTAACTTGTTCTCATGCCATGCTTAATCTCCCCAACCAATCTATCAAGAACACCTCCAGCCAAGCCTGGTATAGTGCTTATCAAATAGCAAGCAAAGCTTGTTAATAAATCAAGCAATTCACTTTGTCCAGGGAGTCAAATCCAAACCCTCCAGACAAGTTTGATGACATTCACTAACCTTGACCTGGCAGAGCCTCCCCCATCAATCCACCAGGGCTGAGTTGACAACAATTCTCCTCCAATCAGTTCTCCACACTCCTATCCCTGTGACTTTTATCTTGTATTAAACGATCACATAAACACTGAGCCTCCAAAGCAGTGAAAGGAACTTTTATTTTCTCATGGTTTCCATCTCCCAGCTTCTTCTATTGTATCGTAAATCCAAAACTGCCATAAAAGTTAGAAGCTTCAGAAGTGTCTTTTATAGGAATTTGGATTGTAGTCAAACATCTACCCTCAGTGTTCTCTTTCCAGTGTGGCATTTCCTCCCTACCACCTAATACAAGTATACACAGTATGGTAGGAAGACCTGCAGACCTAAGCAGGTTTGAGCTATTTTTCCATCACTCATCATTACAAATGTGTTTGTGTTTTCACTGTGGGGTATTCTTAAACCCTGCTGCTGGTGATGCTTTCTGTAAACAGTAATTCTCAAGTGCCTTATTGTGAATACAATGAGTCATCTCCAGTGCAGAGAAGTGGCTTTATTTAGGACTGGCCAGAGGGGGATGGGCATCATTATATTCAGTTTGATAGAGGATCTGCAGAATTCTCTCATTGCCCTGTACAGCAGGTCCAGTTTCTTTTTCGTTCTCCTGATAGAAGGACTGTACGCCTAAATATTCAGCACATATCCCCAAATTGATGTTTTACCTAAATTGTTTCTTAATTGGCTCAAATTAAGTGCATTTTGCAAATCCTCCCTCAGTCTAGTCTGTGGCCTAATGACTGTCTGACATAGGAAGCACTAAATGTTTAGTTAATATTTGCTGAACAATTAAAAAAAGGAAAAAATAGAAACAAAGGAAAGGAGGTAAAACTGATAACTGTGGGTGAAAAGAAGTCAAGGTCAAAGCCTGCATCTCTGTCTGGTTCATGAACAACTGAGCCTTACAGGGTTAAAACTATTCTGTGACCCCCAGGAGCCAATCAGTCCCCTCAAATTTATACTGTTAGGAGAACCTTTTGAAAGAAAGCAACCAGCTTACAGCAACTCATCCCCACTGCTGGAAAAATACAAGTCAACATATTTTGACCTCTGATGGTAGAGCCGCAAAACTAATGTATCAGATATCTACTTCCATAATAGTACTGCATAACAAAGAGCCACAAAAACCTCAGTAGCATTCAGCAATAAGCATGTATTGTTTATGCCTGGGCCAGCTGAGGGCTGGCTAGATGGCTCTGCTAATCTTGGCCAGACTTGTTCACGTCTGCAGTCAGCTGGCAGTTAGCTGATATCAGCTGGCCTTGGCTGGGGAAACAGGGATTCCTCTGCCCTGTTCCACGTATCTCTCATCCTCTAGAGCAGGCTATGCAGACATGTTGTCATGGTGATGGAAGAGAAGCTTGCCACTAGAAATACACAAGGGCTCTTGAGGTCTAAGCTCAGAGCTGGTATACCCTCATCTCTACCTCATTCTAGTAGCCAAAGCAAGCCACACAGCAGAGCCCAGGAACAGAGAATTGTTAATATGTCCTGCCTTTGGAGTTCGAGACCAGCCTGACCAACATGGTGAAACCCCATCTCTACTAAAAATACAAAAGTTAGCCAGGTGTGGTGGCACACACCTGTAGTCCCAGCTACTCAGGATGCTGAGACAGGAGAATTGCTTGAACCCTGGAGGCAGAGGTTGCAGTGAGCCGGGATCGTGCCATTGCACTCCAGCCTGGGCGACAGAGCGAGACTCGGTCTTAAAAAAAAAAAAAAATGTCCTGCCCTCAGTGGAAATGAACTGTAAAGTTAAATGGCAAAGGAAGTGGTACAGGGAGAGATGGAGAATTAAGACCAGTGATGCAGTCTACCCCAGGTATATTTACATAAAAATAAAAAGCAGAGTATTATGAATTTATGAATTGCAAAGATGGAACCCATGCATATTTATAGATTCTGAAGTAACCAAACTAAAAGACAGTGCTTATTTTTTCTAATAAATATCTAGCTCAGACATTATTTTTTTAACTCATTCTTATTGTCATTATAATTAGTTAAATATTAGCTTGAGGTAAAAAAAATCATGCTGTGAATGAATTGATTTCTTTCTTCTATGGGTATTCTTTAGTCAAATGGTCTGGTAAAACACTTTTATGAGCTACTAAAAGCTTTGAACGTTTATGTAAGTCTATGACAACAGTACATTTTTCCAATTTTTACAGAGGAGAATTAAAATATCCTATCTGATATAACAAGGATTATGAATAGATTAAAAAATTATTTCAGTATTTTAAATTTAATACTCTCATTTAACAGGTTTGACAAAATGAAAAGTATTAGATTCTGATTCCTAGATTTGTATTTCTCATCTGATTCAATTATGTAAGCTTATATTTTAGAAATGCCAACTCCTTTACATCAGGGCCAAGACTAAATAACTCTGCAATATCAGAAGAAGCGTCACATTGAAAGAATGCTGAAATGAAATTACATTTCATCTCTACAAAAGTCAGAGTCTCTATTTCTGGGTTCAATGCATTTGACAGTTTAACTACCTACATTGTTTTTATCATATAAAAAAGGAGAGTGTTTTAATTTCAATCCCTTAACCTTCTAGCAATGAAATAGTTCCAGAGAATATAATGAATATAAAAGGGGTCAGTGTTCAAATTATATTCATTTATAGCTAATTGGAAAGTTTCTTTTGTTGCTGAAGACCAGGACCTTTTTCCTGTCTATCTGCTAGTGACTATCACTCTGATGCCTTAATCTTCAAGTGGACATTCTCTTCATTCAGTGCAATTATAGTAACCTGAAAGGTAATGTAGTCTCATAAGAGATATGCCATCATCACACAGATTTATGGGCAGAACCACATCCATAAAATTTAGAAAATTGCTTGTGTACTACCAGCCTATTTTGCCTGTTAATATAAATAATATTTTCAACATTAGCTACCAAGAGGACAAATTTCTCATAACTGACTTTCTGCTTAATTCTGTCAGATAATCTCTGCTGTAATATGATGAAGAATATACTGTGAAGAATTTCTGACAAGCTTCGTTTTTCTAGGGTGTTTTGCTGAAGAGGCCCAATCTGTTGTTTATTTGGGGCTGGTACCGCATTAAATTGATTTAGGGACACCATTTTCCATTTTTCTATCTTCCATGCTCTGTTAACTTATGTCATATTTATTACAACTCTTGGTTTTGCATGTATGTTTCAATTTGTGGTAGCAAACTGATGAAACACGTTTCTCCCCTTTTTTGTAAAATGGTGTTTAACAACTGCTACTCCTATTAATGTATTGCCACCTTATAAGTAAACTCAACATGAAGAGATCTACACAATATTCTGATTAAGAAATTCTACCTGGGGCACAGAATATATGTGAAATACCTTTTCAAATAAAAACTTGGAGGAAGTAAACAGAGCAAATGCATAAAAGAAGAACATATGTTTTATGCTACCAAATTATGCATCATTATTTTGAATAGCTAACCAAAGTTTGTTACAGATACTAAAGCTTCGTTTAAATTTTAGTCCATTTGCAGTTTGTCATTGTTGTTTAAAATTCCTCAGGCAGGGGTGTGAGTGGAGGAAGTTACTTCTCTAGGGAGATGAACTCTAAAATCTTGTTTCTGGGAGATACTGCAATTTGTGGTCTCAGATTCTAGACTATTCCAAAGAAAGCTCTCTGAGCTCCTGTGTGTTAATTTATGACATATCTGCTCTCACCCGATAGGTTTGTGCTTTATCACGAGTCTCAGGGAGCCCATCAGGGCTCACAAAGGAAAGAAGTCTGAGACACATAAAAAATATATGACTCCAAGCCAGGGAGCACTTTACGTTGTACACAGCAAAGGAACCCCTGGTACCACTGAACATGAAGGTCATGTTCTACGCAAGTACAAGGACTGGGCTGCCATCCTTACATTCTTCATGTTATTAAAACAAAATGTCTAATCATGCCTGAAGCTGCCCAAAGCCTTGTTGGCGAAGAGATATCAAGCTGGAACACAGCAAGTCCACACCTTCTGCTTTCACCCACTCCCACTTTCTGTATGCACACTCTGACCCTGCTCTGGCCAGACTGACCTATTTATCCCCTTCCCCTAAAGGTATCTCATGTTTCCCACCTTCAAGCCTCTCCACACCTATATTTTACTCATCTTTTAAGGTCCAATTTCTTAGAGTACTCCAAATCCAAAGTCAGTGCGATCTCCAGAGAGAAACAATACTTTTAATTTCTCTACTGTCCATATAGCTACCATAAGACTTATGTAAGTATTCACTGTTTCCCTAATAGATTACACATTTTCTAAGGATAAAACCATATTTGAATGTCCAGTTATGCTCCTAAGTGGCTAACATTGAGCCTTACTCAAAGTAAATGCATAACACAAATTTGTTTTTATGCTTTTAATACATGTTGGTATTTTTAATATTTTTCTTCTCGACAAAAGAACACAACATCATCATACATACAACCTTCAAACATAAATGAGAATGTAAAAGCCATAACCTCCATCAATGTCCAATCAAAGTGCTGGTCAATGGAAGAGAGAGTTTACACCATTGACCCAAGCATATGTTTCAGGCTGTGGTGAAGCTTGAAATTTTCATATCATTTATTTGCTGGATGACCCAATTAGGTCAAAACCTACTTTTCTTTATTGGAATGAATCCCCTAGCAGGTAGGTCAACTCCGCAGGACAAAGCTTCTAAGCAAATGTGAGGTCGGTTAATTCTCATATCAACTCTAATTTGCAGCAAGACTCCCATGGCATTTCAAGAGGCTTTGAGTCTTTCTGAGGCTTAAAGAGTGAGGTAGTAGCTTCTTTTGAGCAATTGGTAATACTTTGGGTCAAGAACGGTAGCTATGGAACATATCCTAATAATCACCTTCTCAAATGTTACAGAGTCTTGCAAGTGACAGAAAAAGATGGAAAAAAATACTCTCACAGTTTAGGAAACTGCTTTCATAAGCTTTGGCATCTCTAAAACTTAGATTCCAGCCCATCCAAAGAGCTCTTTCTGCAGTATCTGTTTTCAGGAAACATTTTCATCATTGATCCAAGCATCAGAAAACAAAAACAAACATAAAAATACAACATAAGATCCCAAAAGCATCAGCATTCAATCACTGTCATTACATGAATTATACTTGAAGCATGAGCAAGACACATGAGGCCCTATCTCAAAGATGAGCCACCCCTACTGGTGATAGAGGGCACCCAGAGAGAAGCAAGACCCTCATTTACCACCAGCTGACCCACAGGCTCTGAGCTCCTCCAATGACTGAGTCCAAAGATGTAGCTTCCCCTCACTCTTTCAAAACTAGTCCTATGTTTTCAATAACTAGCTTTTCTCTGCCTCAGCATCCTCGAGTATACAACAAAACAGTAGAGGATGATAGAAAAATGTGGGCTTTAGAGTTGGAGTCCAACAAACCAAGGTTATGATCTTGGATAACTTCATCAATCTCTCTTAGCTTTAGTTTCTTCATCTGTAAAATAAGAACAATGTTTGCAGGACTGCGGCGTAAATAAGCTAATACACAGGTGAGAGTAAATGTTAGCTATTATCATTATGAGTACTGTTATTATCAGGGTGTCAGATTAGGTTATCTTCTAAATATCCATTCTACTTCCAAGGCTTATAAAATAGAGTTTGAATAAAGCCCCCATTCAACCTTTAATAACCCTAAAGATTAATTTGCTCCTTCTGCATAATAATGAAAGGACAAGGTACCTTGCGGATCCTAGGGCATATCTGTTCAAGCACCAAATACTTTTTAAAATTAAGAAAATAAATAATACTTGGAAAATGGCCCCATTCCAACAAAACCCTTAATGTTTAATCCGTAAGAAGTCATCTGAACTCTCATTTAACTAGCTTTCCTGATGGACTGATTGTATGGGGGACATGGAAAATGTGAATACCAAGTAATGAGACTGATTTTGGCAAGACATCAGAGAAATCAGCCTAAATTACTCCTTAGTCACACTTACATAGGAAAATCATTTTAAGAGACTTTATATCAAAAGGATTAATAAATACCAGTCAAGTCATGTTTTCCAGGGACTTCCAGGTCACATGGTGATTTACAAACAGGTGTCTAAATCCCCCTTCCCCCACCCCAGATTCCAGGTGAAATATCAAGTAGAATATTAAAACGTGAAAATAAAGTTTCATGTTGACTTCTCTAGTTTTGTCGGGCTATTTATAGGGATCAAATAGTGATCTTATTATAGATCACTCCCACAGCAACTTGGTCCTTGCCCATTTCTCTTTGCCATCCTTCCCACAATGGGTGCTTCAACTTTCATTCCACTCATTGTATCTGATACATATGTACAAATTCTGTCAGTTAAAAATAAATTTTTAAAAATTTTAAATGTACTATCTATTCTTTAAAATTAGTTTATCCTCTATTACTATTTTAATGTAGATATAGAGAGAAAAACATACCTACACATGCTTACACCATTTAATTTTATATGTAGTTTTCTTTATGGAACATGGGATCAGTCATTCAAAACAAATAATTTTGTCATCTTCAAAAATTCCAGAGTCTAGATATTGTTATGACTACCTGGACGGGGGAAAATCTTAACTAATCATTAAGTTAAAAATTAGCTAATAATTATTAGAGCTCAGAATGAACAAAACTAGTTAAGCCGCATACCTTACAGAATTCTACCTTGTCAAGTCAGGCCTTTTAGATTCAGCAACCCTAATTATCCATTTCAGACCTGTTGAATTACTTAAAGTACTCAATGTGGCCAGTTCTATCCCCTCCGGACCTATGCACTTTCACCTCCCTCTCCTGTCAACTTAGAAGGGCCTTCCCCACCATTTTCCCAGGAACACTTCCTACTCTTCCTTCCAGACTTAACTCAGGTGATTCCTCTGGGCCTCCTTTATGAGCCTATCCAGAAAAATGAGGTGCTCTTCCCTCTGCTCCCACCAAACCCTGAGCATCTCTCTTCACAGCATTCCTGCCACTGTTTTGGGGCTACTTGTGTACTTGCCTATCCACCCCCTTCCGCAAAATGCCTGGTTTTTATCTTTAAAGGTAGGTATTTGTTTTTCCTTATACATCTTTGTCTTCCCCGACACCCAAATACAGCCTGGTGTAAACTACCAGCATTTAATAAATATTGAATAAATAAATGAATGGATGGAAAATAAACAAAAAGCTTAAGTCTCTCTCTACATTATTATAACCTCTTAGTGAAGGATATATGAAATGACATCACCTACAAGTATTAATGGCAAAATAAAAACATAGATAATGAGCACTTTAATGTGCTTTCATTAATTTATTTATGAAGAAATAATGTGACATTCAAGTTTGGGGGGATTCCTATACCCTAATATCTACCATTATTAAATAATAGTTTTCAGTCTCTGTCTACATAGTCATTATATAACAAGAACACATGCCCAGCTGGGCACAGTGGCTCATGCCTATAATCCCAGTACTTGGGGAGGTTGAGGCAGGGCAGATTACTTGAGGTCAGGAGTTCAAGACCAGTCTGGCCAACATGGTGAAACTTCATCTCTACTAAAAATATAAAAATTAGCCAGGTGTGGTTTGCATGCCTGTAGTCCCAGCTACTTGGAGGCTAAGGTGGGAGAATCACTTGAACCCAGGAGGCAGAGGTTGCAGTGAGCCAAGATCACACCACTGCACTCCAGCCTGGGCAACAGAGCAAGACTCCATCTCAAAAACAAACAAACAAACAAAAAAAAAAACAAGCAAAAAACCACACATGCCCCTACCAGCCAAGTATCCTTTAGATAACATATTATTCTGCACATGCTTCCACATTGTTACACTTCCCTCATAATTATCTCTAGTCTTGCCAAATAACCTGTTAATTTATTCATAATTTAAAGGCAATAAAGCAGAGCCTTGAGCAAGGCTGCCTGAGTTTAAATCTGGACTCTCTCACTTTGCAAGTGTTTGATCTTGGATAAGTCACTTAACTTCTCTGTGCCTCAGTTTCCTCATCCTGTAACATAGAGATGATAATAAGAGTGCTATCATATGGTTTTGGTGAAGACTAAATGAGCTAATACATTTAAAGTGATGATAAGAGGTGGTTTTGTTTTGAGACTGGGTCTCACTATGTTGCCCAGGCTGGTCTCAAACCTGTTGGTCTCAAACTTCGGGCTCAAGCAATCATCCCATCTCAGCCTCTCAAGCAGCTGGGATTACAGGGAGGCCATCTTGAAGAGTTCTTGATACATGGTACAAACGCTCTAACTATTAGCTATATATTTTTATTGTAATTCTGAATTCACTAATATTGGTCTAGGTTGTTTCTATATTATTTGCATCACACTAGCACATTTAAGCATATGGATTTGAGGATGGTTTCTTGGGTAGTTGGTTTTGTTTCAAATTCTCAAGATTTCTAACTAATTTCCAAAAGGGCTTCTAATCTACTTTTTAAATGCTCATGTAAAAATTACTTAATTTTATATGTGTAAACTACTTTTTAAGAAGATACTTCACAAAATCTCGACAACCTACACAGATAGACAATTGTCAAAGAAGTTGGAAGGGGCCAACATTTTAGTTTGTACTTGAAGCTTTTCATCTCAGAGGAGTTGCTAAGTTACTATCTCTATGCACATCCTAGCAAGAGGGAGAGGGTTGTGACCAAAGAAACAATACTTTTTTCCTACTGTGCTTCACAACTCAAAATTCATTGATTCGTATGTATATTTTGTTTTGTTTTGTTGTGACTAAACAATCCTAGTTTCTTTCATCTCTTTCAATGAAAGGAAACATGTCTGTCAAAAAAAAAAAGGGGGAACAGCAAAGGGAAAACATCCCTCAGAGAAAGGAGTGAACAATATAAAGGTAAACAAACCAGGGATTTCTTTGATATTGCCCATTTGTTTGTGAGAACAAAGTAACAAACACTGAAGGAGAACCAAGTATAGATTAGGCATAAGGTAAAAGGGAGAACATTATTCTTCATTGTTCTTATCTCAGAGGCATCTACTACTAAATGATGTGGGGCACAGAAAGTGGGCAAAGGAAACACTCATACTCTATAAACTTACCTCCTCTGGGTGATAATACATGTACACCCAGTGCCGTTTCTTTAGCAAAACGTATTTGAAATGCAAACCCCAAATCATGTTCATACTCTATGTCTTTTGCTTTCTAGATGTGGAATCAAAAAAAAAAGGACCTTTTGGTTTATCTAGGCCTAATGAGGTTGTCTTTGATTCTTGATTATCAAATAGTTCATTTGTTTAACCAATATTCATACTTTTGTATTTTTGATATAATTGTACAAATTTGGGGAATACATGTGATATTTTGATACATGTATATAATGTATAATGATCAAATCATGGTAATTGGGATATCCATCACCTCATTTATCTGTGTTGGGAACATTATAAATTTTCTCTTTTAGCTATTTTTAAATTACATTATTGTAAACTAATTTCCTTACTGTGCTATTGAATACTAGGCACAGATCACAATAAGATGCACATAAACTGGACAAAAGTCTTTGTCACCACGAACACAGATATGTACTGAATTTGATTCCCAAATCTGCTCTGTGGCCTTAGTCAAGTTACTGAACTCACCTGAGCGAGTTTCCTATGAAATGAAAATGACAGTAATTGTGGTGCATCTCCTTGTACAGCTGCTGGGAAGGCCAAATGGGCTAATTCTTATAAAGCACCCTGTGCATAGTAAGCCCTCAATAAATGCTAGCTACTGTTGCTATTGTTCCTTTCATTGAGAGATGTTTTGTGGTGGGTTTTTGTTGTTTTGTTTGTCCATTAGCCAAGTCAGAATATGACCTCTGGCTTGTATTGTCCAGTGCTATTTTTCATAGAAATGAATTTTTTTTTTTTTTAAAGAGACAGGGTTTTGCTCTGTCACCCAGGATAGAGTCTGGAGTGCAGTGATATGATCATAGCTCACTGTAACCTCAAACTCCAGGGCTCAGTGACCCTCCTGCCTCAGCTTCCCAAGTAGCTGAGATTACAGGCAAGCACCACCGTGCCTAATTTTTTTTTTTTTTTTTTTTGAGACAGAGTTTTGCCCTTGTTGCCCAGGCTGGAGTGCAATGGCGCAATCTCGGCTCACTGCAACCTTCGCCTCCCAAGTTCAAGCAATTCTCCTGCCTCAGCCTTCCTGAGTAGCTGGGATTACATGCATATGCCACCATGCCTGGCTAATTTTGTATTTTTAGTAGAGATGGGGTTTCTCCATATTGGTCAGGCTGGTCTTGAACTACTGACCTCAGGTGATCCATCTGCCTCAGCCTCCCAAAGTGCTGGGATTACAGGCGTGAGCCACCGCACCCGGCTTTTTTTTTTCTTTAAGAGAGAGGGGTCTCACTATGTTGCCCCCAGGCTGACCTCAAGTGATCCTCCTGCCTCAGCCTCCCAAAGTGCAGGTGTTACAGGCATGGGCCACTGGCACCTTTCCTAGAATGGATTTTCAACTCTGTTTAAAGACGATTGCTAATGCACAGCCAATTGAATGCTTATTAAGTAGAAATTAAACTTGCTTTCAAATAATGAGAACATATGTCACAGATGAAGAGTTGGTCCTAGTGCAAGTTTACAAATAAAAGACAAAGAACCTTTCAGCTATTGTGACTAGTTAGTCCCTTCTTTTACAGATGTGCCCATCTGTGTGACAAAAGAAGCAAGGCCTTTTCAAATCTTTGCAGAGATGGCACATGATAAAAGTCAGGTTCCACTGGCTTGGATGCTGATTGCCCCTTCAGGATTACAACCACCCCAGTTCCCTGCATTGTTTGTGCTATATCATGAGAGAACAGGGGCACATGAGGACAAGATTTCTTTTCATTTCACCTTTCAGCAGCCTTGTCTGAAACCACACTGACTGTTGTTAAAAATGATGCAAATTGTGCCTCCTTTCAGAAAAGCACAAACCATTCTCCCGTTTTCCCCCAGTCCAAGAACTGTACAGGACCTTCATTAGCTAGAGGAACACGATGATGGCAGTGCCTATTTTAAGCAGAAAGATGCTCTAAAGGGAAAAACCTAAAAGGCTTCAGACAAAATACTATTCAGTTTATTATACTATTGATTTTTAGAATACTCTTCAGCTTTGCTTTTTTTGCGGATATATGTCAAATAACCAGCAGTGCTTTAAGTTACTTGTAGAAGTATTTATCATATATATTTTTTCTTAGAGAAGAGAAATAAAGCTTTGGTATGGACTAACCCAAAATTGTTTGGGAGGTAAAACAAAACTTTCAGATCAGTTATGTGGCAATAATCAAGACACCCAACATGATTTTAATTTTAAAAGGGAGAATTCCATTATAAAAATCTACCAAGTTTCCTCAGGCTCATCCCCACACATACCTTTTCTGGTCTATGTAAGTTCACCTGTTTAGCAAAGGGATGGGATTGACTAATTGGACACTCAAAGCTTTCCCCCAGCTCTGAGTTCATCCCAGCTTCTTTAGATTTTTTTTAAGAACAAAGAAAAACCAATATTTTGGGAACTCTTACATGTAGATAATGTCAGAATTAATTTCCACTTGTGGCAGGATTTCAGTAAAGTTATAAGACCTCATATACTTTTTGTCTAAGTTAAAGCAACATCTTTACATCACTTTAAATTATACAAACTTCTAACCAATAAAAACAGGAGAAGTATGGTGTGTATTTGTTTCCATGGGCTTCCATAATGAAGGACCTTCTTGGGTGGCCTAAAGCAACAGCAATTTGTTATCTCACAGTCCTGGAGGCTGGAAGTCTGCCATCAAGGCATCAGCAGGCCCATGTTCTCTGCAGGCTCTAGAGAGGACCCTTCCTTGCCTCCTCCAGTGTCTGGTGGTCACTGGCAATCCTTGCCTCCTGGATGTATCACTCCAATCTCTGCTTCCATCTTCACATGGCTTTCGCCCCTGTGTGTGTGTTTTCTCTTCTTATAAAGACATGAGTCATTGGATTAGGGCCCATCTTAATGTGGTATGATCTCACCTTAACTTATTTAATTAAATATGTAAAGACCCTATTTCAAAATAAAGTCACATTCTCAGATTCCAGGTGGACACAAATTTTGGGGAACATTATTTAACCCTGTACATATGGAGTGCAAAACTACTCACCTTTCCTTTACCAAGGAATTTCTAAGGGAGTCAAATTAATTTAAAATCTTCACCAACTTCTCAACAAGTGCACAGCTTTATTATATCCAAGATCATAAAATCTGTCATTTTTCTTGCTTATGTTGATATTGTGCTTTATATTTACAAAGTTTTTTCATATTGCTTCATTTGATACTCACAAGCACAAATACTCATTCTCACACAAGTAGGCAGGGTGACTGGTCTCTTTTTACAGATAAAGTGAGGGAGAAGGGAAGGAAGCTTACCTTTTATCAAATAACTACTCTGTGCTAGATACTGTTACTAGTGCTTCATGAGTTGTCTTATTTGATCTATATAAAAAACTCAAAGGTTACTGTAAGTAGTATTATTCCCATTCTGAAGTAGAGTATAGCATAAAATAGCACTAAATAACTTACCCAAGGTCACACACAGCTAGTAAGTAACAGATCTGGGGCTGCCGCTCAAATGCACCTGTGTTCTAAGTCCATCATGTTTCCATTCTTCCTTCTCAATTAAGCCTTCTTCCTAACAAGTCTTTAACTTTGTTCATGGTTAGAATTTGCTAAAATATGTTTGGTGGTTGAAAGTCATGACAAACTCAGTGATCTCATTAAAGGATCAACCGGAGAGATCTAGGCCACTTAACATGACACATACAGGGGACTATGCTTTTTGTAGTTATCCTTCATGTTGCAATAAAATGCAAAATTTTCCTAACTTTGAAAATAGAGGAAGAATTGTGGTGGTAAGAATCGTCAAAAATTTACCCACTTTTGGAATAGCCTCAACTAGAGTAACCCTCTAGGACTTTCATTTATTCTTCTCTGTGAGTACCAATAGGGTGAAGTCAAAAAATGACTCCACCATTCTGTGGATGGCCCAAATCATGAGAATGAAGGAAAAGAAGTTATCATAACCTTAAGAAAGAATAAGTGGGAAAAACCATTGTTCCAAATGTGGGCTTGAATATGCTGTAATGTTTCAAAGCAGCAAGTAAAGTATACTTGTTAAGGATACTCTACCCACCTATGAACCATTGGAGAAAATGAACTATTTTGATGCTGCCTTTAAAGAGTTGTATCTTCAGAGAAGCCAAAATTCACTGCTGAAAGATTCCTTCTTGAATCTGTCTCAGAAACAATCTTGGATTTAGAATGTACATGTATATACTTGTGTATGTGATTATACTTAACACCATCAGTTCTACCTTATATTATAAATATACCATGATAACAGAACTTTCTTTTCAGATTGTGTCAAAAAAGAAAAAAAAAAAGGGTCTCACTCTGTCACCCAGGCTGCAGTATAGTGATGCCATCTCTGCTCACTATGATCTGCCTCTCAGGCTCAAGCAATTCTCATGCCTCAACCTCCCAAGTAGCTGGGATTACCTGCGTGTGCCACCACACCTGGCTAATTTCTGTATTTTTAGTAGAAACAGGGTTTTGCCATGTTGGCCAGGGTGGTCTCGAACTCCTGGACTCAAGTGATCTGCCTGCCTCGGCCTCCCAAAATGCTGGGATTACAGGCATGAGCCACCTCACCCAGACTCTTTTCAGATTCTTAATGCATTCTACGTATTTACAAATAAATATTGCTAATAGCTACCATCTATTGAATACCTACTGGGTGCCAGGCAGCTAAGCACTTACTGTACATATTCCTAGTTGTCACAATAATCCTACATGGTACTTTTTACTGATCCTCATTTTACTGGTAAAGGCTCTGAGACTGAGAAGTTTAATGTCATTCAAAACCTACTAGATGGGTGAGCCAGAATTTGGACTCAAGTTCACATAATTCCAAAGCCTGCCACCACACAAGGAAAATATCCATTTATTCACTTATATAAGATTGTTGACCTCTTTAAATATGCCGGTTTCATCCTAATCCTCTAAAAAAATTAGTCATTCTCATCTTTTGAAGTCCCTCTGACCTAAGGGTGATTCACAGAGGATCAAGTAGGTAGGATCAAGAATCCTCATCTTCCGAATACATTCATCTTTTTAGCTTGATAAAGCCAGAATGTTGGGGCCTAACTACGTAGACAATTTCCTCACATTTAATTAGAAGACAGACCTAAGACTTGTCTTTGAGGCCAAATGCTACATACCAAGTTTTCACCATGAATTATGTTTCATGAGAACATGGTTGAATCCATATTAATACTGGATATCTAATAGAGATCATGTTATAAATGAAACAACCATTTATGGATAGGTAAATATTATCAAGTACATGTTTACATTTTCATATTACATAGCAAATCGTTAGGAAACCAAGTGATTAAATTTGGGGTTTTGATGGGGTACACATGGATGTAAAAATGGAAACAGAGACTGGGGGTTATAAGGGGTGCAGGCATAGGGCTGAAAAACTACCTATTGGCTGCTATGCTCACTACCTGGATAACAGATTCAATCACACTCAAAACTCAGCATCACACAATATACTCTTGTAACAAGCTTGCACATACACCCCCTGAATCTAAAAGTTGAGGCCAGGCGTAGTGGCTCAGGCCTGTAATCCCAGCACCTTGGGAGGCCAAGGCGGGTGAATCACCTGAGGTGAAGAGTTTGAGACTCACCTGGCCAACATGGTGAAACCCTGTCTACACTAAAAATACAAAAATTAGCCAGGGATGGTGGTACGACCCTGTAATCCCAGCTACTTGGGAGGCTGAGCCAGGAGAATCGCTTGAACCAGGGAAGTGGAGGTTGCAGTGATCCAAGATTGTGCCACTGTACTCCAGTCTGGGCGACACAGCAAGACTCCATCTCAAAATAAAATAAAATAAAATAAAATAAATTGAAAAAAATAAGAACCAACTGTTGAAACCTCAAAAAAAAGGGGGGTGAGGCGGTGGGGGTGAGTTTTGAAAGGTTTAACTTTGCATGCATTGGTTTACCAAAGGAAGAAAAAGGGAGTGGGAGAGACAGAAGAAAGAGAAAAAAAAACTCCATAACTAGAAAATAAATGCCTGCATTGTAGAACTTCTTAAATGTTATTTTCATAAAGTTATATAAACGTATGTCATGCAAATAAGGACAGGTCAAATTGAAATGTTTATAAAATATGCTAAATTTAAGAGTTGTAGTCAAAATGTATTATAGAATCTAACTGTGGAGTTTATTAATTTACATTTTCATGGCATAAAAATAGCAGGACTCAAGCCATGCAGTTAATGTACACAACATTCACTGAATTGTAGACACAAAGAGGCTAAACACTAGAAAGCAGCTTTTAATATTCTGTAATGTTCTTTATCAAGCTGTTTGTACAAGACTTTATGAAACACAGCACACGGCTTAACAATCTCCAGTGCATTATTATACATATCTAACTTTTGCCTTCGGATACTCCCAGCAAAGGACAACAGATTCTCAACTTTACTGTACCAAAGCAATGTGGTCAGGAAAGCAGCTTCCCCGTTCTGCAGCAGCTAAATGTCAGAGAGCCAAGGGTTCCACCAAGATTTCCCAAAGCACAGCAGTTGCCATTAGAAACTTCCTAACCCTCCAATGTTCACTTTACAGAGTGTTCAGAGGGTGATAAACAGATCTTTTACTTGATTTGCCATCTGTGAATTTTAAAGCTGTTAAGGCACTTTTCTGTCTTTATTTCCATGATGCTCCTGATCCCATTTGCTAGTTAGATGCACTCACTAATATATTATTCAGTTCTATTGAGAAAACCATACTGAGGCATCTCCGATTTGACATTACTGTCCAAATTTTTTTTTTTTTATAACATATCAAGTAAAATAAACCAGCTTGAAACCCTGGCCTTTTTTAGTGCTTCAAATAATTCTTTTCATTTCTTTGTTACTGAGAGCTCACATTAGAAAGCTATTAATACATTTGAGTACAATTTATGTTTTCAATGCAACCCAGACAAGAAATGAAAAGGCATGGAGAAGAAACATGGCCTTCCTGGACAGCCTGAATCAGTAAGTCGTTACTCTTCACCAAATGTAGCTTATGTACAAATGGCTTCATTTCCATTCCCCTTCGCTGTGGGAGCCTCAAGAACCACAGTTACAGGAGCTAGAGGATGACGCTGACAGCGGTCACACAGGCAGTACCCACTCGTTTCAATAGCCTTCGCCTTTTCCATTTGTTGGTTTGCGGAAAGACAAAACTGTGCTGATCCTGATTGTATGAGACAAGAAAATCCAGCCAATTCTATTTTACGTGGTACTCTTGCCTTAGTTTCTTTTTCAGTGAGAACAGACGCGCCACTGCTACAGCTGGCCCTGTATGTTATTTTTTTCCAGCATTAGTAATGGAGTCATTGATTCAATCTATATGAATGGAGTCCCTACTAAGTGCCAAGCATATAACAGTGAACAAAACAACCTCTGGCCTCATAGAACTTTCATTCAAGGCGGTGAGATGGGAGGAGCCACCAACATACGAAAACAAATGTAGTCACATTTACATTAATGCCTGAATTACCAAGACTCGGGCTTTCTTTGAAGCCTTCCCCAGCCAATTTGAGGGCACTATCAGATGTCCTGTAATATGCACAAAACCAACCACTCATTTTCCTCCACTTTGGCCTTCTTGCTAGTTGTCTCCTTGTGGGGCAGGTAAGAGACCTGACACACTGCCACATCTACAGGGCTACCACCAGGTCACTGACATAAGAGTCAGCATCTCCACCACTGTTCGCCACTCTCTACCGCTCTGCAGAGGCCACTGGAAGGGTCCAGGGTAAGAAACCTCACCTGGGGTCTATGGCAGGGTAGAGAGAGAAAGCTGGAGGCTCCCCCACCTGCTAATATTACAGTTGGTTACCTCGGCCCTATGGTTCTGTTTGTGCCCAAACTTTCACATGGTCTTTCACAAACACGACTTTTTCCCCTTCTGACCTTCACCTTTCTCTTCACCCAGGCTCCATGTATTCCCTTGTATTCTCATCTCTTTCCCTCATCTCTCTCCAGGCACCTATCCACAAAATAGGTTCCTCTTTTTTCACCAGAAGCAGAAATGTATATGACCATTATCTCTTACAACCACATCCCCATAGGGATGACTAACCTGATGCTCAAAGAGCCACAGTCCACCTTGGACTCCGTTAGGAAGCCCTGCCAGGTATAGATGGGAGAACTGAGCTACCAGCATCAAGGACACCAGCACCAGAACCAGTCTTTGAACTATTCAATTTTATTTCCTAATGAATGTATTTCTCCACCCAAATGCTGTGCATCCCAGGCTCTTCCTCAACCTCTACCTACAGAGAGGATGATCAGCTCTTGTGGGTGAGGTACAGTCACACCAGTCCAGCAATGTGCTTTGCGATTCCTTGCCAGGCTGGATTCCCTAACCATTCTGGTAAGCCTATCAATAAGCTTGCCCAAATGCGGTGAAGACCTCTCTCAGAACAGCCGGAGTATATTAATCCATTTAACCTGGGTTTTCCTAATCAATATGGAAATGTTTAGCCTCTGAATTCTGAAGGATTGATTCCATACTCCTGTATGGCATTCCCTGGCTATCAACTGCCCTGAGTAGGTTAGCCTCAAGATATGTGTGGGCTTTGCTAAATAAACTTTGATAAAATAAGTAACATTTTTCTGATATATATGAAAATGGTTTTCTCATCTGTGTTGGACTTTTCCACAGCTACATCTCCTGTTCTCATGAGAAGTTTTACTTCCTCAGAATTAGTGTGCCTCCGTAACACAAAACTTCAGAAAACTCCCAGGCACATGCATGTCAAATGCATGTCCAATAGGCTTCCACAGCAATCTTCTCATCTGTAATTCACCCAGGGAAGAAGCAAGCACCTCCAGTGTTCTGCAGACTCACAGTAATCCAAGCTGCTTAAATCCTTCATAAATCCTCTGTGCAAAAACACTAAAGAGATTGTCAGCAGGAAATTCAACCACTGGTTACCTCGGACATTCCTAGAAGACTTTTCCTTAATTATCAGCCAGAGCACTATGTCATTAATGCAGACAAGAGTTGACAGCAGCTGGTCTAAGGCAGTAATAGCAGAGACAGACACACAAGGCAGGTTCAGAAGCTAACCAGGAGATGAAATGGGACATGGCTTGTGTGACCACAAACATGAATGCGTGTGAGGAATGAAGGAAAAATAAGACCCAGCAATGATTCCCCAGGTTTCTGGCTTAGATATTTGAGAGGATGCAGCCACTTTTTATTAAACACAGGAGGAAGAGCAGACTTGGGGAGATATATGGTTAACTGCACACTAATTTATATTTGCAAAATGATGAAGCACATGGAGAGCAATTTTTTATTTTTATTAAATTGCTGATTATGTTCTTAAGAGAAAATATTTGTATTTACTATCTATGCATTTGAACCATCAGAACCCTTATTTTCAGGACCCTTATTCCCAAGTTTTCTATGTGTCTCGGTAATTCATCAAATAATATTAACCAGCAAGGGAGGGAAGTAATTAAGTGAAGATGAAATTTTTATTAAAACACTAATCATAAATGCTCATTTACTTATTCGACAAATGCTTACTGAATGTTGGCAATGAGCCAAGTACCAATGTGAACGACAGAAACATAGATAACAATGATACTGAACACATAAGGAGTACCAGCCACCACAATAAGCACGTCATCTGCCATTGACAATCCCCATCATAATCCTGCTAGGAAGGTGTTATTACAATGACTATTCCATAGATGATGAGAACTAAAACTAAAATCCTAAACCCCCAACTGGCTGAACAAATCCCCTCTTGGTTAAGGGGACCCCAGAGAAACCTTAGAAACTGAGTTCCTGGCCACGGTGCGATGGGAAGCCAGACCCGTCTCATTACATCCCCTCCTTTTTGTGGTTTAGACGCAACAACTGACCAGCATCAATGTTAACATAGAGATCCTAAGACTAACAAAATGGACTCTGTGGCAATAAGATACCAAATTATAAAGATTGCCTAAGGCCATGCCAGGCAAGGGTTAAGTCATGCACCCTCCACACTTAAAGAGTAAATTCTGTTCCAACTGCCACAAGTTTTTCTTTTTCTCTAGCAGTTAAACCAGCACCGGCCTCAAGATAAGCACTATTGAAACAACTGCAGCACTCTCACCACCAGATGCTGACCCCCGGCCGATTCCACAAGCCATACCCACATTTTTTGATTGGAAAAGAGACAGCTGTGGTTCAGTAACTTTCTCCTAATAAGAGACCATGGACCATGGACTGATCTGGCTGGTTTACAGAGGCTGTAAACTTGAGGGCCTTCGTGTCCCTGCCTTACGTTTTGCCATATAAGGCCTAATTGTAAGACACTTAAATGTTAAGTCTCCACCCCAAAGTGAACATGGGATGCAGGTAATACGCATGTTTGCTTATCACACGTGTACCTCTCCCACTTCATGATTATTCATAGCTCCTCCTGTAACCTATTGAATATGTATACTTGGCCAACCTCAGCATAAATCCCTGTTCCACCCCTTCCTCCCTCAAAGTGTCTGTTAATAGCCTCTGCAAGAGGCTACACTTCCCAGCCTTCAAAAATGGCCAGACCACAGGCTATAACCCTTTATAAGAAATAAAGTCTCCTTCACAGATTTAAAGATCTTGTGATTTTTCCATGATGAAACTGACATAGCAACGTGTTGAGTAACTTGGCTAATGAGTAGGAAACCAAAGTTTATACCAAACCCTGGGACTCTAGAGCCGGTCTCTGCCATGCCTCTTCCCTCAAGGAAGTCAGGATCCTCTTGGGAGGCAGACCATACATGTCATTAGAAAGCTTTTACAATGATCACCTTGCTTGTTCATCTCAACTCTCGCAGATCTGCCACTTTCTTCAGTCCTCTAACCACTTGATTCGGTACACTTGATGTGATCTAGCATTACCAGTCTCTCCTCCACCACATGCTGCCTGTAATTGTAGCAGTCACTTGTTTTCAGTCATATCATTACAGAGCAGCATTGAGTTTTCCAGTTTATAAGCAGCCCAAATTTGTTTTCCTGTTGAGCTTTTGCCTTGAATGTCTGGCTTTTCCTTGGGGATACATAGTTCCCAGTTCCATTTCCCACAGGAGCTTTACTCTGGAATGTCTAATAGTGTGTGTTTGTTTCAACATCGGGGATATAAATAGGTAAAATGAAGTTCTGCTTGGTGCTGCTGCACGGCTGCAAGAACCAAGGGCCAGCCAATCATGAGCTGAGGGACTTACTGTGTTTGTTTAAATATAGTTCAGGTTTCTCCCTTCTCTCTACCTCAACAAGATTTAGCACCTAGAACAAGACACTACACCTTTAGTTTGCACTCCGAAATTGCTAGGAAGTAAATCCATCTGGAAACTGCACTGGATAAGGAGCAGGGATACACAGCAGTGGCTGGAAAGAAATTACTCAAGTACGAAATCAGGAAGGAACCTCATTAACACCCCACCACCTTTTGTAAAGTCAATAATACACTGTCCAGTATGAAACCCAGCCAAGATCTCAGCTGTTGACTGTTCAGTGAAAGAGGAACATGAAAGTGACAGAAGGACATTCATTCCAGAAACCCTGAGAATCCAGCAGCCCCTACCTGGTCTCCAGCTCCATGACTTGCCACCGCCCTCACTGCTCCAGTCTAAATTCCACACCTTCAGAGCTAGAGTCAGAGTTTCCAGGGTGGCAGGAGTGGAGTGAACCAGGGGGATCCCAGCATCCTCCTCAAATGTAGGGACTAAGACTGGCGGGGAAAAGGGGCAGGGTCCTTTGGGGATTGTAATGCACCCAAGGGGAAATCCCAGAGATCCAGGTTCAGTCCTCTGGCCCTCCCCAGCTAGCCTGATGTAGCTCCATCTTCACTGAAGTTCCTCTGGTGATAACACATCATGTTGAAGAGGATATTTAGGGCTTCCTGAGACAAAGCTGTGCTAAACACATGAACTCTCAGCAAATACTAGCAAGTGAATTAAAAATGAATGAATATCCTATAAAACAAAGCAACAAATCAGACAACCCCTACCCCCGACCCCATGGCTCAATGAGAGCTTCTGGACCTGCAGCATCCCCACAACATATAATTCACCCACTACCCCATACTAGAGAAACCTAGGAGGCTCTCGTGTCCTGGGGAGCAAGCTGTTAAGTAGAAGTGGGAGAATTCCTAACCCTGTTAAGAGTTGGAATGTTAAACTCTAAAGATAAGCCTGAAAACCAGCTTTAAAAAATGTGAGCATTCCTAGTTAACCTAGATAGGCAGAATTCTTTTCCCTCCTATCAAGACAAACCCACAGTAGCTCAATGCCTGGATTATGAGGCCACATCACAAAGATGTTAGTTTTTTCAGTTTGGGTTGTTGCTGAAAAGAAAGTAAGAATTTAGGCATTACAATTCAGACTAGATCCATTCATTAGGTCCACACCACACCAGTAAACAGTGATACAGATTTGCATAGTGTTTTTTTAAATTAACATTTAATAATGTTTTACTTCCCAAGCCCCTTATGAGCTGGGCATTGGCTAAAAAGGTTTTGGCTCAGTACAAAGAAGAATGTTCCACGCCTGTGAAACACCAAACAATGGAGCAGTGGTGTTGTAAGGGAGTAGCCTCTGGCCCATTCAAGTCAAAACTGGATAATTATTTGTTGCAGATGCTTTAAAGAGTTCTAATAATTTAGGTGTTAGGTGAGAATAAATAATCTCTAAGATGTCTTCCAATCCTAGCATACATGATAAATTTTTTCTGTGGAAAAAGCACCCAAACAGAAAGTGACCAGTGACTTTCCCTAGTCACACAACCAGACCCTCCAGCTTCTAGCCTAACACTCTTTCCACTGGATGGTCTTCACCACCACCAGTACTCAGCCCCAAGACACCAGGGGAACACTGGCACTGTCCCTTTGGTTTCATAGAAAATAAGCACAAATAAAAGATTCAACATCTGACCGACATGCTTTCCCATATTTTATAAGAAGATCAATTTAGTACCATATAGGTACCAAGGTACTATAGGTACCACATAGGTACCAAGTTACTATAGGTACCACATAGGTACATTAGACAGACTGTTTTGTAAACTTCTGAAAGCCAATACAAAGAACATCTCAGAGTTAGTATGGTAGAACCTTCTAGAACACTTGTCATGGCCTGAATCTTCATGTCCCTCCAGAATGCATATATTGGAACTTGTATTAGGGTTCTCTGGAGGGACAGGACTAATAGGATAGATGTATATATGAAGGGAGGTTTATTAAGGAGTATTGACTCATTCAACCACAAGGCGAGGTCCTACAACAGGCCATTTGCAAGTTGAGGAGCAAGGAAGCGAGTCTGAGTCCCAAAACCTCAAAAGTAGGGAAGCTGACAGTGCAGCCTTCAGTATGTGGTCAAAAGCCTGAGAGCCCCTGGCAAACCACTAGGGTAAGTCCAAGAGTCCAAAAGCTGAAGAAGTTGGAGTCTGATGTTTGAGGGCAGGAAGCATCCAGCATGGGAGAAAGATGAAGGCGGGAACACTCAGCCAGTCTAGTCATTCCGCATTCTTCTGCCTGCTTTATTCTAGCTGTGCTGGCAGCTGATTAGATTATGCCCACACAGATGGAGGGTGGGTCTGCCTCTCCCAGTCCACTGACTCAAATGTTAATCTCCTTTGGCAACACCCTCACAGATACACCAAGGAACAATACTTTACATCCTTCAATCAAGTTGACACTCAGTATTAACCATCACAGAACTTAACCCCCAGGGTGATGTTATTAAGAGGTGAGGACTCTGGGAGGCCCCACCTTCATGGCTGGGATTACTGCCCTTTTAAATGGGTTGAGGGAACAAGTTTACCCCCGCTTTGGCTCCTTCCACCCTGTGAAGATGCAGCAACCAGACACCATCTGTGGAGCAGAGGGCAAGTCTTTACCACACACCAAATCTGTTGGCACCTTGATCCTGGACTTACCAATCTCAAAAACTGAGAAATAATTTTCTATCATTTACAAATTACTCGGTCTAAGGTGTTTTGTTATAGCAACGGGAACAGACTAACACAACCCTATACTTCAGTATTTGGGATAATTGGATTAAACTAATAATTTCACTATTACCCCATAATCAAACATAATGGCAGCATTTATTTGGCTGAGTTTCATGCTTAGAGTATGGGAATAAGAATTGTTCCATTATAAAGGTCACAACCTTACATAATGATCTCCCTTACATAATAGTCACACCCCTATTTTTGGACCGGCAGAGCCAGCATAAAAAGTGTTATCATTACACAAATACAGCACTTTAGAGGTGTTTTTAAGGACAGAAATATATTTTCAATTCTATTACTATTTTTCAAACAGCTGAGGCTAGACAGAGATTCCAAGTGCCCTGCTTCGCTGTTTTTGAGCTGTCAAAGAAAATGAATCAACTGACTACAGTCACGTATCTAAGACAGACATAGAATTTCGCAGGAAGTCTGAGGTTATTTGGGTCAAGTTCATACGGTATTTGATCTACAGCCTGATAATACAGCTTTTGTGCTATATGAGCACACTAGGACATGGTGTTATTTTTTTTTTTTTTTTTTTTTTTTTGAGACGGAGTCTCGCTCTGTCGCCCAGGCTGGAGTGCAGTGGCGGGATCTCGGCTCACTGCAAGCTCCGCCTCCCGGGTTCACGCCATTCTCCTGCCTCAGCCTCCCAAGTAGCTGGGACTACAGGCGCCCGCCACTACGTCCGGCTAATTTTTTGTATTTTTAGTAGAGACGGGGTTTCACCGTTTTAGCCGGGATGGTCTCGATCTCCTGACCTCGTGATCCGCCCGCCTCGGCCTCCCAAAGTGCTGGGATTACAGGCGTGAGCCACCGCGCCCGGCCGACATGGTGTTATTTTTTAACTGAGACATAAAAACCAAAGTAACAATCTACTTGTATTCATTGTTAAGTTTTCATATCCTTATAGCCAAAGAAAGGAAAACCACTTCCAACCAGCCTGCTTCTATTAATACACACAGTGATCTTTGACGTAAATGTCACACATGTTCACTTTAGGCTTCTGGTCAAATTTGCATGAGGCCAATTAAATTCTGAGGTCCTGAATCTCCTCTGTAAATTCAACAGATAGATTTCTCTTCTTGTACTAAGCTATTGTTTGGTATTGTTCTGAACTACTCAACAGCTGTAATTCTGCAACTCACTGGATGTTGAAGGGTATAATAATTGTACCGAGGGATATGAATGTGTGTAAACCCAAAGCCCAGTGCTGTCTCTACGGTGATACACTTATCCACATTCCTCCCACTGTCATGACACAGTCCTCTTACTTCAACTGGCTCACTTCTCCGAATGCCTGGAACTTCACTCAATTTACCTTCCCTTATACACCTTAGATGTCACCTTAGATAGTGCACCTTAAATGTGCACTATTATGGTAGCCACTAGCCATATGTGGCTTCTGAGCACTTGACATGTGGCTAGCCTAAACTACTGAGATGTGCTGTAAGTACAAAATTATATACTAGATTTTGAAGACTTAGTATGACATATGTAAAATACCTCAATAATTTTCATACCAGCCTGCTGAAATATTTTGCATATATCAGGTTAAATAAAAACATACATATTATACACTAGAAAATTTTAAATTATGTGTGTAGCTCACATTATTGGATAATATTGAGTTGGCTAATTTTAGGCTCTCTTTCCCTGACTCCATTCTACTGAGCTCTCTTCAATTACACATAAATTGGGTCTTCTAATTTTATCCTTTATCTCTTAATCTCCTTTTCTATCCTTTTGTTTTTCCTGTGCTGCATTCTGGGTAATATCTCATATTTATCTTCCAAATCACTGATTCTTTCTTCACTAGGTCTAATCTGTTGTTAATCCATCCATCCATTACATTAGGTTTTATGTTTACTTTGTTTTGATGTTTTGAATATGGTTTTGTTTACTGAACTTCCAGACAAGATTTCATCTGGTTTAGAAAAATATTGGAAACCATTAGGCAATTTCTACTAATGCTGAATACATGCATACTCTGTCACCAGCAATTCTACTCCTAGGAATAAACCCAACAGGAAAAAACGATAGCCCAAAACTGAAAATTACCCAAATGCCCAACAGCTGTAGAATGTGGCATATTCACACAATAGAATACTAAATTAAATAAGAAAAGTATAACTATATGGAAAAATATGAAGTTCTTTTATCCTTTTTCATATGTTGAGAGACAAAGGTCATATACAAAAGATTATATAGTATATAAATCCATGAATAAAATCTTTTTAATAGGCAAAATTAAAATGGTATAAGAATTCAGGATACTTGCATAATAGTCACACCCCTATTTTTGGATACTGGTTGACCTTGGAGTAATACTAGTTGACCTTGGAGTAAAAGATTACATGAAGGGAACAGAAAGGGGGTTTATGAGATGCTGGTAATGTTCTGTTCCTTGATCTGAATACTGGTTACATAGTACATTAATTTATGGAAATTCATCATGGTATATCCTTATGATTTTTAAACTTTGTATATAATTTAACAGTATAACAAACTCAAACTCTAATCAGTGATTTTCAGAAAAATATTTGGATGTTGTATTAGTCTGTTTTCACACTGCTATAAAGAACGACCTGAGAGAGGGTAATTTATAAAGAAAAGAGGTTTAATTGACTCACAGTTCCAAGTGGCTGGGGAGGCCTGAGGAAACTTACAATCATGGCAGAAGGCGAAAGAGAAGCAAGTCACGTCTTACATGGCGGCAGGAGAAGGAGCGTGTTGAAGGAAGTGCCGCACTTTTAAACATCAGATCTCATGAGATCTCACTATCACAGAACAGCATGGGGAAAATCTGCCCCCATGATCCAATTACCTCCTACCAGGTCCCTCCCCTGACAGGTGGGGAATTACAATTCGAGATGAGATTTGGGCAGGGACACAGAGTCAAACCATATCAGATGTTAAAACCTTTTTTTTCCTTTTTGAGTTGTCAGTTTTGAATATAATTATTTCAAAAATTTCATTTTGTTTCCTTTTCAAATTCTGCCTAGACATTTTTAATAGCATTTTGCTCATGTTTTCAAATCCATCTTTTATTTCTAGAAACATTTTAGGACATTTCATTTATATTCTGACTGATAATTCTTAAATTCAAGTTCTTGGGAAGTCTAATTCTACTGTTTGTTGTTTCCACTGATGGCTTGTTTACTCTGTGTAACTGGAAACTTTTCATTGTGAAGTCATATGTGGTTGATTTTAATCTGTGAGAATTCTAAAGAGCCCCAGCTGTGGGAACATTCCTACAAAGCTGATTCTCTTCCGATTCTGCTGGAATCCTGAGTCTCTCTCAAACTGGAATTATCTTAACAATTCTTTTGCTTGAGGTTTCCTGGACGGCATATGTGGATAATGTGAGTTTAAGCCCTAAACCTTCATGAGTTCAGAATTCTCAGCAGAGACATTTCCCCACCCCCAGCCAAGGCCAGAACAATTTCTCATAGCAGTTTTTCTTTGCCAAATGGATTTTTCTAGTCCATCTTTTCACTGAGGGTGTAGATCTTCAAGATTCCTGGCTTTTGCAGACTCTTAATCAGTTCCGTTGACCTTGTAACAGCGCCCAAGTCCTCATCTCCCATTCCACAATGCACCCCTCCCTACTCATCCCTGTTGTATGGCAATTAAAACTGAAGCTTTCAGTTTCTGTTATCTGCACACACTCCCAAGGCAGCCCATATCTTAGATCCTCACTCACCACCCTGGTGTCAGCTCTCTCTCCATTTTTGCCTCTGTAGAGACTTACATTCAATTTTTGTGAGCTTAGCTACATATTTAAAAGGTTGTTTTTTATATTACATTCAGCATTTCTCAGTGTCTGTAATTGGGAGAGTTTCTCCAAATATCTATTCTTCATAATACTAGAAGCAGAAGTTCAACAGGCCTTCTCTATCTGATGCTTAAAAGCTAGCGAGGCAGTCATTTCAGGGCTTTGGAGAGGTCCTACTCTGTTACCTCCCAGCTTAATTACAACTGAATTTTCTAGAACTAAAAAAAATGTTTAACATGAGCAGAGGTGAGGTGAGGTGTCAATCAATCCATTTTCACAATATGCTACCACCTACTATTCAGTGGACTTGCTAAAAAGTCACCTAGCAGAGAGAGCTTTGCCACTTTGTTATGCCAAAGGATCAAATAATGCAGAAACCATTCATTCATACAATAAATATTCACCAAGAATCTGCTCTTTGCAAGGTACAAAGTGCTAGGCAAACAAAAGTGATTAAAACAGGAACTTGGCCCTCAAAGAGTTTAGCTAGAATGCCTAAAAATTTTCTTGCCTTAAGTGCAAATTGATCAATAAGTAGAGATTGCCTGGAGCATTGTATTAAGAATCTGAGGCCAGGCATGGTGGCTCACGCCTGTAATCTCAGCACTTTGGGAGGCCGAGGCGGGAGGATCACGAGGTCAGGAGATTCAGACCATTCCAGCCAGCACAGTGAAACCCTGTCTCTACGAAAAATACAAAAAATTAGCCGGGCATGGTGGCATGCACCTGTAATCCCAGCTACTTGGGAAGCTGAGGCAGGAGAATTTCTTGAACCCAGCAGGCGGAGGTTGCAGTGAGCCAAGATCGCGCCACTGCACTCCAGCCTGGGCGACAGAGCGAGACTCCGTCTCAAAAAAAAAAAAAAAAACAAAAAAAAAAAAAGAAGAAGCTGAGGACAAGTCTAAACTAGTGAGTCATCTGTTAAAATACAAACCCCACTATGCCATTTCCCTGTTGAAGCACCTCTAATAGCTTCCCATTACTCCCAGGTTGTAATCCAAACTCTGTGGCCTACAAGGAGGTCCTCCCAGATGTGGCCCTGCCTGTCTCCCAGTCTTCCTCTTGTTCACTCCATTCTATCCATACTAGCTTCCTTCTGCTCTTCAAAGGTGCCTAGTTCATTCTCACTTTAGCTCTTTTGCACATATTCTTCCTCCCACCTAGAATATTCTTAGTTCTTTACATGGGTCCCACTTCTCATCATGAGTCTCAGCTTAAATGAGACACACTTTGAGAGGGCCCTTCCCTAAAGACCCTGTAAAAAGGATCTCTCCCACCATATCATTTATCTGTCACATCACCCTTTTTAAATTTTCTTCACAGTCCATATCAGTATCTTAAATTATCAAGTTATTTGTATATTTTCTCATTTATTCTTTACTTTTCTCTATATTCTCTAAATGTACCTGGCATATGTAATGGGTGCTCTGTGGTATACATATGGATGAATACATAAATGGATAAATGGTCAGTGATGTCTGCAAGCATGCAAAATAGGAGGGTGGCTCTACTTGTACTACCTAAGTGCATCAGAGGAAAGGTGACAGTAACAAAAAACATCAACTAAGTGCAAAAAATGCCGTTAGGTTCAGGAGTGATGAAAGGGGACATAATGAACTCTGTTGGGAGCAAGTGAAGGACACAGGCAGGGAAACTGTCCTTGAAAAGGCAGCTTACCAAAGACCCTAAAGAAAAGCTGGAAGTTACTGGCAGGCATGGTGGAAAAAAGCATCCAGACAGAAAAAGCACATGCAGCAACAAGCAGCTGTGAGATTCCTCCTTACTTCATGCTATCACCCTGAATTCAGGGAATCAGAACTTCCCAAAGGGTTCCAGTTTTGGCCTCTTGTCCAGAGATGTCCAGGTGGCCAAATATCAAAGTCCTGTTTCAGACTTTCCCATTAACTAATCATATGGTTTCTAAGAGAGTCATTCTACCCCTGGGGGCCCCCACCTTCAGCAGCTATAAAACCAGGATGTGGCTCGTAGGTCTCTCATATCCCTTCCATCTCTGCAGGTCTGTTAGATACTCCCGTGTTTGCTCCAGCACACATTCTGAATTGGCCAGTACTGGAACTGTAAAACATATTGATTCCTTTTGGTGATTTCTTTTGTGCTGGTTTTTGTTTTTTAATGATTAAGAGATAGTCTACAGAATATCAGTGTTCCACTCTGTCACTCAGTTATAGCTAAACAAATCAATTATAAAATTAAGCTCTGAATTTTGGTAAATTCCAAAGCCTTGCACATGCCGCCTCTGGCCAGTCTGAAGTCCACCGCTCCATATCACTGAAAGCCCTTCTTTAGAATGCAGGTGACTGGGTCCAACCATTTACCATCCAACCCCCCAGAGCCACTGAATTAGCATCTCTCATGAGTGGGGCCCAGAAATCCACATTGTCAACATTGGTAATGCCCAGTTAATTCTTTCTTATTCACCCTCAAGGAGAGAACCACTACCTCTTAGCTTCGCTCTGTTCCAGGATAAAAACAAAACAATAACCAAAACACTAACAGTGGCCAGCATGCATTGAGTGCTTCTTATGTGTCGTGATTTGTCCCAGGCTTCTGACTTCCTTTCTTGCCCCAACAGTGTTGAATCACTTGCCCAGGTTCACATAGCAACCAGCTGGGGAATGAGGATTTGAATCCATGTTCTTTGGACTCCAGCATCCATGTTTCCAACTGCTAACTACACTACAGCAGGGTACAATGCTTAAGAGCCTCATTCAGCTCTAGCATCGGACTTGATGAGTTCAAATCCCAGCTGTACCATTTACTAGCTGTGTGGCCTTGGGCAAGTTATTTTGCCTCCTTCAGCCTCAGTTTCCTCAATGTAAGGTGAGGATAATAAGCATTGCTACTTCATAGGGTGCTTGGTTGTGAAGGACAACTGAGTAAAATGCTGAGAAGGGAACCTGGTGCATAGTGAGCGTCAGCCATGATGATCCAGCCTCCCTTTCTCCAGGCTTGGGCTCCTTGGGGCGTGGTACTTGTCCCAAAGGAAATCTCTGTCAAGCATGAGTAGACGGAACTGAAGAAAATCCATCCTCTCTGCTGGAAAGCAACCCACAGCCCATGGTCTACTGACAGTGGGTCAGTAGTGTTGTCTTTGGAGATAAAGTATGGCACATTATTTGAACTTGAATGTTCAAAGGGCATCAACTCCTTTCTAGCACACAACACTTTCAGCCTTGCTGCTTCTTTTTCTTTCATGCCTCCTAATGGTTCTGTCTGTCATTATGAACCTTTCAGCTCTGCTTCCACAAAGCACAAAGGGATCCCATCCTTTAATCCTCAAAATAGTTTGTCTTTATAGTTTGGCAGGTAAGAGTTGGTTGCAGCAGTAACTCCTGAAACCTGCCTCTCATTATGCCAAGAACTGCAATGTGTTTGCCACATAAAAGCATGAGTGATAACAAATGCTTTCCGATGGTGAGAACTGCTCTTTATGGCCTGCTTTCCAAGTGCCCTCTTGACATAGAAGAACTTTTTTTTTTTACAACATCAATCATCATTAGTAGCAAATGGTGATATCTGTATCTGTCCAGGTGACATCTCAGCCAAGGAAGGAAGCCACATCCTGAGAATGTCAGCTGTTACCTCAAGACTGAAATACAGCAATAGTTACCTCAAGATAGAAATATAGTAAAGAACTTTTGTCTTTCATGACAGAAATTATTCCATAGGTCATATTTTTACTAAATCTTCTAAGGAGGTACTTAAAATTACTTTTTCGTTGTAAATAAAACTAGTTTTAGAGTAATGCATAATATTTTATTCTTTTATTTTTGAGACAGGGTCTCACTCTGTCATCCAGGCTGGAGTACAGTGGCATGATCCTAGCTCACTGTAGATTCGAAATCCTGTTCCAGTGGTCCTCCCACCTCAACCTCCTGATCAACTGAACTACAGGAATGCACCACCAAACCCAGCTAATTATTTTTTTGTAGAGGTGGGGGTCTCACAATGCTGCCCAGACTGTTCTCAAACTCCTGGCCTCAAGTGATGTTCCTGCCCAGGCCTAAAATTTTAAGTAAGTTCCTATTTATGACCACAGATATTTTGAGAGTCCATTGCCATGCTAGCCTTATGCAAATTCAGCGATGTACCCATGAACCACTATACCCACCCCAAAAGCTCCACCCAGGGGAGACAAGGCATCTGAGGGGCACAAGCCCCAGCAGACCACCACGGATCTGCTGACCTGGGAGCAAACAGACTCCTCCTCTTAAAAGATCTACCCACTCAGCAATACCTGAACTTTGCAGGAGCCAGCAAACAAGCACCTCACTCCTTGGTAAGACTTTCCTTTTGCTGCACCAAACTGGAATCTTCCTACCGCCCCAACCTACTGAATCTATACCATTATTTCAGCAAGAGAAACTGAGCAAAACATTGACTACTTGTGTTAGAGAACAATGAAATATTCTCATCAGAAACCCTATCCTAGAGAAGGAAACTGTCTGCAGTAGAGGGAGGAGCTCCACTAACTTCGAACAGCTCCAGGACTGACATCGCTAAGGTCTTCCCAACTTTATCTTTTCTCACTAGCCCCCAGAGCTGTCCAGTTCCAGCACATGGACATATATGAAAATACAATATCATATGCCTCCTCCACTGACCAGGGCAAAAGCTGCAGTAAAAGAACTATCAAGTCAAGGAATTATCTTAAAATATTACTAATAACATTACCAAATTACAAAAAAAGGATCTTTAATAAGCCTTCCATCTAATGAAGAATGGAATGAAAATCAAGAAAAAATGTTGACAGAATACAAAAAGCTGAAGTTCAGATGCTGAACACATTCTTTTAATGTTTTATTTATTTATTTTGAGACAGGGTCTTACTCTGTTGCCCAAGCTGGAGTGCAGTGGTGCAATCATGGCTCACTATAGCCTCTACCTCCCAGGCCCAAATGATCCTCCCATCTCAGTCTCCCAAGTAGCTGGGACTATAGGTGCATGCCACCATGTCCAGCTAATTTTAAAAAAAAAAAATTGTAGAAACAATGTCTCAGTATGTTGCCCAGGCTGGTCTCAAACTCCTGGGCTCAAGTACTCCCCCTATCTTGGCCTCCCAAGTAGCTGGGATTACAGGTGTCAGCCACTGTGCCCCAGCCGCTGAACATATTTAGTCAAACTTCTTACCAGAGTAAATCCCATTGTAACCACTGAGGCAAGCTTGGCTCCTCCCAGAATCTGCTTTCTAGGCTCAGTCCTTCACATGGTCTTCCTTCTTGTCCCCTTGGTCACCAAGCCATGCAGCCCTTCCACCCTTGGCCCATGCAGGTATAATTCTGGTCCCTAGCCCCCAAGGTAAGGAAGCCTCTTCACTTCCAAGTCCCCAAAGTCACCTGCCTGGGCCACTAGCCATGCAGCAGTAACTTCATACTTCCCTGTTTTGCTCTTCTTGAAGGTTCCTATTGTCCAACCATAGGCCAGGAAGCCCTGCTCTTACTAAATCAAGTGTTCTCAATCAACTCACCTGAGTCAAACAGGCCTTAAAAGTCTACCTATGCCAATCTTGTCATTTACATGTAAGGCAGAGAGGCTGAATGACTTGCTCAAGGTCATAAAGAAAATTAAGGAGTACAAGCCAAGCCTCCTGTTACCCAGGCCAGTGGTTTTCACATGGTACCACCGATGAAGCCTGGGGCTGTAGACCCCGTTGAGCCCTGCCCAGTATTCCTTTTCCACCTGTCACCAGTGCTACTGCTAACCTCACACCTCTAATCTTCTCGAGAGAACCACTCTTGGGTGATATAGCCACCTTGCCCAAGTATGCCCGGGAATTATCACTTAGGACCAGGTTGCCCGTAGCTCAAGACTGGTTGATGCAAAGATACAAAATTCCTACTTTCCTGCCTCAAGGAAGAACACACCCTGCTATGATTGATGCTTCAGAGCATCCACAGGATCAGGCTCAGAATGGGCCTCACCTGAAAGTGCATCCTTTCTCCTGAGAATGCTCGTTAATAACTCATTTTGCTAAGATTCTCTTATATTCAGCTCTGCTTCTAGGGAATCTAACCTGACACTGGGGTTCTCTCTGAGCATTCCAAGCAAGTATACTGGTCCAGGCCCCACAGTGCTCAAATGGCCTCCATGACAATCTTTATCCAGAGCCCATCAACATTCAATCCAGTCCCTCAGTCAGGAATATCCCTTGTCCCTTCCAGCCTAGAAGTCCACTCTTCCTCCTGAGAGAAGCACCAAGTCCCTCCCTCCTGCCCTCTCAAGCTCTCACCTGACTTGTAGTTAGGATCTGAAAGAAACTCTGAAGTCAGTGAATCATCAAGCTGAGGTCATCAGCAGCATAACACTCCCTAAAATATTTAGTCTTCGGTGCTCCTTAGGGAGCAGAGAAATGCCCCCACAGTGTCCCTTAATTTGCTTCTTAAATGGTGAAATCTCTTAAACAGAGAATGAGGGTTTTCATTACAGCATTAACATCACCAACATGCAGTGGCTCATGCCAGTAATCCCAGCACTTTGGGAGGCCAAGGCAGGTGGATCACTTGAGGCCAGGAGTTCAAGGCCAGCCTGGCCAATGTGGCAAAATCCCATCTTTGCAAAAAATATATAAAAAGTAGCTGGGCGTGGTGGCACATACCTATGGCCCCAACTATTCAGGAGGCTGAGGCATGAGAATCCCTTGGAACCGGGAGGCGGAGACTGTGGGGAGCTGAGATCACGTTACTGCACTCCAGCCTGGGTGACAGGGTAATACCCTGTCTCAAAACATAAATCACCAACAAGCCACCCATTGCTTTTGAAGATACTCTACCCTACTTTCTCAGAGGAATCACTGTTCTTGCTACATGTTCTAACTGATGTTCTTATCTGGATACAAAATTAAAAAGGTTTGTCACTCTGGAGTAATTATTTAACTATGACTTGTTTACATAAAACAGCATCCTAGAAAATGAGTTTGCACTGGTTTCTTTCACAGCAGAGATCAGATTATTGACAAAATATCCGGAGAACTTATAACCTGCTTTGTAACAATAATGGCTATTCATGTATAGTGCCCAATATGTTCCAGGCACCAGAAATATGTCCCTTCTAATCCTTGCAACAGGTGGGGACAATACTGGTCAGAGAAGTTAAATAACTTGATCAAGGTTAAGCAACAAATACATGGTAGAAACAGGATTTGAACCCAGGTCTGTCTACCCACAAAGCAAGTGACTGGGCCACTTCACCACCTCTACCTCCTGTTCTCCAGTGCTTGAGACTGGTTCTACCCTGCAGCAGTTCCTGTTCCAAGCTAAGCTTCGTACAAGAATTAATGGACGTTCTCAAAAGTACACCCTGTTCTCTGACCTTGAGAGAGGAACAAGAAGAAGAGCATCTGGTGTAGACAAATGTAAGGATCAAGAGGGGCTTTGACAGGAAGGCAGAGTAAATGTTCTCTTCCCTGTTTCTCCCATAAGTCTAGCTAAAAACTGAGCATTAGATCTAAAACAAGCATAAGAAGACACCGAAAGGTGGGGAGCTGCCAAGTGGGTTAAGGACCTCAGGACCCAGGGAATGACATGGCAACGAGTTCCTGAATTTTCTTTTTCCCTCATGTATTTCCTCATCTATACCTGAAAAGCCAGCAACCTGGAAACACCAATACACATAGACCAAAAACAAATAAGCAAAAAAAGCTCCTCTCTTTGTCCAAAGAACCAGGAAAGGGGCAGCCTAGCTTCTTTTAGATTGAAGAAAAAAATGAAAACTTTTAGATAATAACCACTCTACTCGAAACACACCACACACACACACGCACACACACACACACACACACACACACACACACACACACACACAAAACTGTGGACCCACCCATACAAGCAAAGACCTAGTGGGGAACCTAGACAGTAGTGAGGAGCCCCAACACCTCCACCAGGATAGTTTCTGAGAGGCTGAGTGTGGAGGCTGGCCTTTCATCTCTGCTAGGTGGCAATGTGGCTGCAAAGGTGTCAGAGGAGGCTGGTGGAGAATCAGGTCTTACCCGCCACCACTCAGCAGTAATGAAGCCATTCCAACCGTGGGAGTGGAGGTCACATGGAGAACCATAACAGGACTCCTCCTCCTGGCAGCCAGATGGATATGGGTTTCAAAGAGCAACTATAAATGTTCTTGAAACAAAAAACTACAAAGAACTAGCAAAGTAATGAGAAGTATCAGCAAAGAAACAGAAGATAGAAGAACCAAGTAGAAACTTTGGGACTGAAATATATTATAAATGAAATGTAAAAAAAAAAAAAAAAACTCAATGGATGGGTTCAATAGCAGAATAAAGAGAACAGAGGCCAAAAAAAATCTGTGAACTTACAGATAAAACAATTACCCATAAACAATCAAAATAAATTAGGCTGGGGAAAAAAATGAACTAAGCCTCAGAGACGTGTTGAACTACAAAAAAAAGATGTTAAAGGTAGGTCATCTGACTCCCAGAAGGAGAGGAAAAAGAGGGTAGGGCTAGAAAAGCATTTGAAGAAATAATGGCTAAAAACTTTCCAAAGTTGGCAAAAGACAGAATCAAGAATCTGAGCACCAAATGGGATAAACCCAAAGAAATCCACACCAAGATGCATCACAGTCCCACAAAAAGACAAAGGAAAAAGCCTTGACAGTAGCCAGAGAGAAATGATGCATGAAGCCATAGGGGAAGAACAATTTGAATGACAGAGGATTTCGCAAAATAAACCAAGGAGGCCAGTAGGAAGCAGTGCAACATTTTTTAAGTGCTGAAAGAAAGAACTATCAATCCAAAATTCTATATCCAGAGAAAATATTCTTCAGGGATGACATTCTCAGATGAAGAAAAACTAAGAGGATTTGTCACCAGGAGACCTGCCCTAAAATAATGACTAAAGGAAGTTCTCTAAACAAAAAGGAAAAGATAAAAGAAAGAATGTCTCAGAACATCAGGAAGGAAGAAAAAAACATGGCAAAAATATATATAAATACAATCGAGTTTGCTTTGCTTCTCCTCTTGAGTTTTCTAGATTCAGTTGATGATTAAAAAATCATAACACTGTCTAATGCAGTTCTCAAGGTATGCAAAAGAAATAAGACAATCATATAATTGGAAGGGTAAAGGGAGGTAATTTTCTTTTTCTTTTACTTTTTTGTAGCAACAAGGTCTTGCCATGTTGCCTAGGCTGGTCTGAATTCCTGAACTCAAGCAATCTGCCCGCCTTGGCCTCCTAAAGTGCTGGGATTGCAGGTGTGAGCCCCTGTGCCTGGCCCATGTCTAGGTTTCTATACTTCGCTGGACCTAATAAAATGACAATAATAGTAGGCAATGATAAATCATGTATGTCTACATGTTTAAAAAGCCATGTCAAAAGATACACTCTAAAGCAATATAGATAAATCAAAATTGGATTCTATAAAATGCTCAAAGAACCCACAGAACAGCAGGAAAAGGTCCAAGGAGAAACTGAAGAGGAGGAATGGAGGCATCTGCCCCTCCTTCTGCCAGGGTCACTTTAAAACTAGACCCTTTTCACAAGGTGGGGAGCACAGTCATTTCTGCTGTTCTGGGGGTACATCTAGGGTGGGACAGGGATGAACCCACCAGGCTTTTCCACAGAGCTTTGCCTTGCATTGGTGAATGTGTGCCCTGGTGCTTATGGAAGGCTCTTCTCAAAGCCCGCAGGCTGACCTGCCAGCACACCCAAAGTGGCTCCTTGTCAAGGCTCAGGGTCTCAGCTCACCTTCAGCATGGTGGAGTTTCCCTCCTGGGGGAGAACAGTACATTTGCACTCTGTTTACAAAAAGCCAAAAGCTATGCTTTGTGTGCAACCTATCTGCTGGAAAAAAAAAAAAAATGGAACTAAGGTGTCTTTGAGAATGATCTGATGCAGCTAGGTCAGGGGGAAGAAAGAAACGCAACAATTTGGAGCAGTGCCCCAAACGCTTAAATGAGCTGGGTACAAATCAGTCAGCGTTGGTAAACTCTACCTATAGATAGATATAATATCTATTTTATAATAGATAGATTATATATTTATAATATATATACTATATATTATATAGATATTTTATAATAGGCATTTTCTGACTTAGAAATACTAAGACAAAACAGATACTAAGTTCCAGAGAACCTCCCTTTAATTTTATTAGGGACAGGAGTCCTGAATCCTTCCAGGCAAGAAGATAGCCCCACAGTCTTGTAGTAAACCGTGTGCTGCTGTGTTTCTAGACCCTTAACTTTGTACCTCCTAGAAGAATGCTTCTAAAAACTTTCATTACACTTGTTGATAATGTTTACACTTTAAAAAATACATATATCTGGGAAGGTATTTGTACACGTCATTCATTATTCCAAATATAAGGGTATTTGTACATTACATGTCATTCATTATTTCAAATGTAATTTTAATCAGATCAACATAAAAGCATCTTAATATAATCAGTAGTGGCACTGGTAACTTTAAATATTAAAATCTACAATAGGAAAAAAGGAGCTTTGATTCATTGTCTCTTTTCAAATTAGCACAATCAACTTAGCACACACCTCTAACCTTTCTTTCCAACCTCTCATGTTCTTTCTGCCTTTTCTCTTGCTTCTCACTCCCCCAGCCCATGATATAACAAAGAGAAGGCTGTAGAGGGCAGAGTCAGGGTTGACAAAAAACAGATTCCAATTATTCCTTCTCCTTGCACGTATTCAAAAACCTATAGCCTTTTATAAAAATATTTCGATTTTTTCCCAGGAAATCTACTTTTTATGTTTGCCCTGTCTTTAGCCAACTCTAATAGATTTTTCTGTTGAGTTCTGATCTGTACCTGAGATTCTTAAGAGGTATATTTGCAGACAAAACCAGGAAGATTTCCCTGAATTTTTTGGAAACAATCTTCCTTACACCAAAAAGTAAATTGCCCAAGGAAGCCTCTCCCACCTAGGACTTCCTAAGAGCAGAACTGGCACTTGTAAAAACTCAGGAAGGTTGCAAAAAAATTGGAAATGGGGTTCCATGGTTTCAATATAACGTTAAATTTGAAAATTAACGCCTCAAGTTAATTTGGCTCTTTCTGTCTTGAGCTGATTAGTGAACACTAGAATTCATGCTAGAGCTCCCAAACCATTTGCCTGCAATGCAGGGCTCATGTTCCAAATTCTGCTTTTTGCAGTAAAAAATAATATGCTCACATCATTTCATGACTGTGGTGCTACAGTGTTTCTACCGGCTTGCACGCCTCCTACGGGTGGGCTGATGTTTATTGTATTAGTACATAATGCTGCAACTTTCCACTGGCACACAAAGCTAGTGGTTTTCTAAAGCAGTCCTGGAATTCATTACCATGGAAACAAAAGGTATAAAAAGCTGTTTTTATCTAATAGGAAAACTTAGAGGAACTCTAAAAAAGATCAAAAGTGTTTTCAAAGTAAAGGTAGAGTCAAATACATTAAGTTTAGGTTAAAGGAGCCTCGGAAAGGAATCGCAAGGGTTAACAGAGGAAGGAGGCGGACTCTGTAGTGATGGGAGAAAACTCAGCAGCGCCACTGGGAGGCTCTGAAACTGGGACAAGGATGGATAAGTCGGGCTGCCGACCAAGTCCACCCCCAAAAAAGTGGCTGAAAGAACCCAATACTCTTCCTCTGCCAAGGTACAGGAGACATGGTTAGAACTCCAGTCTCTCCCCACAGAGGTGAAAATGAGTAGTTTGTTCTTCGGACATAAATAATATCATACACACCCTGGTCCTAATACATCCATCCAACCATTCTAGACTCTAGATTCTAGACATGGAAACGAGAAGCAAATGAAAAGCTTAATATAAATATGTTCATTTTATCAACTCATCATTTGATCTAGAGCTTGATCTCATGTGTTCAGGAAATGCTGTCACAGGTCCTATTTTAGTTTGGGAAAGGAGTAAGCGCAAACCACAAGTATTTATTTTGGTGTTTACGGTGTTTCCCTAACATCCAAATAAGTTCACCACATCCTGCCATCAGCTTCAAAATAGAATTTTGGATATATTCTTCCTTCCATGGAAAACTTCCTGATACATAAACTGCTCTGACCATCTGTAATAATACAAACTCTTATCCAGTATCCTCCTCAGAAAACATCTGGAACAATAGGAAGCTCCCATCAATGCTGCTAAAGGAACACAACGTTTCTGGAAGCCATGTGATCATTCCGGCAGCAGGGAAGATACATGGGGTCACAGGCAGTCAGACTCCATCCTTGTACTGAGGCCACTGCCCACCATGGGTGTGCTGGCCAGCCCATCTGCCATTCTAGCCAGCGATATACGGAGAGTATGAGGCTTACAGAGCTGAAGTCTTCTGCATTAAAAGGCTTAATTTTCCTGCTCAAAGGCAGTCTTTTAGAATAGCAAGGAAAAATTATTTTAACTTAGAATGGGGTTAAACTAACAGCAGGACTGTGTTTAGAGAAAGGAAACCATACAGAAATAATTTGAAAACATACCATCTAAAAGGCAGTAAAAAGCAATGGTTGAAAGCATGGACTTTTGAGTCCATCAGACACATAGGTTTGAATATCACATGCCCACTTACTTTCCATGTAACCTTAGATAAGCCTCAGTTCCTCATCTGAAAACCATACCTATCTGACAGAATTGTTGTAAGGATCCAATAAGATCAGGCGTGTTACATGTTTAGCATAGTGCCTGGCATATGGGAAGCTGTCAATAAACATTACCTCTTGCACTGTTTCTGTTACAGGGAGCAGGTGATGTTTAGCCTGGAGAACTGAAGGCTCAGGAAGAACGGGGTCTTCAAACACCTGAAGGACTGTCTCATGAAAAAGAGATGCACAAGACAGGAGAATTGAGCAGAGAGATGTTTAACTCAAATCGAAGAACAAAGACAGCATTGAATCACCACCTATCAAGGGTCTTACTTGAATAGACTTTGGTTTGGATGAGAGGCTATAGAAGAAAACCTCAAAAGTCTCTTCCAATTCTAAGGTTTCATGATTCCAGGCATTTGGAGAATTAGGAAAAATAATCACTTAAAAAAAAAACTATTTAGTGCCAAGCTTCCTAAAACATCTTTAAAATGTCCAATATCCATGAATCATAGGGTATTATCCATTTTATTTGAAAACCATGGAACTCTACTACTAGAACTTCATTCTAGGTTGTTTAAAACAAAGTACAATGCAAAACTGTCTTCTTTCATAAGAACCATTTTCTAGATGGGCATAGATTCTTTGAGGGAATTCTTATCATGCAGATATTTTACTTCAAAATCTAAACTTGTACCACTTTACTGGAATGAAATATTAACGCTATTAATTTAAACATCATAACATTTTTTAAAAATAAGGTGTTAAAATAATATTTATTCATCAATCCTATACCACTACAATATTTTAGATCAGTGATTTAATATCTGAAAAAATTTATCACATACTATGCATACCACTGATCAGCAGAGGCTGAAATTTTACTGTAACTTCAGTCCAAAGATACAGGTTTTAATTTGAGTTCTCCATAATTCACAGAAATATTTAAGGGTAAATATAAGTCTTAATTAAAATCCCTATTCTCCCAGCATGTGCTAAACCCACCCTGCTCCACATGCAGACCCTTGGCCCCAAACAATCCCGAGAGGATGTTGGCTCAGAGCAGCAAGGAGCTGACAGATGGGGCATTCGGTAAAGGAGTGGTGCTGGGTTTTTTCATTTTTGTTAGAGACGAAAGCTGTGGGAAAAACATTCTCCACTTAATCTATTTTATTTTCAGCAAGGTTTTACCTGTAAATATTAATTTATACACCAGCAAAACTCACTAGATGCCTGGGCTACATGAATATAAATGAAATAAAGCTATCCAAACTAAAAAATGAAATTTCCTGTATCTTCCTTTCTCAGGCAGAGGAAAAATATCCAAGGATTTAAAATTCTATCCAGTGGTTTCAAAGGCAACAAAAGATCTCACATTGAGCTCTCATTTAAATAGGTGGGGTTAACCAGGGTAGAAATTACAAGTTAAAGTGCTGCAGCATAAAGAAGAAAAATAATCATTTATGCCATTTTCAATACAGAATTTATTTCCAAATCAAAACCCTTTACACTTGGAATATTGTCAAATCTCAAATTTTTACCTTGCTGAGATCTACGACCACCTTTTGAAACTGAGACAGTGTAGGTATGATTACTCCCTGTATACTCAAGGGTTAGGAAAATGGAAAAGAACCGTGAGCCCCTCAAGAATGGTGGCTTTTCTTATTGGAATGAAGTAAATAAAATAAATTCATTGACAATGCATTTAATTTCTTTCTTAGCAATTAATTGTGTATCTACATTGAATGATAACCGTGTAAACAGTCAAGATATGCATGTGGCAAATGAAAAATAAAGCAAAATGTTTTATCCTGAGTTACATGGATTCCCAGAGTGCAACGGATGGGGAAAGGGTTGGGGGGAGGGATTCTCCTAGGTTTGATAACACTTTCCTTAAATTCAACAGCAATTCACCCCTGTTTAGCTGTTCTACAATGCTGATTAAGAGGGTACAGCATTGTGCCCTCTGGGTGCTCTGTGCTCACTGGCTTGGGTTTTTACTGGGACCCCCAGTTTTGTGTCCAATGGAAGTTGGGAACACAGCACTCCAACCTTCCCCATTTTTAATCCTCCTAGAGACTCCTAAAATAATCCTTTGAAGTTTTGTCATAGCAGAGAGATGCTGTGAGAGGGAAAGAGGTTTCCACATACTTCCACCCCCACATAGCTGAACATGAGCTGGCATCAGGTAAAAGTTCACAGGATTCCCAGTCTTGGAAGACTCTTCCTCCTCTCCCGGCCTCTCAGTTTGCACACTCCTATCCATTCCTTTAAGCCCAGCCCAGCCCAATCCCATATTACTGCATGAAGCCTTGTGCTATAGAATGAATGTGTATCCCCCACCAGAATTCATGTTGAAATCCTAACCCTCATTGTGATGGTATTTAAAGATGGCATCTTTAAGAGGTAATTAACTCATAAGCGTGGAGCCCTTGTAAGCGCCCTTACAAGGAGAGACAGGAGAGAGCTTTTCTTATCTCTTTCAGCACCATGTGAGGATGCAACAAGGAGACAGCATCTATAAACCAGGGAGAGGGCCTTCACCAAGAACCCACCAAGCTGGTACCCTGATCTCAGAATTCCAGCTTCCAGAAATGTGAGGGGAAAAAAAGGCTATTGTTTAAGCCACCCAGTCTAAGGTATTCTGTTGCAGCAGCCTATAACAGAGCTGATTGAGAAACCTTGGCTGATAACTGCAGCTTCCTTGGATGAAGTCAGCCTCTCTTTTAAACCCCAGGACCACACTGTAGCCCTTTTTACACGGTTTTATATTGCTCGTGGTTATTTTACAGGATTTTGGTCATTTCCCCTCAACTACAGTACAAGTAACATTGATGGCTTAGAGTCTTCTTTTCTTTCATATTATCCACTACAATGTCGAACATGCGGCATATACCTATGGGATGCTGCATAGACCTGTTGGTGGGTTGATTGAATATCACCTGCCTACCTGTATTACTAAGTTACAGAAGGAGAATAGGTGGGTTAAATGCTAGCATCTCTTACACTATTCTACTTCTCTTGATGGGGGAAAAAAAAAAGATTTAGCACTTACTGGGTTTAGAAGCTATACCAGGCACTGTTCAGCACTGCCTCACAATGCTAGGATAGGACTAGACCACATTAAACTCTGCACTGATTTCTTTCCCTGTGAAGTCCTTTTACATTTGAGCAAATTATCCATATTTGATTGAAATGAGAATTTACTAGGGCATAATTGATATGTTTGACTGAATTAGTCACATTTTAAACAGGTGGCACAAGATAGGTCATAGTGTGAATCAGAATACATTTAGTTCCACTGTTTTTCTGATTGTCCTAAAATGAATGTGACTTCTAGAACAAGTACTTCTGAAGCCTTTTAGTGCTTTCATTTCTGACATTTGTATCAGAGATGATAGGAATTAGTGTCATGTCAGCCATCTCTGGCAGAAAAAAAAATTATTCCCTCAACAAAAGGTAACATTCTTCATCTGGTGCAGGCCTGTGTTTCTGTCCTTACCACACATGGAAAAGAAAGGGAATTCCAACCCAAAGGACAGGCTTGAGGGCTGCCACCCACCCCTGGGGTTATTCAGCTGTTCATGCTCAACCACAACTCCACCATCAAACCTGTGGCCTCTGTAAGCCAGAATTGGTGATTTTTTTCTTTTTCTTTTTTTTTTAAACAATTGAATCCTAAGGGTATTTTTCTTTTGGCGCTGAAACGATATTAAAATTTACTGCAACTTTATTTAAAAAAATAGAAAACTAATGTTTCTCTGGGTCTTCCATTTTTTGAATAAAACTGACTCTTACCACCCAACACATGGATTTGGAAGGATAGCAGTACACCACCTTCTTAGCTCACTTGGCTGGAACATGAGCTGATGAAGTCCTAGTCTCAAGTTTGGCCTTCAAGAAAACTAGATAGGCTTGCCCTATGCCAGAGCCAATCTAGACCTGCCATCAGTTCTGTTTCTTCTTTGTGTGTGTGTGTGTGTGTGTGTGTGTGTGAGAGAGAGAGAGAGAGAGAGAGAGAGACAGACAGACAGACAGGGTCTCACTCTGTTTCCCAGGCTGGAGTGCAGTGGCATGATCATGGCTCACTGTAGCCTCAACCACCCAGGCCCAAGTAATCCTCCCACCTCAGCCTCCAGAGTAGCTGGAACTACAAGGGCATGCTACCACACCCAGCTAATTCTTGTATTTTTTATAGATACAGGATCTTGTCATGTTGCTCAGGCTGGTCTCAGATGCCCAAGCTGGTCTTGAACTCCTGGGCTCAAGTAATCCATCCACCTTGGCCTCCCACAGTGCTGAGATTACAAGTGTGTGCAACCACACCTGGCCCATCAGTTCTGTTTCTTGACCAATGACTATACCTTTAATGCTAATCTGCCTTTGTTCACAAAATAGGGCAAGTCAGTCTGAATGGCTGAGAAACTGGAGGAGAGGTACCACTCAAAATGAATATCCTCTTAATAGCAGATGTAAATATCTTCCTCCTCATTATCATCATCATAACAAACATTTATGGTGCCTCCTATGGAGCAGGGATTTTGCTTAGGACTCTGAACTATATCTTACTTGTCTTCATTAAAAACCTTATGAAAAAGGTACTATTATTAACTGGGGTTTTTTGTTTTTGTTTTGTTTTTGAGACAGAGTCTTGCTGTTACCCAGGCTGGAGTGCAGTGGCGCGATCTTGGCTCACTGCAACCTCTGTCTCCCAGGTTCAAGTGATTCTCCTGCCTCAGCCTCCTGAGTAGCTGGGATTACAAGCACATGCCACCATGCCCAGCTAATTTTGTATTTAGAGACGGGGTTTCACCATGTTTGTCAGGCTTGTCTTGAACTCCTGACCTTGTGATCCACCTGCCTCGGCCTCCCAAAGTGCTGAGATTACAGGTGTGAGCCACCGCACCCAGCCTGGGTTGTTTAACAGATAAGAAAGCTTAAGAATTAGAGAGATAAATTATCTTGCTTAAGGTAACACAGTTAACAAGCATTAGGTCAAAGTTTGAACTCGGGCAGTCTGACTACAGAGCCCAACCTATTTCATATAATTCATATTAATCTATTTTACTCACGAGTATCAGCACCACTAGATAAATACGTTAAAATAATCTATAATTTGAACAGACATCTCCTAATAACAAACATAATATCTATAAGTCGCAAATATCTAAGAAATTTACATCAGTATGACATGGTATTTGTTCTAGAAATAATATAAGTTCAAACACTCTGAGATGAGACGATAAATCACTCTGAAAACTAACAAATAAAATTGCCACAACATAAAGAAATAGTACAAGCACTAGTCAAAGCTAGAGGTCACTCTCAATCCATGTGAGAGGAAGCAAGAGTAAGACACTAGAGCAAGAATAAGTCACCATCCACATGTCCCAAAGAAGCCTCAGTGGCACTGCAGGAGATACAGAGACAGATCCATGGTGTCCCTGAAGCTGGGACTAAGCCAGGGCTGTATTACACCAAGGAAACCAGCCTCCCTAATCCCAGAGGGAGCCTTGAAGCGTCTTAGAGGGAGACTAATGGCCAACATTGAGAACACATGTCTATTAGCTTGCTGAGCCTAATGAAGTAATACAGCAGAGACTGACCTCATTCTAGAAACAGATAACAGTGGCTGTGCACAATGCTATGCCTAGACCCCTACACCTTGCCAGCCTGGTGTTCCTTATGTATTCAAGATACATAAAGATTAGATGTGTAGACGCAGGTTGTGAGGACAGTGTTTGGGGATAGGAAAAGCCCCCAATTACAGCTAAAAGAGATGTCTCTTTTGCCAGAAAGTGTGTTATATCAATTAAATGGGTAAATAAGCCCTTTTCCCACTGTGGGGAAGCAAGGGCCTCTTGTGACCCTCTATTGATTAAGACTGCTGTGGAATGTTATTTGCAATCTCATTGCATAATGGAAATCAGGAGGTAGCTGTCATGGTTTCTGAAGACAAATTGCTGGTAGCTGAGACAAATCATAGCCTCTTTCATCTTTTACTGTTCTCAATTCCCAATTAATGTATATCTTACAATCTAAGTTTCTTAAATCAGTCTGCTCTACTGTCTCAGGTAGTAAAAATGTGTAAAATGGTAATCTGCCTGACCCTACTTTAAGAAATTGTGTTTAAGTGACCATTGCACTGATCATTATTCATGAGCTATGCATTACTTAATAAGGAACACAACTCAAAAATGAACACAATTAAAAATAAATCCACACAACAGCTGCTGTGATTATGACCAATATGAACAGAAATCCAACCAGGTGTGTGTCAAAAGAAAAAAGCTGCTGCCAGACAGAACACTGTTAAATCTCATTTTTGTTTTGCACACTTTGACTTGCTAAGTCAGCCAGCAAGCAATTTGTATGGAGCAGTGCTTCCAAAGTGTGATGTGCAAAAGAGCAGCATCAGCATCACCTGGGAACCATTAGAAATGGCAGTTCTCAGACCCCACCCCGGGCCTCCCCGGACCCACTGAATCAGAAACTCTGCAGGTGGGCTCAGGAACGCGTGTTTCAACAAGCACTCTGGGTGATTTCTCGCATGCTACAGTGTGATAACCATTGGACTGAGCACAGGACAGCCTTCAGATTTTAAGTCTTCCTAGGAAGGCATTACCTTTGGTTGCAAACAGCTATGAGAAGAGCCCAGGAAGACACCTGTGTTAAAACCGCTGCAGTCTTCAATTGTGCTGTGAACCTAAAACTGCTCTGAAGTGAAGTCCATAAAATTTAAAAACCTGCAGTCTCTAGGGTGAATGGGTAGAAAGAGCACAGTACTTTCCTTATGCAGATTTATTTACATAGACCCTGACTTATTCTAGAAAGGTTTTCAGACAATTTTGTAAACCAAAATATATAACATCCAGTCACAAACCATTCTTATGGAAAGACTTCTCACTACTTTTCAAACAACCTCATTATTTAAAACACCCCAAACATAGGCATTTATCACTAAAAGCACGCTCTTAAGATGTCTTCGGTATTCACTTCAGGATTTCAGGCCATTTAAGGCTAGGGGAAAGAAAAGAAATTTAAATTCACCAAGTTTAAAATGTGCTCCGCCCAAGAGTCATGGTGCTCCCTGAACTGTCTGAGCATATGACCACCATGCTGATTCTAAGTTATTGCATGTTTCGAAGAGACATGACTTGGAATGTTGTGTCCTGTGACCCTGTCTTACAGCAAGATGCTTTCAGCAATTCACTCATCTGGCCCCTTTGTTGGTCCAAGAAAGGGCCCTACACCACCAAAATTCATTCTAGAGCTAATAGTATTCGGATGAGGCTCTAGCATTGTTTCAACTGTTTTTCAAAAAACAAATTTGAAGAGCAAAGGGAAGTAACTTGTTTATCAGAGATTTGTAAAATAAAGTATGGTCCATCCATATGATTAAAAACCAAGCAATTATTAAAAAAATAAAGTCCTGCAGTTCTCATTCTTGACCAAACATCAGAATCACCTGGTGATCTTTTAAAACATACCAATGCAGGGCTCTACACCAACCAATTTAACTGGTCCTGGCTAGGGTTTGGGCATCCATAATTTTTAAAAGCTATGCTGGCAATGCTAACATGCAGCCAGGATCAAGAATTACTGCAGTACATCTGTATTAACCAACATGGAAAATTTTCCCAAACATATTAAGTGAAAAAGAAAGTCATAAATCACATATCTGTTAATAAAATCATGTGTGCATGTGTTATTAACGGATTTATGCATTTGGAAGTGGACTTTCCTTTCATACTATGTATTGCTTAAACCTTCCAAAATGAGAATGTGTTCATATATTTTGCTTATTTTACTTTATTTTTGATTGACAATTTATATGTATTTATGGGGCATAATGTGATGGTTTATGTTTACAATATGGGGTGATTAAATTGGCTAATTAACAAATCCATCATCTCACATTTTTTTTGGTGTATGGTGAAAACATTTAAGATCTACTCTTTCAACAATTTTGAAATATACACGCAATTTCTTAATGTTAAAAATACATTTAAATGGAAATTTGTAGGAAAAAGAGAAAGCACATGAAAATAGCAACTCTCAAAATATAATCATGTTTCCTTCTTTCTCCGCTTCTCCCTATTAGTCTGCTTTCACACTGCTATAAGGAACTGCCAGATACTGGGTAATTTATAAACGAAAGAGGTTTAATTGACTCACAGTTCAGCATGGCTGGGGAGGCCTCAGGAAACTCATAATTATGGCAGAAGGCAAAGGAGAAGCAAGAAACCTTCTTCACAAGGTGGCAGGAAGGAGCGTGCCAAACAAAGTGGGAAGAGCCCCTTATAAAACCATCAGATCTCGTGAGAACTCACTCACTATCACGAGAACAGCATGGAGAAAACCACCCCCATGATTCAATTACCTCCACCTGGTCTCTCCTTTGACCTTTGGGGATTATAGGGATTACATTTCAAGATGAGATTTGGGTGGGGACACAAAGCCTAAACATATTGCCCTCCTTTTTCTAAAGGAGTATACAAGAAAAATAAACAAAATTATACTTCTTTCCTATCTATTCAACACATATTTCCAACATTGAGATTGGGATGAGGGAGAGAGTAGAGAGATATGATTTATTCATTCATTCATTATTTCTCTGACAGGCCCATGCTAGGTGCTAGGAATACAGCAACAAACTAGATAGACATGCCCCTGCCCACATGGTGCTTACAGTCTAGTGGGGGATGCAGACAAGTAGGTAAACAACTACAACCCAGTGAGAGAGACATTAAGGAGAGGAAGCACAAGCTGCTTGTTACTTGTAACAAAGAGACAATCTAGTCAAGGAAAGTGAGAAAAGGATCCCCAAAGTGGAAGTGGACCTTCATCCTGGGTAAAACCCTAGCCATTAAAGAGTTTTAAGAAGGGGAAAGAGATTACCAAGTCTCCATTTTGAAAGATCTCTGTAGCTGGGAGTTTAAGTGCTACTTACCAGTCCTCTCTCACCTAAGGAGAGTGAGCTCTTTTCAAAGTTAAATGAAACCCTGCTACAGTACCAAAGAGTTGACTGAAGAAGTCCATCTCCCAATATTCCATTATCTATTGCCATCAAATGAGATTGAACATGAAATTTACCTCCTACTGAGTTTACTGACTGCACTCATTTATGAGTTCATCTCTAGATGAGCCCGGATATGGCAGATTTACCTTTTCAAAGTTTTGAAGCTAATAAAACCCATTGTATGCAATAAATAACTCAAAAAAATGCTTGGCTTTATAGAAGTGGTTGCTACAATTGGTGGAGTCTCTTGGAAGAAAATATATCTTCATAAACATAGCAGGGTAGGCGAAGACTGCCAGGGAAACAAGCTGCTTCTCAGTATTTCATTGACTTCACATGAAGATCAATTTTAGCCATTTATAATCAGCACACTTCCACATAGGGTGAAATTATCTAGCCCACCCACAAATGGATTTCTATTTAAAAGTCTCATTTGATTGCTTTGGGAAGGATACACTACAGACTATCTAACCCCTATCCTTCAAGGGTAGAAAATTAACAATCCAGGTAAAGTTAACTAGAAAAACAAAAGAGAGAGGAATTATATTTGACAGTGTCCTCTTACAACCCAGTGCATCTTTGTGGACATTAATGTGAGTTACCTCCAGCATCAATGTGCTATTTTTAACTTAGAATATTCAATCTTTGCTCAAAGTAAGACATATGATTAGTGTTTGGAGTAATCAATTTGCTTTAATTTAAAGGAGAGCAGAGGAAATGTTCTAGAAAGGAGAAAAAATTTGAGCTCTTTATAAAACACAAATTTATGGGCTTCTCAAACATTTCCAAAGACCCTCTCCTTTTTAAATTCTTTCAAAACTACACAATCTCTTATGGGGAGCTGGACCCCTCTTTTCACTGGGTTGTCTGCAGTACAAAAGCCCCTGAGGTGTCGTTTATACCTCTGTATAGGATGGAGCTGTTCTGGGTCTGCTATTCTACCGTTACATGTCACATTATCCTAATTGATACTTCTGTTATCTAAAGCCATTAGCATGTTATATGAGTGAAGCAATCACCTAGGTCTGCTCTGCCCCATGTTAGCTGATATACGATGTGTGTGTGCATGTGTGTGTGTGTGTGTGTGTGTGTGTGTGTGTTAGGGTACACTAGTGCATCTAAAAAGTTCAGATCATTAAATTCTTGTTCTGTAACTCTCAAATTTGTTTCCACTCCCAACACACCTGAGGGATATGAGACACTCATCTCAATAAAAATAGTTCCCAGAGAGGGGCTTGGGAGGCACACATCATTCACTGGATCCTGCCATTCGAAAAGCCTCCCAGGTAGTTTTAATAATGCAGCCCACACCCCTTGTGGGTGAGGCAACAGCAGTATGAACCCCACCGTACACTCGAGGTTGAGTATCACTAATCTAGTAAAGCATTCAGTATCCTATGGATCTACGCCACATGGCATCTTCTGTTCCCAGGTTGTGTCCAGCTCCAGGCCCTTATTCAACCCTCTTCTAAAGTTAAAGAGGCCCATTTTTTTCATTTGCTTCTGAGCTTGGATAAGAAAAGAAACAAAGATAGGATGACACCACTTCCCTCTAGGTCAGATGAGCAGGGCCACCTGTATTCCAGCAGAGGAGGTGGCTATCCACTAAGTGCAGTCTCTGTTGGGGCTAAATGAACCTCCCCAACTGATGCCAGCATCTCCTTTGCAAAGACAAATCCCATTTAATTCCACAATTAGTGATCCTGAAGGAAATAAAATGCTCCTCTGACTTAAACACAGACATACTAACATAGAGATAGCTGACAACACCTAGATCCCTTGCATCAGGTTTTGATTAGGAGAACACTTAGGAATACAAGGACTGGAGAGGCTGACACAGGAGGAGCAAGACTGAAGAAAGTGGTAAATGGGGCTGCATGGAAGATGTTGTCTCCTTCACATTTTAGTTCAGGAAGATACTGCAGGTAAAATACATGGCCTTCCTAAAGTTGTCCAAAAAAAGGAAACTGAGACATTTAGGGATCACTTCCAAATTTGGCCCAAATATTTTCCATAAAATTTTAAACACATCGCAATCACATTCTTAAAACCCCAATTTATGTTTATTGTTGAGTAGGACAGTGAGTAAGTTCATGAATTAAGACCCTGTTTGTATTCCTTATGATCAAGGTTCATTGCATATCTTCAGTGGAGATGCTCTACCTTCTTTAACTCCATTATCTGGGAATAACTAGCAATACATTAATTTCTGGGCATATTTTTAGATTCTGTGGGTCTTTTGCTACCCTGAAAGGGCCTAAGCTTGAGAAAACTGTCCTAAAACTTACTTTTACTCAAGTCATAACCTTTGGAAAATTAGTATTTAAGAAAAGTATTATTTTTCAAAAAGGAGCTATATGCCAATCTCCAATGCATTAACTGCTAATCATTCCTCTGATAACTATTCTAATATTTCATGTCCATCCTAGCATATATGTATAAACAGAAGTCATCCATACATAGAGTAGACAATTTTCTATCCCAATTGCTTTATAATTAATACTACAAATGGAGTGCTTCCTGAAAGTCACATAAAAATCAAACTAAAGTAGCATAAGTTGCTATTATCTAATTCACATTCTTATGGTTCCAGAATCACCTGTAAGATGGACTAGGCACTGACATCTCACTGACGGACTTTTGAATTACAGACGATTTTCAAGTCCAATAACTTGGTTAATAACTAGATTTGCTTCTGTAGGTTAAACGCGCACTCTGGACCAGTGAACCGATCATGTTAGTCATGACATCTACCATAACAGCACCCCCTCCTGGCGATAAGTGACCCACCCACTCCCTGCACTTCAGTTAAGGGTAGCAAGAGCTGCCCTTTCATGTGTTGGTGGGTGTCTCAAGAGATGGCCTGGGGCATTGGACTCTGCCCAGAGAGTCAGTAGTAACCCTCTCACCCAGTCAGATGGGGTCCCTCCAGAATTACCCAAGAAATTAAGAGAACTAACCAGTCAGTGAGGGAAGAATAGAGAAGAGAGAAGCCAGATCCCCGCTGCATAAAAACAAAACACCCTCTTGCCTTCAGGTGGCCTGGAGTTTCCTTCAATAGCCCAAAAAACCAAAGGACATGACCAGGTCCTGATGGAAGCCTTCCTGCATTTTCTCATTAAATATACCCAACAATCTAACACAATCTTATTATTCCCATTTTGCAGATTGGCTGATTCTATGGCAAAAAAAAAAAAAAAATGCAAACAAGCTTGGAAAACCTCATATGAATACCTTATCTCCTCCACCACACTCCTCAAATCTTTGCCCACTTTTGGCTGGGCACCAGGCTACAGGAAACAGCCAGGATTCACAGGAATTACAATGGTATTGACAGGAACCCGAATTGGTTTATAAGGAGAGGGAAACCAAAAGGAGAAGATTCTTAGGAAACTTTTCCTCTCCTCTAAAAGTGATGTTTTTGAACCACAGTTGCTAAGTTAAAAATAGAAAAGAGATGCCTTGGAGCAGGTGAGGAGGGAGTTCAAATCAGAGAGAAGAGTTACAGAAATGTCTGAGCTGGACACCAACCCAGAGCAGAAAATGCCATATGGCACAGAACCGGGGTAGCTGGGAGGAATACTAGATCCCAAGATGTGGGAGGAAGCCTGGAGAATTCTGGTTCCACATCTTCCCTCTAAGCAAGGAGTCCCTCTTACTAAGAGAAATGGTTAACAACTGCCTAGTTTCCCTTGAAGGTTTCCAGAAATGGAGAACTAGAGCAACTCTGGCTACATGTTTTAATTGTGTCCTTCTCACTGTCAAGAGGCGCTTCTTAATGTCCTGCTCAAATGTCTCCAGCACACCCTGAAGCCTGTTTGTGCCTCTTCAGTACTCCTTAGACGCAGAGAGCTTCTGCTTAGCATCCTCCTTATTTGAGAAAATTTCATCTATCTGAAAATAGCCATTAAGTTGCCTCATACCATTTTCTCTTCTAAACTAGGGAAATCCATACAGAGGCTGCACAGCCACTCAAGGGGGTGTTACAAAGAGGATTCCAGTGCCATGAGTGGGCCAGACTAGATGTGCCTCTGAGATATCTGCCAAGCCAGAAATCCTTTGATTCAATTCCTTTCATCTTTTGTGTGACATTTCCCATCACTTTGTTCACATTTGTCACAATACCTGTCATCTGTCCAACTTCTCCATATTCTTTTAATATTTCTAAATCTAATGTGCATAGGACCTTTTTTTTTTCTTTTTTTTTTTTTTGAGACAGAGTCTTGCTCTGTTGCCCAGGCTGGAGTGCAGTGGCATGATCTCGGCTCATCGCAACCTCCACCTCCCAGGTTCAAGCGATTCTCCTCCCTCAGCCTCCCAAGTAGCTGGGACTACAAGCGTGTGCCACTATGCCGGGCTAATTTTTTGTATCTTTTTAGTAGAGACGGGGTTTCACCGTGTTAGCCAGGATGGTCTCAATCTCCTGACCTCATGATCCGCCCGCCTTGGCCTCCCAAAGTGCTGGGATTACAGGCGTGAGCCACTGCACCCAGCCAGGAACCATTTTTCACAATATAAAACAAAGGCTCATTAATTCAGATTAAGTTGAAAAATTCATGTCCCCCTGAGTAAGAAACCAGAGTGAAAGTATTTTCAATTAAACAAATTATGTCTATTACAAAAGACTACATATTGGTTATTAATAAATAAAATGAGAAAGTTAATGAAAATGGTGAGTTAACAATAACTTTATTTTTACTGCACTTTATACTTTTCAAAGTATTTTTACATATATTATTCCATATTTCCAATTTTATTCAATATGTAAATGCAACATATGGGTAATAGATCACCAAACCTAAATCAAAAAGTCTAATTTATCCTGCTAAATTTGAACTTTTAATGCAATAAGAATTATATATAATTATTCCAAGTCTGTATCAGAGCAGTCTGAATTAATAAGGTTCTGCTCTATTGTAGTTATAATAAGCCTGACAATTTTATGACCATCTCATCTCCCAGAGTGTCACTCCCATCTACACATTAGTAATAAATACTGTTTCTTCATGAACAAACTTTTGTCATAACAGAGCATCCCACCTTAAAGAAGTTTCACTCAGTAAATTAAATAGCTCAAATACCATAGAAATGTTTTCCATGATAAATGCGCTGAGTTCATTATTCTCTTCAAAAATGCTTGTTTAATTTAAAATGAGCCTAACAAAGAGGTTATCCCAAGATGACAAGGACCCAATATATCACAGAACTTTTCACCTTTCTCTTTGTTCAGGAAAAAAAAAAAAGAGTCAAAATTAATCCAGTTAATTGTAAGTAATGGAACTAAACCAATACATGTAGAATGCCCCATATAGAATGTCCCATTTGAGGAACCTGGTAACACCAAAAGGGTCTATGAGCACCTTCACCATCTTCACTTTCTTCTTAAACCTGCAGTAGGAGTCATAGCATTTCATTGTTCTTTCACAATGGTCAGAAAGACAATGCCTTTACCTACCTTAAAAAGTCTTAAAATGTTAGCAACCATGATGGACACGGAGCTTGCTGCAGCACCTATGACGCCAGAAATCTTGTCGGGCTTGGTGAAAATGGGTGGATCTCCATTAGCACACTTCACATCCGAAGCATCTTTCTCTATTAATGCCTGCACGAATGTTAGAGACTGCTCCAAAGCATAGGTGTCCCTAGAGCACGTGTCGAGGATGCGGACACCCAGAGTGATGTTGGAAAGGAGATCAGGGTCCTTGTTAATCTGGTCAATTGCATAAAGCATGGCCTCCAGTCTGTGAATCCCCTTTTCCTTCTTCAGCTCCCCACAAGGCACCCCTCTCTCTCCCTTTGCGTGGACAGGGAAGAGACCCCCCAAAATAATGTCCCCATCCACCCGTATGGAATGGGCATACTCCTGGCTGTGAGTTCTTTGCATCATTGTGAGGATCCAGTAGAACTTGGCGGTCAAGAGGAAGAAACAAGGGCAAGAGGCTGATCGCTTTCCCTCGCATACCATTTTCTCCACAGGTGGTATTGCAATCCAAGACCCAAAGTTTATTCTTGCCACAGAAGAAAGGGCACCACCTGAGGCTGCACCTTCTGGAGGCTACCATCAGGGCCCATGGGGAAAAGGCTCTGTGGGCATTAGCAAGTTTTCTTGATTTGAATGTCACAGTGAATTTCCATCAGACCCCTAAGGTTCAATTTTATTTCCTTATAAGATCAACTTGCCTGGAATGGTGCAAAAATTAGAACATCTGAGGTTCTGATGTTGGGATGAGGTCAACAATTCATGTCCTTGAAATCAGCCTTGTAGCAGAATTATTCCTGGGAAGAGGGGAAAAAAGGGGGTTCAGTTCAGTGGGTCTACATGTTTCACATTTTGCAGCCCTGTTTACGCCAGCCTCTTAAAAAAAAAATCCCCTATTCAGTAAGAAACTAATTCTTTTTGTCCCCCTGTGATTCTGAACACCTGGCTGCACTGCATCTAAACAGGGAGATTGATCATATTTTTGGAGCAAGAGAAACAGAACAGTATCAGGAAGTAGGTTGATTCTCCCAAACCAGAAAGCACTTTTATTTATCATCTTATTTCAATAAACCTTATTTCCATGAAGGTAAAAATCCTGCAACTGATGGCACCATTTCTTTTCAAATCTGTTTTTTTTTTTTGCAGCTATCTGAATTTAGCATTCTAATTTTGTCAACAAAATCATAATAAATATTATTTTCTGTGATGTATTCAACAAGCCAGTCATCTGTTAATGACTTTTTTTTTAGTGCCTCAAATTACCCAGTAGGAAAAAGTGATTATTCAATTACAAAGTGAAAGAGAGAAAGAAATCCACCCAAAGAGCTAAAAAATGTGTAAGTTTTGTAGCTTGTGAAAAAAAATTAACATAGAAAGTCAGCTATTTCATATAAATTGTCTTATTCTCTGGTAAGAAAACAAAGACTTGAAAATGAAACACACAGGTAAGGTGACATGTGAAGATATTCCTATTACCATTGTCAGGGTTTCCAATTAATTTGTCGGTGTGGGAGCAATGGGTATATTAACAGTTCTGAGGGAAACATGCCTTGATCCCAGAATCACTAGGAGCAAATCAGAGTTGTCAATCAATTGAAGAGCTGCCTAATTTTGCCTGACTCAGTGGGGAAAAGTTCATCAAGACTAGAAATAACTTGAAGTGAAAAAGGCTACACGCAAATCTACAGACAAAGCCTTTTTCCTACGGCCTTCACCCTTAATTCCGTAAGATTTTTTTCAAACGACTTTTGAAGAGATGTGACTGAAAATGAGAACTGACTTAACACAGGGAATCTGAGATTTGTAATGCACAGCTAATTAAGAGAATAAACAGCACCAATTTACTTTGGCAGGATGGTTAATCTAATGCTCATTTCTAACCTATTTATATATGGGTTTGAAACCTGAAATTTGGACAGTTCTCCTGTACCCTAGCCAACCAACATCTGCTTGTATTTTCCATTCACTTGTTCAAGTTCCAGTTCATAAAATTTTCTTTTTATCCTTCTTGCCCCGAAAGGAAAGATGGTGCTTCCCTGGGGGATAACTGAAAATATGCCCAAACACCTTCAAAGAAAGCTGCATTTTTTGCACTTGCAGATTAGAAAAGAGGGCTCATAGCAGCCCACTGCCCCATATTTCTGAGCAAACACCTGGCAGCCTAGCCAGCCAATGGCCCACTCGGCTGAGATAGTTCTGTGCAGCCTAAGACAAGTATTCCCTGCCTCCGGGCACACATTAAGCCTTAGATTTCCTCTGTGCTGCCCCCAAAATACTTTCTGATTTTTCTCACCACTTCACTGTTTAGTCCCTCACACTGGATTCTCCTAGCAGCTGCTTTTCCCTCAGAAAATCTGTGATTCAATAACAGCCTGACCTCAGGCATTCCACAAAAGGAAACACTCAGAAAGTCAACCTGATTTTCTGGATGAAACCATTTAAGTGATAGGCCATAAATTACACCGGCCACCCATTAAGAGAAGTAAGATTGTGTTTAACAGTTTCACAAGGAAAACCAGTCACATGATAGTAAAACCTCATTAACTCTGATCACTAGTTGAGAATTTGAGACCAATTCCACGTGGCTGAGCCGACCCTTGTTCTGACAGAGTACAGACTAAATGAATAAATAAGGTGAAGGAGAAATGTCTAGGGGGAGTGGATGGGTCTTGGGACCACCTTTCCTCTTTACACCAAGCCATCCCCCAAGTACTTAAAACACTTAAGAGAATAAATGGCTTTCAATTATAGACGAACATACAAACAGCCCATCTGTTCATCACAATGCATCCTTACCTATCCATGTGGCATTAACCTAGTTCCACTTGCTGTACAGTCCAGAAAGTAATAAAATTGAGTCGCTTTTAAAATTATTGGTAATTGCAGTATTGTTTACTCTCTTTGGCATCTCATAGCTTTGTTTGGAGCTTTAATTTTTAAAAAAAGATTGGGGAATGAATAGCAGTGAGGCAGGAATCAGTTTTGTTTAGTGGCTGAATGCACTGAAATGGAAAACTAGAGGTTCAGTTTTGGTTTCATTTCAGTTTCATTTATTGGACAGCTCACTTGAATTTTTGCTGGAGTTTCCGTCTCTGGAACACAGAATTAATTGCATGTAACCTCTCTGAAGCTTGCTTTTCTTGTCTGTAAAGGTGATAGAACCTGCCACACAGCACACATGGAAAGCATAGTATCTGGCTCATTAAACAGGAGTTATTGTTGCTAACTTAGTCTGTAATTCATTTTCTACTGGAGCAGAGCAACTCTTTCTGTATTTGCCCAGTTGGTGAGCTTTTACTGAATTTCGTTTGTCACTTTAAAAAATAAAATCAGAGCTACTTATAAAATATTTAAATCTTCCATTTATTTCAAAATCTGATACATTGTCATAAAAATCAGACTCCACTGCCAGAAGGTTTAGTTTCCCCTTTTAAAAAACCTAAGGAAAAATATATTTGAAAGTTTGTGAGAAACTACATCAGTTAGGTTTCATTGTATAATCTTAAATTACTTATCTTGCTCTTGTACAATTCTTGTGAGCTTTAATCCAAGCTCATCCTAGTGGAGTCTGTGAGTTTTAAACAAATCACAATCTTTCAGAGCTATAGATCCAAATACCTCTATTGTATGTTTTGTGTTTGATTTAAAGTATAAACAGCTCCTCTCTCAAACTGACCTGCCTCTGACATGTGGCAGAAGCGGGGACTGTGCTGGACTGTTTCAAGGAGGCGTGAGGTCTGGACTCCTGAAACCAATCTCAGAGGGGGACAAATCCTCTCAGCACTATGTCTGGGCCCACAGGGAGAGGCCGTGGAACCCTTTGGGGAGGCTTAACCATGAACCCTCATAGCCCTTCCTGTGCACTCCCCCGCCAGCCCACCCTTACTTACAGGGCACATCATACATCATTGGGCCCTCCATGGGCAGTCCCCTGGCCTAAGACTCCTGGAAGCAGGCACCCTGGCTGGACCCCGAGCCTGTATCCCCCTAAATGTGCTCTGTTTCCTAAAAGGCCAGAAGGATACCTCCTCACTGGCCAGAGCCCAGAATTCTGCTTTATTTTCTACACACCTTCTCTGTACCAGTGTCAAGTATCTAACACAGTATCTCCATAAATTTTCATACACCAGGCATTAGCTCTTGTATAAATGAGAAAAGAAGGCTCAGAGGGATTGAATATGGCCCCAACCCCTGAGAGCGTGAGCTGATAAGTGGCAGTGCCACCAAAGTCATCTGTCCCAGAAGGTGGGTCCTGTCCTTGGAGAAAGACCCCAGTGCTGCAGGGACTCACTGTGGCAGCACAAGGAAAGGGAATGGCCCTGCCCCTCCACTGCAATCTTTCAGAAAGGTGCACATCTTCAATGCTTAGCTCTGGAAGAACACTAACATATTAATTAGGAAGGGACAATCTGGGGGCATTTCCAGGGAGGTGATTTCTGAATCTCTCAAAGGGCTGAGAAGATCCAATGCGGTTTGTCCAAACACTTCTGCTCCAAATGAGGTCTCCTGGCCAGGTTGATGTCAAGGTGATGTCAGGTGGAACACACCCACCAACGCATGCAGGGTCTCTCTGGGTCTGCCATCACATCTTCCTTGGGCATTTAGCAGGTATGATTAAAATATGATAGGGTAAAATCCTCACTGAGGAATACCATTATCCAAGAATTGTAATTTTTTTCTCATAAAAAGGCCAAAGCAGCATTCCTATGCTGCATTCCATTCAGCTCTTTAACAAAAAGGTTAAGCTGAATATTCTCATCAATTCATATGACTGCTCACACTTGCAGCTCTTTTGGTTGTTTTGAAAATGCATCGTATTTCTGTATCATCTCCCATGCTGCAATATGTGTGCATGTCTATGGATTCTTGGTGGGGCAGAGTGAGGATGGGGCAGACAGAGCTCTCCCTTGGCAACAGACGCTTGGAATCGGATCTTTGTCTGACAGTCACTGGCTGGTAACACTGAACATGTCCCCTCACCCCTATGTGCTTCCATTTCCTCATCTGTGAAACGAGTGAGATGGACCACGTGATCTCTAAGGTGTCTTCCAGCTTCCTATTCTGAGATTCTATTACTTAATAATAAGGGAATATGAGATTATGCTCAAACATCAGAGCAAGGCTTTGCCAACTGAACACAATAACTGATTTTGTTTGCAAGTTGAGTGACTTTTTTTCATCAGTGAGAGGATTGTGAAAGCTCTTCTACACAAGCCAGCCTCATATTTTAAAAAATCTGATACAGGAGAAGCTCGACTTACTAAACAGATAAATTGGAAAGTAATTATTTGCATTACAGAAGAATTCACCACAGGTTTCCTTTAAATAGCTAAATCCCAGGCATTTAAAAAAAAATCTGATTTAGGAGAATTCAATTTGTGCCTTTATTTTTCCAATAACACAGCTATTGCACAAAAAGACCATATTTAAAGTAATGAGAAGCTACTTTTTATAATATGTATCAGATAAGAAGAGAGAAAGTGGGTGACATCAACACTTACTGATTGCCTGCAGTGTGCCTGGAGCTGCAGACACATTATTTCATTTCCCTCTAAAATACAACTATGAGGATGGTATCACAGCCTCCATTCAGGATCTAAGGAACCTGAAAACAGAAAGATTATATGACTGTGTCTAAAGTCTCAGGCGAGAATTCAAATGCAGGACTGCCATTATGTTCCTTCCCTTACTCCATGCCCCATGGGGGCAGGAGGCCATGCTGGATCTCAAACTAACCCTGATTTGATAATGAGGACTGGGAGTGAGATGTTCTAGAGTCCTAGGAGACACTGATTCTAGTCTTACTTCCCCCAGTACTCACTGTATAGCACTGGGCAAGTCACTTAACCAGATCTCAGTTTCTTGGTTTCTAAAATGGGGAATGATTTTCCCCCATCTCCCAGTTTGTGAAATCCAACAATATAATGTGTGTCAAAGTACTTTATAAACTGCCAAGTGCTATAAGAATGCACAGGGATACTATTAGTCTAACAATCTGTCCTAGAACTAAAATATGTTACTGGTGTATTGTACTTAGAAGATCTAAGAAAACCACTTTCTCATCACGCTTGGGTCTAGTCAGACCTTAACAACGGTCACAGGTCCAAAAAAAGTCAACCCTGGCAAGCCTATATGGAGAGCACAGAGCTTGAAGGAAAACTGGAAAGGACGCAAGAAGAAGTCAATGGAACTACCATGCCTGACCTGGAAAACTAAAGGTCATGGACACTGAGCATCTAAATCGCTATTCTGAAGAAAGTGGTGACAAGATAATCTCCTGTTGTGAAAACAAGACAACCGGAAACCTTCCTAAGTTGTAGGTACAATATAATGCTTCTACCGCTGGGTCATGACCACTGGAAAAGTCAGCCAATAAATAGCCAGCAGCTTTCTAGCTTTAGGCATAACCCTGCCTGGAAAAGTATGAAATTGGCAACACATGTGTCCAACAATCTATACTCCTCTGAGGGCTCTCCTAGATATTCCTACTTCTGTTCACCTCCTGCCCTGCCCTGCCCTGCGCTGACCTCCCCAGAACTAGGTCTCTTCCTTCCCTCAGTGCCTTTGTTCTTTCATTACCTTGGCCCTCCCCAGGGAGTGAGTGGATTCATTAGCAGGTATCAAAGCCTGAAGATGCATTACTGTCATCCCCAAATGGAACATCTGCATTCTCAAAATGATTCCTAGGAGAGCCATAATTTATTTACCAAAGAAATATCACCATTAATAATGGTTAAGGCTAGCAATGCAACAAGCCAGAGCAGAGAGCTAGGAGTCAGGAGCGTCTCAACAGTACCTCTCAAATCATTCCAACAGCATTGCCCACCACTGAGAAAGGGTGTCCTGGGATGAGACAATATTATGCTCAGCGTCCCTCCCAGTGAGTGGGTGAGTTTGTCGCAATTTGTCAAATTACCAAGTAGAAATGAAAATCAAAGAAAAAAGAGAGAAAGCCCAAATCTAAATTCCAATTCCTAGCAGAAAGAAAACCCTCTCTTGAAATGGAAACAATAAGCCAGCCAACTCTCAGCTCATAGCCTCTCCTGGGAACAACATGAAGTGGCCGTCCCTATTGAATGAACCACATTTGTGAGTCTGGGGATGCCCAGTCAGAGTCTATCAAGAAAACAGCAAGTTTCCTGAACCTCCGCAAGCCAGCCAACTTGACAGACATGGAGATGTGGCCAGGTCTTGGCTGTGGGTCCAGGAAGAGAGAAATTCAAGCAGCATCTTCTTTTAAGACACTGGGACAGAGCAACTCCACTCCCCCCAACTAAAGCAAGGTCATCTTTATGATGGGCATTCTAACTACCTGAGAAAGGTGGTAGGAAGGAAACTTGGAAGGAAAAAAACATGTGTGTAGTGTGCTGTACATCGTGCCCTGAAGACAATGGAACATTCATACACAAAGATTGGCACGCAATTGCCAATGTGAATGTCAGACGGGTTATTTGCTGCATAAATACCAATTAAACAAGCCCCGCAGCAGCTTCAACCTGCTCAGCCAACTTTGAAAAGAGCACATCTCTCCAGACCTCTAACTTTCTCCTGCACTCACTGGAGCTCAGCTCTTCCTTTTCTCTATTCCTTTTGGATGTAGATGTTTTTAGAATTATTCAAGCAGCCATAACTTTCGAACGGTGCATAACAGGGCAGAACTAGCTAGCACAATCCAAACAGAACAAATTGAGCCTAAGGAACAGTATACAGCTGTGTTCTCAGTATCTTCTTCTTTATTCCGGGTCAATTGTCTCCTACAAAGCCTCCCGTCATCTATTTCTCCCCACATCCCTTATTCAAAAGCAAGAATTCTCTATCTTAGACATGGTACAACCTGTAGTTGACTCTAAAATGGAAAAATTGCATTTTAAAAAACCTTGGTTCATTTTCCCTGACGGAGGAAGCTTTTCTTTTCAAAATTATCAAGCCACACGTTTTCAAGAACCAGAGAATGAATTGCACACAGCTGATTCTGCCTCCTACAGAGATCTTTCACGGTATTATTCACAAGCAAGTGACCAAGGTAAACTAAAGTGGTTTCTGTAGCCATTTGCAATTATTGACAAACAATTTCATAACGGAAAGTGGAAATTACAGGCAAGTGCAATAAGCTGTTTATCCACGATCTACCTGCTGGTGGCTCTTTTTCTCTATTTTTCTTTCAAGCAAAATACAAGCTACCATAGGAATGCTTTTCTCCCGTTCATGATTTTTCTTGTATCTCCACCACCAACCCTGTTTTCCAGTTCTGTCAGTTGGCAGGATTTGTATTCAATCGCGGTAGTAGCCCAGACTCTAGTGTATTCTTGGGTGTTCCAGAGACTCCCGCACCTTCAGGTTTGTGGGAAAGGATCCCCCAAATGGCAAATAAGGCACTCCCTCCCGGGGTGGGACTTGCTTAGGGGACTTAAGGGTTTCTGCAACCGGCGAGGGGGTCTGTTTTCACCCCCGCTATCTTGGGTGCGCAGACACTCTCTGACACCAGGCTTCACAGTTTGGGCCACGGGGGAAGTAATTCCCCAGGGAACCGCGGGGGTGCGGTTTTGCGCAACTGGGTGACTCGCGTGTCCCTCCGCATTTCATTTGCACCAAGGGAGCGCGTGTCAGACGAAGGGAATTTTTTTTTCTTTTTTGGTGATTCTGTTATTTTTTCACCAACTGTACGAAGCTCAAGGGATATCCGAGCTTTCTGGCTGGGCGGATGGGCTTCGCGCTTGGCATGGCTGAGCGGTCCATCTCTACCTCTCCGTTTCTATCTCTACCATAACAGCGACCACTCAGCCCGCCAGGAGCCCCTGTTTCCCAGCGCAGGTTCCTTTTTCTTCTCAGTTCCTTGGGCTGTTGAAGCCGGGTTCTGGGTAGATAGAGACTGGGGCCGTGGGGAGAGCGCCAGGCTGCTTTTGCCTTTCCCGCGCCCCGGGGCATTCCGGCGCGCTGGGGATGCAGCCTCCGCCCCCGCCGCACCTGGCCGCCCGAGCGCCCGCGCCCACGCCCCGCGCGGGGCCGCCCGAAACTGGGGCCGCGCCAGCCGCGGGAGCTACCGAGGAGCTGTTGGGGTGCGTTTGCCTTTGCTTTTTAAACAAGATCCCCGAGACCTTTTCTCCATCCCCCCAACCCCCAGCAGGACACGGAACTCCGGCGTTTCTCGAAAGCCACAAAAGAGGGGCACGGAAATCCCAAGCTCGCCGTGCTAACTCGGAGAACGCAAACTCGAGGCAGAGCGTGCGCCGTGCGGGGATGTGGGTGTCGAGGACCCCGAAGCGCCCGGCTTCCCCCGCGACCCCCATCCTCCCTAGATCCTGGTTAGACATCCATCCAGCCCACGCTCAGAGGGCGGGGGTTACCCCGACTCATCCCGGAAGCCGCTAACTTCAGAAATCCCTCCTGTTAGGTTCGCGAAACGAAGGTACCTCGTCATCTCGGCGGGGCAAGTCCGGATTCCACCAGGGCAGGTCCGGGAGGTCACCCAGGGCAGACGATCCGAGGCAGAGCGCTTTAAAATCCTGCCGCCGCACGCCCAGTCAGAGCGCCGAGCGCGCCTGCCCCCTTCCCGTCACCCTTCAGTCTCCCATTCGCCGACTAAACTTTTGGGGGATCACATCTCCAAGCCTTGGGAGTTCCGGGTAAAGTCTCCCTCTTTTCTGAACCTCTTTACTGTAATGTAATCATGGGCAGACAAGAGGGGTGGCTGCCTTGTTCTTTGCAACGTAAAATCAACAGACACCCAATCAAGCTCCAATGCCCGGCCAGCCCCTCGCCCCCTGGTGCCCACTCTCCTTCTCCCCCCATTCCCGTCACCTCCGCCCGCTATTTCTCTCACAGACTACGGACATGCAGGGCCATCTACTTGTGCTCAGGAAAAACAAATCACTAGAGTGATATGAGAAGGAATGGTGCACCTGGCTGTCCGCTGAAAGGTTTTAGAGAAGAAAACGGAAAGGGGAATAAAACGGGGGGATTCTCCTTTTCCAACAAGCAGGGCGTTTTGGGGAAGTTTGGGGGCCAGGGGCTTTTTGTCCCGTGGTTCGGCACTTGCTTTCCTCGGAGCCGCTTTCTGCTGCCGGGCGGCGAGTCTTACCCTGCTCCCCGCAGAGGGCGCGGTGAGGAAGCCCGCCGGGGGCCCGCAGCTCCATGTCAGCGCCGCCGCCGCCGCCGCCGCCGCCGCGTGAGGCGAGCACAGCGGCCGCACTTGTGGCTGATCTCTGGGCTGAGGGGGCTGAGCTGGCCTAGCAGGCGCCAAGTCTCTTCCATGTGAATAACAAATACTCCCACCGGCGGCCGCGATTGGTCTGCGCCCGGCGCCTCCCGATCCTCCGCCCGCGGCCATTCACCCGGCGCGGCGCGGGGAGCCGCGGCCAGGATCGCGCCCGGGATCGCCAATCGCTTCGCGCCAACCAGTCACCTCGGGAAGCGGGAGGAGGAACCCCCGAGGGGCGGGAGCCTCTGGATTTCGGTGTCACCCAGCGGCCCTGGCGCGGGCAGGGAGGGGGACCCTCGGCCCGCGGATCCCCCTCCGCTCTTCAGCCTGAAGCGACGAGGAGACCAGAAATGTCAATAGTTCTGATTTTTAAAAATCATCCCCCCTTCCCCGCCCCCAAGAAAAAGGGGAGGACCCAACTACAGAGTGAGAGGGTGGGAAGAAGCGGGAGCGGTAGAAGAAGGAATATGGTTGTGGAGGAGCCCAGCGGCTCCGGCTGCCTGGCGAGCCCGGGACCGGCGCGGGGAGGCGCGACGCCCGCCCGAGCACAGCGGGCAGCACCCGCGAGCCCGGGTCCCCGGTGAACACAGCTCCAGAAAGCGTCACCGAGAATAACACATGGTAGATGACAAGTGTCCCGCCACATGCTTTCTTTTCGGGAATGCTTAAAGTAGAGCCGGCAAGCCGCGCGGTTCCCTTGCAAAGTTTGCCTGGCGCCGCGCGGCGGTTCCGCCATTTGTCCCGCCCCGCGGCTCTGGCGATTGTCTCCCCACTCCCCGCCCCCGAGGGTCTGAGGGACGCGTGCAACAGAGTCCCCAGGGCTCGAGGTACCACACAGCGCGGTCCGCTGCGGGCACTGCGCAGGAAGGGGCATGGGTGGCTACCGGGACGGTCATTTTATTGAGATGATTCAAGGAGCCGCAGACGCGGGGCAGGAAACTCCGGGGGAGCCGTGCTCGGGTTCTGCAGGGAAACCTCGGGATTCCCTTCGCATGCCGCATGCGGAAACCTGCCGGGCTCGACGTGCACAGTCCAGCGCTCCTCCCCACTAGTTACTGCCCAGGCCCCCCGATCCTGCACCCGCCGGAATGAGAGAAAGTAGCCCCTCGCCGCCCAGCTCCCGGGTAGCTGCTCCGGCCGGGCCTTGCGTTGGTGAGAAAGTTCCATCTAGAGGCGGCCGCGCGCAACTGCAGGCGGCGCCCTAGGCCCGGGCGAGCCAGGGAGAGCGGGGCGCGGGGGGAGAGGGGGCAGCCCAGGAGATAAGGAGGATGGAGAAGGACGGGAGAGACCCCGAAAAGGCAAGCTCTAGACCCCCGTTCGGCATCTCTACAATGAATTTTATCTTCCTAAGCATCATGAACTTATAAGCATTATGTCAGGAATCTTTCATTAATTCCTGTATATATCGCCTGTTCTGTTCGGGTTATTTTAATTTTCACATCAACTCTGTGAGATGGTCAAAATTATTAAGCCCACTCTACAGATGGAGGCAGAAGCCGAGGCTTAGAGACACGGCTGGAAAGTATTACAGCCAGAAATCAGTGTCTGGCTTCAAAACCCCATAGCACTTCCTCCCTGGTGGTGTTGGCTTTTCCCAAGGCTGGTTGTAATGTGCGAAGTTTCGATTGAGGAAACAGCTGTCTCTCTCCTAATTTCAAAAAAGGACCCTTGCCCTTTGTCACTTAGAAAAAATCTACAGGTTTTCAGCCCAGGGCACCTCTTCCCCTTTCGTTCCCTTCCTTCTCCCATCTCATGAGAGGCTCTTTGATTGTTGAATCATTATTTTATAGCTGCAACCACAAAAGAGGGAGGGAGGAGGATTTGGAGAGAGAAAATGGGCTGGGTCCTCTGTCTGAAAACCTTTCTGCATAGGGAACCTCAATTCCCTGTGAATGTCTAGTGCAGCTCTGAAGAGGGTGATCAGTGTCCGGTGCCACTTGGGACAAGGAAGGTGGGAAGAGGGAAGAGCTCCTAATTTATGCGGAGATGGGGCTGGGTGGACTTCCTGGTTGCACGCCTGCGTGTAAGACGCTTTAAAGATTTTCTTTTCTTAGGGACTGGAAGAGATCCCTCCTCCCCCAGAAGTGTAAAGTAAGTGCAGTGGCCTGATTTCTATAGCAGGAAGCCCACTCCACCCCAAACTCCAGACCCATGATCCCGGTCTGAGCAATGATATCACAGATAACGTAGAGGTATGAATAAGTCCGTTTTAGACCATTTACTACGTGTGCATTGATAAATTTGAGGGGAAAAGAGACACGACGGAGGGGAAAGGCAGAGGAGGCCCGCAAATACGTTGGGCATCGACAACTGCTGACCACACATCGTCTTCAGGGTAGGCTAGAGGCCAGCTGCAGGGCCAGTTGGGTCGTTGCCTGGCATGAGCCAAGAGGGCAGCAGCCTGGTGCTCTAGTGGGCCCATTTTAATAATAAGGGCAATAAGGCTGGCTGTGGCTTTGGAAGCCTAAGGAGGCCGAGTGAGCCTCTTGGGGAAGAAATGCCTAATGAGCTGCCTTTCTCCTTTCCCTATTGATCATTACCTGCAGAGAACTGATGTCTTACAGGCACATCGCTGCCCTTTTTGGTGCAGCCTTCTGCGAGAAAACTAGACTTGATCTCTCCTAAGGAAAGTGCAAGTCCGATGCTTCGTTTTGCATCATCTTTAACTCTTGATACTCAAAATAGAACCATCACTCAAATCCTACATGGAATCTGGTCAATAAGAAATAGAGCCCTTCTATATATTCTTCAGTGTTTCCAATGGCTTTATCTAGTAGCCCCTGAGCAAGTGACACAGCCTTCTGTACAGGTTATAATTTGCCCATGTACAGGTTATAATTCGCCCAGACTGATAGCAACACTGGGACACAGGAAGAAAGATTGTCTCCAGGAGGGACTGGTCCTTATCAGTAACATTCACAGGAAAAAGTTATTGGCTGTACAACCTCTATTCGTCAGGGCCAAACACCATGATGCTGCTTGCTCATTGCTGCAATCTGAGTCAGGGGAGAGTGTCTGAAGACCAGGCCGTCCAGACATGCAGCTTATTCTAGAGTCATCCACCTTGCCTCCCCTTGGGATCCCACCCTCTGCAATACACACTGTGTCTTTGGAAAGTGTCTGACCTCATCCTCCATCCCACCCCAAATGTTTATTCAAACCAAGTATATTTCCTAGTAGTTAATCCTCCAGGAAGATTTGCCTATAATCTTCTCATTTTCAGTTGATTTAAAATGTGAGAAACTGCCCATGTGTTAGAAAATGCAAAAAACAATGCCATATGTTTGGGGTCCATTTAACTCAAGCTGTGATACATATTCCACACATGGAGATTTATGCCACAATTCCTGCTTTGGAGTAATCATTAAGGCTGAGAACCTTTGCAGGCTACTCACCCAAGAGAAATATCGACAGCATGATGCTCCCACATGGAGCAAAGCTGACAGGGGAAAGTGGGAATGGGATTTGTTTCTTTTGGAAACGAAGACAATATTTTTCTTGCTAGACCATCTGCACATGGCAGTGAGTGTACCATGTGGGTTTTGCTCAGTTTATTAGACACTGGCTGCTAGAAGCAAGATCAGACATGTTAGACTGACAGTCAGATAGAGCCAATGAGATTCATGACACCAATGTCATGAATGAGTGTGTTCTGCACTTCCACAGTCAACTCATACCTGCATACAGGAGTCATGGGAAAGATTCTTTAAGAATTTCTGACATATGGTATATGGGCATCTCTACTGGCTTCATTTGGGTTCCCCTAGAAGCACAACCTGAAACAAGGATTCAAGAGCAGGTAGTTTAAGAGGTGAAGGGAATCCCAGTACTCAGGTGGGGAAGTGAGCCAATAAAGGGTGCATTATCAAGCTAGGTATCACTGTAGGCACCTGGTACCTAATCCCAGTGGGGAACTCTGGAAGTCAGTGTAAAACACACAGCAGAGAGTGGGTCCAACTGAGGGATGAGGGAGCTGGGGTATCTATACACCAACACTTATAAGATGTTAGTTAAGAACTGCTACCAGATGATGTTTATTCTCTGGCAATTCTAGCCTATCACATGGATGGCAAAGCAGCCTCCAGAGATCATGTAAAGACCTCTGGAAAAAAAATGCAGGGGCTGGCAGTTAGTAGGCAGGTGATATGTAATCAGGGGTCAAGGACAAGACAATAAGGGCAGGTCACAGTTAGCCTCTGCAACACCTGTTTAGGCAAACCTCATAAAACTTGTACTAATCAAGGCAGTGCCTCTCTATGTGTGTTGCAAGGACCACCTGCCTCAAAATCACAGGGGTGCTGATTGTAAGCACAGATTTCTGGGCCCTATCCCAGAGCTGTTTGAATCAGACTTGCTGGGATGGGGCCTGGGAAGCTGCCTGTTTTGCAAACGTTCCAGGAAATGACGTTCACTAAAATTTAAAATGTACTACATTCAGGAAATCATTCTCCTCACAGGCAGCCAGCAGGCAGCACATTTAAATATATGAATACTTGCTTGCAATGCCTAAGGAGGCAGACCTGAGAAATGAGGAGCCCAGGGAAGGGGTGCCTATATGCTCATATCTGTCCATGGCCACAGAAGCTCTCTTTTCTCTCTTTTACTCCACTCTCCCTTTAGATGGGGTTTAACACTGAGAAGGTTCCATCGAGTATTTTCTGGGGGGAAAAAGAGGCTGAGCTCCACCCCTAACTTTGCCATTAATAAGTCATATTATCTTGACCCTTTCACATTTCTATACTGCAATTCCTGACCTATAACATGTGGTTGGCAAAAAGACACCTGTCCAGCCAAGGTTCATGTTCCCCTTTCAATAATGTAGAGTTTTTACTGGAAAGAGGCTGTCCCCTCTGCCACACACACTCAGGAACTACATATCCCTTCCCTCCCTTGCATCCAGATGGAGTCAAGTATCTAGTTCTTACTTACAGTATGAACAGAAGTGATGCAGGTCGCTTCTGGGCCAAGGAAGTCAAGAAGCAGACACCTCCTCACCCTTTCTTTCTCCTTCTGCCAATGGAGATAGAGATTAGCAGCTCAAGATGCAAGGGCCAGGGTCCTCGAATTTCCAAGCTGAGGAATGCTGCATCCCTACTAGAAACATCCACATTGAATTTTTGGGTGAAAGAGAAACTTTCACTGTGTCGAGTCACTGAAATTTGGGAATTCAATTGTTATAGCACCTAGTGTTATTAATAACATGGACATGGTAACATCCGTCTCCGCTAACGTAGGAAACACAGGGGGAAGATGTTCCTGCTTCTCGAAGAACCAATTGAGGTCAAGCTGTAATCATGGTCGTGTGCCCTTCCTTGATAACATTTATGACTCAGAGGAACAGGGCCACATTTGTCTCCTTCCTGAGCCCAGTCCTCCCTATCACTGGCATAGCCTAAGATAAGGCGGCTCCTCTGCCTCACTGTAGTGTTTGCCTCTTCACTGAATAGCCACTCACTGAGACCAGGGACATCTTCAGGCCAAGGCAGAGAATTGCTTTTCATCTCTTCTTTTATCACCTCTCTCAAGTATCAAAAAAAAAAAAAAAAAAAAAGATTCTTTTGAACTACCTGAGAAAAGGAAGTTGTGTTTCCCCAAGCTCTGAAACACACTTACTTTCTTCCGTACCCATCCTTCTCAGATCAGTTTAGTCCTGTCTTCTCCTCAGAAACCTTCCCAAACTTCTAGAGCATCCTAATCATACCCACACAGTTCAGCTGTTGGTTGTTTATTTTCCTACATTTCTCTATATTGCTGCACATCTGTCAAGCTGAACTAGACTGTCTTATGGTGTACTGGCTGTGACTTCATTTGGGTCCCTGAGCACATAGTAGCTAATCATGAGTTATCTGATGATTAACCTGGAAAGAGTCAAATGGCCACCCCACCACCACTGCTATCACCACAACTTCTGCCATCACCACCACCAATGATATGGTTTGACTGTGTTCCCACCCAAATCTCATCTTGAATTCTAGTTCCCAAAATCCCCATGTATTGTGGGAGGGACCCAGTGGGAGATAATTGAATCATGGGGACAGTTACCTCCATGCTGTTCTTGTGATAGGGAGTGAGTTCTCATGAGATCTGATGGTTTTATAAGAGGCTTTTCCCCCATTTCACTCTGCATTTCTCCTTCCTTCCGCCATGTGAAGGACATGTTTGCTTCCCCTTCCACCGTGATTGTAAGTTTCCTGAGGCCTCCCCAGCCATGAGGAACTGTGAGTCAATTAAACCTCTTTCCGTTATAAATTAGCCAGTCTCAGGTATGTCCTTACAGCAGCTTGAGAACGGGCTAATACAACCACCATCACCTTCACAACTACTACAATCACAAAAACCACCACCACCATCACCATGACCATCATAGTGACCACCAGCACCACTTTCACCACAACTGTCACCACAACCACCACCATTGCCACCATCACCACCACAATCACTACTACCATCACTACCACTACCACAACCATCACCACCACTACCACCATTACCATCGCCATCACCACAACCACCTTCACCACAACCACCACAATCACTACCACCATCACCACCACCACTGCCACCACCACCATCACTACCATTATCACCACCACCATCACCACCACCACTACCCCCACCACCATCACTACCATTATCACCATCACCACCACCACCACCTTCACCACAATCATCACCATCACTACCACCATCACCACCACCACCACCACCTTCACCACAATCATCACCATCACTACCACCATCACCACCACCACCACCATCACCACCACTACCACCATCATCACCACCACCATCACCACAACAACCATGACCACCATCACCACCATTCCTTCTACCACCACAATCACCATCATCGCTACCATTGTCACCATCACCACCACCATCACCACTACCATCCCTCACAAACACAGCGTAGCTCCCTTTGAGGCCAAAAGGTGACACTAAAGAAAGCTTACTATACATCATATTTGGAAATCACTTGGTAAAAATTGCTGGATGTCACTTAATCCTTAATGTGACTTTGATTCATACATTTATCTCATCTCTTTAGGTTTAAAAATTATTTAAACCTTACATTATTTTATATTTCATTAGATTTTTAATCTGAATCTCAGAAACCTGAGTAAGAAAAGCAATTAGGACAATGTTCGGCAAATAGAATGTAAACGTTAGCTGCTAGCTGATATTGTCCAGAAAACAATCTATATTACATTTCATATGAGTTTAAGTTCATAACAAAAACTTCTTGTGATAATCTTAATGTCAGAAATGAGCAATAATTTCACGAGACTTCTAGTGACAGAATTCTCTGGCTTGTTTTGCTACTGCCTTTCATCTGACCAGGTAGTAATAGCCAAACAAAAGGATATAAATGAGCATGAACTCAATAATGAGTCCAGCCAAGCTATTTGATTCTTTCGCTCTTGAGCACCCGTTTGGCTCAGGGACCCAAATGAGGTCATAGCCACTACATTATAAGACGGTCCAATTTAGCCTGACAGATGTACAATCATATAGAGAAACTATAGGAAAATATACAACCAACAGCTAAATTATATAAGCCAGATCAGGGTGCTCTACGAGTTTGGGAAAGTTTTGAGAAGATAGGATCAAGCTGTTCTAGGAAGAATTGGTAGAGAAGAAACAATGAGTGTGTTCCGGTGCTTATGAGAAACAGTTTCCCCCTTCCCAGGTAGTTCAAAAAAATCTTACTAAAATATCTTCTAGATGCAAAATGTGACTTAAGGTAAGCAAATCATGAATTCCACCTAAGGGTATTGAGATACCAAAAAGGACTCTGCTAAAGGAATAGTTCACCTAAAAGGCAACATATTAATTATCTACTGCTACATAACAAAGTACACCCATAACTAACAGTTTTACACTGTACATATTTATGATCTTGTAGTTTCTATTGGTCAGGAATCCAGGCATGGCTTACCTAGGTTTTCAGCTCAGGTTTTCTCATAAGGCTGCAATCAAGATGTTACCTGAGGCCTCAGTCATTTCAAGATGAGTCTTGAAAATGGGCTGGGGTAGAATCTGATCTGCTTCCAAGCTCACTCAGTGGTTGTTGGCAGGATTTAGTTCTTTGCTGGCTGTTGGGTGGAGGTCATCCTAGTTCCTTGCCACATGGGCCTCTCTCTAAGGCAGCTCATAACATGGTAACTGCCTTCATTAGAGTGAGCAAGTGAGAAAGAGAGCAAAAGAATATCAGCAAGATGAAAGTCACCACCTTTTATAATCTAATCTTGGAAGATTTGCCACATTCCCATCACATTTGCCCATATCCTATTCATTAGAAATAGGTGTCTAGGTCCAGCTCACACTCAATGGAAAGCAAGTGATTACACTACACAAGGACATGAATGCCAGGAAGCAGGGCTTATTGGGCCCGCCTTAGAAGTCTGCCTACCACAGGTGGGTCTACAGTTGGTACTGTAGACTCTGTTACAAGGGGACTTGTAAAGCTTTTAACATGACCACCTACAGTTAGATCTCTTGAGCAAGGAACAGCATATACCATTTATAAAGAACTCTAGTTAATGGAGAGTTAATACGTTATTGCATTTTTTCAAACAGGGAAAAATAAGTGTGTGAGGTGAAGAAGTAACAGTGGGCAGGGATCCCACTGGTTTTTAACAGCTTTAATTTTATTCTTTTATTTCTGGGTGGTCACAAAGCACTCTAAAGGATTTCTCCTGCAGTACCTGACATCAATCTTATTTTTCCCTTTCTTCTCTTCCTACTTCTTTCTCACTTCTTCCACATTCATACTTAGCGGTGACTTCATTGAAGGGAAGAAGAGTGAAAGAGGATAATTTGCAGGAGTTATTGCACTTGCTAATTTTCCACCCATTTCAAGCTGAGAGGAGAAAGAAAGAGAAGAAGCAAAGAAATCAAATAAGGAGGAAGGAAAGGAGAAAGAGGAGAGAAAATGAAGGCTACAGAGAAGACTCTAGCCATCTGTGTCTTTGTTGCCTTAAATTAGAAGTGAGGGAGAAATCCCCAGCTCCCTTCTCTGAGCTAGAAAAGCAGAATCCAGGAGGATTGCCAGGAGCAAGTTCTGGGTACAGTTTTTGGAGTGAGGAAGTGGTGGTAGAGCTGAGGCAGGTGCAGGCTGGTGGGAACGCTAGGGGCTGCAGGCAGGAAAAGCTGCCCAACAGCATGGGGAGCAGTGAGATCACAGGGCAGTGGACCCATAAGGGAGGAAAGGGAGCTGTGCCCAGAACAGCAGCTGGAGGGCAGATCTGGGTCCAGATTATGAGTTATGAAATATGAAGACTTGAATGAAAGGTGGAAACTAATCTTTCCCCAAAGACATGGTACTGGATGATCAAAATTGGGAGGGGTCTTTAGGCTGGCCTACAGAAAGACCCCATTTCTGTATTCTGTGCCTGCTTACTTCTCTCTCCCTTCTTCTTCAGGTTCTTCTCCCCTTGTCTCCTAACTCTACCCTTTCCCTTTCCATTTTCCTTTCTTCCATCTTCCTTTTTCCATGTCTTTCAGTTCTCACTCCTTACGTGAACTAATTATAGGATAGAAAGATATTATATGTTTTACTTCCAGAATAGAATTTCCTGTTCCCTTTTCTAAATTTAAAACCTTGACAGATGTTTATTTGTTATAAATCCTTATGTTTTAACTCCATTAAGTTATTTTTCATTTGTGTGACCCTCAATAGATTTTTCTCTCCTGTGACCCTTGATGGAAAAGAATTTTCATGTCCCTGCTCAAACTATAATTGTCGGATTCAGTGTCTGTATCATGTGCTTGGCTGTTAGGATAAAAGAGCACCTTTTTAGCAAATCCTTCCTTGATGAAAAAGATATTTTCAAAAATAAAAGTTCAAGGCTTCCAATTGGAAACTTTCAAATCTGAACTAAATTTAAAATCTCTGCAGATGACCTGTGGATTGAAGATTTCTTACAATAGATAGTCAGTAAAAAACAGAGGCTTTCAGTGTTAAACTGGTTTAAATAGTCTATATTGCAAATCTGTTGCCGCATCCATTCTTGATGAATGATGGTCAAGAACTTTATTGCCAGCAGGGAAAATAAAGATGATAAGCAACAATTTGATCTCAGGCTTTGTGGAGAAAAAAGGCCTAGCTCTTAAAAGCCTAAAATTAAACATTTCACCTCAATTCTGATACTGTTTTAGCAGCATGTGGAGGGCCTCCAGATGCTACACTCTGAGGTGTGATCCTGTCACTGTCACAGCTTACGGACTATGTCACAGCAGTGCCTTGACTAGGAAAACTCCCAGAGACACCTGCATGTCCCTGGATGGTGCTCCAGCCACCACAAGGCAGGGCTGCACTCTTCCCCACTGCCAGGCAAGGCCAAAACATCCCCTCACATTGGTGAATATTTCAGGCAAACCCAGTGTCCTACCATAAAGACGTTTAGATAATACACTGTGTGCAAGGCTAAATCAGGTGAAAATTTTGTAAACTCCTGAGTACACAGATTGGCAATACTATCGTGTCTTCAGAGACTGCACTGTGCACAATCAGCAGAGTTCATACGCTGTCATCTAACCATCTGACAAGACCAGCCATTTTGCCAGCATTGTTCTCTCAGAAGAATTGTTTTCAGATAAATGCATTCAAGCACATACATTTGTGAAGCTAAAATTAACCACATAAGGTCTGGGATTCCTTTTTATAAAGGTTCAAAACTGTGAGAGGAGGAAGTTTGAATCTTCCCTCTATCAATGAGGACTACAACTTCCAACTAGGCTTGAAAGAAGATGAAAGAGAAGAAAACAGAAAGGGAAGAAGAAAGGGTAGGGCAGCTAAGGCAGGAAAGGAGGCCAGAAGATTGCTTTGGAATGAAGGAAAAGAATGAAAGTCACCCCCAAAACAGAAGAATTGTTTCTAAAGAACTTAAATTTTGGTCACACCTAGAATCCATAAGCTAGAAAAAACTATTGAGTGATCCTGTCCTAACCCGTCATGTCATGATGAGAAAACCGATGATGCCCAGAGCAAGGAAGCAATTTGCTCAAAGTCCCCTGGTGAGTTATAGAAAAAGATGGGAATAGAAGACTGACTTCTTGATGTTGGACACATCCTTTGCACACACAAGGACTCTTAAAAGAGCCCATGATTATTGGACTTGGCATTAGCCATGACTGTAGTTGGACTCTTTTGTGGGAGTTACGGCAATGGTTTGAGTCTTATGCATATACAGAAAAAAAAAATATATATATATATATGTATATAATGCAAATTTTAACTATAGTTAAGCATGTATACATAATATATATGTTTACAGTATTACACATTTCTTTGATTATTCTATGTAATGTATACTTTAAATAGAAGCAATAATATGTTTTCTACTAAACCATGCTCTAACGTTCACTGAGTTTTTTAATTCACCTGACCAAAAGTCTTCACCGCAAGTACATTCAAATGGAGGAGACAGATAAGGAAAGCAAATATGGCCATTTATTTACATTTTCCAAAAGCACATGTTAAACATTACCTCCACTTTAGCACAGCATTATCCTAGCAACAGCTTTTATTTCGATCTTATTTTCAAGACATGTGAATAAAAGGGATGGATCCTATAACAACTTTGACTCCTCCCTGAGAACAGGATTAATTCTAGGCAATGCCAACAAACTGACAAAGATTGCTAAAGCTCCTCTTCCTCAGCTAATGTGACCTTAGTCCTTAGTCTTCCTCTTGCCAATCCCTCATACCCTGTCCCCCAGGAGTGAAATTATGAACATTTTAACACAGTGGCATCATGGAAACTCTTAATGCTTAACATACGCAGACTATTTCTTCTGCGTATTAAAGAGGACTGTTCAGATCACTAAACTGTGTCAAACCAAATTACTAAATGCTGAAAGCAGCCATATACATATTAATTAGACAGACAAGGAAGTATGATTTTCTAGATTTTGAATTCAACTAGGGTTAAGCTACTTGGCTTCTCAAGAATGGCTTCTAAGTGTCTTACCGTGCAACCCTGGTGGCATGTTTAGTGCCTATATGTACTAAGATGATGAAGCCCTCTGCATTTCTAGAACTTGTTTTTTCCACCTGCCTTACTCTCACTCCCCCAGTCAGGGCCCAGGTGGTATTTCTGTGATGTCCTTCTCTCCCTTCAATTCTCTTCTGTCTCTCCTTAACCAACAAATCAACCAACCAGCAAATAACCAACCAATCTTCTTCTGTCCAAAACAAACAAACAAACAAAATACGAAACTAAACAACTTCACAACTAACTCTCGCAACTCTCTCATATATTCCTAAAATGACTGAAACTCCGTCGTCGTTTTTCTTCATTCCTTCATTCAAGAGGGTTCCTCTTCTTACCCCTTGAGTGTTCAAATGCCTTCACAGTCTCTATCCCAAAGAAAAAGCTACTCTTGAAAAATCCTACATTAATATTTAAGTGACTACCAGCACTGTAGAAAGATAACATCTCCCAGGGAAGATCTTGCCTTTTAGCAAAGTTCTGTGAGGTTGTATTCACAGTGCCCATCCAGTTCCCAGGGCAAAACAGACTCTCAATTTTTGTTGAATTGGCATATGGTTCTGTGGGCAAAATTAAAAATTTCCCAATCAAACTCTGCTTTTTGGAGGGATAACTCTATTAATACTAATTCACTTTGGATAGGGCCAATCTTGGTTGACCAGGTAGTTATTCAAAAAAACTATTGGATTGTGACAATGATAAATTTTATTATTTTAGTCTTGGTGAAAAAAAAACTCATAATTTTCATGGATGGTTTTTCATACCAACTAGTTTATAAACTTCAATTCAGAGAAGGTATGAATATGATGTGTTAAGAATTTATTTTCCACACCACCTAACACATGCTTTACCTGTAGTCAGGGTTCAGTAGATACTTGATGAATAAATGTGAAAACAAATGAATAAAAATTGATGGAAAAATGAATGGATGGAAAGATGGATGCATGGATGGATGATGGAAGGACAGACGGATGGATGAAACAAAAGAGGAGAGTATTAGTTGACTGAAAGGGAAGTCACAGATTAAATGCCACAATTCACTTTCACCCAAGACAAAAATTACGTGTAGTTTCAACTAGAAGGGAAAATACATATTAAAGACAGAAAAAGGTAATAAAAGGATGAAGAAAGGGATCAGTGCAAGAAGTAGACCTGGAAGTAAGAGATTCATGATGATAAGAAAACTTTAGCACACCACGGTGTCAGAAAATTATCTGAAACTTGGAAATAGGCAAAAGGGGATTACTGGGAACCTTTTCAGTCAAGTGCTGAGCTTGGTTGGCATTTTATTGCCAAGGCCAGTTTACAACTCTGCAGAGACAGTGGTTAACCTGTAGATTTTTGCTTGCTACAATGGATAACCAGAGAAGTTATGGTTTATGGTTCTATTGAATATTAACCACTTTTGTATCTAATCCCTCCATCTTATTTTAGCATTGCCTATAAATTCCTAGCAACTCAAAATGCTCTTGGAACCATTTTTAAATGTCTTTCAAGTTTCCTCATTAATTAGTGAGTTGAATAAAATCTTTGACAATTGCTCATTCTATATTTGCATGAGAGTCATGATTTTCTCTTTGCAAAATGTATCAAGGGTCTTCACAACACATCCTTAGAGAAACATTAGGTTATTTAGCAAATAGAACTTTCAACTGCGGTTCTACCTGGTTCTCTGACCCCAAAACACACGAAGACATTTGGCTAGTCCCTTGCAGTTTGGCTTCTCTCTGTGAAAGTCTTGATGACTAAAGCAAATAGTTGTGCATCCTTTTCACAATATGTATTCAGTACCCATATTACACATTTCTGTACTAGGAAATATGGGGAAAATGTACTTTTTGAAAAATTCAATGTACTTTTGGATAAAATTGGGACATGAAAAGCCATTGCAGTTTTTCACCAAATGAAAAGAATAAATAGTGATTTCCTTTCTGTTTGAAAGTAACTAAAGTTTGAAAAATTTTTATTTATTCTTTTAACTTTTATTTTAGGTTCAGGGTACATATTCACATTTGCTACATAGGTAAACTGTGTCATGGGGGTTCGGTGTACAGATAATTTCATCACCCAGGTAATAAGCATAGTACCAAATAGGTATTTTTTCTGATCCTCTTCCTCCTCCATTCTCAACCCCCAACTAGGCCCAGTGTCTGTTGTTTCCCTCCTAGTATCCATATGTTTTCGCTATTTACTTCCCACATATCAGAGAGAACATGTGGTATTTGGTTTTCTCTTCCTGTGTTAGTTTGCTTAGGATAATGGCCTCTAATTCTATCCATTTTGCTGCAAAGAATTTGATTTGTTCTTTTTATGGCTACAAAGTATTCCATGACATATATATATACACACACGCCATGACATATTCATATATATATATACATTTTCTTTGTTCAGTCTACTGTTGATGGGCATTTAGGTAGATTTCATGTCTTGCTATTGTGAATAGTGCTGCAATGAACATACACATGCATGTGTCTTTATGGTAGAATGATTTAGATTCCTTTGGGTATATACCTAGTAATGGGATTGCTGGGTCAAATGGTGATTCTACTTTAAGTTCTTTGAGGAATAGCCACACTGCTTTTCGCAATGGTTGAACTAATTTACGCTCCCACCAGCAATGTATAAGTATTCTCTTTTCTCTGCAACCTCGCCAGCATGTGTTATTTTTTTACTTTTAATAATAGTCATTCTGACTGGTATGAGATGGTATTTCATTGTGGTTTTGATTTGCATTTCTGTAGTGATTAGTGGTGTTGAGCATTTTTTTCACAGATTTGTTGGATGCATGTATGTCTTCTTTTGAGAAGTGTCTGTTCATGTCCTTTGCCCATTTTTTAAAGGGGTTGTTTGTTTGCATGTAAACTTGCTTAAGTTCCTTAAAGATTTTAGATACTAGACCTTTGTCAGATGCATAGTTTGTAAATATCTTCTCCCATTCTGTAGGTTGTCTATCTGTTGATAGTTTCTTTTGCTGGGCAGAAATTCTTTAGTTGAATTAGATCCCATATGTCAATTTTTATTTTTGTTGCAGTTGCTTTTGGCATCTTCATCCTGAAATCTTGGCCAAGTCCTATATCCAGAATGATATTTCTCAGGTTTTTTTCCAGAGTTTGTATAGATTTTGGTTGTACATTTAAAAGTCTTTAATCCATCTTGAGTAGATTTTTATATGTGGTATGAGGTAGCAGTCCAGTTTCAGTCTTCTGCAGATGGCTATCCAGTTACCTTGGAACTAGGGAGTCCTTTCTCTATTGCTTGTTTTTGTCAGCTTTGTTGAAGGTCAAATCATTGTAGGTGTGTGGCCTTACTTCTGGACTCTCTATTCTGTTCCATTGGTCTATGTGTCTGTTTTTGTGGCAGTATCATACTTTTTTGGCTATGGTAACCCCGTAGTATAGTTTAAAGTTGGCTAATATGATGCCTCCAGCTTTGTTCTTTTTGCTTAGGATTGCCTTGGCTTTCCAAACGCTTTTTTCAGTTCCACAGGAATTTTAAAATAGTTTTTTTCTACTTCTATGAAGAATGTCATTGGTAGTTTGATAGAAATAGCATTGAACCTGTAAATTGCTTAGGACACTATGGCCATTTTAATATTGATTATTTCTATCCATGAGTTGGAATGATTTTCTGTTTGTGTCATCTCTGATTTCTTTGAGGAGTGTTTTGTAATTCCTGTTGTAGAGATCTTTTACTCCCTAGTTAGCTGTATTCCTAGGTATTTTACTCTTTTTGTTGTCATTGTGAATGGGATTGCATTCCTTATTTAACTCTTAGCCTGTTTGTTGTTGCCGTATAGGAATCCTCGTGATTTTTGATTGTTTATTTTACATCCTAAAAGTTTGCTGAAGTTGTTTATCAGCTGAAGAAACTTTTGGGCCAAGTCTATAGGGTTTTCTAGTTATAGAATCATGTCAACTGCAAACAGTGATAGCTTGACTTCCTCTCTTCATATTTGGATGCCTTTTATTTATTTCTGTTGCCCGATTGCTCTGGCCAGAACTTCCAATGCTATGTTGAATCGGAGATGAGAGACAGCAACCTTGTCTTGTGCTGGTTTTCAAAGAGAAAGCTTCCAGCTTTTACCTATTGATTCTGATGTTGGCTGTGGGTTTGTCATAGATGGCTCTTATCATTTTGAGGTATGTTCCTTCAATATCTAGTTTATTGAGGGTTTCTTAACATGAAGTGATGCTGAACTACATTGAAAGCCTTTTCTGCATCTATTGAAATAATCATGTGGTTTTTGTTTTTAGTTCTGTTTCTGTGATGAATCGCATTTATCGATTTGCTTATGTTGAACCAACCTTGCATCCCAGCAATAAAGTCTACTTGATTATGGTGAATTAGCTTTTTTCCGTGCTGCTGGACTCAATTTGCTAGTATTTTATTGAGGATTCTTCCATCTATGTTCATCAAGGATATTGGCCTGAAGTTTTATTTTTCAGTTGTGTCTCTGCCAGGTTTTGGTATTAGGATGATGCAGCCTCATAGAATTAGGAAGGAGTCCCTCCTCCTCAAATTTTTGGAATAGTTTCAATAGGAATGGTACCAATTCTTCTTTATATATCCTGGTAGAATTTGGCTGTGAATCCATCTGGTCCTAGGCTTTTTTTTCTTTTTGTGGTTTGTATGCTTTTGATTACTAATTCAATTTTGAAACTCATTATTGCTCTATTCAAGGATTCAGTTTCTTTCTGGTTCAATTTTGGGAGGTTATATGTGTCCAGGAATTCACTCATTTCTTCTAGAGTTTCTAATTTGTGTGCATAGAGGTGTTTATAGTAGTCTCCGATTTGTTTTTTAAAAAAATCTCTGTGTTATCAGTGGTAACATCCCCTTTGTCATTTCTAACTGTGTGTATTTGGTTCTCTCTCTTTTTTCTTTATTAATCTAGCTAGGGGGGTATCTTATTAATTTTTTCAAAGAACCAAATTCCGGACTCATGTTCTTTTGTATGGATTTTCATGTCTCAATTTTCTTCAGTTCAGCTCTGATTTTATTTCTTGTCTTCTGCTAGCTTTGGAGTTGGTTTGCTCTTGCTTCTCTAGTTCTTTTAGTTGTGGTGTTAGGTTGTTAATTTGTGATATTTCTCACTTTTCAATGTGGGCGTTTAGTGCTATAAACTTCCTTCCTAACACTGTCTTAGCCGTATCCCAGAGATTCTGGTGTGTTGTATCTTTGTTCTCATTAGCTTCAAATAATTTCCTGATTTCTGCCTTAATATCATTGTTTACCCAAAAGTCATTCAGGTGCAGGTTGTTTAATTTCAATGTAATTATACAGTTTTGAGTGATTTTCTTAGTATTGATTTCTATTTGTATTGTGCTGTGGTCCAAGAGTGTGGTTGATATGATTTCAGTTCTTTGAATTTGCTGAGTATTGTTTTATCCGATTATGTAGTCAGTTTTGGAGTATGTGCCATGTAACAATGAGAAGGATGTATATTCTGTTTAAACTGTGAAATTTCATACCTACAGTAAAAGTATGGCTTCAGAGGGGCTAATGCTTTTCTAAAAGAGGAAATGATTTCAAAACCCTGTCACCAATATTTGAACATTTCAATAAAATAGAGGTAATGAAAACTTTTGGTAATTCTTAGACAAATTTCACTAGCTGGAGTAATTAGATTGAGATCTACACAAAGCAAGCATTGCTTCATTATCCCTCTAGTAATGATGATGAATGGGACCGATCATCTGGGATAACCCCCACAGACTGGTTCTCTTGGTTAGAATGCTGTGTTAAAGAGACCAGGATAATAGATTGTCCTCCCGGGTAAGCTAGTTAGTTGTCAATTCTACAGTTCCCATATCTCCTGTTAGCCATAGGAATGTGAGGCCGTGTCCATAGCTAGAAGGCCAAAGAACTGGGATTTTTAGTCAAGATTTTACCACTCGTGGGCTAGATGACCTTAGGTAAGTCACTCTGATCCTCAGGATCATCCTCAAGATGAAGTCCCTAATGGAGCACATGTTGTCATTATTACTATATTTAATTTAGGCAGTTTGAAGATAAAATTAGGAATCGGAAAGTAACTTGATAAAATGTAGCAATAAGATGAATTATTAAATGTTGTTTAAGTAATGTTATAATAAAACTTTGAGGTAATTGATAAAGGGGTCAAAAGTAACAGGATTACCAAAATAAATACAGTCACACGCCACCTAATGATAGGGATACATTCTGAGAAATGTGTCATTAGGTGATTTCATTGTTGTGTTAACATCAAAGTGTGTACTTACACAAACCTAGAGGGTATAGTCCACTGCACACCTAGACTATATGGTATAGCCTATTGCTTCTAAGCTACAAACCTGTACCGAATGTTACTGTACTGAATATTGTAGTCAATTGTACCACAATGTTAAGTATTTATTTATCTAAACATAGAAAAGGTACAGTAAAAACAGTATAAAAAATTTAAAACTGCTACACCTGTCTAGGTCACTTACCATGAATAGAGCTGGTTACATGAATGGAGCAACAAGAAAAGTTACTTTGGGTGAATCACTGAGTAAGTGGTGCGTAAATGTGAAGGCCTAGGACATTATGCAGCTGTAGACTTTATAAACACTCTACACTCAGGCTACGCTAAATTTATTTTAAATTTTTTCTTTCTCCAACCATAACATTTTTATTTTATAAACTTTTTAATTTAAAAAAAAACTTTTTTACTCCTTTGTAATAATACATTTCTTGAAACACATTATATAGCTATACAAAAATTTTCTTTCTTTAATCTTTATTGTATTTTTTCTGTTTTTAATTGTTTTCTATTTTTTAAACTTTTCATTTTAAACTAACACAAAAACACAGACAGTAGCCTAAGCCTACACAGGGTCAGCATCATCAACATCACCGGAAGGTATTCAGGGGCCATAACACCCATGGAGCTGCTGCCATCTCCTAGGATAACAATGCCTTCTCGAATCCCTCCTGAAGACCTGCCTGAGGCTGCTTTACAGTTCACTTTTTTTAAAAGGGCAAAAGGAGTACCCTGTAAGATAACACTTAAAAATATAGTAAATACATAAACCAGTAACACAGTCATTTACTATAATAATAATAAATGTATTAATATTATATACTATACATAATTGTATGTGCCATACTTTTATATAACTGTCAACACAGTAGGCTTGTTTACACCAGCATCACCACAAACAGGTGAGTAATACATTGCACTATGAAATTAAGATGTTACTGAGCCATAGTGTCACTAAGCCTTTCACTGTATAGAACATTCCTAAGCAATAGGAAATTTGCAGCTCCATTACAATCTTACGGGACCACTTATGTCGTCTGTTGTTGACCAAAATGTTGGGCAGCTCCTGACTATACATGTAACTTCAGTTCAGAAGAAAGAAAAGAGGGCCCTAAATATAGTTAACCAGAACTTATTTAGACAAAAATAGTCCTAAGCTGTAGAAAGCTAACATGGCAATATATAAGGCTAAACCAAATATTATTTTAGCAACACTGTATTTCCTCACTCTTACTCGGTGGTCCCCAGGCAGCATTCTCAGCAACAGCTGCCAAACCATCCAAGAATGGACTGCTTATTCAACCAGCTGGGGGAGGTGGTCTTTCCATTGCAATTGGGTACACTGGGATTCCTGTTTAAGAAAGCATTCTATGAATGAGTGTTGATTTAATTAACCCTAAGAAAAGTTAAGCTTCACGAAGTGACAAATTTAATTTCATGACTTTAAAAAATGAAGCTCTAACCTTGAGATAGATATCTTTCCAAAACTGTAACCACTAAGGTTCTACTTGAAACAAGCAGCCAGCTATACCCTTACCTCCAATGAGAGTACATGTGTAGGGCTTTAATCAGAAGTTAGTTGTAAACAGGGAAAATGCTATTAGCAAACTCATTGTGTAGGCTTCCCTTTAAACATGTCTTTGTGGAGGCACTTCTCCCAACTACATGGTGACAACAAAGAGATGTCAAGAAAAAGGAAGAATTTTCTATACCACGAAAGGCATTGATTCAATACTTCCACTTCTCCAGCTACCTCATAAATTGTGGAACTTGGGAGAGCAGCTTAGGGACATAAGTACTTAGGATGTTAACAACTAAACTTAACTATAGTCATGAGAATAATTGCTGTATTCCATTTATTGAGCTCTTCAGGAGAAGTTGCAAACCACTTGGATTTTAAGTCAACAAATATTTCCAGAAAACATGTTGCACACAGGGACTGTGCATTCCAATGGCCACCCCTTCAGTAGGTTCCAATCACTAACCAGCCAAATGGCAAAGGTTCCTTAGAGGGAGCAGTTAAGCCAATTTCAATGTCTTAATATGACACAATCCTCCATTATTAAGGAAAAAGATAAAAACTGAAATATTGAACATCTTAAGGACTTGACAAGTCCCTCAAGTCACTTACTTTGTTTTCACTTATGAATCTTAGGGCCAGATTTCTGGTGTGATCTCTGGGCCACCTGCTTTGAAACTGCTGAAGATCTTCTTGAGAATGCAGACTTCTGCTCCACAGGCGTACTAAACCAGCACTTCTGGAGTGGAGCCTAGGAATCTATATTTTTAATATCCTACCCAGGAAATTTCTTTTCTTTTTTTTTTTTTTTTTGAGACAGAGTCTTACTCTGTTGCCCAGTCTGGAGTGCAGTGGCACAATTTTGGCTCACTACAACCTCTGTCTCCCAGGTTCAAGCAATTCTTCTGCCTCAGCATCCCCAGTAGCTGGGACTACAGGTGCAAGCAACCATGCCCGGCTAATTTTTGTATTTTTAGTACAGACACGGTTTCACTATGTTTGCCAGGCTGGTCTCAAACTCCTGACCTCAAATGATCCACCCGCCTTGGCCTCCCAATGTGCTGGGATTACAGGCGTGAGCCACTGTACTTGGCTATGCCCAGGAAATTTCTAAACACAGTCCAGTTTGAGAGACACTATCTTAAGAGATGTTTACTGAATAGGGACCTAAAAATCAAAACCAAAGAGAGTGTGATATTGCTTACTGCAGATCCTTTTGGACCCAGGTCTACTCTCTCCCTTTTTCTCTAGATTAGTGTATTTTACGTGCAAATTCAAGAATGTGTAATTCAGCCTTCTGGAGTCATCTCCTTCTTCTTAGTCCCTTCAGGTTGCTATAACAAAATATCCTAAACCGAGTGGCTTCTAAACAATAGAAATTTATTTCTCACAGTTCTGGAGGCTGGGAAGTTCAAGATCAAGGTGCTGGAAGATTCATTACAGTATCCAGTGAGGGCTTTCTGGTTCATGGATGGCTCCTTCTAGCTGTGTCTTCATGTGGTGAAAGAGTGAACAAATTCCGTAATTTTTTTTTTTTTTTTTTTTAGACAAGAGTCTTACTGTGTTGCCCAGGCTGGAGTGCAGTGGTGCAATCTTGGCTCACTGCAACCTCTGCCTTCTGGGCCCAAGTGATTCCCTCTGCCTCAGCCTCCCGGGTAGCTGGCATTACAGGCACCCACCAACAAGCCTGGCTAATTTTTGTATTTTTAGTAGAGACAAGGTTTCACCATGTCGGTCAGGCTGGTCTTGAACTCCTGACCTCAAGTGATCCACCTGCCTTGGCCTCCCAAAGTGCTGGGAGTGCAGGTGTGAACCACCACATCCATGGGTCTCTTTTAAGGGAAGAACACCAATCCCATCCCTTAGGGCTGCACCCTCATGATCTAATCATCTCCCAAAGACCCACCTTTTAATACTTTGGATGTTAGAATTTCAACAAATGAATTTTCGAGGAGATGTAAGCCTTCAGACCATAGCACCCTCTCTCTGCTCCTCAATCCCCTACCCTAAAACCTCAAAACTACAGGAAGGGTCATGTTCAAGCCCAGAATCACAAAAAACACAGGCTTCCCTTGGTTTGCATGGGGTCGCCTCTGTCATGTTATGACAAAACATAACTCAGTCTGTTTTTATCTATGATAATCCTACTTGAGAGGATGTGAGACCAGCACTGAAGAAAGCACACTGGCTTTGGTGAAAGGCAGACCTGGGTATAAATCCTGTCATTAGCTCTTGGTAATCCCTTTCACTTTGGACAAGATAATCTAGCTGAGCTCCAGTTTTCTCACCTAGTAAATGGGAATCATAGTGCTCAGGATTGTTAAAGATAATATCTGTAATGTGGTTGTTCAATTAATTCAATCATGCATTCAGCAAATACTTACTGAATGCCACTGTTCACTTAGGACTTTTTTCTGGTCCCTTGGGACCCATAAGAGAGTGAAACAAAGATTCCTGTCCCCATGGAGCTTAAAATTTTAGAAAGAGGAGCTAAATGGTAAACAATAAATAAGATCAATAAGTAAATTATACCATAGGTTAGAAGTGTTAAATACAATGAAAAATGGGGGGAACCGGGTAAATGAGATCAGGATAGCAGGGTGGGAAGGCAGAACAAAGTGGGCCTCTTTGAGACAGTGAGATTGAAGTTAACTTGAGTGGGGAGAGAATGAGCCAGAGGACAAGCGTTCCAGGCAAGGGAAGAGCTGAAGTGAAGGCCTCAAGGTGGAGGGAGGGAAGAGGAAGCCTTGAAAGGCACTGTGAGGACTTCAGCTTCTACATTGGGTGAAATGGGAAGTAGAGTTGACCCTTGAACAAATGTGTCTGAACTGTGCAGATCCAATTATACGTGGGATTTTTTCAATAAACATTGAAACAAATTTTGGAGATTTGAGACAAATTGAAAAAACTTGCAGACAAACCACACTGCCTAGAAATATCAAAAAACAAAATTGAAAATCAGCCTGGACCATATAGTGAGACTCTGTCCCTACAAAAAATGTAAAAATTAGCCAGGTGTGGTGGTGCACCCCTGTAGTCCCAGCTGCTTGGGAGGCTGAGGCAGGAGGATCACTTGAGCCCGGGAGGTCAAGGCTGCAGTGAGCCATGATCACACCACTACACTCCAGCTTAGGTGACAGAGTGAGATGCTGTCAAAAAAAACAAAAAGTTAACAAAATGTTAGATATGTCATTAATGTGTAAAATATACGTAGATACTAGCTTATGTTATCATTTACTATCATAAAATTTACACAAATTTATTATAGGAAGTTAAAATTTATCAGAATGTATGCACACAACACAAAGACCCTATGTGGTACCATTCACAGTTGAGATCAATGTAAGCCAACATAAAAATGCAGTATTAAATCATAACTGCATGAAATTAACTGTAGTATAGACTGTAATAATTTCATAGCCACCTTCTATTGCTATTGGTGAGCTCAAGTACGTGCTTAAAATGTGACACTAATCATCTCCACATAAGCAGTTCATATCTCTAGAAAATTGCATATTTCAGTAAAAAGTTATCTCATGCAGTTCTTGTATATTTTTTATTGTGTTTAGTGCAATACCATAAACCTTGAATAACATCATGAGACCCATACAAAGTGCCACTAGTGATGCTGGAAGTGCTCCCAAGAAAAGCCATGAGAGAAAAGCCATGCCATTACATCTGCTTGATATGTACCCTACACTGAGTTCTGCAGCTGCAGGTGCCCAACATTTCAAGATAAATGATCCAGCATAAGTACCATGGTAAAAAAAAAAAAAAGAAAAAAGAAAGAAAATCTGTGAACACATTGCTGCAGCTATGCAAGCACGCACGGAAACTTTGCACATTTTGCAAAATACCTTTTTATCTCATATTGAAAATGCAGCTTTTATGTGGGTGCAGGATTTCTATAATAAAGGCATACCTATAGACTCCAGTATGATTCAAGAAAAAGCAAAGTCATTATATGAGAACTTAAAGCTAAAGGAAAGTGAAGAATCCAAAGCTAGAGAATTTAATGCCAGCAAAAGATGACTTGATAATTTTAGAAAGAGATTTTTGGCTTTAAAAATGTCAAGATAACAGGAGAAGCAGCTTCTGCCAACCAAGAGGTAACAGATATCATTAAGAAAATCATGATGAGAAAGGATATCTGCCTGAACAGGTTTTTCATGCAGATGAAAGTGCCATGTTCTGGTGAGGAGAAATGCCACAAAAGACATTTATTAGTAAGGAAGAGATGTAAGCACCAGGATTTAAGACAGAAAGGGATAGTCTAATTCTACTGTACTATGCAAATGCATTTGGGTTTATGCTCAGGACTGCCCATATCTATAAAGCTGCTAACCCCTGAGCCTTGAAGGAAAAAGATAAACACCGACAGCCAGTCTTTTGGTTGTACAAGTAAGCCTGGACAGGGAGAACCCCTTTTTTCTGAATTGATTCCATCAATGCTTTGTCCCTGAAATCAGGAAGTACCTTACTAATGAAGAAATGCCCTTTACAATACCATTCAGGACATAGGCATGGGCAAGGACTTCATGTCTAAAACACCAAAAGCAATGGCAACAAAAGCCAAAATTGACAAATGGGATCTAATTAAACTAAAGAGCTTCTGCACAGCAAAAGAAACTACCATCAGAGTGAACAGGCAACCTACAAAATGGGAGAAAATTTTTGCAATCTATTCATCTGACAAAGGGCTAATATCCAGAATCTACAATGAACTCCAACAAATTTACAAGAAAAAAACAAACCACCCCATCAAAAAGTGGATGAAGGATATGAACAGACACTTCTCAAAAGAAGACATTTATGCAGCCAAAAAACACATGAAAAAATGCTCATCATCACTGGCCATCAGAGAAATGCAAATCAAAACCACAATGAGATACCATCTCACACCAGTTAGAATGGCGATCATTAAAAAATCAGGAAACAACAGGTGCTGGAGAGGATGTGGAGAAATAGGAACACTTTTACACTGTTGGTGGAACTGTAAACTAGTTCAACCATTGTGGAAGTCAGTGTGGTGATTCCTCAGGGATCTAGAACTAGAAATACCATTTGACCCAGCAATCCCATTACTGGGTATATACCCAAAGGATTAGAAATCATGCTGCTATAAAGACACATGCACACGTATGTTTACTGCAGCACTATTCACAATAGCAAAGACTTGGAACCAACCCAAATGTCCAACAATGATAGACTGGATTAAGAAAATGTGGCACATATACACCATGGAATACTATGCAGCCATAAACAAGGATGAATTCATGTCCTTTGTAGGGACATGGATGAAGCTGGAAACCATCATTCTCAGCAAACTATCGCAAGGACAAAAAACCAAACACCGCATGTTCTCACTCATAGGTGGGAATTGAACAATGAGAACACATGGACACAGGAAGGGGAACATCACACACTGGGGCCTGTTGTGGGGTGGGGGGAGGGGAGAGGGATAGCATTATGAGATATACTTGATGTTAAATGATGAGTTAATGGGTGCAGCACACCAACATGGCACATGTATACATATGTAAGTAACCTGCACGTTGTGCACATGTACCCTAAAACTTAAAGTATAATAAAAATAAATAATAAATAAATAAATAAGAAATGCCTTTTAAGCTTCTTTTGATATTGGACAATGTCCCTGGCCACCCAGAACCCCATGAGGTCAACGCCAAAAACGTCAAAGTGGTCTACTTCTCCCCAAACACAATGTCTCTAATTCAACTTCTAAATCAAGGGATCATAAGGACCTTTAAGGCTCATTACACATGGTACTCTATGGAAAGGAGTGTCAATGCTATGGAAGAGAACCCGGTAGGGAGAACATCATGAAAGTCTGGAAGGTTTACACCATTGAAGATGCTGCTGTTTTTACAGAAAAGCTCATGCAAGCCATCAAGCCTGAAACAATAAATTCCTGCTAGAGAAAACTGTATCCAGACGTTGTTCATAACTTCCCAGAATTTACAAAAGAGCCAATCAAGGAAATTATGAAAGAGATTGGGGATATGGCAAAAAAGTTGGGGAGTGAAGGGTTTCAAGATACGAATCTTGGAAATATTCAAGCGCTAATAGATACCATGCCAGAGGAATTAACAGAAGATGACTTCATGGAGGTGAGTTCTTCTGAACCAGTGCTAGACAATGAGGAAGAAGATGTGGAAGAAGCAGTGCCAGAAAACAAATTGACATTAGACAATCTGGGAGAAGGGCTCAGATTATCCAAGATTGCTTTTTATTTCTTTTATGACATGGGCTTTCTGTATATGGGCACTGAAACTAAAGCAAATGGTGGAAGAATTGGTACTAAATAGAAACATTTTGAGAGACATGAAAAAGCAAAAAAGTCAGATAAATTACCACATATTTTCCTAAAGTTACACCAACTGTGCCTGCCTCTGCTGACCCCTCTTCCACCTCCTTCACTTCCACCTCTGCCATCCCTCAGATAGCAAGACCAACCCCCGTCTTCCTCCTCCTCCTCAGTCTGCTCAATATGAAGACAAGAAAGATAAAAGTCTTTATGATGATTCACTTCTACTTACTGAATAGTAAATACATGTTCTCTTCCTTAGGATTTTTTAATAATATTTTCTTTCATCTAGCTTACTTTATTATAGGAATATAGTATATAATACATGTAGCCTACAAAATATGCATTAATTGCTTATGCTGTCAATGAAGCTTCCACCCAACAGTAGGCTATTAGCAGTTAGGTTTGGGGGAAGTCAAAGGTTATACATGAATTTTTCACTGCCTGGTGCATCCATGCCCTTAATCCTCCCATCGTTCAAGGGTCAACTTTGGTTTTGACCCTTGAGCAGTGATGAGGATTAGGGACACAATGCAGGATTTTGAACAGAGGCATGACATGAGCATTATGACTAATTACTTATCATTAGAGATGATGTGCTTCAATTATACATTCTGGGATCTTACCTTAAGTCCGAAAAACTTTTTAGTAGAGTAGTCCTTTTTCAAATATTCTGCTCGGGTTTACAGGGATTATTTTTTACAACAGGACTTTAAAATAGGACTAAATTTGCCAAGGGCCTCTTCCATGTTCACAAAACCACCTTTAAATATGACATCTCTGGAGAGGAGTGTGTGCGTGTGTTTGTGTGAATGTGTCTAAGTGTGTATGTGTGTGAATGCATGGGTGTGGTGGTGAGGGTGTGCATACATGTATGTGGAGGGCTTGGTGTGTACATGTATGTGCAGGCACACACTCACACGCTCCCAAGCTAATACCTGAATGCTGCTGCCATCCTACTGGACTCATGCCAAGTCCCTTCCCACTCTGATATTTTAGGTGCAAACCTGTGTTTCTGGGTGTGGAGCAGAGTCTGAGAAAAAGTAATGTCCCTAGGCCTGTAGTCATGGGCCAGTATGCCTCTGCAATAAATGAAACTTCAGCTCTAGATACACACAGCTCGGGCAACTTGACATCTGCATGAAAGATTTTGTAAATTATGCATTTTCTTCATGCTGCATAGTTAAATGAGAGATGATAGATACAATGTTAGCTCTTGTGCAGGCATTTAGAAGGAACCACATCATCTTCAGTTGGTTGGGAAACAGCTAGCAAGGACAAAACAGTATTCTTTCACATTGTATTTTTCCACAAAAGCCCTGTCACCAGGCACCACGTATTTCAAAGAAATTTTACTGCTAGAACTTGGTGGTACATTTTAGGGTTTCTAGCAGCAAGGGCATTAACTTCTCATATTTTGCTTCATTCCTGATATCTTTATTGAAAGTTAATTTTTCTTTACAGGTCGTTGTACTTGCTAATATTGCCTGAATAAAATGTAATGGTGCAATAAGGTAGAATTTGTCCCATGGAACAGATAAACGTGAGGCTATTGAATAGGGACCTTCAGCTTACCACCCTTTGTTTGCTGTTCCAAGTGCCTCTATGATAAGCTTAACAGATCCTTTAACTATTAAACTTTCATATCCAAAAGGCACTCTATTAACATATTTATCTAATAAGAGAGGAGTGCAATATTACCCTGTATTAATTTCTTTTTTAAAATTCATCTAGAAAATTGAATTAAACCAATTCAAATCTTCTGATAGAACATGCAAGCCAATAAACTTTCTTCTCTGTCTCCCTTCTAACTGTCATGTAATCTAAATGCTGGCACTCAGTAGTTTTGTTAAATTATTATTTGTCTAAGGGTGTTTACATCAATATTCAAACCGAATGGTAATCTTCTGAGATGGAAAATATAGCAGTTTAGAGGTATTCTTTTGCTGATACAGTCAAGGAGAGCATGGACCCTGGAAGTAGCCTGCCTAGGTTTGAAGCCCAGGCCTGAGCCCACTAACTTTGTAAATAAGGTCAAGTTATCTAACCTCTCTGGAATTCCATTTCATTATCAGTGAAATGGAAATAGCAATAAGGATGTCAAGAGGATAAAATGAATTCATATATGAAAGCACTTAGAACAGTATTTGATACGTGATAAGTTGCTATCGATAAATGGAAAAATATTTATGACCTACTCTAAAGAAAAAAACTTGTGAGGTGGGGGACATGTAAATTACTGCCTCTACCTCTAGCATTATTTTGCTATAGACCAGCTGGTCCCATTAAATCTCTAAATCCTCAAAGATATGGGGCCCATGCTCTCTCCTCCTTGCAAAGATAGTATTCACACAGGTGATTCTAAACATGAGGCCAAATTGCCATTCTCATTTCTTCTCTTCTTTTTCGAATGTTCTCGTTGATTATTGGGGAAGAATATCTTGAGCTTATCTCTGTGAGGGAAGACCTAATATGCTCCTTCCCAGGATTATTGGTGTTTATGGGGGCAATACGGAGTGGCAAGGCCTAAGAGTATGAATAATATAACCCAGAAATGGTTTTAGGGATTCACGCTCCCTGGCATTCTGGTGAAATGCTGATGCTGCCATCCTTCAGGGATGCAGATCAGTGTCGAAGTGAACCAGAGAGAGTGTTGTGCATTATTTCCTATACATGCCCCCCCACACACACACTAACATGGCCCTGGCCCACACAGTGATCATTCACTCAAAAATGGCTTGTCCTTCCACCCATCTCCCTCCTGAAGGTTCTGCGTTTGTTCCCTCCACCCAGAACGCTCTGGTCCAGCCCATGTGTTACTTCCTCAGAAAGGTTTTCTGTGATCAATCAAGGGGCTGGAACAGTAGCTGGCACATGATAGACACTCAATAAATAGTTATAGATATATGAAGGAATGATCTGTGTTTTCACAAAGTCAAACAGTATCTAGCCAAAAAGCTACAAAGTCAAAAGGCAGCCTTTGTCACTTTCTTTTGAGGGGATAGAAGAGTTAACATATACACATGGTTCAAAAGTCAAGTAGTACAAAATAATGTACAGTGAAAAGTCATCTATTTTCCTGTCCTTCATCCATCCTGTTCTCCTCCTAGATACAACTGATGTTGTGAATTTTTTGTGTGTCCATAGATATTTTCCTTTTGTCAACCACTATGTGTGTATGTGTATAGACATACCTATACAGCTATACATATGTATGTATAATCTGCCCTCCCCTCCCAATTTATAACGATTATAAACAATCTTTGTTATCTATTTCTTCCCAGAACTCTTCTGTCTTTGCTTTGTGTTTTGTCTGTTTTGAACACCTAATATAGTTGAGCTTAGAGAATTACCAAATCAAATAATAATTATTCAAGTTCTTTAAAATGAGAGCTATTTCACTGAGAATAATGGCCTCAAGTCAAACACCACATGTCCTCTCTTATAAATGGGAGCTAAACAATGGGTACACATGAACATACAGGTGGAATAATGGACACTGGAGACTCCAAAACATGGGAGGATAGGAGAGATGGGGGCTGAAAACTTTCCTAGTGAGTACAATGTTCACTATTTGGATGAGGGGTACACTAGAAGGCCAGACTTCACCCATGCACAATATATTCATGTAACAAAAATGCACTTATATCCCCAGATATATAAATGTTTTAATTTAAAATAAATAAGTAAAATAAAATGAGAGCTCCTCTAATGTTTAAAAGTCATCTTGTTTATAAAAATTTATTTTGGGCCAGGCGTGGTGGCTCACGTCTGTAATCCCAGCACTTTGGGAGGCCAAGGCCAGCAGAACACTTGAGGTCAGGAGTTCGAGACCAGCCTGGCCAACATGGTGAAACCCCATCTCTACTAAAAATATAAAAATTAGTGGGGCGTGGTGGTGCATGCCTGTAATCCCAGCTACTTGGGAGACTGAAGCAGGAGACTCGCTTGAACCCGGGAGGCAGAGGTTATGGTGAGCTGAGATCGTGCCACTGCACTCCAGCCTGGGCAACAAGAGCAAGACTGTCTCAAAAAAAAAAAAAAAAAATATATATATATATATATATATATATAGCCACTCATTTTTTAGAATACTATGTGTTATATAAAACAAAATGTAAAATCTACAGATAAGTTCATGAGGAGATAACCTTTCTATGGCATGGGATATATTAGGAGAAGGCTCAGGAACATATCCTATCAACATAGGATATGTGGTATTTTTATATTTAACATTAGTGTGAATGTGATTTTTAAACACAGAGGGATTCTGGTAACAAATTAACTACGCATTTTTATCCTTTAATAGTTTTTTGGAACGACTTACATACATAGGTTAAAAATCTCCATGTCCTATGTGATCCATGTCTAGTTATGTTGTTTGGGCCTCTAATGCTAACATTCCTTTGTTTTCTACCCACTCAACTGCATGAAGCCATGACTTCTGCCTTTCCTCCTTTCTAGAACATTTTATTTTACTTGTCTTATCTTACATCCCAGGGGTAATGTACAAATTTCTGCCCAACACAAATATCTACTTACTTCTTTTTACCCCCATTTTCAAATTTTCAGCTCTTACAAAATCTCTTTGAGGCTCACCCATAGCTAAAAGTGATGAACCATAGAATAGGTTATGACCAGTGCTGTGTCTTAGAAATAGGAATCGTTTCTAAATTAATTGGCTTAAAAGCCAATACTTTCCCACTATGAAGCCTATCATGGAAATGAATAAAACTGTAAAGGAATGAATTAAAGGTAATTTCGCATTGTAAACCATTTGCCACATTTGACTTACAAATTTCACATTTAAATAAAAGAAGTTGGGGTTGAAATAAAAAGCTGTTACACAAGGAAAAAAGAAAAATACTTAATAGAAATTCATGATCAATATTTCTCTTGAAAGAAAAATAGATTACTTTTGATGAGTTCAAACAAGTGACTCATGACAATATTAGTTATACATTTAAATATAAATGCGTGTGTGTGTGTGTGTGTGTGTGTGTGTGTGTGTGTGTGTGTATGCACAGACAACAGTAAATTTCTTTGGCAAGCTTGGGTTCTTCTCCAACCTGTGGCCAACTGAACTGAATAGCATCCTTGGAACTTTATCTTCTACCACTAATAGGCTATATTTCAGACAGACAAATTGAACAGAAGAATGAGAAAATGTAGCTGTAGAAGTTTTTTTAGAAACATTTATTCAATATTATGTTTTCAAATACAGAAACTGTATACATACAAAAATATAAATATGTGTGTGTGCATTTTTCATAATAAAAACTACAGAAAGCAAATCAATACTTGGCAACATTTTCTTGGCTGGAAGAAATATACAGAATGTATAGTGATTCTCAAATGGAGGTTTACATCTGGGGAGGTACTGAAATCTCAAAAAAAGGGAAAGATGCAAAATTTTTTTATTCCACTATAAGCAAAGAATCTGAAGCGTTACAAAACATGGGTATGTGGGAGATAGAAAGAGGGTAAGCGACTATAGTACTGCTTGGACTAAAGAAAGAACTATTCTCTGTTTGGACTCTGGCCCCAAGTTCATAATCATGATTCTAACAGCCAGCATTTTTTGGCCATCACTCTGAGCGCCAGGCACCGGACTAAGCACTACCTCATTTTATCCTTCCCTGACCTTCATATACACACTGTTAATACCTCTGTTTTATGGATGAAGAAACAGATGTCTGGAGAGCTCAAGTAACTTACCAAGATCACACAAATAGTAAAGTCAAAGTCAAGATTTGAAACAGGACATCAATGCTTTACTTTTCTTTTCTTTTTTTTTTCCTTTTTTTTTTTTTTTTGAGATGGAGTCTCTCGCTCTGTAGCCCAGGCTGGAGTGCAGTGGCGCCATCTCGCCTCACTGCAAGCTCCGCCTCCCGGGTTCACGCCATTCTCCTGCCTCAGCCTCCTGAGTAGCTGGGACTACAGGCACTCGTCACCAGGCCCGGCTAATTTTTTTTTTTGTATTTTTAGTAGAGACGGGGTTTCACCACGTTAGCCAGGATGGTCTCCATCTCCTGACCTCGTGATCTGCCCGCCTCAGCCTCCCAACGTGCTGGGATTACAGGCGTGAGCCACCGGGCCTGGCCAGGACATCAATGCTTTTAACCACTGTATACTATGCTACTCTATTCTATTCTACTCTACTGGAAAGAACTGATTTTTGCTTTTCACTAAAATATTCTCATTAATGTCTTTGCTATAGTTGACTATGATTACACCATATAGTCTGTTCTCTTAAACCATATCATTTCCTAAGAGCTATATTCCAAAATTATTTGGATATTTAGCATAAATAGATGGATTGTACTGGGATTCAATGGTTGAATTGCTGGCTTCCTACAAATTTGTTCTGTGGCGAGGTGCATAATAAAAGCTCTTTTGTCTAACAGGAATAATAATAGCTAATGATTTTTGAGTGCCATGTGCTAGCTGCTATTCTGAGAGATTTAAGTTTATTAACTGAAAGAGATTTAATCTTCATAACAACCTTATGAAGTAGGTGCTATTATTATATCCAATTTATAGATGGGAAAACTGAAAATGTGCTTTTTGAAGACCTGTGAACAGATATAATCCCTAAAAAGATATGAAAAGCAAGCTGCAAAATTAAAACAAATGCTTAATAAAATGTCTACCATACATAACATTATATAGGTTCTATTAGTTATTGAATGTGATATATGTAAAGTCTTTATTACATCTGAAAACAACTTGTAGAATAGATTTTTCTCACTTGCAAGAATTCCTGAGTATTCACTGTGCTTGCTAAGAAAGACGTCTCAGCCAACCTTTAAATAAAATGAGTATTCATAGCCAAAGAACTCAAAAGGAAAATCATAAAAATCTCTCAAACATTTTCACCGAAAAAACAGAGAGAGAGAGAGAGAAAGAAAGTTGAGGGGTTTCCCAAAGAAAGGGAAAGACTTTTGAAGGGGCTAAAATGGCCTTGGAAGTGCTAAGGACTTTACATTCACCTTGTTCAAGTTCACTCTAAGTTTAAGATGCACTAAAGAACCATGAAATAAGATTCGAAAGCTGATGATCCTGCTCTGCTCCCCGCTGGCCGTATGACCCTGGGCAAAGCCCTTAGTGGCCCTGTTCCTCATCATCAAACAGTACAGTTGTAAAGATTAAACAAGGTTGTGTATTGGAAAGTGCTTTGCCAACCATATATTTCTACAGAAGTAAGATAGAGCTGTTAATTCCAGCCATTCAGTTTTTCTCCTATTGAGAGAAGAGCAATTAAAATTCTAAGGTATTTTTAAAAGAAATTTTGTTTTCTTTATTATTAAGTAAATGTAATAATGCAACAAAATGTTGTCAAGTCACTCTCTGTCCTTGGGAGACTTCTTTCTATAAATAGCTAAGGATAATTAGCCTGTTGACTTTCTGTAAAAGAGCATTGCTTAGATGCTGGAGAAGTTTGTTTATTTATTTAAGTAGTCTCAACATACTCTCTGAAATATTATTTATGCCTGCCAGTGCTCATCAAGGTGCCCTGAGCACTTTTGCAGCCACCAGCCTCTGGGTTAGGTGCTGCTGAGACCCACAAGGCAAATGTCCACTCTGTTTTCTCAAAAACCCAAGTCCCTGCAGCTGCCTGTGGGGCTGCCCTAAACTGCGTGAGGGCCGCAAGGCACCCTTTCTCTCACTCAAGGCCTGGGCTTGAGCAGAAGAGATAAAGACCTTCTTTTCTCATGTTCAGTGAGGAGATGGCTCAATCTGCCAGCCAGACTTTTCCCTCCACTTCAGAAATTTAAGGAACCCTATGCAAGGGGACCTTGCAAGCCCATCTTGGCACAGAGGTCACTAGAGACAAAATAAAGAGAAGCAGAGAGAGAAAGAGGGCAATGATGGAATCCCACAACTCTCTCCAGCTACCCAACTATGTGCCAATTAATTTTCACAATATTTTCACCTGGCTGAGTGGAGCCTCAAATACTGAGGACAGCCAAACCTTCCTTCCCCCTTCTCTTAAGCTGTGTCCCCACCCCAGTACCTGCATCCCTGCACTCACAGGCATATGCATAGCATTATGTCTTCTACCTGGGAGAGACTGGGGTGGGTGTAATGAAAGGGGAGGAGGATTAAGAAGACAAATGTAGAGGAAGGGGCAAAGGGTAAGGTAACTACTCCATCTCTGTCCCTCACTCCGAAACTGAAGCATTTGAGAGATTTAGTGCAGCTCCAGAGTAGCAGAGCCACCCCTTGGCTGGGGGAACAAAGGGCAGGGCAGCAGGGCCATTCTCCCAGCCCCTTAAAGAAGGCGGGAACACCTGAACTCTGGAAGCACTGGAAATGTGGAATCAGCCCAGACTTGTTGCAGGAATTCTTGTGCTGGGCGCGGCAGCAGTGAGAAATCAGCAAGTGACATTCCCACATCAGAGTTAGAATAGAATCTGAATCAAGGGTGCACGAATCACTGCTGCCAGCCTGGTGCATAGATGTGCATAAAGCACCCTAAAAACAACACCCGGAAATAGTGCAAGTGACCTTGAGAGGCCACCAGAGTCAGACAGGTGGGGGTTCATGCTATCATGGCTTACTACCTAATGACAAATGTGGCCTGGGACACCTTGGTTACATTCCCTGCGTTACTCCTCTCACTAATCCATCCATGTGTCTTACTGTCCTGACCCACATCACAAAGCTCCCCTGTAGATGGAGTGGGAAGCCTTCAGCTCCCAATGGAGAACCACTTGTGGACTCGACAAAACTCCTTCTCATATAAAAGTTCAACTAGGTTTTTGACTCTTTATCAAAAATTCGAACATGGAACAAGTTAATAAAGTTTACACCTATCAGTGAGACAAAGATGATAACAATTAGGCACAAAAACTGACTCATCCCATGCAACTCTTGCACCCAAGAGGGCTGTGTAACAGGTAGTCTGAACTTGCTGCATATCATGCCTTAAATCTTTGTCAAAAGAAAGACAGCACTGAGACAGGCTTACACTGAACCTAATGAGTTGCTCTGGTGGTCTTCTCAAGCTTGAAGCAACTATTTCCGTCTTCCCAGGACTGAAATGGTTATGAATCACTGTTTCTGTGTTTAAATTTTGATTTCTTATGATTTTCAAACATAAATGTTGCTACTTTTAGCTGCTCACAGATCTAGAAAGACATGGATACATACCTAAAATTTGTGGCTGTATTAGATACAATCTCCTTTCACAAAATCTTGCATATTGCACTACTTGCAAAAGGGTGCCTTTTCCCAGTTGTATGGCAGGGAGTGGGAGGAAATTTCACTTTATGTTAAAATGTCAACTTTTGATGGAATAAAACCTGAAAATGGAGAGACTATCACATGAATAAGAGAAGATAATATTGTCCATTTACTACCTAGGTAGATTTCACTGTTTCTTTAAAAAAAAAAATGTTTGAAATGGAAAGGAACTTTTAAAAGCCAAATTAGGCACCAAAAAAAAATTCTTATCTTACTCTGATTCCCCCTAGTCCCATTCACCTCTGTCTATGACCCAAAGCATTCTAGGGAGAATAATAGGAAGAGGTAAAAGGAAAAGAAGGTAGAGGATGAATAAAATTGTCCTCCAAGAAAGTGGGAGACACTAAAAATTAGGGAAAAGGATTCAGAACTTCAAATGAAATCGCAGAATAAAATCTTACATTTTTGTTCCAACACAAGCATGATTTCTATGCTCACGAGTTACATTAATATAAGATGTAATTTAATGGGTCTTCATTTGCCATTTGAAATCCGTTTAACAGAGTTGCTCTATCTGGTTTTATCTACTTTAATTAATGTTTACACTTCTACTCCTAAATCTAAGGCATCTTCAAAAAGGATATTGCCTAAAATTTTAAAATAATACAACTGTTAATCTAAATAGTCATTTAGTCTCAATCCTACTTGGGTCTATTTGCTTCTGGCTGGAGTACAGTGGCTCCTTCATAGCTCACTGCAGCCTCAATCTGCCAGGCTCAAGTGATCCTCCAGCCTCAGCCTCCCGAGTAGCTGGCATGTGCCAGCATGCCTGGCTGATTTTTTATTTTTATTTTTAGTAGTGATGAGGTCTTCCAATGTTCCCCAGGCCGATCTTGAACTCCTGGCCTCGAGCAATCCTCCCGCCTCAGCCTCCCAAAGTACTGGGGCTACTGCACCCAGCAAGTTTAAAATCTTTAATGGAACAAAGGAGAGTCACTATTTCAGGGGAACACTCCTTGCTACATGGACAAAGGATGCAGGAGCTGGAATCTAGCTTTTGTTTTTGTCCTCCTTCGCTGAGCAGCAGGAGCAGAGGATTGAGCTAATTGACTTCCATAACTCATGGCACATTGCTTTACTTGGTCCTAGGAAAGTCTCTCTTTTATTTTACTTTCGAATTTTGTACTACTGCCTATTCCTTTTCCATCTCCCCCTCCCCAAACTGGCTTCATTTCTCATGTGTTTGATATATTTTTCTTTTATCAGACCACCCTTATTCTGTACTCAAGCCTCCCCCTAATCTTGGCACCCACTCTCCAGAGTCTTCTCCCCATCTATGGTCATGCCCTGATGTCAGCTTTAGCACCCTGGGTTATCTGTCCCTCTGCCTCCTCACTCACCATTTCCTTCCCTGCTGGCTTGATGTTGCCATGACTGTCCAATCAGTAACCACCCTGCTAGGCTCAGGGCTGCAGTTCTCAAACAAGGGCAATCTGCAGGAATAGCCTGGATCTTCCAGGAGGCCTTTGGCTTCCCAGAATCTGCTGTCAGGGAACCTCCATCTAATACATAACCAAAAAAAAAAATAACTCTCTTGGAACTCTAAGGAGTATGTGTCATACATACTCATAATTCAGAATTGGAGAACAAAAAGTATCTTCATAATGGCATTGAACTCTACTTCAGGGGAATTTGGAAAATATGAAAGAGACAAAATACTTGTTTGTGTCTGCTCTTCATCAGTGGTGGCCTGCTATTCAGGATTTACTAGGCAACCATAATGTTCGAGCATTGACTAGCTATCCAGAATGCAGACAATGTGTGTCCCCAATTCAAAAGAAGCATAAAGGAGAAAATATTATTGTGTTTATAACACAATAAAGGGATTGAAAATGAGCCATGGTCCGCCAAACTAACAATGTTCAGATTTGTGCTACTGTTCGGGGCCTGTTGCCGATCTTGGACTCCAGTGGACCCTGCTGTACGCTGAAAGAGTTCTTAAATGTCCAAGAAAACTCTGGTCACCCACTGGACACACCATTCTCTTGGTGGGATTTACCACAGCAGGCCCATCAGAGAGGTGGCTTAGTATGGAAGACTGTTATTAATTGAGTTCTTTATGAAAAAGCTTTCAAAATATGCAATACAATGGAAATTCTTTGAAACTCATTTTAAATCTTCAATCTGGCAATGTCAAGCAGACAAAATATGGAGCAGCATATGTTTTTAAGTATCTCACAGCTGTCGTCTTAAAAGCTGTAGACAGCTTTAGTTCAGCCAACATACTCATTTCCTGCAAATAAAAAGTTGAACAGACAAATACCCATATCTCTGCACTCAAAATGCATGTGCTTGAATATTATTCTTCATTATATATAGCACTTTTTATTTGTAAAGCACTTTCTAATTACTCTGGTGACTTACTCTCTAAGGCAATCCTGCGAATGGCATTTTCAGAGTTGATAGACAAGAGAATTAAAATGCTGAGACTGTGGCACAGGCTGAGGGCCTGTGCCTCTTAGGTCCTGCAGCTCCATGTGTTGGGATGAGGAGATGCTGAAAAATGTGAGGTGCATTTAGAGACTTCTGAATCACTACTTTCTGCCCTAAGTGGATGTTCTTGGGGCAACCTGTTATTGGGTGAGATCTGTCCTTGGCAATATGAAAGTAATGCTGGTTTATACTTTATGATTCTTTTCTCCTAAGTTACTTAAAGTGCTTTTCAGGTAATAACTCACAAATTACCATAGCATCTCTATGATACATGTCTGCGGCAGATATTATCTTCATTTTAGCAATAAGAAAGAAATGGAAGCATAGAGTCATAGAACAACTTAGAGCCTCCCCTGGCTCCCAGCCAGCAGGCTGATTTAGCAAACAAGCATGCAAGTAAATTCAATGAAGATCATTTTTCTTTGAGACAGGGTCTTGCTCTGTTGCCAGGCTGAAGTGCAGTGGTGCAGTCATAATTCATTATAACCTCAAACTCCTGGGCTCAAGCTGTCCTCCCTCTTCAGCCTCCCAAGTAGCTGAGACTACAGGTGTGCACCACCATGCCCAACTAAAATTTTTTAAGAAATAGGGTCTTTCTATGTTGGGCTGCTCTTGAACTCCTGGCCTTAAGTGATCCTCCTGCCTCAGCCTCCCCAAGTGCTGGTAATACAGGCACGAGCCACCATGCCTGGACTCAATGAAGAACATTCTGATGGAAAAGACTTCAAACATACTTATCTATTAGCAACAAAACTAAGAAATAATTATGTGGTGAGTCCGAAATAGGGCTCTTTGCACTGATGATTCACAAGAAATATTAAATGACTGCAGCAACAATAAGAATCTGCTTGTTCTTTGTTTAGGAGCTGATTGCAGACCCACTTTGCCCATTTAAACTTCTTTTCAAGGCCAATAAATTCTTATTGAGGGATTTTTATGTTCCCCTCTATTCAGAAAATAGAAGCCCCTTTTGCAACAGAAAATGTTTCGCTGACAAAAAATGTTTTTTAAACTTTGTGAAATAAACAGAAAAAAGAAATGGAACAAGTATAGTTCCTGCCATGCATAATTAACCGGGTAGCTCTTAGCATGTGTGTGTGTTTATTCATCTGATTTTCCAGCTCTTTCAAGGATCCAAATGTAAAATGGAACACTTGGGAAAAACTCACAGATTTATAAGGCACTCTGGGGAATGCAAGGTCTATAAACCCACACATTAGCCTCATCCATAGCTAGGGTATGAAGTTCTTTTACTGCCGCAATATGGACCACGATGTTTCTAATCCAGAGATAATTTGGTATCAGTAACCAATATAACATTGGCACTGAAATGTCCTTCATTTGCCTTTACTGCTTCCAACCTAGGCAACGTGAATGTAATTGAGTGGAAATTGCTTTTCAAGGAGTTGTGTCTGCACTAGAACATGAAACAAAGGATTGAGAGTCCATCTCATCTCCTCAGGCCAGCTACCAAGCACTTTTATATTTGAAAACTTAACAGAAAGTTCATATGGTGGCTTCTCATGCTGAATTTATATGGTTTAAGTAGAATTATGTACTGAATACAGTTTTCACAAGCCAATAAACAGGAGTGCAAAAATAGAACCTTTACTTTTCTCTGTAATGAAGCTAAACTTCTATCTCAAGCTCTGAGTCTTCTCTGTAGCAGGAAAGTTAATCTTCCCGATTTAAATTAATTCAAATTAGTGGTTCTTCAGTCACTTTGAGAATAAAATTAGACAAATTCAGGGTTTCATGCTTTTCCTTTCATTGTTTTGGGAAGTCAGTGCAGTTCTGTGGGAACTGCATGCATCATGGTGCTGAGAAGTGAGGCAGCTTCTCCACTGGCATCTGATGACAGCACTTTCACCTGCTGATCTTTGGTCAATAGTCTCTATCTCCATAGCATCCTCTGTTGGTGTGCTTGGGTCCACCATGGCCTCTGGCTTTTCCATGCTGCTCCTGACTGGAAACCCTTGTCACAACCTCTCTCAGCCATGTCCACAACCCACTAGGGACATTGAAAATTCTTGTGGGCTCTTCTCTAAGCTGCAGGAGTCTCAGAATTGCCAGAGCCCTTCTCACCTAGATTTGCCTCATTGTCCTCTCTGCTTTGCTACTGCTTCAATGTGCCCATGAGGTTCACTGTGCCTTCAGGCCTCACCCACAAAGCAAGCACAATTCTTCTCTGCTCTTGGAACCCTCCAAGTCAATCTGAGCCTTCTCTCAACCTCACCCAGGAATTGGTCACTGCTAAACAAGGACTCTAGAGTCAAACTTGCAGAGTGCAAACACTGGCTCTGCCACTTACTAGCTATGAGACTTTGGGCCAGTCTCTTGACTCCTTTGTGCCTCAGCTTTCTCATCTACAAAATGGGATCTACATCATAAGGTTGTTGAGAAGAGTAAATGGATTAAAATATGTACACTTGGAATACTGGTTGGCACATAGTAAGTACTACATGGTTTGGATATGATTATTGCTGCTGGTCCATGGTGGAGGCTAAGAATGGGGCACTTCTCTCAGAGCCATATCAGCATCTCCCTCCAAGCCCGTTGAGGGGAAGAATTAGCTGTCACTTCGCACTGTCTTCTCATTCTAATGTCTATTGTATAAACATTGTGCTCTGAATCCTTCAGTCTCTTAGGCTTTGGGAAATCAAAACACCTTTTCTCTTTCAAAAACCTGAACTTATCCAATTTCAGTCTTTGACTCTGCTATAGACATCAAGAAACTATTAAACTGTTGGAAATTAAAAGTCAAGAATTTGTCTTCTTCACTTGTCTCTCCCCTAAGGTAATAGCCCTGATCTCCCTGATCAGGGGGAAAGACTATAAGTTACAAAGTTAGCATTTCCCTCGGTTTTTTTTTTTTTTTTTTGTATGAGGAAATTAAGTTTCCATCCAATTATTTTTTTCTTTTTATTCCTTTTACGGCCATCAGAAAACTTCAGAAGAAAGAGAGATAGAAAATAGGATATTATGGGGATAAAAAGGGAAAAGGACAAGATGGCTGGCTGAATCCAGCCAGGAAGAGCTTCTCCCACTAAGAGAGGCCAGAGTAGCATGGCATATTCCAAACAGATCTTATGAGAGAATGCACTGAAAGTGGATGGAGAAATGATGCAGATACTGGGGCTGAAGTGGGAGGAAGCTGGGAACCCTGCACAAGGTTGCCAAGTGCTGGGTCTCATTCCTGCCCATGAAAGCTCCCAAGCAAGAGTGAGTGAGGGAATTGCAGAGTGGCTAACTCTTACCATGGACTGCTGGGATCCTAGCTGCAGGAGATCGCATGGCCCCCATGAGCATTTAAGTTGGCAGGGAAAACTACCAGGAGAGTCAGTAGAGACAGAGATCCAGTCTGCACAGAACCTGGGGAATTTGGTGTACAAAGGGGTGCAAAGGAATACGGACATACCACAAGGCTTGCCATACTTCTCTAGGTGGCTCTGACCTTTGTTAACTGCTTGACCTGGCAAGCAGGGCTGTCTTTTCCATGGGACCAAGTAAAGTGTGATCTACACACACACACACCCATCCACTGGTCCCTCCCAGGGTCCCTGCCTGGCCACTTCCATGAAATCAGGCACACAGTGAAGCCTCCCCTGCTCTGCCAGAGCACTTTTGCCAATCACCAACACCATAGTGCTATTACTGGTGGCCCCCGCCACCCCACCATAGCACTTTCACTGGTGGCCCCCACTGCTCTACTGGAGCACTTTCACCAATGGCCCCCCAACTGTCTTGCTGGAGTGCTTTTGCTGGTAATCCCTGATGCAACACTTTAGCCAGCAGCCACCAACAGAGCACTTTTGCCAGTGACCTAGAAGCACCTCAACCCTCCAACCTCAGTATGGCCAGTGCTCAGCCTAGAGGGGCCAGATGGCAAAGGCATGGGGATGGTCCCAGCCCCCTAGGGCTAGAGGACACAGCTCAGGAGTGCTATACTAAGGCTTGTCCATCTGAAAACATCCATAACTCCAACTTATAGTTGAAGTCAATCAACTATATTCAACTTAAATGATCCAAGAGTTGAAAGATGATATAACCATTTTAAGAAAGATTTAAACTGAACTTCTAGAATTGAAGAATTCACTACAGCAATTTTGGAATACAATGGAAGTATTAACAACAGAATAGTCCAAGCTGAGGAAAAAATCTCAGAGCTTGAAGATTGCTCCTTCAAATCAATGCAAGCAGACAAAAATATGGAAAAAAGAATTTTAAAAATGAACAAAACCTCCAAGAAATATGGGATTATGTAAGGAGACCAAACCTATGACTCATTGACATTCCTGAAAGAAAAGGAAAGTAAACAACTTGGAAAACATATTTCAGTATATAATTTACAAAAATTTTCCCAATCATGCTAGAGAGGTTGACATGCAAATTCAAAAAATTCAGAAAACCCCTGCGAGATACTATACAAGATGACCATTTCCAAGACACAGTCATCAGATTGTCCAAGACCAACAGGAAAGAAAAAAATCTTAAAGGTAGAGGAAAGGAGCCAGTCACTTAAAAAGAAAACTCCATCAGGTTAACAGTGGACCTTTCAGCAGAAACCTTACAAGCCAGAAGAGACTGGGAGCCTATTTTCAGTGTCCTTAAAGAGAAGAACTTCCAACCAAGAATTTCATATCCCCCCAAACTAAGCTTTATAAACAAGGGAGAAATAAAATCCTTTTCAAACAAGCAAATGGTAAGGAAATGTTTTACCACTAGGCCTGCCTTACATAAGGTCCTTAAGGAAGTGCTAAATATAGCAACAAAAGAAAGATTTCTGCCATCAAAAAAACACACACACACACACACATACACACTTGCAGATGTCGGGGACGGGGGCCGGTGTAGTCTCTGTGCCTCGTTCTCCCTAGCACCACCCGGACATCGCTCAGGCTGCCGGCACCGTGAAGATCTGGACTTCAGAGCATGTCTTTGACCACTCATGGGAAACTGTTACAACAGCTGCAATGCAGAAATACCCAAACCCTATGAACCAACTGTGGTTGGAGTTGATGTGTTGGACAGACATGTAGATCCCTCTGGAAAGTTGCACAGCCACAGACTTCTCAGCACAGAGTGGGGACTACCTTCCATTGTGAAGTCTCTTATTGGTGCAGCAAGAATGAAAACATATGTGCAAGAACATTCTGTAGTTGATCCTGTAGAGAAAACAATGAAACTTAAATCTACTAATATTTCATTTACAGATATGGTTTCAGCAGATGAGAGACTTATATACAAACCACGTCCTCGGGACCCAGAAAAAACTATTTTGACTCAAGAAGCCATAATCACCATGAAAGGAGTTAGCCTCAGCAGTTACTTTGAAGAACTGATGGCAAGTATGATATCCTCAAACACTAGTAAAGGCTGAGAAGCAATAGAATGGGTAATACATAAATTAAATGCTGAGATTGAAGAACTGACAGCCTCAGCAAGAGGAAGCATAAGGACTCCAATGGCAGCAGCAGCTTTTGCAGACAAGTGATCATAAAAGTTGATAGACAACGTTGGGTAGCCCAGGTCTCTCCAAGCTGACTACATATTTATTTGTTATTTAAAAAATACAACTATATTTTAGGTAGTTTTTTAAATAAACTGGCATAAGGCTATGTGATTTTTGATCAAAGTGGATGCAGGGCCTCTAAATAAAAGGGATCATCTGAACTTAATGTTGTTTGAAATTACTATCTGATGTTGAGGGTTCCAGTCTTTCTGTGAAAATTCAACAAGAACTCCTTGGAAATTGGTATTAATGTTGAATCTCCTTAAGGTAGAATTTTCAAGCTTTTCATATATGGGAACTCCACCTGACTTTGGACCAACCCCAGAACAGAGCAGAGCCACCTCCTATAGATGCCCATTGCCCTGCTGCTGTACACTTCAACAGCTTGCACAAGGGAACTCACTTAAAAGGAGAAATTGTGTAGTTTTAAAATATATTTTGTGTAAAATAACTTGCTGTGCTATAAACCACCATTCAAAACCAGTGTTTTGATTTGGTACTTAAATATTTTTGGAGTGAAAATTATCACTAAAGTAACATGACTCCAACAAAAGTATGGTTTCATTAAAGAATACTGTATTGATTTGCCAAAGTTTTGTATCTTAGTAAAGGTATTAACTTCCTTGGATTTGTACTTTGTGATTTTGTATGCTGTACCATGGGCTGGTTATGTTTACTGAAAAAAATAAAGTCATTACCTGGGTTTTGCAGCGCCCTAACTTAAACAGAAGAACAGCTATTCACTTCTTTTAGCATTTCACATTTGCCTAACTTAAAAATTTTCATGTGTCAAAATCACGGTTTTGTAATTGCTAAGGTATGATATGTCAGATTATTTTAATATAATTACTTTTTGAAGTAATTGTGATCACAAAACATCTTTTTTACATGAAGGAGCTGTATATCATTTGAAATTACTCAGCTGATGTCTTGCTCTGAAGCATAAACCCCAGGTACTTAATGTTTTTAATAATACAGGGCCACTGCAGGATTTGGGGGCAGTGGGGAAGAACGAGGATAATGGTGGGGGGGAGGCTTGGCCTGAAACTAACTACTAAGTGGATTGCACTGCAGCTTTATTTATGGGGATTCCTTATTTGAGATGTCAGAGGGCAACTTCAAATTGAAAAACAATTCAGTAAACGTACTTTGTTTACATTTTGTAGCAGGAAATTATCAACCACTAAATAATAGCTTTGACATTTGCAATTGTTGCATAGAGAGTATTTTCGCTAGAAGATGATTAGCTCTTGCCTTTATTTTACTGTGCTTAATGTGATAAACTTCTAGTCATGTTTCCTATCAAAGAGACCAGTTAATATATGTATGTACACCACAGAAATAGTATAACAAACTATTTTTAAATTATCATTTTTCTACATAAAAATTGTTTAGCTTAAGAATTCTTAGGACATTTGTAAAAGCAGGTTAAATTTAATAAGGTTTCTGATTCTTTTTTGTAACCAGAGATAGTTTTTACAAGTGAAATAACATTTCAGCTAAATAAAACATCACTAAATAATTGATATTTGATGAAAATCTGCCTTGTATAATTTCTGCAAATTACAGTTGTTCTGAAAAAGGTGTAAGGCCCTAATGATAAGAGATTTTTAAACAAATCCATATCCTTTGATTTGTTTAAACTCTGATCTAATGATAAAATTCTATACATTTTCATTTTCCAGTGTAGTTAGTTACCTTTTTTGAAATAGCTGGTAATTGATAGCTTTTACCTGTTAAACATAAATACACAGCCAGCAAATGTATTTAAGAGGACTAAACTGGAATAAGTGTTCATAAATGAAACCCTTGGACTATTTAATACTAAAGTTGAAATGTAGATTCTGAAAAACTTTTGTTAATAAAAACTGTCTTTTAAGTGAAAAAGAAAAACACACTTAAGTACATAGCCCACTGACACTAGCAAGCAACTACACAATCAAGTTTATGTAACTATCAGCCAACAACATAATGATAGGATAAAATCCTCATATATCAGTAGTAACCTTGAATGTAAACAGGCTAAATGCCCCATTTAAAAGATGTAGAGTAGCAAGTTGGATAAGGAAGGAAGATCCAACTGTCTGCTGTCTTCAAGAGACCCATCTCACACATAACACCCATAGGCTCAAAGCAAAGGGATGGAGAAAGATCTATTATGCAAATAGAAAACAAAAAAAGAGCAGGGGTTGCTATTCTTCTATCAGATCAAAAAGACCTTAAACCAGCAATGATCAAAAAGGACAAAGAAGGACATTATATAATGATAAAGGGTCCTACACAAAGACTCAACTATCCTAAATATACATGCACCCAACACTGGAGCACCCAGATTCATAAGACAAGTTCTTAGAGACTTAAAAAAAGACTTAGCCACACGATAATAGTGGGAGACTTCAACAGCCCCACTGACAGCATTAGACACATCATCAAGGCAGAAAACTAACAAAGATATTCTGGACTTAAACTCAACACTTGACTAATTGGACTTAATAGACATCTACCAAATACTCCATCAAACAACAACAGAATTACATTTTTCTTATCTGCCCATGGCACATACTCAAGATCAACCACATGCTCGGCTGTAAAGCAAGTCTCAATAAATTTTAAAAAACTGAAATTATACTAACCACCCTCTTAAACCACAGTGCAAAAAAAATAGAAATCAATGTCAACATCTCTCAAAACAATACAATTACACAGAAATTAAACAATTTGATCCTGAATAGCTTTTGGGTAACAAACAAAATTAAGACAAATCAAAAACTTTTTGAAATTAATGAAAACAGTGATACAATACACCAAAGTCTTTGGAAAACCATTAAAGCAGTGTTAAAAGGAAAGTTTATAGTACTAAATGCCTACATCAAGTAGTTAGAAAGATCTCAAATTAACAACCTAACATCATATCTAGAGGAACCAGAAAAACAAGAGCAAACTAAACCCAAAGCTAGCAGAAGAAAAGAAATAACCAAAATCAGAGTAGAATTGAATGAAATTGAGACTCAAAAATCTATTAAAAAGATCAATGAAACCAAAAGTTTGGTTTTCTCAAAGAATAAATAAGAATGATATACCACTAGCTAGGTTAACAAAGAAAGAATGAGATAAAATCCATATAAGCACAATCAGAAATGACAAAGATGACATTACAACTGACCCCACCAAAAAAAAAAATCCTCAGAGACCATTACTAACATCTCTGTGTACATAAACTAGAAAACCTAGAAGAAATGGATAAATTCCTGGAAACACACAACCTCCCAAGAATAAACCAGGAAGAAACTGAAACCCTGAACAGACCAATAACAAGTTCCAAAATGGAATCAGTAATTTAAAAAACCTAAGAGCTAAAAAAGTCCTGGACCAAACAGATTCACAGCTGAATTCTACCAGACATACAACAAAGAGCTAGTACAAATCCTATTAAAATTATTCCAAGAAATCAGGGAAGGGGGGCTTCTCCCTAACTCATTCTACAAGGCCAGCATCATTCTGATACCAAAACCTGGCCCAACAAAATGCCAGCAAACTGAATCCAGCAGCATATCAACAAGTTAATTCATCATGATCAAGTACACTTTATCCCTAGGATGTAAGGTTAGATCAACATACACAAATCAATCAATGTGATTCACCATGTGAAGAAAATTAAAAACAAAAATCATATGCTCATATCAATACACACAGAAAAAACTTTCAATAAAATTCAACACCCCTTCATGTTAAAAACCCTCAACAAACTAGGCATCAAAGAAACACACTTCAAAATAATAAGAGCCATCTATGGCAAACCCACAGCCAACATCATACTGAATGGGCAAAAACTGGAAGCACTCCACTTGAGAACTGGAACAAGACAAGGATGCCTATTCTTACTACTCCTATTCAAGATAGTACTGAAAGTTCTAGCCAGAGCAATTAGGCAAAACAAAGAAATAAAAAGCACCCAGATAGGAGAAGAAGAAATCAAATTATGTCTCTTTGCTGACAATATAATACTATACCTAGAAAACCTCAAAATCTACCAAAAGACTCCTAGAACTGATAAATGACTTCAGTAAAGGTTCAGGTTACAAAATCAATGTACAAAACTCAGTAACATTTCTATACACCAATAACGTTCAAGCTGAGAGCCAAATCTAGAAGGTAATCCCATATATAATAACCAGAAAAACAATTTTTTAAAAAAACTTAGGAATACAGCTATCCAAGGAGGTAAAATATCTCTACAATGAGAATTACAAAATGCTGTTGAAATAAATCAGAGATAACACAAACAAATGAAAAAACATTACATGCTCATGGATTGGAGGAATCGATATTGTTAAAATGGCCATAAACTCAAGGCTACTTACAAATTCAATGTTATTCCTATTTACCCCAATGTCATTTTTCACAGAATTAGAAAAAAATGATGCTAAAATTCATATGGAACCATAAAAGAGTCCAAATAGCCAAAGCAATTATAAGCAAAAAGAACAAAGCTGGCAGCATCTTACTACATGATTTCAAACTATACTATAAGGCTACGGTAACCAAAACAGCACGGTACTGTACAAAGACAGACACATAGACCAATGGAACAGAATAGAAAACCCAGATGTAAAGCCACACCTATAACCACCTGATCTTCAACAAAATTGACAATAAAAAGCAATGGTAAATTGACTTATGTTATTTATTCAACAAATTGTTCAGGGATAACTTGGTAGGCATATGCAGAAGATTGAATCTGGACCCCTACCTCTCACCATATACAAAAATTAACTCAAGATAGATTAAAAACTTAAATTTAAAATGTAAAACTATTAAAATCCTAGAAGAAAAACTAGAAAATACCATTCCAGACATGGGCCTTGGGAAATAATTTATGTCTAAGTCCACAAAAGCATTTGCAACAAAACCAAAAATTGACAAGTAAAAACTAATTAAATTAAAGAGCTTCTGCACAGCAAAAGAAATTATCAATAGAGTAAACAGACAATGTACAGAATGGGAGAAAATATTCACAAACTATGCATCTGACAAAGGTCTAATATCCAAAATCTATAAGGAACTTAAAAATTCAAAGATCAAAAAACAAATAATCTCATTTAAAAAGGACATGAACAGACACTTCTCAAAAGAAGACATTCATGTGGCCAACAAATACATGAAAAAACACTCAACATCAGCAATCATTAGAAAAATGCAAATCAAAATCACAATGAAATACTGTCTTATGCCAGTTAGAATGGCTATTACTAAAAAGTCTAAAAATAACACGCCCTGGTGAGGTTGTAGAGAAAAGGGAACACTTATACACTATTGGTTGTTATGTAAATTAGTTCAGCCTCTGTGGAAAGCAGTTTGGAGATTTCTCAAAGAACTTAGAACTAGCATTTGACCCTGCAATCTTATCCAGAGGAAAATAAATCATTCTACCAAAAAGACACACACACACGAATGTTCATTACAGCACTATTCGCAATAGCAAAGACATAGAATCAACCTAGATGCTCATCAATGGTGGACTGGTTAAAGAAAATGTGGTACATACCCACTATGGAATACTATGCAGCCATAAAAAAGAATGAAATTGTGTCCTTTGCAATAGCATAGATGAAGGTGGAGGCCATTATCATAAGCGAACTAAGGCAGGAACAGAAAATTAAATATCACATGTTCTCACTCATAAGTATGAGCTAATATTGAGTACACTAGGACATAAACATGAGAACAATGGAAACCTGAGACTACTAGAGCGGGGAGGATGAGAGAGTGAGAGGGGGTAAAGGTTGAAAAATTATCCAGTACTATGCTCCCTACCTGGCTGATGGGATCATTTGTACACCAAACTCCAGGAACATGCAATTTACCCTTGTAAGAAACCTGCACACGTACCTACTGAACCTAAAATAAAAGTTGAAAGAAAAAACAAGAAAACAGAATGAGAAGGAAGAATTGGTGCAATCCACTGAAAATTCTTGTTAGCAAAGTGATGGTCCTTGGGTCAGAAGTTAGAGAATATGGCTTGCTCATTGGTGTGTTTTTGACATCTTTCTGCTTTTGCTCTCTTCTCTCTACTTTCCAATGATGAGAAGTGGAGATTTTATTTAATACTAGGCAGGTGAATTCAACTAAAATACTGCAAGGGCTGGCCTTGTTTTCCATGCCACAGTACCTCATTCAGCAAACAAGCTGGTGGTTTGCTAGGAAGCATTTTCTCTTAATTGAACTGCTAGTCTGATCATTTGTGGGGATACGAATAAGAAGGTGGCTAGGCTGGCCACACCTGTCCCATGCTTCAAATATTTCCAGAAGTCTTGAGAGCAGTTAAACACTATCCAAGGCAATAACCCACTAAATGAATGACTTCAGGCAACTCATGGAAAAATGTGAAAAATACACTAAAACAAGTGTGACAGTGTCATCTGCAACAGCACAAAATCAACCCGTATCACCAGGACTCAGCTGCTCTATGATTGGAGCAAAGATGCTAATGGTTATACTAAAAAATTAAAATTAGTAATAATTCTGTTCCCACAAGAGCTTTGTTCTGTTCTGAGCACAAATGGCATCAACATCTTGGAAGCTGATGGTTAGCTAACTTGAAGCAGATCCTCTAGAAATTTATTTGTTTATGTATTTATTTTAGAGACAGGGTCTTGCTTTGTCACCCAGGCTGGAGTGCAGTTGTGCAATCATAGCTCACTGGAGCCTCAACCTCCTGGGCTCAAGTGATCCTCCCGCCTCAGCCTCCTAAGTAGCTGGGTCTACAGGCATGCACCACATGCCCAGATAATTTCTTATTTTTTGTAGATATAGGGTCTTTCTGTGTTGCCCAGGCATGTCTTGAACTCCTGGCCTCAAGCAATCTTCTCACCTCAGCTTCCCAAAGCCTAAGATTACAGGCATGAGCCACTGCGCCCAGTCTAAACATTTATTAAAATCATGGGGTTTCCCACTGGAATTTTCATTTTTAGCTCTAAATATGTTTTTGGTTACTGAACCAGATCTTCCAGCATTAGAATACATCCCCTGTGCATACTCAAGAGATATATTGCCTCTTCCAGGCCACTACAGGAATATTTGATGAATTATGACCCAGGCTATAATAGGAGAACATTACTCACACCGAGTCCCTGAAAGCATCTGTCTAGTTCCACAGGCTCAAATGTTACAGCTTAAAGTCTTCAAAAACCTTTTTAAGAAACAGCTAAATGACACCACCAGGCATTTTCAATCAACCCACATTCATTTGAACTTCAAGTGGTCAAACTTTGTGTGAGAAAAGGTAACACCTTTTTCTCAATAGTCATGTGCTACCTCAATACAATGTTCTTCCACCCTCAGATTAGCTCCATCCACGGTTTTTAAATGTCAGCTTTCAGGCGCTAATGAATCCACAGCTTCAGCTCAGTGGTTACAATGGAGTTAATTATGATATATGAGATTCAGGATCCTTGAGAATGCCCCAGGCAGGGAGCTTTTAAAATCTCAGATTCATTTATGTACGTAATGGAGGCTGTTCCATGTTTCTGTAAAACCACGAAATTATTGATCATTTTCATTGGCATCACTTTCATCCTAATAGTCTCAGACTGATATTAAATGTATAATTAAATGACTGCCCCATTGTTTGGTCTCAGATAATAGTAATAGCTCACACTTAACAGAGGGTTTATTATGGTCTACTCACTGTGCTAAGTTCTTTACTACAAACATTGTCATTTTATATAAGCCTCAGGAAGGTTCAGGAGCTTGTCTAATGTCACACAGCTCATGAGTGGTGGCACTGGAACTAAACCCAGGTTGGTCTGATTTCAGAGCATGAACTCTTTACTCCACCAGCCCCTCCCACTGCATATACTACATAATTTAATCAAAAATAGAGCTTCTCTATTTTCAGCCGCCAAATCAGAGCCAAATATGATTTTGACTCTGAATAGATATTAAATTTTCCTCCTTGAATTGTCTTTCCTTTTTTCCTTCTTTCTTTTTTAGCGTATCTCTTTGCGTCCTTTCACCTTAAATCCCTGCCCCCTTTTAAATGCCAAGAGTCTCAAGCTCCACCCTTACAGAACGCCCCTGCAATAACACAGCATATCCATTAGGGTCTAGAAGTCACTCGGAAAATTAAAGCAAAACCTCACAAAATATGATCATTCTTAATTCTTAAAAAATTAAAAACAAGCTGAACAAAATATTTTGTCATAAAAACTTGTACATTTGTACTGATATTTGCTTCTTTATAGCCCATATCTGAAATTACAGTCATGCACCACATGATGATGTTTCAGTCAGCAATGGGCCACACTGCCAGTCTATAAAAGTATAGCACATGCAATTGTGCATAGTATATAACACTTGATAACGATAATAAATATGTTACTGGGTTATGTATTTATTAGACAACACTTATCATCATTTTAGAGTGTAATATGTCTACATATGTTTTTAAAAAGTTAACTGTAAAACAACCTCAGGCAGATCCTTCAGGTGTATTCCAGAAGAAGGCATTGCTATCATAGGAGATGGTAGCTCCATGTGTATTATTGCCCCTGAAGACCTTCTAGTGGGGCAAGGTGTGGAGGTGGAAGACAGTCATACTGACAATCCTGATCCTGTGTAGGCCTAGGCTAGAGTATGTTTTTGTCCAGGTTGGAGTGCAATGGTACCAGCATAGCTCACTGAGCCTCAAACTCCCAGGCTCAAGCAATCCTCCCACCTTGGTCTCCCAAAGTACTGGGATTACAATGCAAACTGCCACACTGGACCCCTAAAATTTTTAAAACTAGAAAAAAGTTTACAGAATAAGGCTATAAAGAAAATACTTCTGTACAGCTATATAATGTGTTTGTGTTTTAACCTAAGTGTTATTACAAAAGTCAAAAAGTTAGAAAAAATTTTAAATATATGAAGTAAAAAACATTACAACAAGTTAAGGTTAACTTATTATTGAATAAAGAAAAATACTTTTTATAAATGTAGTGTAGCCTAAGCATACAGTGTTTATAAAGTCCACAGCAGTGTACAGCAATGTCCTAGGCCTTCACATTCACCCACCACTCACTCACTGACACCCAGAGTAACTTTGAGTTCTGTAAGTTCTGTTCATGGCAAGTGCCTTAGGCAGGTGTACCATTTCTTTATCTTTTATACTGTATTTTTACTATGTCTTTTCTATGTTTAGATATGGATGAATACATAAATACTTACATTGTGTTCCAGTGTCCTACAGTATTCGATACACTAATACGCTGTACAGGTTTGTAGCCTAGGAACAATAAGCTATATAGCCTGGGTGTGTAGTAGGCTATACCACCTAGGTTTGTGTAGGTACACACTACGATGTTTGCACTATGACAAAATCTTCTAGTGATGCATTTCTCAGAAGAGGATATCTCTGTCATTAAGCAATGCATAACTAATCTAATTTAAAATGCCCCAAAAACTTAATTTGGACTTGCTAATTTTTCATTGTACATTATAGTTAGATTAATTGTTAACTTACTGTCACTTTCATCCATTTTCTAATCATTCCTAATATCATGTTTAAGTAGTTTATTTTTACACCATTAAAATATAGAAATACTGTAAATCAGTATAAAATGACACATATAATTTTGTTAAAACTTACATAGAGTAAGTATGTATTAGTCTATGTGGTACTCACAATAATTAATTTCATCATGGGGAAAATTATAATAGTCTTTAAAATTATTACATGAGTATAGTCTAAATGATAGGGTTGCATTCTGTGATCTGTTGTGCAAACACGACATGGACACCACACGATACAAATATAAAATAAGATTTTTAGGAAAAAGCAGTCAAAGAAACATCAGAGGTTATGAGCTCCATCCTCTTGCTATCCTGCAGTGAGGCAATCTCAAGTCAAGAATATCCAGGCATACCATGGAAAGCACATTGGAGGAAGGACCGCACACCTGTGCCACTTTACATAGTTATCAAAGCATGGAAAGGGGCCAGGAAAGCTCTAGATACCTGTAAAACAATGGGAACTTCATGGAAAGGAGATGACCTTCTTAGAAAGGGGAACTGTCCTGAGGTCAGCCTCTGGATAGCCTACTCTTCTGAAGAATCAGCTTCTTTCCAAGCTTGTGAAAAAGCAGAAGGGATGAGCCTCCAGAAAAGTCTCTGGATTTGTATCTTCTCAGCATCTAAGCCAATATTTTTAGCGTGTCTTTATTTCAAATGGGAACAACTTAAAATATGTCAAAAGGACACAGCAACCAACTTAGAGGGGCTCTCAATGGTCAGATTTGAGGAAATTTAAGTAACAATAAGAAAAAATTATAGTAATGGATTACGACCCACAGACTAAAATAAGAAACAAAGGGCCCACAATGATATAAATAAACAAATAAAATCTTCTCACAGTAGGCTTCCAACTTATAGATGTTGGATAAAGGAATGATGAAAATGGAAAATCAATTTGGCAAATATCACAGTAATCATTTTTCTTCAGACAAGAATAATTGATAAGTTCTTAAATTTCTGAGTGAAAGTTTGATGAGATACAGAATAGTTTACTGAGTCACAAAGTATCTTTCCATAAGATGTATATTAATCACCATGGAAAAAGAATAACTTTTTGGAAAAGCCTGGTAGATACCTTCTTAAGTGATTAAAAGTTATCACCAGTAATGGAATAAGTTAATTCCGTGTGCTTCTCAATATAATGCACTGAATATCAATTTTATGATCTTCTTGACAAAAGGGTGCATAACCTAATTTGAATCATGAAGAAACATCAGAAAAATTCAAACTGAGTGACATCCTTCGAAATAACTGGTCAGTCAATGCTTTTCAAAAAGTGTCAAAGTTGATGGAAGACAAAAAAGACCAAGGAACTAGCACAGATTAAAAGACCCAAGGATACATGATAACTAAATCCATCACGAAATCCTGGGTTAGGTCTTGGACCAGAAAGGAAATTCATGGAACGGTTGCTGAAGTTTGATATGCATTATTAATAGTACTGTATCAATGTTAATTTCTTGATTCTAATAATTTTACTATCATTAGGTAAGGTATAAGCTTTTGGGAATCTGGGCAAAGGGCTTGCAGATATCCTTTGTACTGTTTTTACAACTTTTTGTAAGTGTGAAATTATTTTTAAGTGAAAAGTTAAAAAAATGAGCAATGATTGTTAAAACCCTAGTAAACTCTGAAGTAAGTACTTTTAGTATTTAAATATTTCTTTGTTTTACTAATTGTATATTTCACTCTGTAGTAATGTATAATTTGATCCTACTATTAAAATAATTCTAAATTTGTTTTGTGTACATTTGTGAAATAAAGAAGAAAGACAGTGCACATTATTTTTTTCTATTGTCAGCAGTTCTATGTCCTTTGCTCTTCAACTTCCTAATTTCTCACTCCTTCAAGACTTGAAATATAGCTTACACTTCCATTCTCTTGATTCTTCACAAATCTACAAAACTTCTCTCTTAAGGGTCACTAGTGACTTCCTAGCAACTCAATCCAAGGGTATTTCTTAGTCTTCACTGTCATTATGCTTCCGCAATGTGACAACATGGGTGACTGCTTTTAAAAAAATAAAAGGTGTGTCAACAGTTATTAACTCATGGACCATCTTGTTTTACCTAGTCCCATTCCCACTAGATTTTTGTTTTTGTAGAGATGGGGGTCTCACGATGTTGCCCAGGCTGGTTTCAAACTCCTGGGTTCAAGTGATCCCCCCACCTCAGCCTCACAATGTGCTGATATTATAGACATGAGCCACCATGTGTGGCCACCCACTAGATTATTTCAAAGACAATCCCAGACATGCTACCATTTCATTCATAACTATTTCCTTATACATCTCTAAAGATAGTATCTCTTTTTAACATAACCACAATACCACTATCAATTTGAAAAAAGGTCAATGTTTGAATTTCCCCCCTTGGTTTATATTTTATACTGTTGATTGTTTTGACCCAAATAAATTTATAGGTTATGGTTGGTTGATATTAGACCTTAGCAGTCACCTAACAAAATCCCAGTCAAGTTAAACCAACCTGTTGCACTTGCTCAATGCACCCAAGCGACCCATGGAACAGAGCTGTAGAAAACGGTACATAAAACTGCCCTCATTTTAAATGTGTGACAGTTGCAGAGGAAACTTCTTCTCTGCAGATTCATGTTTCCATGCAGAGGAAGCACTGCAGAGCAACACTATTGGCCTTTTTTCCCCCTACCCTCCATTACTCATTCGTCTGCTGTTCCATGAGGTGGCCCCACTGCAGACGGGGTGGAGGGCAGTGGTGGTATGGTGCTCAGTGCTGCTTGTGTCTAGGCGGTACATCTGCCTAATTTTGAGGCAAGAAGTTAACAAGACCTAGAGCTTCATTCTCCACCAGCTATATCAGTTATGAAGCTAATATTTTGCTTTCTATCATTTGGGTTCCTGGGCTATTTCTCAATAAGTCTGAATCCGGACAGAAAGGAGGTAGCATTATTTATTAGGAGGGTGGCTATACTATACACTTCATTGCCCAAACAGAGACACTTTTAAGAAAGAAAGGGAACACTCCAGGAAAATCAGGACTTGTCCCCTAGCAAACCAGGTTGTATTAGGCCTGGCTTATGCCGGAGCTGAGATCTTGAAAAATAAACAAAGAATGGAATCTGAGGAAAAAGTAACACTTTGAGGTTGAGATGAGGTAAGAGACAGGACTAGACTCTGGAGGTGGGGCTCAGACACTGGACCAAGCTGAGGATTAGCTAAAACAGACCCAGGGTGGAAGCACCTCCCCGTAAGATACACCTATCAGTATGCCATGTCAGTTTCCCATTGCCATGGCAACACCCAGAAGTTACTGCCCCTTTCCATGGTAAGGGCCCAGCAACCTGGAAGTTACCACCCTCATCCTAGAAATTGCATAAAATGTCTCTTAATTTGCATATAATTAAAAGGGGGTATAAATATGAGTGCAGAACTGCCTCTGAGCTGCTACTCTGGGCATCTACTGCTTATGAGGTAGCTCTGCTCCATAAGGAGCAGTACCTCTGTTGCTGCTATACACTGCCACTTCAAAAAAAGTTGCTGTTTACCACCACTGCTTAACCCTCAAATTCTTTCCTGGGTAAAGCCAAGAAACCTCACTTGCTAAGCCTCAAATTTGGGGCTTGCCTGTCCTTCATCAGAGGCTCCTGGTGAAGTTTGATAGGATGGCTTAGACTTTAGAAGGCATAGCCACATGGAATTTCCTTTACCATTATATTATAAAATAAAACAGACACAGAAAATAGCACATAACAAATATATAGCTTAGTGAATATTATAAAGCAAACACTCTTACAACCAACCATGACACAGCTCAATAACTTGCCACACGAGAAGAATTTTGGAAATTATACAAACACGCAGAAATTAAACAATATACTCCTGAATGAACAGTGGGTCAATGAAGAAATTAAGAAGAAAATTTAAAACTTCCTTGAAACAAATGACAATGGAGACACAAAATACCAAAGCCTATGGGATACAGCAAAAGCAATATTAAGAGAGAAATTTACATCTATAAGTGCCTACATCAAAAAAGAAGAAAAACTTCAAATAAACAACCTAATGATGCACTTTAAGGAATTAGAAAAGCAAGTGCAAACCAAACCCACAGTTAATAGAAGAAAAGAAATAATAAAGATCAGAGCAGAAATACATGAAAATGAAATGAAAAAACAATGTAGAAGATATTGACCGAAACCAATGAAAAGTTGGCTTTTTGAAAAAAAAAAGAAAATTACAAACCTTTAGGCATGCTAAGAAAAATAGAGAAGACTCGGCCAGGCATGGTGGCTCATGCCTATAATCCCAGCACTTTGGAACACTGAGGCGGGCAGATCACGAGGTCAGGAGATCAAGACAATATTGGCTAACATGGTGAAAACCGGTCTCTACTAAAAATACAAAAATTAGCCGGACGTGGTGGCGGGCACCTGTAGTCCCAGCTACTTGGGAGGCTGAGGCAGGAGAATGGCGTGAACCCAGGAGGCAGAGCCTGCAGTGGGCTGAGATCACACCACTGCACTCTAGCCTGGGTGACAGAGTGAAACTCCATCTCAAAAAAAAAAAGAAGACTCAAATAAACTTTTAAAAAGAGGTAAAAAAATGGATCCCTTCCTTACACCTTATACAAAAATCAATTCAAGATGGATTAAAGACTTAAACGTTAGACCTAAAACCATAAAAACCCTAGAAGAAAACCTAGGCATTACCATTCAGGACATAGGCATGAGCAAGGACTTCATGTCTAAAACACCAAAAGCAATGGCAACAAAAGCCAAAATTGACAAATGGGATCTAATTAAACTAAAGAGCTTCTGCACAGCAAAAGAAACTACCATCAGAGTGAACAGGCAACCTACAAAATGGGAGAAAATTTTTGCAACCTACTCATCTGACAAAGGGCTAATATCCAGAATCTACAATGAACTCAAACAAATTCACAAGAAAAAAAAAACAACCCCATCAAAAAGTGGGCAAAGGACATGAACAGACACTTCTCAAAAGAAGACATTTATGCAGCCAAAAAACACATGAAAAAATGCTCACCATCACTGGCCGTCAGAGAAATGCAAATCAAAACCACAATGAGATACCATCTCACACCAGTTAGAATGGCAATCATTAAAAAGTCAGGAAACAACAGGTGCTGGAGAGGATGTGGAGAAATGGGAACACTTTTACACTGTTGTTGGGACTGTAAACTAGTTCAACCATTGTGGAAGTCAGTGTGGCGATTCCTCAGGGATCTAGAACTAGAAATACCATTTGACCCAGCAATCCCATTACTGGGTATATACCCAAAGGACTATAAATCATGCTGCTATAAAGACACATGCACACGTATGTTTATTGCGGCATTATTCACAATAGCAAAGACTTGGAACCAACCCAAATGTCCATCAATGATAGACTGGATTAAGAAAATGTGGCACATATACACCATGGAATACTATGCAGCCATAAAAAATGATGAATTCATGTCCTTTGTAGGGACATGGATGAAACTGGAAACCATCATTCTCAGTAAACTATCGCAAGAACAAAAAACCAAACACCGCATATTCTCACTCATAGGTGGGAATTGAACAATGAGATCACATGGACACAGGAAGGTGAACATCACACTCTGGGGACTGTTGTGGGGTAGGGGGAGGGGGGAGGGATAGCATTGGGAGATATACCTAATGCTAGATGACGAGTTAGTGGGTGCAGCACACCAGAATGGCACATGTATACATATGTAACTAACCTGCACAATGTGCACATGTACCCTAAAACTTAAAGTATAATAATAAAAAATAAATAAATAATAATTAAAAAAATAAAAAAAATAAAAAGAGGTAAAAAAGGAGAAATTATAATTGATACCACAAAAAATCAAAGGATTATTCGTGGCTACTATGAGCAACTATATGACAGTAAATTGGAAAATCTAGAGTAAATGGATAAATTCATAGAGACATATCAACCTACCAAGATTGAACCATGAAGAAATCCAAAACCTGAACAGACCAATAGCCAAGTAACAAGATCAAAGCCATAATAAAAAGTCTCCCGGTTAAAAAAAGAAAAAAAAACCCAACCCAACCCTGGACCTAATAACTTCACTGCTGAATTCTGCCAAAAATTTAAAGAGGTAATATCAACCCTACTCAAATTATTTCAAAAAATAGAGGAGGGAATACTTCCAAACTCCTTCTGTGAGGCCAGTATTACCCTGATAACAAAACCAGGCAAAGACAACATCAAAGAAAGAAAACCACTGGCCAGTATATCTGATGAATATTGATGTAAAAATCCTCAACAAAATACTAGCAAACTTAATTCAACATTGCATTAAATAGAGCATTCATCATGACCAAGTGGGATTTCTCCCCAGGAATGCAGTAATGGTTCAACATATACAAACCAATCAATATGGTACATCATATCAACAGAATGAAGAATGACAACTTTATAATCATTTCAATTGATGCTGAAAAGGCATATAATAAAATCTAACATCCCTTTAAGAATAAAAAAAACCTGCAAAAAAACTGTGTATAGAAGGAACATATCTCAAAATAATAAAAGCCATGTATGACAGACCCACAGCTAGTATCATACTGAATGGGGAAAAAACTGAAAGCCTTTCCTCCAAGATCTGGAACACAAGAATGCCCACTGTAACCACTGTTATTCAACATAGTACTGGAAGTCCTAGCTAGAGCAATAAGACAAGAAAAAGAAATAGCAGGCATCCAAATTCGAAAGGAAGAAGTCAAATTATCCTTGTTTGCAGATGATATGATCTTATATTTGAAAAAACCTAAAGACTCAACCAAAAAAAATGGTTAGAACTGATCAATAAAATCAGTAAATGTGCAGGATACAAAATCAACATACAAAAATCAGTTGCATTTCTATAGGCCAACAGTGAACAACATGAAAAAGAAATCAAAAACAATAGCCACAAATAAAAATGCAATACCTAGGAATTAAACAAAGGAATGAAAGATCTCTATAATGAAAACTATAAAATACTGATGAAAGAAATTGAAGAGGACACCAAAAAAAGAAAGCTATTCCATGGTCATAGGTTGGAAGAATCAATATTGTTAAAATGTCCTTATTGCCCAAAGCAATCTACAGATTCAATAAAATCCCTATTTAAATGCCAAGGACATTCTTCACAGAGATAGAAAAAAACAATTGTAAAATTTACATGGAACCAAAAAGACCCAGAATAGCCAAAGCCATCCTGAGGAAAAAAAAAAAAACTGGAGAAATCACACTATTGGATTCAAATTATACTACAGAGATATAGGAAGCAAAACAGGTATAGGAAGCATGGTGCTGGCATAAAAACAGACACATAGACCAATGGAATAGAATAGATAACCTAAAAACAAATGCATATGTCTATGATGAACTCATTTTTAACAAAGGAGCCAAGAACATAACTGGGGGAAAAGACAATCTCTTCAATAAATCATGCTGGGAAAACTGGATATCCATATTGAGAAGAATGAAAGTAGACCCCTATCTCTCACCATATACAAAAATCAAACAAAAGGGATTAAAGACTTACATCTAAGTTCTCAACCTATGAAACTACTACAATAAAACATTGGAGAAAATCTCAAGGACATTGGAATGGACAAAGATTTCTTGAGCAATACCCCACAAGCACAGACAACCAAAGCAAAAATGGACAAATGGGATCACATCAAGTTAAAAATCTCCTGCACTGCAAAGAAAACAATCAACAAAGTGAAGAGACAACCCACAGAATGGGAGAAAATATTTGCATACTACCCATCTGACAAGGGATTAATAACAAGAATATATAAGGAGCTCAAACAACTCTGCAGGGAAAAAAGTCTGATAATCCAATTTAAAAATACACAAAAGATTTAAATAGATATTCCTCAAAAGAAGACATACAAATGGCAAACAGGCATATGAAAAGGTGCTCAACATTATCAATCATCGGAGAAATGCAAATCAAAACTACATATCATCTCACCCCAGTTAAGACGGCTTTTATCCAAAATACAGACAATAAAAATACTAGAGAAGATGTAGAGAAAGGGAACCCTCATACACTGTTGGTAGGAATGTAAATTAGCATAACCACTATGGAAAACAGTTCTTTTTTTAGCTTTTTGTTCCTCAAAAAACTAAAAATAGAGCTACCATGTGATCCAGCAATCCCATAGCTGGGTAGATAATCAAAAGAAAGGCAATCAGTATATTGAAGGGATATCTGCACCCCCATGTTTGTTGCAGCACTGTTCACAATAGCCAAGATTTGGATGCAACCTAAGTGTCCATCAACAGATGAATGGATAAAGAAAATGTAGTACATAAACACAATGGAGTACAATTCAGCCATAAGAAAAAATGAGATCCTGTCATTTGCAACAACATGGATGGAGCTAGAGGCCATTAAGGTAAGTGAAATAAGCCAGCCCCAGAAAGACAAACATCACATGTTCTCACTTATTTGTTGGATCTAAAAATCAAAACAATTGAATTCATGGAGATAGAGAGTGGAAGGATGGTTACCAGAGGCTGAGGAGGGTAGTAGTGGAGTGGGGTAGAAATGTGGGAATGGCTAATGGGTACCAAAAAAAAAAAAATAGAATGAAAGAGACCCAGTATTTGATAGCATAACAGGGGGGTTATATTTAATAATAATTAAATTGTACATTTTAAAATAATAAAAAGGGTATAATTGGATGGTTTGTAACACAAAGGATAAGTGCTAGAAGGAATGGATACCTCGTTTTCCATGATGTGATTATTACACATTGCATACCTGTGTCAAAATGTCTCATGTACTCTACAAATGTATACACCTACTATGTACCCACAAAAATTAAACGTAAAATATTTTAAAAAGAAATTGCCCTTTGCCAACCATTCCAGAAGCCTTCACATGTTCTAATCCCAATCACAGCTTCCTCCCTCCCTCCAGAAGTAACCTCCATGTTATAATAATCACTGTCTTTTGTTTCTTTTTGTTTGTTTTATTGCCCATGCATGCATGTATCTTTGGACTCAATAGTTTAGTCTTGCCCATTTTGAATATTTTATTTGTTCTTTTAAGTCTCTTTTAATCTACAGATTTTCCCTTCCATCTTTTTCTTTTTCTTACATTTTATCTATTTGAGGTCATATATCATTTGACTTGGTTTCCCACAGTCTGGATATCACTGTCTCTATCACAAGAATAGAATGCAGGAAATCATACCCATGATTCAATTATCTCCACCTGGTCCCTCCCATGACATGTGGGGATTATAGGAACTACAATTCAAGATGAGATTTGGATGGGGACACAGCCAAACCATGCCAATGCCCCATGTAAAAGGCACAGAGTGGCAAGCTGGATAAAAAACAAGACCCGATGGTATACTTTTCAAGAGACCCATCTCACAGGCAGTGACATCCATAGGTTCAAAATGAAGGGATGGAAGAAAATCTACCAAGCAAATGGAAATCAGAATAAAGAAGGGGTTACAATCCTGATTTCAGACAAAACAGACTTTTAACTGACAAAAATCAAAAAAAGACAAAGAAAGGCATTCATTACATAATGGTAAAGGTTTCAATTCCAAAAGAAGACCTAACTATCCTAAATATATACACACCCAACACAAGAGCTGACCCAGATTCCTAAAGCAAGTTCTTAGAGACCTAGAAAAAGACATACTCTCCCACACAATAATAATGGGAGACTTTAACACTCCACTGACATATTAGATCATTGAGGCAGAAAATTAACGAAGATATCCAGGACCTGAACTCAGTGAACCAAGTGGATCTGATAGACCTCTACAGACCTCTCCACCCACCAAAAACAGCCAAGCCGAGAGCCAAATCAGGAATTTGGACCCATTCATAAGTACCACAAAAAAGAATAAAATGCCTAGGAAGACAACTGACCAGGGAGCAGAAAGATCTCTGCAATGAGAATTACAAAACACTACTCAAAGAAATCAAAGATGACACAAACAAATAGAAAAACATTTCATGCTCATGGAGAGGAAGAATCAATATTAAAATGGCCATACTGCTCAAAGCAATTTACAGGTTTCTATCAAACTACCAATGATATTCTTCACAGAACTAGAAAAAAACTATTTTAAAATTCATATAGAACCAAAAAATAAATAAATAAAAGACCTTGAAGAGCCAAGGCAATTTTAAGCAAACAGAACAAAGCTGGAGACATCACACTACCAAACTTCAAATTATACTACAGGGCTACAGTAACCAAAAAAGCATGGTACTGCTATAAAAACATACACATAAACCAATGGAACAGAATACAGAGCCCAGAAATAAGGCCGCACACCTACGATCATGTGACGGTCAACAAAGCTGACAAAAACAAGCAATGAGGAGAGGAATCCCTAGTCGATAAATGGTACTGGGATAACTGGCTAGCCTTATGCAGAAGATTGAAACTGGACCCCTTCCTTATACCACATACAAAAATCAACTCAAGATGCATTAAAGTTTTACATGTAAAACCCTAAACTGTAAAAACCCTGGAAGATAACCTAGGTATAATACCATTCTGGACATAGGAACTGGCAAAGATTTTATGCCAAAGACAGTAAAAGCAATTGCAGCAAAAGCAAAAATTGACAAATGAGATCTAACTAAACTAAAGAGTTTCTGCACAGCAAAGGAAGCTATCAGAGTAAACAGACAGCCTACAGAATGGGAGAAAAATATTTGCAAACTATGCATCTGACATAGGTCTAATATCCAGAATCTATAAGGAACTTAAATTTACAAAAAAATAATTAAAAAGTGGGCAAAGGACATGAACAGACACTTTTCTAAAGAAGACATACATGTGGCCAAAAAGCATATGAATAAAAGCTCATAATACTGACCATTAGAGAAATGTAAATCAAAACCACAGTGAGATACAATCTCATACCAGTCAGAATAGCTGTTATTAAAAAGTCAAAAGATAGATGCTGGTGAGGTTATGGAGAAAAGAGAATGCTTATATATTGTTGGTGGGAGTGTAAATTAGTTCACCCATTGTGGAAGGCAGTGTGGTGATTCCTCAAAGAGTTAAAAACAGAACTTCCATTCAACCCAGCAATCTCATTATTGGATATAAACCCAAAGGAATATAAATCATTCTACCATAAAGATACATGCACACATATGTTCATTGCAGCACTATTCACAATAGCAAAGATATGAGATCAACCTAAATGCCCATCAATGGTGGGCTGCATAAAGAAAATGTGGCACATATACACCATGGAATACTATGCAGCCATGAAAAAGAACAAGATCATATCCTTTGCAGGGACATGAATGGAGCTGGAGGGCATCATCCTTAACAAACTAACACAGGAACAGAAAACCAAATATCTCAAGTTCTCACTTATAAGTGGGGGCTAAACAATGAGAAAACATGGATACTAGGAAGGGAACCACAGACACTGGGGCCTACTTGAGGGTTGAGAGTGGGAAGAGGGAGAGGATCAGAAAAAATAACTAATAAGTACTAGGATTAGTACCTGGGTGATGAAATAATCTGCACAACAAACCCTTGTGACATGAGTTTTCTATATAACAAACTTGTATATGTACCCCTGAACCTAAAATAAAATTTTAAAATAAATTAAAAATTTAAAAATAACAATGAGATATCACCTTATACCTACTAGGATGGCTACAATAATAATAAAAAGAAAATGACAAGTGTTGACAATATTGTGTAGAAATTGGAATGCTCATGCTTATGCATTGCTGGTGGGACTATAAAACAGGGCAGTGTTGTGGAAAACAGTATGGCAGTTTCTCAAAAGGTTAAATACAGAATTGCCATATGATTCAGCAATTCCACTTATGGGTGTATACACAAAAGAACTGAAAGCAGAGTCTCAAGGAAATGGTTGCACACAATGTTCATAGCAGCATGATTCACAAGAGCTAAAATGTGGAAACAACCCAAGAGTCTATCAACAGATAAATAGAAAAACAAAATGTGTCCATACGTATGATGCAATATTATTCAGAAATAAAAAGAAATAAAATTCTGACACATGCTACAACAAAGATGGACCTTGAACACATTACAGATTGTGAAGTGAGCCAGACACAGAAGGGCAAATATTGTGTGGTTCTACTTTTATGAAGTCCCTAGAATAGGCAAATTCAGAGACAGAAAGTAGAATGGTGGTTGTCAGAGGCTGGAGGAGGAGGGGAGAAAGGGAGTTATTGTTTAATGGATACAGAATTTTCTTTGGGAATGATGAAAGTTTTAAGCATGGAAAGTGGTGATGACTACACTGTGAATGTATTTCATGTCATTGAATTGCATACTTACCAATGGTTAAAATAAATATTATGTTTTGTTTTGTATATCTTATCACAATTTTGAAAAGCACATTAGAAAAAATAATAACAGGTTCCTTATAAGCTCTCAACTCTATCCTGTATTCTGAGAGGCTTTTAGAAAAATTCAATGATACCCCCTAACTTTTACTTTTTTAGGAGAAGAGAATAGTAGGAGGACAGAAGGAGAAGTTTCTTTCCAGAACACTGCAAATCCAGGACCTATTGATTCCATAATTCTATAGCCATGTAGATGGACAGGAAGACCAAGAATAATGGATTCTTTTTAAGCTTTTGCTTCCTCTTGTGGGGGAAGCTAAAAAGGCAACCCTCCATGTGATGGGGCTTTTATAGAGTAGGAGTAGGATACTCTTTGATAGAGTCAGAGTATGGAGTATGAGTGGAGAGGATGCAGACAAAGTGGGGACTTTACCCTACTCTAGGGCTTCACATTTATGGGAACTGAAGAGCAGAAGCTCTTTCCTCCTGTTACAAGAAAAAAGATAAATAATAATGTTAAAAGTAGATGCCATCAGTGTTTTCAAGATGGACTATAGCCATATGTCAATTACTTAACTAAAGCAAGAGACCAGGTGTATCTAGAGAAACAGAACTAATAGGATAGATATTTATATAAAGGGGAGTTTATTAAGTGGTATTAACTCACACGTCATATAGTCCCTCAAAAGGCTGTCTGCAAGCTGAGGAGCAAGGAAGCCAGTCCAAGTCCCAAAGCCAAAGAACCTGGAGTCTGGTGCTTGAGGGCAGGAAGTATCCAGCACAGGAAAAAAACGTAGTCTGGGAGGCTAAGCCAGTCTAGTCTTTTCATGTTTTTCTGCCTGCTTTATATTCTGTGCATGCTGGCAGCTAACTAGATGGTGCCCACCCAGATTAAGGGTGAGTCTGCCTTTCCCAGCCCACTGACTCAAACGTTAATCTCTTTCGGCAACACCTTCACAGACACCCCCAGGATCAATACTTTGCATCCTTCAATCCAATGAAGTTGATAGTATTAACCATCATACCATGTAAGCATTCAGCATTTTTTTAATGAAGTGCCTTGTTATGGATATTTTACTGCTCTGTGAAAAGCTGTGTGATTATTGGCCTTCTTGTCAGAAAACAGTACTTTTCACTCCCTAGTATATGGTAGTCATTCAGTGCATTAAACATAATAATTTTCTGTGTTAAAGATAGTTTTTAGGAAACTTCTGCTTCTGGGAATATCTAGTAGACATACTTTTCCCCGTTTCTCCAATGAGTACTATGAAATGCCGAGACTTTACTTATAAAACAAACACAAGAAGACTCTGAAAAGTGAAGAGACAAAATGTGCTTCTTCAGATCATGTTTAACTGACACTCTGTTTCAAGATTCTCTTTGCAGTACCTTGTTCTGTATGTATTCGTTTAATGTTTCACTTTGCCCAAATAATGCATTTGGGAAATGTCTCTGTCAGATAGCTCAGTGAAGAGCATTTCACCACAGGACAACCTCACCGCTTTTTACTTCTCTCCCTGATGGACCTGAACTAAGGAAAAACAAAACTTTAGAAGCACTCAAATGGTTGTAGAGTCACAGCTGTGTATAGGTATGAATCTCATTATGTGGCCTGATCTCTGGTTCATTCTAGGCCAATAAGTCCCAGAGTAGAAGTCCAAAGAAGTTTCAAAGAAGTCTCAATGAATTCTCCTTTCAGTTCTTAACAATAACTAACTTTTATTGAGCATCAACTGTGTGCCAAGCATTCTTCTAAGTGCTTTAAATGGATTAACACATTTAATTCTCACTCCATGAATTAGATTCACTCCTTTTTATTTGGGAAACTGAGGCACAGAATGGTTGTATAACTTGCTCAAAGTCATACAGAAAGTAGAAGAAGCAGGATCTAGACCTCAGGAAACCAACCTCTGGACTTCTCCAGCTTTGGAGGCTAAATGCTTAAAACAGAGTTTTTCAAGTTTGGTCCAAAGCATTCGCTTCAAGATCGTGCAGATCAAGTGCCTGTAATCCCAGCACTTTGGCAGGCTGAGGTGGGCGGATCACGAGGACAGGAGATGCAGACCATAGTGGCTAACATGGTGAAACCCCATCTCTACTAGAAATACAAAAAATTAGCTGGGCGTGGTGGCACGTGCCTATAATCCCAGCTACTGGGGAGGCTGAGGCAGGAGAATCGCTTGAACCTGGGAGGAGGAGGATGTTGCAGTGAGCCAAGATTGTGCCACTGCACTCCAGCCTGGGCGACAGAGCAAGACTCCATCTCAAAAAAAAAAAAAAATCATGCAGAGGGAGTGCTTGTTATAAAGCTGATTCCTGGGTCCCACCACAGCATTACTACATCTAAATTCTGCGGGTGTGGTCTAGGAATCCAGATTTTCAACAAGCACCCTAGTTGATTTTTATGTGAATCAAAGCTGGAAACTCACTGGCCTAAACAGAGCATGCCTCAGCTCCTACAGGAAAAACTCACAGATTTCTGAGAGAACCAGATCAAGCATAGGTCCCTCTTGATGGCCCAGTGGGTCCCTCACTATCCCAATATGTAAAAATGGAAACCAGAGTGAGCAGATGCGTCTAGCAGCTCCCGAGTGAGGATCCTGGAGACTGGCGCTGTGTGGAGGTTGTACACAACAGTGTTTCTTTTTTATTCTCTTTCTTTAGAGCTTTAGTCCAAAGCTTAGTGGCAGCATTGTCTTCCCACTCAATGAACCATCCATTTAACAGTCAATGCACTTCATTAGAAAAGTCCTGATATTTTGCCTGCTTGTTTAACTGAAGTTTCTACTATACTTCTGCCCAAAATTCCAGACCACAATTGTCTTTTGAAAACAAAATAACCAATTAACTGAATGAATAAAAGAATGAATGGACAAATAAATAAACTTGAAATGTACAGATCATGCATCAAAATTGCTCACAATTTCCCATTTATTTTAACAAATATCTCAAGGTACTCTCATTTACAAGCAGCATTACTCATGTTAAGATACAAGATATCACGGTTTATATTACCTAGGTAGCATTTGTCCCTTGAGCAATGTAACTGTGGGTGCCCTTTATGACGTAATGATTCAAAGCTGACCATTCTTCATGATAAAAATTGACAAGATTCAGAAGTGAGTAGTGGGGGAAGCATTATAAATGTTGGACTAAAGAAATTAAATGTGTGTCTACTGTGTAACGAGTATTACTGAAGTAAATCTAGCCATTAATATCGAAACATCAGTGACCCAATTAAAAAAAAACTAAAAAGAAGTGTGACTAGCTTTCTTTGGGTGAGGTTTATAGATAATTACATAAACCTGTTTGATGGGAACATGTGTTTGCCATAAACAGAGGCTTAAATTAGCATTTAAAGAATTAAGGGTTGGTCGGAGGGTCTAAGAGGATGGATAGGGAATAGCATTTAATAGAATGGGGCTAGCATGAATTTTGTGAATCAAGTAGAACTGGGGGAACTAGTTTTTTCCCAAAGAAATGGTAAAATACTTCTATGCACTGGAATCCAGTACCAGATTAGGCCATTTGGACCATCCAAGGTCATAGATATAATAAAAATATCATGGACTGTGGAGTCAGAAGGTCCTAGATCAGAAGGTCCTAGATTCAGATCCTACTTACCAGCTATGTTCACTTAATCCAATTACATAGTTTCTCAGAGTCTCCTTCTACTCACCTAAAAAATGGGGATACTAACACATATTCTACAAAACTATTGGGGGTAATAAATGAGATAACAAATACTAAGCACCTAGCACAGAGCTCAACTCATATTAGGCACTCGATACATGAGAGTTCTCTTCTCTCTCCACCGTGCAAGTAGCTACATTACCAGAATAAAAATAAAGCCTAAATGATGGCATCTCTCACTCTCACATAAAGGACTGCATTGACATAAACTCAGATGCTAGCAATATGTGGAAGCTGGACTTGCAAGGATTCATTATATATTTGTCATTCTTTTTTTTTAAGTAGAATAGAAGGTTAATGTTGACCTCCTAGCTAGTCTTTTAAAAAACATACCTTTAAAGTCATATGATTAGTGCTCTGTTTCCCTAGATTAATAGAAATCAAAATTGTAGAAAGAATAGTTAAAATATTACAGGCTTTCTTCTGTTCCTTTCTTGTTTTTAAATTTTTATCTTCTTAAAAAACTGTTATGTACGTACAGCAATCCTTAGATGCAGCACAGCAGGGCTTTTGTAGTTCTCTGAATTATAGGTAATAATGAAACTCTGAAACTTCACTTTCCTCCCAGGCTGGTGTGGAGCTGACATGGCCAGGGGAGGTAGCTTAGCTGTGTGAGTCGGTGGTAAGGTAAGAGGTGATGAATAAAGCAGAAAAAACAAACATGAAGAGAGCAGGGCTGGGTTTTTCACAAACCCAGGCTGCAGGCTGAGCAGTGCTGAGCTTGGGTGCTTTTGCAGAGGTTTTGTAGAAAGGTGATTATATCGCATCATCCTCCCCTTTGAAAAAGAAACATCTGACAATGTGGTTTCTAATAGGTAAGAAGGAGATCAAAGGTTGCAAGTAGGCTGCTGTCTGCCCTATCCTGTTTGCACTTTTAATGCGTCCCTTAGTGAGCCTCCGAGGCTGTAACAAGCCCCGTCTGTCTCTGTTGATGGCTGTTCCTCCATGAATCTCACACAGCTCATACCTGTGTCCAGAAAAAGCCTGCATCCTACGGCATGTTTCTCCTACAGGGCTGCTTCCCAGAAGCTAATGGTCACGTCCCAAGGCTTGATAGGCTTATACAGAACTTCAGCTGAGACAGGACCACTGTGGTGGTTCTTCACTCTTGGTCCAAATCTGTCCACTCTGAACATATTTGTGAGACTTAGCACAACGGACGCCCCTCCTGCCATCCCACCGGCCAATGGCACTTTACCTTTGTCCCTAGATGGCGTCTCTCTCAGTGCCTCTCTCCCTGCTCTGCTAGTTCAGCAAGTGTGGAGAATCATGCTGGTTTCTTTATCTATCTCCCCTGAGCCAAGAGCTGTGGTTCCTCATCTTTTCATCACCAAGATCTCTTTTGTCTGTGCTGAAACATCATGCCCAGCATGAATGGAGTCAAATTCCCAGCTTTGAGTTCCCAATTAGAGCCTCGATAGCTCTGACTTTTCATTTTAAGAGCCAGGTATTTGTAAAAGGAAATACTTAAGGGAAGTGGTCAGACAGGATGGATTTCCAGATCTTAGCTTGAACACCAAGAACTAGGCCGAGAGAACTACAAGCACAGCAATTCAACAACAATCCAGAGAGTGGGAAATGGTGTGTGCTGATGTAAGTGACAAGTTTCCAACACATGAAGAGCAGATTCTGGGCTGGGGAGAGGAGCCTGGAGAGGAGAAGAAGGGTTTCCATACTGGCTAGGGCACCTGGGCTACCATTTGTCTATGAGGTATCTTTGTGTGAATTAGAAAAAAAAAAAAAGCACTCCTTCCTCAAGATACGTGACTTCTATTTTCCAGAAAATCATCAGAATAAATGTACAAATCATCAACGGTGTCTATGATGTGAATAGGGTTCCCTCAGGTGTGCCGCTGTCCTGTGGTGGATAATAATTTCATGAAGGCCCTAGGGGCACACACTGTTCCTTGCCTGCTCCGTCTCAGCTGTAGAGGGGAGGGAGTTGAAAATTTTTAGTAGATTGGGGATTTGAGACCAGAGGGGAACTGTGCCCTGCTTGCCATCAGAGATCTCGGGAAGGAGGCAGCCTCTGTGCACTCCTCACCAGCATGCAGCTGCAGTAGCATGGACCCTGGCAGCTGGCCCTGTAAGCAGAGCTAAGTCAGAGATGAACATCCCTCTCCCACCTCGATTCTTGAGGCCTCCAAGAAATCCAGAGAGGCATTGAAGGCAGCTGATGATTGAAAGCCAGCAAAGCTACTAAGGAGTGAATGGTTCCAGGTGAGCAGACTGATAGCTGAGGCTGTGGATGGACCAGTACAGCCTGGGAGGATGTTGCTGACCCCCAGAACAGCAAGTGCCAACCAGAGCTATGGTTAGGACTAAATCTGGAGAGGAAAATGCTGAGCTTCTGAGGAACACTCGCCATGTGTGGTCTGTGCCTAAGAGAACAGATGCCACAAGGAAGCAAGACAGCCCTGGTGTCCAGGGAGGGAATCTGGGCTGTCTTGCTCCCCTGTGGTATCTGTTCTCTTAGGCACAGACCTAAGAGATCTAAGTCCCTGGGGGTGATGGGTAAGACCCCCTCACTATCAAACAGAGTCCTCCTTCCTCTTCTCCTCCCCTGCTCCCTGGCTGTGATCTGAGTCCCTAGGGGTGGTGGGTAAGACCCCATCCTTGTCAAGCAGAGTCCTCCTCCCTCTTCTCCTCCCCTGCTCCCTGGCTGTGATCTAAGTCCCTAGGGGTGATGGGTAAGACCTCCCAGGGACTTAGATCACAGCCAGGGAGCAGGCGAGGAGAGGAGGAAGGAGGACCCTGTTTGACAGTGATTGCACTACTTTGAATTGGCAAGAATATATTTTTTTTCTAATTACTTTGTTCTAGATTAAAGAAAATTATTTTGGGTTGACTACTTGAATTCTGTGACTATGTGAACATCATGCCTGCCACAAACAAAACACTCATTCGGTATTTATCAGGTATCTTCTTCTCTTCACTTTTCACCTCTCTTGCTGCTGCAGGCTCAGAATTCGAATTTCACAGTTAGCCCCAAGAGGAACAGTTAACTTTGTAAAACTTCAGACATTTGCGTTTTAACTGTGGGCTTCTCCCATTTATTTTATCCTGTTTGTTCTCATAGAATAACTAATGGTAAAAATTTTTAGATACAACATGGTTATTTAGGAAATTGGAATAAAAGGGATTAGTAATCAAGTTACGTTCCTGATCTATAGTGGACAACAGAGAATCTTTTCCCAGCCACATGCCCAATGTGGCAGTGAGGAAGAGTCAGGCATGCAAGGGAGGGCACCTTTATCACAACAGTTCTGGGGCTCAGAACCCTGGAGACCTTAATGGTGGAAGGATGAACTTCTCCATTGAATATACTTTTCCAAAGGTAATGGTGATCTGGATAAAGTATGGAATTTATAGTGTGTACTGTTTAACTTAAGGAATAAAAGATGAAACGTTTTCTTTCACAGGCAACATTTAATATCAACAACTATATTTAATTTTAACAACTGCAAATTTTAGATTCTTTCTGAAAATGAGTTTAACTCCTTGTTCTACCCAAGCAGTGGCTTTGACACAATTCGGCACCTTTCATGTCACCTTTATTCTTTCATATAATCTAACGCTGACATCATGCTCTGTGGGATTGTGCATGATAATAATTGTTAACATTTATTGAAGATATAATTATGTCAGGAGATAGTAATAACTATATAAATTAGCTCATTTAATTCTTGCAACCCTATGCGAAAATTACTATTCTCATTGCACAGATGGAGCAACTGAGGAATATAACTTACACCCGTTCAGTCTCCTCAGAAAAGATGCTGCAACCATTCTGTATCCACTGGTGCATAGAACTAAGGATTTGCAGCCTGGAGGCAGCTGCTAGGCTCTTGGGTGCCATCTTCACCTTCCCCTCCTCCCCATGCTTTCTTTCTACCCAACTGGATCTCCTGTGCTCAGAGAGCCTCAGGGTCTGAGTATCTCCCAAGTTGAAACACAAGCTCTCTCCCAGCCAAGGAACTTCTGTGCCAGCCTGAGAAGACCTAGGTAGGGGGCCAGGAGCTGGCTTGCTTTAAACTGGCCTTTCCTTGCCATTAGTGGTGAGACCTGAGATTTTAAAATGAGCTTAAAAGAAAGAGCGGTCTTTCTGCCTGCCTTAGTACACACTTCACAGATGCTTCTTGTAGAAGCAAAGGAATCCTCTACTGTAAGGTTTTACATTAGGATTTGGAGTCACAGTGCTAACAAGTGTACATTTGCAGGTTCTGTCCTCTGCGCCCATGTTTCCCACAAGACCCTCAAAGGGATGGCAAGATGCTTCAAGACAAATGTTATATATAGATATATCAGGGACTGCTGATCAAATACTCTTGTCTTGTGTGTAAGCATGATTCTAGATTCCTAGCATTCTGAAATAATGTATTATTGTTTATGTTATAAATATAACTCAACTTTGGGGTTAAAAGTTGTACTCTCTGGCTTCTAAAAGTTCTAATTAAATGCTTTGAATTAGTAGAGGATATTAGATTGCTAAAAGCATCCTATGTCTTATGCTAAAATTATTTTTTAAATATTGCATTTATCTAATGGAGTTAATGTTCTGAGTTGTTGTGACTTTTGTTTTTGTTTTTGTTTTTAAGAGTGAAAAGAAAAAGGCAGAGATCCTGAGAGCTGAAGCTGATGGGTATTTGCCTGTATGTCCATGGATTGATTCCAATGGGATTAGATGTTCACCATCAACAGCCCGAGGTGATGGTTTAGTTCTTAGTAAGGAACTAACGACATCTCTGATGGTTCCATTGATCTTCTGCTCACACCATCCTCAGACTATTCTTTACTTCTTAATAACAGTTATTTTCTCTTTCTTAGGAAGAATTGATTTTTCAGTTTAGTCCTTATGATTTGCAGAACAAAGAATATGAAGATTGTTGCCTTTAGAAGGTGAAAGATCATGAAAAGCATGTGGAATTAAAATGGATCCTTATTTTTAATATGATATCCTTCCTGAAAATATAGTTTTTTAAAAAGCACACTCCCTAAAGTTACTGAAAATACATCTAAGCAATTCTAAATCAGAGAGAAAATATTTAAGTTCACTTTATTTAAATGGAAAAAGAATAACAATAAAGGTCTCTCCAAGAGAGAGAAAGAAACATGAAGCCCTTGGAGGACTTCTACAGCTAAATATATTCACAATAGCCTTTCCAGGTTATTCTCATGGTAGGAGTAGCCGTAGCAGAAGCAGCAGCAATAGTATTAACAGTGGTAGCAGCTAGCATTGGGAGCACACTCACTGTGTACCAGAGCCTGTGCTGAGGTTTTTACATGCTTTGTAAATAAGCACAAATACTACATTGTTAGTATTATTCCTATTTTGCAGATAAAAACTAGATTTTTAAAAAATATGAATAACTTTGCTAAGACCAATAATTAAAAAGCAATAAAACAAGATTTTAACCCAGAACTGATCTAAACACCTGGCCTCAGATTTTTAAAACTAAAACAGTCCTTACACAGTCTCTACTCCAATCTCTCATTTTCCAGATTTAGGGGCTAATGCCTAGAGTGCAAATGATTCACCCAGGGTTGTATGACTAGAGTTAGTGGAAGAGCAGGGCAAGAAAACAGTCTCCTGGCTTCTGAGTCAGTGTCCTTGACACTATAGAAGGTTAATATGACAGCCCTTATCTCTTGTGGGATAAATATTCCAATTCCTAGAATTAAAAAAAAAAAGCACCCAGCACCATCAAGCACACACATATACATCCATGAAGAAGCGGCATTGGATAGACCAAGCCACCAGGTGAGTACCTTGTTCTTCCCTCCATGCGCCCATCTTAGGTGGTGTCTATGGATTGTGGAGGCAGGACCACCCCAGGCAGGCTGGGAGAATTCAGAAGACTTGAGGAAACACAGGTGAGATTAGGTGAGGACAGGAATTTGAGTGGCCTAAGAAACTGTCATCAATAACAGCTGAGAAGCAGAGAGGCCAAGACAGAACATTCGAATTCTGCCTAATGTGTAGGAAGTAACTAGAAATCAAACCCCAAAAACAAATGGAAATAGAATAGAACTGTCTGGGAAGAAGGAAAACTGAGGAGGAGCAGGCCCAACTGGGAGTTGCATGCCCTGACCTCTCAACTTTAGGAAGAGGAACACACCACTAGACAAGTGCGAATATGCCATATTTCCCCATCTTTCTACTACAGAAGTTTTCAAATATACAGAAAAATGGGAAGAATTGTACTATGCACACCTGAATTCTCCCACCTAAATCTGACAGTTAATATTTTACTACATTTGCTTTATAATATATTTATCCATCTATCTATCCCTCTAATCATCTTTTTTTGATCTTTTACATTTTACTACATTTACACCTTACACTTTACTATAATTTCTTTATAACATATTTACCATCCATCTATTCATCCTTCTATTCAACTTATTTTTGATGCATTGCAAAGTAGGTTGCAGACATTAGTACCTGTCACTCCTGAACACATCAGCATGCATATCACCAGCTAGAATTCAATATTTGTCTATAATTCTTTCCTCTTTTTGAGATTAAATTTACATACAGTGAAATGCACACATTTTAAGTCATTCATTATATTTTGACAAATGCACTCACCTGTCTAATCCAAACTTCTATCAAAGTTTAGAACATTATAATAATTCTAGAAAGTTCCCTCAGGTCCCTCTCCAGTCAATCCCTATCTCCCACACCAGATATAACCACTGTTCTCATTTTTTTTTTTTACCATAGATCAATTTTGCCCATTCTAAAACTGTTGAAATAAAATCACACATTATATACTTTTTGTGTAAAGCTTCCTTTACTCAGCATGGTGTTTTGAGATTGATCCATGTTTTTAGGAATGCCAGAGGTCCATTCTTTTTATTGCTGAGTAGTATTCCATTGTATGGATACACCACAGTTGGTCCATTCTCCTCTTGAAGAACACCTCAGATGTTGCCAGTATCCAGCCAGCTATTAGAAATAAAGCTGTTATGAATATACTTGTACAAGTCTTTGAGTGGACATATGCATTTATTTCCCTCCAATAAATACTTAGTGATACAATTTTTTTCTTTTCTTTTTTTTTTTTTTTTTTTGAGACGGAGTCTTGCTCTGTCACCCAGGGGGAGTACAGTGGCATGATCTCGGCTCACTGCAACCTCCACCTCCAGGATTCAAGCAATTCTCCTGCCTCAGCCTCCCAAATAGCTGGGACTACAGGCATGCACCACCATGCCCAGCTAATTTTTGTATTTTTAGTAGAGATGGGGTTTTGCCATGTTGGCCAGGCTGGTCTTGAATTCCTGACCTCCCAAAGTGCTAGGATTACAGTTGTGAGCCTGGCCACAATTTCTGAGTCATCAGATAGATGCATATTTAATTTTATAAGAACCTTCCAGAATTTTTTCCAAAGTAATTTTGCCACTTTTCCCTCCCAGCAACAATGAATATAGGAGAATCTAGTTGCTCCATATGCTCGCCAACATTTGGTGTTGCCAGTTTTTATAATTTTAGCCAGTCTGGTGGCTAAAATTCATTCATATAACTTTTCATCTATTTTCATCTCCCATAATTTAGAGAGGGAAAACTGATTCCTTCTATATTTAACAATCATTACAACACTCATTGGACACTTATAATGTGCCAGATACTGTGCTAAGCACACACCTCCATTATATGGGAGCTACTTTATTATTATCCTTTCACAGAGGAAGCTACTGAGACTTAAATAATAACTTCAGGAAAGCCACTTGTGAAGTCAGTGGTACCACCTGTCCCTGCCTGACTCCTCCAAAGCCCATAGTCTTAGTCTCTCTGCTATACCCCATTCTAAAGCTGGTGCTAAGACAGAAAATAATTCACATCTAGAGCTACTGCCTCTCCTTTCTTCTACATAACTAAAGTCTCTTCCAATGTGACACACATGTCCTCTTTGGTTAGTATGTGGAATAATGGGAGCACATTCCAAGCATGATAGGAATCCATACAGCCAGCGATAACCCACCTGAGTTGAGGGAAAAAAATTAAACTATGAGTTTAGTCAAAGTGGCAATGCTAATAAAACCTAGGTGTTCTTTGCACACTTCCTGAGTGGCCATGTAAAAAGCATCCAATTGCAGGGTGCACTGTGCCATTCATTCTGCCAGCAAGTTAATAACCTCTTACTAAGCTCCCCCAGGATGATGGTGCTGTGCTAGATATAGGATTGCAGAACAAGTCATGGAATCTAAGGTGCCACTCATTTATGTACTACTAAGAAGTAAATATCACTGCTTTCTTGTCTTTTGGAATTTTTATTTTATACTTACTAAAACAGTTGCTTTTATACTTAGAGACAGGCTTACAGTAATCTGTGCTAACCTGATCTTGACCCTGTCTAGCACCTTTGCATTGACATTATAATTTCAAGACACATCAAAGAACACCTAGGTTTTACAAGCATTGCCACCTTGACTAAACTCATGGTTTAATTTTCTTCCTCAATGAAATCACATGTCACTTGAAGTTAAGGAGTGTCTAGTCAAAGGTAAGCAGGAAGTCTGCAATAAATTCATGTTTGATGCCTTAACGATAGAGTTATACCAGGCATGGACTGATCCCACCTGCTTCTCTCTTTGCTTTAAAATTCTATTACCTATTCTGAGAGATGTGGCAAGTTTTTCTGTTTTCAGAGGTTTTAGTTGGGCTGCAACAGGCTGTCCTTTTGCCTATATCTCAGGAATGAAACATACCACACCTTCCTTTGCTTGTAGAGACTTCCTTTCTTAGGTACCTTAAAACACTTAGTTTTGAAATGAAGTACGGAATTGAAGTTGTTCTTCCAACAATGAATATCCGATTCACCAGTATCAAATGTATGTCCTATTGCTCTGTCTCTGTGCCTTTCCTTGTACATAGTAACTTTTCAATGCTGAATCACAGTGTATCATTTCTGAAGACTTTTTTCTCAGTCAGTGAATTTGTTGTCTTTTCCAAAAAAAAAATCTTCATGGAGACTTGGGATTGTATTGGCCAGTTTAGGCCTGTACCTGAACTCTGAGGAAACTGGCTACCTTCTGAACAACCTGACTTTCTTCCAGACAAGGCAGAATTTAGGACAATCTACCTCCTTTTTAAGCTTTAAGTATCTTGTTAGAGACTGGATTCTCTCTTGTAGTAGCACTGAGACAAGAGAATCACCACTGTCACCAATGTCAGGAATCTTAAATGTAAAAATAAAAAACGACCCATCTAAAAATGGAAAACTATGGTAAGGTACAGCCCTGATTTCAGAAGTATTAATACCAGGGCTTATCTCCTCTGAGTACTCTGAAAGGATTCAGCTGTCATTTCAGGAATCATTTTTACACATAAGTGAAAATTATCTTTAAAATTTTCTCTTTCTGTTATACAACTAAAATGAGAATACATTTAATACAGGTAGAGCTTAAAGATGAATACCAATGTGCATTGCTAGAAAAAAACAGCAGGCCATCATTAGGGTTATTCTTCTAACAAGAAAGAGGACTTTTTTTAACTTAAAGGACTACGTAAAATGTGGTTTCCAGTGGTAGCCAGAAAAGTACTGATGACTTGCATTTCCACAATACAAAAATGTGAAACTCAAATCTATGGGTAGACATTTAAATACATCATAAATTACTTCAAGTTTCTAAGTAATTAAGGGGGAAAAAGCCTTACCTAAAACAAATTTAAAAATTAGTGTTGAAATCACTGATCATTAGAGAAATGCAAATCAAAACCACAATGAGATACCATCTCACACTAGTCAGAATGGCTATTATTAAAAATTCAAAAAAATAGCAGATGCTGGCAAGGTTGAGGAGAAAAAGGAACACTTACATATTGTTGGTGGGAGTGCATATGAGTTCAACCATTGTGGAAGACAGTGGGGCAATTCCTCAAGGACCTAAAGACAGAAATACCATTCGACCAGCAATCCAATTACTGGGTATATACCCAAAGGAATATAAATTGTTATATTATAAAGACACATGCATGTGTATGTTCATTGCAGCACTACAACAGCAAAGACATGGAGTCAACCTAAATGCCCATCAATAATGGACTGGATAAAGAAAATGTGGTATATATACACCATGGAATACTATGCAGCCTTAAAAAAGAACAAGATCATGTCCTTTGCAAGGGAATGGATGGAACTTGAGGCCACTATTTTTAGCAAACTAACTGAGGAACAGAAAACCAAATACTGCATGTTCTCACTTATAAGTGGGAGCTAAATGATGAAAACACAGACACATAGAAGGGAAAATCACACAGTGGGGCCTATCAGAGGGTGGAGGGTGGGAAGAAGGAGAGGATCAGGAAAAATACCTAATGGGTACTAGGCTTAGTACCTGGGTGATGAAATAAGCTGTACAATAAACTCCCGTGATACAAGTTTACCTATGTAACAAACCTGCACATGTACCCTTGAACTTAAAATAAAAGCTTTTTAAAAAAAGATTAGTGTTGAAAACAAAGTATAAACAGTACCTTAACTCCTAGATTCTAGGTTTCCTTTTCCTTTTCCCAGCTGTGAAGGCTAAAGCCTTCTTTCAGGCTTTGACCATATACATAAAATAGTTAAACTTTCTATACCTCAGTGTGTTTTAGGAGTGTTTCACTTGTATTAACTTATGTTTTCCAGGAGCACTGAGTTAAATGAGTTCCATGTATTCCACTTTATTCAAAACCTAGAAGTCAGCATCAAAAGATAGAATAGTGTCTGTGACCAAAAACGATTAGATGTCAGATCCACGTTCCAAAGCCCTGCTTATCCCATCAAGTCACACTCTCTTTCAATTTGTACTTCAATTCTCTGTATTCATTTCTATTAACTCATTCAATCAAAATGATCTGAGTTCTTTGGATGGGGACTCCAGAACGATGACAGCTCAAAAGCAAATCATTTCTTTTTTGTTCCTTTGTCATCTTTTTCAACTTACATGAGAATGCAGAGGTCTAAAAGAAAAAATAAATAAATAAAGCGTAACTTTTTTAAAAATATGATTATCCTAAAGCATTTGCTTCAGCCAGAAAATCAGTCCTTTCAAAATGGATTTTCTCAAGTAACATATCTCTAGTTCCTCATTTGGTTCCTTTGATTTTCTGTATATGACATGGTGCTGATGTGGGCAACTACTAGAAACGGTTATATGCAAGAGGATGATCGTTCTATTATGTGGAGATATTTCCTGGGCAATTAACCTAGAGAAATAACTTCTGACATTCTATTGAATTTAATATGCTATTTTACATTTTAATGAGTCAGCAAATAACTACATTATGAAGTATGAATAGGAACATTTCTGAGATCTGTGAACTTTAAGTCTTGCCCTCATTGTTCTTTCTTTCTGAACCTCAGCCTACCCTTATGAAATACAGAACTTCTACTGACTTTAAAGAAATGGAATCTCCACTATAATAGCTGAAGTGCTTTCAGGAGATTAGCATTAGGCCATTGTATTTGATGTATTATGCACAATGATAAAGCATCATATATTATGGAGTAGTGAGAGTCAGTTGAGTAAAGCAATAGCAAACTCTATTTTCCTTTAAGTGTTGCTTTATCCTAAAAAAACTTGGGTTTGCATATATTATTTTCAGATTTCTGCTAACAAAAACCTACGAAGAGGGATAAATGACATTATTTGAATGAAATCTAATTTCTACAAAGCACTTTACAATATTTGGATTTTAAAAGTGTCAGAGAAAATAATTAAAACCATCAAAGAAGTGGAATTGCTAACTGCATATCCCTTTTACTTAGAAACAATTAATGATGTTAAAGAATGACATAGAATATCCCATGCTCATAGATTAGAAGAATTAACATTGTTAAAATATCCATACTACCCAAAGTGATCTACAGATTCAATGCAATCCCTATCAAAATACCAATGACATCCTTCACAGAAATAGAGAAAAACAGTCCTAAAATTCATATGAAACCACAAAAGACCCTGAATAGCCAAAGCAATCCTGAGCAACAAGAATAAAGCTGAAGGTATCACACTACCTGACTTCAAAATATACTATAAAGCCATAGTAAACACAAAAGCATGATACTGGCATAAAAACAGACACATAGACCAATGGAACAGAAAGACAACCCAAAAATAAATCCACACATTTACAGCCAACTCATTTTCCACAAAAGTGGCAAGAACACGTGCTGAAGAAAGGATAGTCTCTTTAGTAAATGGTGTTGGGAGAACATAATAACCATATGCAGAAGAATGAAGCTAGGCCCTTATCTCTCACTGCACACAAAAAAAATCAAATCAAAATGGATTAAAGACTTAAATCTAAAATCTGAAACTAAGAAACTACTGGAAAGCAATATAAGGGAAATGTTTCAGGAAACTGATCAGGACAAAGACTTTTTGGATAATATCTTAAAGGCATAGGCAACAAAAGCTAAAATAGACAAATGGGATTGTGTCAATCTAAAAAACTTCTACACAGCAGAGGAAACAATCAGCAAAATGAAGACACAATCTACAGAGAGAAAATATTTCATCAGAAAAGAGACTAATAGCCAGAATATATAACAAACAATAACAAGTCACTAAAAAACAAATAATCTGATTTAAAAATGGGCAAAAGGCAGAAGTTCCAGACCAGCCTGGCCAACATGGCAAAACTCCATCTCTACTAAAAATATGAAAAAGTTAGCCAGGCGTGGTGGTGCATGCCTGTAATCCCAGCTACTCAAGAGGCTGAGGCACGAGAATTCCTTGAACTCGGGAGGTGGAGGTTGCAGTGAGCCAAGATCATGCCACTGCACTACAGCCTGGTGACAGAATGAGACTCTGTCTCAAAAAAATTACTTAATTTAATTTAAATGGGCAAAAGGTCTGAATAAACATTTCTTAAAAGAAGACATACAAATAGCCAACAGATATATGAAAAAGTGCTCCACACCACTAATCACCAGAGAAATGCAAATTAAAACCACAATGAAATATCATCTCACTCAAGTTAAAAGGGCTTATCAAAAAGACAAAAAGTAACAGATGCTTGTGAAGATGCAGAGAAAGAGGAAGGCTCACACACTGTTGGTGGGAATGTAAATTAGTACAGCCACTATAGAAAAGAGTATGGAAGTTTCTCAAAATACTAAAAATAGAACCGCCATATCATCCAGCAGTCTCACTGCTGAGTATATATCCAAAAGAAAGGAAGTCAAAATATTGAAGAGATATCTGCAGTCTCATGTTTATCACAGCGATATTCGCAATAGCCAAGATAATCAACCTAAGTGTCCAACAACAGATGAATGGATAAAGAAAACGTGCTATATACACACAATGGAATATTATTTGGCCATAAAAAGAATGAAATCCTGTCATTTGCAGCAATATGGATGGAACTGGAGGTTATTATGTTAAGTTAAATAATCCAGGGACAGAAAGACTAATATTGCATGTTCTCACGCATAAGTGGGAGCTAAAAAAGTAGATCTCATGGAGAGAGAGAGTTGACTGGTGGTTACCAGAGGCTGGGGAAGGAATAGGGGGTGGGGGAATGAAGTGAGGTTGGTTAACGGGTATAAAATACAATTAGAAGGAGTAATGTCTAGTATTTGATAATCCAGTAAGGTGACCATAGTTAATAATAACATATTGCATAGTTCAAACTAGCTAGAAGACAAGGACTAAAATCCTCCCCACAAAAAGAAAAGATAAATGCTTGAGGTGATCGATATTCCAATTACCCTGATTTGATCATCACTTTTATGCATGTATGCAAATATCACGTGTCCCCAAAATATGCACAGGTATTCTGTATCATTAAAAAAAGACATAGAAGTAAAACTGCAGATTTAAGTCTTGTAATTTTGGAAAGCTTTTTCATTCAGTTCAACATTGGTAAACTGCTCATTAAGGACTGGCAGTTAAGCTTGAGGCTTTATTTCTTTTTCCACAAAGAGCTATGAAGCTGCTTAAGAGAGAGTTATGCCAAGGTTCTAAGCACCATGCAGTTTAAAAATGAAACTGAAATCTGACCTATGACAAGTCAAAGTAGAGGGACTTTAAAGGACCACTCAGATTAGTTATTACGCGTTCCTTCAAATTTGAGGCTATAGTGAACTTTGGTCATAGTCTTGCTTCTATTAGTTTCCCACTACTGCTATAACAAATTACCACAATTTTAGTGGGTTTATTATCTATATTTTTTTGAGAGCAGGTCTTGCTCTGTCACCCAGGCTGGAGTCACATTTTTGTCACCTTAGAGTTCTGGAGGTCAAAGCACTTTGGGAGGCCGAGGCAGGTGGATCACCTGAGGTCAGGAGTTCAAGACCAGCCTGGACAAACATGATGAAACCCTGTCTCTACTAAAAATACAAAAATTAGCCAGGTGTGGTGGCACACGCCTATAATCCCAACTACTTGGGAGGCTGAGGCAGGAGAATTGCTTGAACCTGGGAGGCAGAGGTTGCAGTGAGCCAACATCACACCACTGCACTCCGGCCTGGGCGACAGAGCAAGACAGTCTCAAAAAAAAGAGTTGTGGAGATCAGAAGTCTCCGTTCATCCATAGATAAGATCAAGGCATCAGCAGGGCTGTGTTCCTTCTGGGAGCTCTAGAGGAGAATCACCTCCCTTCTCTTGCCCAGCTTCCGAGGCTGCTGGCATTCCTTGGTTTCTCCCTCCAGCCTCTGCTTCTGCTATCCACATCTTCTTCTCTGATTCTCCTGGATCCCCTTTTACTTAGAGGAACCTTTATAAGTACATTTGGGACCACCTGGATAATCTGAGATCATCTCCCTGTTTTAAGATCCTTAATCACGTCCCTATCGCAGAGTCTTTTTTGTGATGTAAAGCAACAGGTGTTCATTGGTTCTGGGGATTAGACATGGACATCTTTGCAGGGAACAATTGTTCTGTCCAACCACTCCTGAGGAGCACCCACTGGCTAGCAGCTGGGCAGTGAGCCATGGGAGGATGTCTCATTGGGCAACCTGTGCTCCAGGGCCACATCAGGGCAAAAGATGCCTTAGTGTTTTCCATGGATCAGAAGTGGACAATGAGAGAGAGAGAGAGAGAGAGAGAGAGAGAGAGAGAGAGAGAGAGATTCCGTCACTGTGAGAGCAGGCAAGCCTCAGAGGAGAAAAGCCAAATATCACCATCTCCCAGGCATTAGGAAACAAGGGAAGGAGCAATGAGTTAGATCTGTGCTCTTCATGTAGGGCACGAGGATCAGGGCTGGTCCACTGACTGTTACTTGGTCTATGGTGGGAATAGTACAGAAATTGAAAGTAAGCTTTGCTTTGTTGTTATTGTTGAGACAGGGTCTCACTCTGTCGTCCAGGCTGTAGTGCAGTGGTGTGATCTCAGCCCACTGCAACCTCCACCTCTGGGGATCAAGTGATCCTCCTGTCTCAGCCTCCTGAGTAGCTGGGACCACAGTCACAGGCCACCACAGCTGGCTAATTTTTGTATTTTTAGTAAAGACAGTGTTTTGCCATGTTGGCCAGGCTAGTCTCAAATTTCTGAGCTCAAGTGATCTGTCAGCCTTGGCCTCCCAAAGTGCTGGACTTACAGGCATGAGCCAGTGCGCCCATCCCTCGAAAGTAAGCTTTTAGAAAATTTTATAGCAGCTTCACAGTAACTTTATGTCTATTCAATGTGATGATTTAAAATGTGGGCTTCTATTTTGTACGACTTTTTTTCATTTTATCTTCGCAGTAATTCATTTTTACTATGTGTTTTCAAAAGTATCAATCCATGGCAGAATGGAAATTAGAACAAAACAAAAACAAAATCCCTTGGTTCTTTACCACAGATGGTTTTTCAAGAAGTCCCAAGCTAGGAGAGAGTGTATTATTCACAAAAGGGAACTCTAGGTAATAAAGTTCCCCAAAATATCCAAGAGGATAGAATCAGCTTTAAATACCTGCCAGGCACAGAGTTCCGTGCCAACTCACTACACTATCAGTCTATGAAGAACTTTCCTGGCGCCCTTTCCCCTACTCCCGCCCCATGCACCAACCCCAGAGGCTTGGCATGCTGGGGAGGAGTTGGGGCATTGGGCATAGAAAGGGAGAAAAAGCCTGCCACTCCCGCTTCCTCCAGCGCAGCCTTCCCCATGCCAGGGGAAGGGAGAGGCTCCACTTTAAATCAAGTTTATTATTATTATAGGAGGCTAGACATGCTAATTACTGAATTGAGAATGTACTCTGCAGTTTCAAGACTTTTTTCATTGTGTAATAGTGACCAGAAAATTCATGAGGCCTGTCCAAGTTTTCAGCCAATAACAGGTCAAGAACAAACCCCACAGAATCATTTTAAAGGAACAGTTGAAGACTGGAATGGAAGTTACTTTCTGGTTTTTTCCCACAAGTTGTGATTGTTTAACCTAATAATTACATTACTCAGATATAGGGCAAGTCTTCATGTAGAGCCACTCAAAGTATGATTTAGGGCAGGGTTTTTCAACCTCAGCACTATTGCCATATTGGGCTAGACAATTCTTTGCTGTGAGGGAGCTGTCCCATGCATTACAAGGACAATGACCTCTAGAAAATCCACTCCAAGTTTATGACAGCCAGAAGTGCCTCCAGACTGCCAAATGTCCACTGGCGGACTAAACTGCCCCTAGTCAAGAAGCACTGATTTAAGGGAAGCAGTGTCTCTTCTTCCTGCCCTTCCTGCACCCAGTAATTACCTCCCTATCAAGCCCCAAAGCATCTGAAATTCCAACATTCAACACACTCTTTGCTCATTCCAGAAATACTGTTTTTAATTCAACATCCTCTGAGAAATGACATTGAGCTGTTATCATTGATAGGTTAGTGTGAATGGGATCATTAGATTTCTCTCTTACTGATTGGCCCATTATTAACTTACCGGTTGTATGAAGCCAAGCTGAGTGAGGCACAAAGATCTGGGGAAGCCTGTTGGTTTCTTCCACTGGTGAAACATCTCTTGAGACCATCTTCTCCCCAACGGCACCCCCGTACCAGTTCTCTCATTCAGGGACTCCACCTCTCACCTATATAATGGCAATTTTTACCATGTCCCGCTGCACCAGTTTCAGATCCCTCAAACTCATCCTCCACATTTTTCTAGGAATGATCTTTCTCATAGTCTTTAAAGACTTGCCATCACCCATACAAAAACATCCAAGCTCTTTAGCAAGACATTCACCCCAGCCTCCGTCCATAATGCATTTTTCTATCCCCTAAGATTTTGTTGTTGCTCTTCCCTTTCCCTTTCTCTTTCCTTCACCACCCATTTGTGTCCTAGAAAACTCCCACTCAACTTCCAGGCTCAATTTAAGCACTCAAGTTCTTGAAAATCCTTCTCTGATTCACTCAGCAATATTTAAGTGCTCCTTTTTCCATGCTCTCAGATAACAGTGAGTAGATCTTTAGTGCAGCACTTACCTCTTTGAATTATTTTCTCATTAGAATTTTGTCTCCCACTAAACCATGAGCTCATTCATTGAAAGTAAAAATTGTGGTCTGATTATTTTCCTGGAGAAGTTCATGATGCGGTTTATAGAGCACCATGATGTGATAGAGCATCATTGTGTCATTCCTCTGCGTCTCATCCATCCACTCTCAGTCTCGCTTTCAACTCTCAAACCTTGCAGGCCTCCATTTAGTTCTAATTCATCCTGCTCTCTCCAACCTCCAACCTCCCCATATGATCTTCTCTCCTATTTGCTATGCTCTTCTTCTTTTCTTACTGTTAACACTGTCTCTGAAAACTCTGCTCATTTTCCACCTCTTAGCTAAATGTCGCCCTTTCTAGGAACTTTTCCCTCAACTTCCAGACCAAGAGAGGTCCCTCTGTTTCACTCTTCCAAGGCATCCTGTGCTTTGTTTTGTACTATTCTGTACTTATTACAATTTGGCTACTGTGACTCTCATACCATTACACTTGGGTTTAACAGATGTGCTATTACTTTAATTTTCTAAATAAAATTCAATCTGATTTCTGAGCTTCTCACTCACCAGTGTAGGAAAAAAAAATCAAAATCAGTCATGTTTTGGCAGGCCTTCAAGAGCACAGAATTCTGGAGGCTTCTGTAGTGCCTAGGACTTGCGGTAAGAGTTTCTAGTCTTCAGTCCACTGTGGTCAGAGGTCCCTGCTAAAGTACTGATTATTCATTGTATGGTCTATTCAAAGACTGAAGGCTTTGGTGCTTCATGCCAAGCTTTAGGGCTCCATCAGGCTGAGTGTTGTGACTGACACCCAGGGTTCTCCCTCAAGTTGCACCCTGCAGCCACTTTCCCTTGAGGCCCCAAGACTTCCCAGTGCCATTGTGATTGCAACTTTTGCTTGTAGCCTCCAAGCACCAATCTCACCCCTAATATTTGCAGAGTAAAATGGAAGCTTATATACCATATGGCAAAATATTTTCTTCTTTTTCTTTTCTTCCCCTCCCTCCCTTCCTTCCTTCCCTTTTTCTTTCTGGCAGGGTCTGCATCACAGCTCACTGCAGCTTCCACCTCCTGGGTACAAGAGATCCTCCTGTCTCAGCCACTTCAGTAGCTGGGACTACAGGCATGAGCCACTGCACCCAGCCCCAAATATTTTCAAAGTTGCAAACCAAGCCAATGAATTGTTAAATAAAATGTGTTCTATTGCTGTATGCTGACAAATATACCTACATAATTTCCTAAAAGGCTAAATTCAAATTAAGAATTTTTACATTCCTTGGAGTCCCGTGCTAGAACATGGTGGCCTGGTAAGTATAGATCCCTATCCCACACCCCCACTGCATCTCGCCAAAGGGCCTCGCATGCCTGTGTGTGGTTCTTCAGCCTGCAGAACCAGGCTGTGTCCACACCCCTGAAAATGGCTATTCTTTGGCCTCCCTTTGGTCCTGGGGTGCTCAACTGGTGGCACAATTGGATGGACCTGAAGGTAGGGCTGTTTGGATTGAGAGTTCTGGGCCCCAGGAGCCCAAAATGTAGCCTAAAGAAGAAGGCTTAGGTTCCAGGTGGACATATTCCCTTGGCTGCATAGATGCTTTACCCTGGCAAAGCAGGAGTACCCAAAGGAGGGCCAGGGCAGAGCCCTGTAAAGTATGAGTCCAAAGCAAGGCCTGTCTTGCCTGAGTCTGACTGCAATCCTGAGATCACATCCTACAGCACTGCTGGAACCAACAAATCAGTAAGCAACAAGAGGCATCAGAAAGTAAACTTTCTCTGGCCGGGCACAGTGGCTCACACCTGTAATCCCAGCAATTTGGGAGGTCAAGGCGGGTGGATCATCTGAGGTCAGGAATTAGATACCAGCCTGGCCAACATGGTGAAACTCTGTCTCTACTAAAAATACAAAATTTAGGTGGTGCGTGACTGTAATCCCAGCTACTCGGGAGGCTGAGGTGGGAGAATCGCTTGAATCTGAGAGGCAGAAGTTGCAGTGAGCTGAGACCGCGCCATTGCACTTCAGCCTGGGTGACAAGAGCGAAACTCCATCTCAACAAAAAAAGAAAGTAAATTTTCTCCATATGATAAATCAATTGAGAGTTGATATTAATGCTAATTTAATTGACATTGATATGTGGAAACAAAGCTAAAGGCCCATGAGTATGTTGCTAAGCCAATAAACAAACTCACTGTTTCCAAAGTTGTATAAAAATTATTAACAGGTCTTATTAGAAGAAAGTATTCAAAAACAAAATGTTTGAAAGAAATACATAATTTGAAGCAAACATTTTTTCTTTAATGCAGAACTTCTAGGAGGCTTTTTTTTTTTTTTTTTTTTTTTTTTTTTTTTTGACAGCGTCCCACTCTGTCGCCCAGGCTGGAGTGTGGAGTGCAATGGCGCAATCTCGGCTCACTTCAACCTCCGTCTCCCAGATTCAAGCGATTCTCCCGCCTCAGACTCCCAAGTAGCTGGGACTACAGGTGTGTGCCACCATGCCTGGCTTTTTTTTTTTTTTTTGTATTTTTAGTAGAGACAAGGTTTCACCATGTTGGCCAGGCTGGTCTCAAACTCCTGACCCAAGTGATCCGCCTGCCTCAGCCTCCCAAAGTGCTGGGATTACAGGTGTGAGCTACTGCACCTGTCCAGGAGCCTTTAATATAAGAATGTGGCCTGTGAATCCCCAAATAGACAAATAAAGTAAGTTATATTTCGCAGACTTGTATGATGTGTGTGTATGTGTGTGCATGCATGTGTGTATGTCTGTTTGTGTGTGTGTGTATATACACATGCCTGCACATGTATGCATAATATATCTCTTGGCAGTAGAATTCTGAAAATGCTATCAATCCAAAAAAAAATCACTGTATCAGAGTTCTTGAGTACACAGGATAGAAACTACTTATGGCCAGTTAAAAAAAAAGGAATTAAGTGGAAGGATATTATGGAGCCTTCAAGTCTCCAGTCTGAAAAGCAAGCAGCTTGGACAGTAGAAACCACAGCAAGAAGAGCCCTGCCCTAGAGCTACAGTTACTGAGATCAATGAGTTCCCAATCGTCTTCATTTCCAACATCATAGGGAGATGCTCACAAATAGTAAGTGAAAAAAATAAGGAAAAAGAATATGAGCCCAATTCAACAGAAAGAAAAAGAGAAAGATTTACAGGAACAATCTTAGTAGGAAATACAACAGAATGTTAGCTGTGCTTTTCTCTGGGTAATGAAGTTACAGGGTATTTTTATTTTATTTCTGTACATAAATTACATCTGTAATTATAAAAAACAAATATTTTTCAAAATACTTTTGCCAAGTCTAAAAGAAAAATTGTTCTAATGCCAACATTTTGAGACACAGTCCATTTTCACAATATTCAAATCCTTCCTGATTTCATAAACTTTGATGAGTTGCTCTAGTTAGCAGATGACCTTTTAAGTTTTATCATACTTTAGGATTTCTGGTCCAATAAACATTTTTAAAGTTCTTTCTTAACTTTCATATGGAAAAATAGGACTTTATAAAATCAGAATTCCTGTAAATTATTGGCATTAGTGATATACCAAGTCCCTGCTGTCAATAATTAGTATAGCTGCCACTAGCTGATGCTATTGGTAGAATCGTGTGACAAGGAACTCTCCATGGTGCTTGTATACAACTTCAGATGAGACCACTTCACATATAATTTCACTTTTTCCAAACAAAATCAGCTCTTTATTAAAGTAGCAACATAAATATTAATAAGTTTATTCTTTATTAAAAAGAAAGTAGGATTAACAAATAACAAAAACCTCACAATACTATCCTAAATAATACATCAAAAATAAAATAAAAACAGTAATATAATCCATTATTTTTAAATAGCAACAATTAAGAGACTACATACCAAAACTTTTGAGATGCAGTCAAAGCTGTGCCCAAAGGCAAAGTTATAGTCTTACGTGTCCTATTATTAAATTAAAAAATGAAAATAAATGAACTAAGCCATCAATTAGTACAAAACATTCATAAAGCAACAAAATAAACATTAAAAATAAGGAAGGAATTAAAGATGAAAAGTTATATTAATATTATAACAAATAGAAAAAATAGAACTGATGAAATACTCAAGTGCTGGTTCCTTAAAAAGACTGGCAAGTCTAATAAAAGAAAGGAAAAAAGTAACTAAAAAGACCAGAAATGAGAAAGAAGCAATAACCAGAGATACAGAGAAAAATATTTTTAATTATAATTATATATAGACAACAAATTTTAAAATTCTCTGAAAATGCATGTTTTTCTTTAAAAATATGATTTTTTAAATTGATACTCAAGAAGTGACAGTAAAACCATAGAAAAAGGTTTTTTAAGTTTTCAGAGAATTGTCTTCTACTCATCCTCCCTTAAAGAGATTGAGGCCTAAACAATGTTATGGGTGAGTTTCTCCAGACCCCAAAGAATAGGCAATTCATATGCTATGTACCAATCTAGGTTTTTAAGCTGATAAAGGTAGAATTCAAAAATGTAAAACTACAACCCAATCTTATTCATAAATATAAATGCAATAATCCAAATAAAATGTAAGAAATTGAGTTCAACATTGTTACAAGAAAAAAAGGGAAAAACCACCATTATTTAACAGGATACATCTCATGCAGAAATAATCCAGTATTGAGAAACTACTAACATAATTTATTGTGATAATAGGCCAGAGAAGTAAAATCACATGATCATTTCTAGTTGCCTAGAGTATGCTTAATATAATTGAACAACTTCTAATAAAATGCTTAGTATATTTGAACCATCAAACCACATCTTTAACATGATAAAGACCTGTATTTCAGTCTAAGAGCTAACATTTAAAAGCTGGTAAAATTTAATGGCATACCTAACAAATCAGGAATAAGGGCAAAGTTATTACCATCATTTATTTAACACATGAGGTATAAATATTATAAAGGAAGAGAGAAAAATCACCATTAATTATACTTAAGAATGATTGGCTACTTAGAAGAGAATCAACTAGGGAGTATTAATGAAAGAGTTCAAAAAAGTTATCAAACACAAAAATAAATAGCTTGACCCCAGAAGGAGTAGCCACTAATAAAAAATGATGGAAAAATGATCCCATTCAAATGCAACAAAGAAATGAAATATCTAACAATACAATTAATAAAAATATGCAAAACATACAAAATTACTAAAGAACATTTGGAGATTGTCTTCAGTAACCTTAACACATGACAAGTTCCTGAATAAGAAATTTAATATTACAAAGTTGGTAATTCTCCCCAAATTAGTCTATATTGTTAAAGCAATTCCAAACAAAATGGCAATAGAATTTCTTTTGGAATGTGACCAAAACATAACTGAAGCTTATCTGCGAGAATACATGAAAAAATATAGCCAAAAATATTTAAAAAAGAAGAGTAACATTTACCCCCATTGAAACTTAACACACAGTAAAGCAAATGATAAAATGGCAATAATTAACAGCATGGTTAAGGAATAGAGGATATAAAAAAATTAAACAAACAACAAATTCAGAAACCGCTCCAAGTGTGTGTAGGAATTTAGTATTTGATAAATGTGGAATTTTTAAAACAGTAGAAAAGTGAGTTTTCAATAAATGATGATACAACAACTAAATAAATATTTAGACCCTTAATCACACCTATATCAAAAATAAATTCCATTTGGAGTAAAAATTCAAATCTGAAAAAATGAAATAAAAAATAGACAGATATTTATATAACACTGGGAAAGAGAAGACCTCTTTAAACATAACACCAAAAGCAGAAATCATGAAAGACTGATTTATCTAAATAAAAAATGCAATATTTCTGTTTATCAAAGACATCATGGATTAAATTGATAGATATCTGACAAAGAGCAAAATGTCTGCAGCATGCAGAACAAACAAATGGTTAGTGGTTTCAATATATAAAAAGTTCTTACAAATCAATGAAAAGTGAACCCTCAACAGAAAAAATATCAAATATGTTCATTCATTCCTTCAACAGATATTTCTTGTGCACCTAATATGTGTCAAATATTGTGCTACAGGCGGAGAATACAATGTTGAAGAATCTAGACATCCAAACATGGTCTCTTCCTTTATACATTCTAGTATGGGAAATAGACCCCCCCCCCAAAGGTAAATAAAAAAATAAATAACACTACAAGTTGAGATACAGGATTAGAGTGATGAAGGAAACAAAGGACTGATACAGCAAATGGGAGGACAGAAAGGGAGGGTCTACTTTCAATAGAGTGCTCTGTGCAGAAATATAACAACTTTCTCAAGATGTTATATTTAATCAGTTATCTAAAGGATACGGTTGTGGTGGGAGAGAGGGTGGCTGTGAAAAGCAGCTTAAACAGAGACAACAGCATTTCCTAGGCCCCTGAGGTGCAGAAAATATCTTGGCATATTGGAAAAAGCAGTGTGGCTGCATTCGAGTGGGCAATAAAGAGAGGAGCATAGACGGGGGTGGAAGGATAAGTAAGGGTCAGACTGTGCAAGGCTATGTGAGCCATGGTAAAGGGGTTTAGATTTTATCCTAAAAGCAACAATTTGCTTAATTCAATTTGTGAGAAAGGTTGTTGCTACCACTCTATCAAAAACGTATTGGAGTGGTTAAGAGTGGTAGCAGAGAGACCAGGTGGGACTGGTGTCACAATATCCCGGTAGGAAAGAATAGACAACTCCATTAAAAAGTTTAGTTCTAAAGGAGAGCTGAGAGATGGTTCACAGATGGAGAAGACGTGCACGAGGGAAGGTGTGGTTAAGATGAAAGACACTGGAGCATGTGTGCAGGGAATAATCCATTGAGAGGAGGCAGGATTGATGATGCAAAAGAGAGAAAGGGGAAAACCTAAGGAAGAAGTCCTTGAAAAGGCAAGGGGGCTGGGATTCGGGGCATGACAGGAGGAGCTAATCTGTGAAGCTCCCTCTATTATCACAAAAAGGAAGGTTACCAAGGTAACTGGGTTGGAGGATCTTGTGGTGACAAGATGAGAAAGTCTGTATGTAGTAAATTCTGTTTTCTCAGGCAAATGTGAAGTAAACAGGGAGGAAAAGATCAGAACATTTTGAGGAGATGAAAAGGTATGAAGAGTAGTCTCAGATGTGGAGAACTGAGACTACAGTAGGAACAACAGCACCAACTTGAGGTTTGAGTTAATGGATTGGAAGTAAAAATGAATTGGCTGAACTGTGTACTTTTCTCAAAGAAAATGTTCAGTTGTCCCAGTAAGGCCCATGGAAGGCAGATGGTAAGATTTCTCCAGAGTTGAGATTTTGCCAGGAAAATTAAGAAATTGCTGTTCAAGAGTGCTGAAAGCAATGCATTTCAAGGAGAATGATCATGATAATGGATCACAGAATCTAGACTAAGCAAGGACGAGAACGCAAGACAGGGGCTGATAAACAGTGGGGAAAAAATGAAGCAACGAATTAGCTGTCAGTGAGCAAGGAATCTAGGATAGGAAGATGGTGATCAGAGCATGGAATGTCTGATGATGTGCTAGTTCAGGTCCTCTTAGAAGCAGACACCAAGACAGGGTTCAATGTGCAAGAGTTTTATTAAGGGAACTCCTGTGAAGGATAAACAGAAGGAAGCAGGAGCGGGGAAGGGAGACTTCATATCATAATACAGGTCTGACACCTGTGAAAGGAGAGGGGAACTGGGCCCAAGAGCCTCAGGCTGCATGCAGCATAGTTCTCAGAAAGTTTCAACCAGCCGGCTCAGGTGTTTCCAAGCCAAACTTGCTCATCAGAGGAGTCCTACATCTTCCATGAACGTGCCACCACCAACACCCCGTGCTGTGCCCGCTCACTGACTGGGAGTAGTGCCAGAGAAGCATGGCTTCAGTGCAAACCCAGCAGTGTATGCCTTGGGAAGGCAGGGGGACCTGTCAGTCACTTCCGCTCCGTGGAGCAGGAGATCTGAGAGGCCATGGTCACCACAGACAAGACTGTAGAGAGGATGCGGATTCTAATGATGACATGGTCTAGAACTGTGGTAGCAAGGACTGATTCTGAAGGGGAGAAATAATTACTGGAGATGAAGTTACAGGAAGGAGGGGACTGGATGTTGGAGTTCAAGTTCAACCACAGTTGTGCATAACACAACTCCAAGTTGTGTCAAGCACCCCACAGTCACTGAGGATTTGGACAGTTATTAAAACAATCTTCTGGCAGATGGCAATATTTGGGGTTGTGGCGGGGGGGTGGGGAGGTGGGCGGGGGGAAACTAGTTTGTCGATGCCAGGATTTGAGGTGAAGGTTCAAGTAGGAGCTAGTCTTTGAAGAACTAATCATGACAAAACTCACTAGGAATAGGAAATCTATAAATTACAGGCTGAAAGGAAAAGGATGGTATTGTCCAGTGACAAGATTCTCAAAGAAGCCGGGATTTTGGCAGGCAGAGGACGTGCTGCTCTGCGAACAACCACGACTCGCACGGAGGCCGCCCCCAGCCTGTCCCTAAGGCACGTGGTCCTCTAGAGGGCTTCGCGGGAGAGTTCTGGCTCAAACCAGGGACGGCGAGGGCAAGGGGTGAAAGGGGTTTGAGGCGAGGCAGAGGACTCAGGGGTCTGCGGACGGCTGGTCGGCCCGTGGAGACGGCCGCGGCGAGGCGCCTGAGGTACGGCGGTGCGGAGCGAGGGCGAGGTCCCGCCGGCGGCCAGGCGGCGGCGCTCACGGAGCCGCGGGCTTCCCCAGGCCCCGGGCAGCGTGCTGGAGCTCTCGGGCGGCGCCGCCGCGGAGCTTGGCGCGGCAGCTGGCAGCGGCCTGACGCGTGGTGACGGCGCCCGCGGGCAGGCAGCGGCTCCCGGGGGCGGCCGGGCGCAGGGCGGCGGCGCTGCGGGACGACGGCTTCGCGAGGCTTCGGCCCGCACGGGTGGCAGCGGTCCCCAGGGAGGAAAGACAAAGATATGCGGGTTAGAAACCAAGGAAAGAGCGCCGACGCCTCTCAGCCCCGCAAGAGCTGCAGACCCACGGGCAGTGCGGTGCCACTTTCGCCCAACAGGGTGCCAAGAGAGAAAACTGCGGTGGTCATAGGAAAACAGATCCAATTCAGGTCTCATGCAACAACTTGGTGGCAATTTAGGAAAATGTATCAAAACCCTTAAATGTCTGAATACTCTTTGACCCAGAAAGTCTAGCTTGAGAATTTTCCCTTAAGGAATAATTATGAATACCTACAAACTTTTCATACAGGGTGTTCAGTGCAGTATCTATAATAGAAAAAAAAAATGCCAGAAAAAAATGGCAAAAAAAAAAAAAAAATGGGAATGTCCTACACCCAACAATAAGGTATTGGTTATAGTCTTTTTCTTACAGCGAATACTAAACTGCTATTGAAATAATGCTGTGAAATAATACGTAATGATATGGAAAAGAATTGATACTATATGCAATGAAAAAAATCAGTTTCATCCCCATTTGTACCATGTGAGTGTATACTTACGTGTACATGTGTGTACACACGACACATCACATATGTAATAATGGACAGAAACACATCAAAATGTTAAGCAGTTATCTCCAGGTGATAAAGCTGCAGGTAACGCTTTTTTAACTTATGTTTCCCAAATTTCATACAAGTTTGTTTTACAGTAAAAAATATAATACAAGGAATTTTACTCCATTCTTATGTACCCATTCTATATTTATCTCAATTCAAATTTATGAAAATCTTTCTTTTCTATTGTGTAGCAAAGTGGTGGACATCAAAAGATTTTAAAAAATGAAGAGTCCACAAAAGTAGTTTATCTTCCTCAAAAGTTCTGCGTAAATTACAGTATTACAGAAGAGTTTATTGCTTAAACACTTTGCAGTTAATCAAAGCTACTGTCTTTTGTGACATTATATCTTATTTAACTCTAGTAATAATTTCCACTTTAGAAAAAAAAAAATCTGGGCTTTTGAGAAATGTAATTTGATTTGTAATTTCCAGACTTGGGAACACACAGTTTGCTAAAAACAGAAAAATGTGGGACAAATGTTTTAGATCATACCAATGTTTTAGAGTAATTCAATGAATCTCTCTTTAGTTTGAAATAATTGAATGGGATCAAAACTAAAATATGGCAATGAACTAGAATCTAAGCTTAACATCCTGGTCTCCCAATCATAAATTAATTTAAAATTTTAAGTTAATACCTAGGGAGTCTGTTTTGCTAAGCCTTGTTCCAGGAACATGCATAAAAGTGATAATAAAATTATAATAATATAACACAGGAGAGGGGTTCCAGGACTTTGTTATTAGATTGATAGAAGATCCTCTGTAAGTTTCAGATATATTTTAAGCTGAAGTGAGCTCAGAGTTGTCAGGCTGATTTTATCTAATGATGAGCAAATCCAAGATTAGATGTTTATTGGAATGTTGCTTTGTTGCTTAAACAGATGACATAAGTAATCACACCATCCTGTAAGTTTCCTTCACCCTGAAGGTACTGGATACAATTATTGTGTCTGGAAGCATACTTTTGGTAAAAATTATCAGAAATAAATAAAATGTCCAAAGAGAATAAATCCTCTTAAGGCCAAAAGTTTGTGTTAACCACCTGCTCCTGAATAAAATGAAGGTTATAGGAGCTTTTAATAAAACATTTTCTCTCAAAAACCTTAATATTCCCCAAATGATGTAACCAAACAATGTTAAATACAAATAAGACAGAAGAGCATTTATTATTGGTGCTACAGTCCAGCTTTCACTATTCATACAGTGATTTCAATTTAACTCAACATTTTTGGAGTCCCTATTATGTCTCCTGCACTGTGCTCAGACAGTATGAACAAAAAAGATAACACAAGGTTCCTACCTTTGAGAAGCTCTAGCTAGAAAATTACCTTCAGATTACTCAGATGCGGGGGATAACCTGAATCCCTAAATTACTCGCCATTGTCGTGTCAAAGCTTCGCATCCCATATTCTTCAAATGAGCTGATTTCCTCTCATTCCTTTGCTCAGATTTATCCAGAGCAACCTACTGCCTCCACAATAGCTAAATCGATAGAGATTCTGACTAAAGATATGGACTTCCTCCTCCAGAAACATGCGCAGAAGTGCATACACCATTTACTTCGTTTCACTGCACTGGAAGATGATTTACTGAACATAAGCAATATTTGTAAAGGATTATGCCTCCGTTCTCTTTTGAAAGAAAAATGACTGTTTCCTGGAAAAAAAATTTAGAAAATTCTGACTGTTCAGTAGTACATCTCAATGAGATCTAGTTTAAATGAGTTGAAACTGTGCTTTGGCTTTTGACATAGCAACATATACTTCATCTTTGATAACCCATTACAACTTTTTCCCTATGGCAACAAGTGCTGAAATCCTTGACTCACAAAGGTACGTATTTAATAGAACGAAAGCAGAATTGCATAGAATGGAATTTGCCAGGTTAAGGTGGCCTGCACACTGTAACACCAAATTCCTCCAAGACTTTCAAGTTAGATTCAAGTCACATTATTTCCTCTGCCTTCAAGTTCAATTAGACTTCTGGAAAGTCAGCAGATTTCTGTCTGGTTAGAGAAAAACATCTTACCCTGCTCCTGTTTCTTGGCAACACCTTTTGGAAAGGTGGTAACAGCTGCTGATATGGAAAGCACCGAGGCACAATGACGTGCAGCAATCCTTTCCTCATCAAGCAGGAAAACCATGCTGTGTTGCTGACATCACAGGTGCACCAGCTGCCCCCAGAGTGCAATTTTTCTTCTTCCATTTGAATATTTATTGAGAACGAATATTTTGAAGATGTTGACAGTCTTTCCAGTTTCCAAAAGGTGTTCTTAAATGGAGTTCTCCTTTGATGACATCAGCAAGCACATGAAAATGTGAAGCTGGATGCACTGAGAGGCATCAACAGTTTCATTCATTTGCATGCTGAAGAGAAATATGCAGAGCTGCCCATTTCTTCCAAGTCTGAAGTGAGTGATGTCATTTGACAGAAGTAGGGCCTTAATTTTCTTTCATGGACCACATTTAAGAACCTTTGAGTCAAACTATTTGATTCTGCACTCCCCTTACACTATTGTTTCCCACCTCTGTACTTTTGTTCTTGGCATTTCACCCATCGAAAAATGTTTTCTCCCTGCTCTCATCTATTCAAATCCTGTCCATCTCTCAAGACCTAGACCAAAGCCAGTCTCTTTCATTAAGCTTTCCCTGACTACTGCAGCCTGAAATGATCTCTCTTCTGAACTCTGACAATGGTTCCTATCTTTGACAGTTCTCAAAATGTGGTTCTGAGACCACCACCTTTAAAAATGCACCATATTATGTATTTTTACAAGCACCAGAAAGAGCTGTGGTAATTTTTCCTGTTTTCCTGAATCTTCTTTGCAACTCTTAAAAGAATAACTCACTTCCCAGATGGATGGAGAGAAGACTGACAATGATTATTTTTGCTGGGGTGATCAACTGACTCATCTGAATCATTCCTTTCTGTACTCATTTTCACACAAATGTTTTGATTTGTCAGTTGTGTATCTGTCAGGTCTGTAGTGTCACTGCTGACTGCTGAAATCCTACATTTACCCATGGACTTTTCAATCACAACCTCCCAGTGCCATGGCCATCCTTCTAAGGATTCAGATGTTGCTACCATTTTCAAAATAACTTCACACTCTATGAGAAAGAATTTAAGCAGAGCTTAAAATGAAGGCAAGCACAGTTAGATGGAAATGGCTACAACTGACATCATATACTCAAATAAGATGTAAAATCAAATGTATTCTGGAACTGAGCAGCAACTTCAAGATCATCTCTTCCAACAGATTCACATGACAGGTGGGGGAAATGTGGAGAATGGGGTATTTCAGAGCAAGAAACTGAAATTTAAAAGAATAAAAATCTTAAAGTTAAAACAATAGCAAGATCACATACAGTCAAAGGCATTGTCCTAATTAGCTCATGGATTCAACATTAAGGATAAATAAAATTGAAGAATTAAATGAAAAGAATTAAAGGATGAAAATAACTCAAAATGTAAAAGATGGATCACACTCATCTATAAACATGGCCCAAAAGACTGTCTTTGATATTACAAGTAACAAGATGACTTGGACTCAAAACCAGTTATGCTTATTCATAATAATAGTTATCATGTACTTACTGTATACCAGGAATTGGGCTAAGTGTTTTACATACATTAATCAACTCAACTGCATTAAATTCTAATAGAAAAAAAGTATCAAAAGAGAAAGTCTATAATACCTCTGTAAGAAAAGAAATGAAGAAAGCAAAAGCTGGCCATGCATCTGCAGCCTGGTCTAGTAGAAAGGATGCTCTGCATATTGAACAATATCTGGTCTGAGTGGCAGTTGCATTCCTATGGGGAAGATGAGTGTGTTGCACTACCAGAGCTTACTGACACTGGTTGCTGAGAGCTGATTCAATGCTCACCAAGCAACCTTCTGATTATAATTTATTTTTCATGTAGATTTGCCTATTGGGAGAAAATGCACTGAACCATAAACATGAGAAATGATTGTGCCTGACACTTCCCATCTCAAATTAAAGAACTGAATTGTGGAATTTATACACTACTATGAAGCCGGTTAAAGGGATACAGTCTTCTAATACCTAGTTACCTCTCTGGATGAACCAATAATCAGGGTCAGCCTTAGAAAGCAGTGGCCACATCAAAGTTCCTGTGAGGCCTGGCAGGGAGGCCAGCCTGCCCTCTGTCCTGCTGTCCACCTTCTTTAAACAGCAAAATCCCACGATTACACACACACACACACACACAATAACCATTTTAATTAGAAATGGAAATGATGAGAAAAGGAACAAAATATAGTGTTTTTCCATGCTCTAGAGCACTAACTTGTGAGCTTAGTTTTTACAGCAGATAAGGCCAAAGTGGTTTTTTCCCCCCAATGGCACCGATAAGTACTTATTTTGCTTATTAAAAGAATCAGTCACCTAAGCAAAAAGAAAAAGTCCAAGTAGAACTTGGACATATAAACTTTTACCAAAGAATAAATATAAAAATATTTCAGATGTCCACAAATATATGCAATACATCATTACTTAGGGGTGTTGTTTCCTTTTGGGATGTTTTGTTGGCCAGTTTTTGTTTTCTGACATCATCTCCATAGGAGAGAAACTTATAAATATGGCAGGATCCTAACATGACTTAATCACAGTTCTTGACAAGACTTTTTGTTCATTATCTTACATCAAGAATTCCAAAGTCAGAATGCAGTAAGAACCCTTAGGACCCTGTGTTCAGGGTTGAGGATAACACACGTAAAAGCTGTGCTAAAGCTATGAACATCAAGAATATGATCTTACTTGTTCAACAACTGAATTTTAACTATGATGATGGTGTTATGAAAATATATTTTTAGTCTGATTAACTTTTTTTCCAATCAACAATGGTTGGAGTCTAATAGTATTTTCAGACAGAATTACCAAGTAAATAATACATTGAGAAGGCCTGCCATCTTTAGGAAGAAAGCAGAATTACTGACTAATTATCTAACATGAAGTTCAAATATAAGTACTCAACCTCTATGAATATTATCATGGACATTTGGCATGGGACACATTTTTAAATGGATTTGTCTTTTGTGACACAATTTGGTCCATAAGATCTAAAATCAAACGGTTCTGACAGGCTCTATTTTTCTCTGAAAGTTAAAGCAATAATTGCACTGATAGATAAGCTGGCCAAAAAAAAAAACCCAGAATGATCAAAATTAATGGTGTATTTTTATATAGATGATCATGAATCATATCAAGATAAAAATATATAGTTACAAGCTGTTTTGAGAAACAAATGAAAGACTATTTCTGTGATATGCATTTGAGGTTGGAGATTTTAAAATTTAGAAAATGAAACAAACATTTGTGGTTTGACATTTTAACATCATTGCTTCTCACTGGCCTTGAGATAAACTGTTTGTACACACAGTACAAATTTTTACACAAGTCTGAAGGTAAATGATTTCCCTGAAAACTTCATCTGCCAATTCTTTCTCAAATGGAAAAGTAAATATACAATTAGCTATTTTTGGTAACCAGCAATAACAGCTATTTATAAATTTCCCTTATTATTTTTTAACTTTCAACATTATTTATCATAAATCAGTGACCCTCTCTTCCTGAAAGAAATGTGAAATACTACATCATGTTGCACGTGAGGTACTCAATATGCTAGAAATAAATAATAATTTAATACTCTGTCCATTCATATTAACAAAAAACAGTTGTTTAATAATAATAGGCAGTATAGCAAAATGGAAAGTTCATGGACCAAGGAACAAAAAAATCCCGGGCTCTACAATTTTCAGACATTGTTAAGTAAAAAAAAGCAAGGTGCAGAAAGGTATGCATAATATGCTACCATCTGTGTGAAGGACAATGTATACATCTCCTTGATTGCACATACATGAAATAGCTCTTGAAAGTCCAAGAAATTGGTAACTTCTTGCCTCTGGGGAAGGTAATGGAAGAACTGAGAGATGGGGTAGGGAAAAAACTTACCTTTCACAGTATACCTTTTTGTACTTTTTAAAAACATGTTATTACATATTAAAATAATCTTTAAGAGATAGCTGGCTTCTATTCCTGACTTCTTCATCAGCTACACATTTGACCTTGTGCAATCACTTACCTCAATTTTCTCCATTTTAAAATACTAAATCTCTAGATTCTCCATGTACAACTCAACAGAATTATGGCTCAATCGAAGGTATATACAAAATATCAGGTGGTGAAATAAAATAACTATTAGCCTTAATTTGCAATGACTTACTCTTCTGTCTTTTTATTCTGTATTGAAAGTAAAAGTGTGATTAACCCACCTTTTTGACATATCCAAACTATTGCTTCTGAGATACACACTCTCAAAACATTTCAGTTATTGAGTAAATATTAAATGTAAGTATAAAGAGGTAGAATTTTGTGGTAGAGTTTCAAAATTGAAACTGAGATAGGAAAAAGCTGAAAATCACCCATATATCTCCAAAAAATTATCCCAAGAATCTTCTAAAAATCATCCATAATCTTTATAAACAGAAGATACTAAAAGAACCAGAGAAGGCCAAGAGTAGAGCAATAGAAAGCTTAGACCAGGAAAAATAGGACATGAAGAAGACACTACAAAAAAGAAATCAAAACTTATTGATAGCTTACAGGACAGGAAGAATGGGGACAGGCCTGGTGATCCATTCTTTCATAATTCTACATGCTGCAGGGTAAAACTGCTAGCCTTGGGTCTCAAAGGGCTTAGTCTAATCATGGGGGGCAATGTAATTAATAACGCAATAATAACACAAAGGATAGAAGTGAAAAATAAATGGTAAGGTAAATGTGAGTTTATCAGAAGAGGTCTCTATGAGTTGGAACTGTCAAGAACAGATTCATAGAAGAAATAAGACTTTGAAGTCTACGTAATAAGCAAAGTGGTGGTGGTAGCATGGATAAAATGAAGAATTCAAGCAAGGAGAGTCAGTTCTAGTAGGATGGGAGCAGTAATCGTAGATAACAGGCTGATGAATTTAGTTTTAGACATAGTTTTATTCTAAATAGTAACTTGGCTAAAAATATTAAAAATTATTTTTCAAATGTTGGGTTGCCAAATTTTCTTTATAGATTACTACATAGGAATGATGACATGCTAGTAATATATCAAAACTGGCTGACTAGGCAAGATCAACACACATCTAGATCCAACTTTTTAATAGGCAGGGCCCTGAGGTATGAGAAAATCACACTTACACAGGATGTTTGGTAACCATCTTCCAGTATTTTCTTGCAGGTACCTAATATTATTTCCTAACACAATTTTCATACTCAGGAATCAGCTCCACCCAAAAAACATAAACCAGGAAATCAAGAGGTGCCAGTTTTACTTTGCCATTGATTAAGTTTGTGAATTGGGCCTGGGTGATGAAATTGAGTGCTGTGGGTTTTAACTATATGAAAAAATGTCAAAACAAAAAAAACCAAAAGAACAATCTGTCAGTGATCTAGTGATTTTGTAAAGCTAAAGCAATGATGTATAACCACTTAACTTCTGGCAAAATACACATTATAAATTCAAGATATTTGTTATTACATGGATAAAAAGTTGTGTCTGTGTGTGTGTGTGTATGTGTGTGTGAGAGAGAGAGAGTGTGTGTTGTTATTGGTAGCATACTGATAAATCTTGTAAGAAATTTCTAAAAATGTATTTCTAAAATGTTGGCACAGGGCAAGAAAGAATATCAACAAATATAAAGAAGGCTATAAAGCAAATGAAGTCCTCAATGCAGAAAGCATATATTCTAAAATTCTATTCTACTTTTGATTTTTGTTACAATCCTTCAAACACCCAAATACACATATCTTCATCAATAATCTCTTAGTGATTTACTGGGGTGTGAATGAGAATATAGAGGCTTGCCAGGAAAAAAAAAATGATGTTTAAACAAAAAGAGACTGGAAACAGGTAAAAGTTTATGGTTAATATAATTGTGTGTTACAGCAGTGTGCCTTGTATTATTTGATGTGGATATTAGGCTTTAATGCTAATACCCATCACTGATTAAAGTATAAATAACAAGAAAGAGAAACCATTTTCAAAGCATTAAAACAAAAAACTTAAAAATGTGTGTGTGTGTGTTTTTTTTACTCTAGATCATAAGGGAATAAAAAAATTGTTTTATTATAGCTATCCTCTTCTAATTCAGGTCTGTCATTTCTACTATTGACTTCAGTTTTTAGGAGTTATAACTCAGCCATAAAATTTACTATATTGAAACTTGACAAAGTCTCCTGGGAATTCTTTCCTTTAAAGGCATATTTTAAAAGTTAATGCCAAAAAAGTTGGATACAGACCAATGGCATCTTGAGTGGTATACAGACCTATGCTTTCTTTATTAAATCAATGGTTTCTATCCCAAGCAGGGCTGATTTCTGAAAAGTCATCTTGCATACCCTCATAAGTACCCACTGGCCTGGAGGTACGTGGTGGTAAATAGGCTGCTTCATTTCACTTTTAAGGAGACACAAATTTCCACTTCATACTAGTGTTTTCTAGATGGCAAGATCAGAAACAGTTTTATCGTTAGGTTCTTCCTCCAGAAAGGAGGTGGAAAAGGGAAAAACCAATGAGGGCCACAGGATGACAACGCAGGATCTACATTTCATTAAATATTCACCAGTCCAAAAAGTGCAGCTTTACAAAGTATAATTAATATATTTAAGTCATCTGTTCAACCTTTAATAGTACCTTTATTCCCTTAGACTCTGGCTATGGATACTAAATTACTTAAGTTTCTCATACGGATTATGTCAAATTCTATCAGGATCTTATCAGCCAGATGGCTTTCTCCTAGTTTCCTTGACTAGATTAGGCACACAGACATAGTACTTGCCTAGATCAGAGGCATGGGGAGTAAATCATGAAAATTCCTGGACAGATCAAAGCTATGGGACTCAACAAATAAATCTTATTTGGTCCAAGAACACTAATCAATTGCTTTATTTTTTAAAATAAGATTTTTCCTTTTTCAAGAAATAATCTTTTAAAATAGGTCTTACAGATTTTATCTTAAAACCTCTCTGAATACAACACATAAATTAATTCATATTGCCTAATACTATTACAATTTAATTATTCAGTACTTCTCAGAGTAAAATCAAATACATGTTATATTACATATTTTATATGGGGGTGGGGGTAACAGAGAGAGAGAGAGAGACAGCATCAGAGCTAGCCAAATACCTGCTCCCAAATGAAAAACTGAAATAGGTAGGTATTATCCTAAATTACATAATAAATGAAAAGAATCCATGTAGTAGTATAATACATTGATTCTATTTATTCTTCCTGGTAATCCCTTCAAAGTCTATGGCTTCAACAACTACATGAATACTAATGACTTCTAAATCTCTAGCCCCTGGGCAATTTCTCTCCTGACCTCTAACCTGTATATTCTACTCCTATTAAGCATCTCCAATTAGATATCCCTCTACCACCTCAAACTCAACATACCTAAAACTTAATTCAGCATTTCCCCCTGGAAAAGTGTTCTTCTTCCTCCCGTATTCTTTGCCTTGAAGAATGGTGCCACCCACCTGCTCAACTAGAATGCCTGAAACTGAATCATACTAGATTCTTTCTTCGTCTCCACTGCCTGGAAAATTTCATTTCTGAAATAATTATTTCACCTGTATCCTTTTCTGTAGTCTCATTGCCAAAACCCGAATTTACGTCCTATCACTCTTACTTAGACTTCTGAAATAGTCTCTTAATTGATTTCCCTCACACAATCCCACATCCCCACCTCCACTCCAATTCAGTCCCCTTGGTGCTATTATATGTCCCTGTTTATAATCTTTCAACGGTACTCCTAATTTTGAAATATAGTTCAAACTATTTACTTGGTACATAAAAGCCTTCTTGATTTGGCCATTTCCCTGTCTCATACTCCTTCCCTTAATCTACATGTGATTTCATGTCTCTGTACCTACATGGAAACTTTTTCTGCCTATCTCTTTCAAAACTCAAGAATAAATTTAGGAATTATAAGTCTTTCCTAACTCCTCAGTGTGCCTTAATATTCCACTTCTGTGTCCTTATAATGTATTCCTCTTCCATCATACTTGAAGAGGAACTGCATTGCTTGTCTCTGTACCTGACTCAGTGCCTCGCACGAAGCAGGAGCTTACTTGTTTACTGACTGAATGAAATAAGTCAATGTAAGACAGTGAAATCTGAAGAATACTCATGGAATGCTTTAACTTTTGATACTGAACAAGCTCTGCCAAAAAAATTGTTTAATTTGCTTATTATTACTAATCTGTCCCCAATCGTATTTTTAAATAATTTCTTTCATCTTCTATTCAATAAAGTGTGCTAAGTTGAAATCTTCAACCTTTAAAAGGCAAACACCTCATTTCAAACACAACTAGTCTTACAAGTAATAAACTCTTTAATTAACATGTAATACAAAGGCTTGCATTACTCAAGAGACTAAAAGGAATTTGGGTTAATTCAACCTAGCAAATACCTGTTTGCCTGCATACCTAGGACACCATCTACACATCAGCAGCATGTAAACAAATCTAGCTGTCACCACCCCACAGCCCCCAAATCAACTACAGTCACGTCAGTAAATCTCCTGTCATGTATCATAGCCCCAGCATCCCTTCAGCTTCCTATGATCAACCCAGTAAGGTTTAGGTTATTTTTAATTCTTACCAACAAAGTTAATTTAGTTATTTAAAAGCTATAACACTATTTCCACCTCTGTATGCAACATACCAAATTAAAATTCTAGCAAAGAGGACCTGAAAGCAAAATATTTTTAAGTAAAGAAATTAAAGTTATTTTTAAAATAGAACTTATTCAAAAACAAAATTGTCAGTCAATGCCTTAAAAACAATAAACACACCTAGTCCTAACAATATCATAATGAAAATTAAGCATGTGTAATCTTCAGAGTTGAGTGTTATTTTTAAGAGGCAATAGAGTCTCTGAACAGATGACTTACTTCCTCTACTTGTCTTTTATTTGACCTCAGAGGACCATAGCTGACAGGAGGATCGGAAATGAGAAATTACTTTTAGATTCATGTTTATCATTTATCTGATGGTCATTGGAAAAAACGAAGGACAAAGTTTCATCCTCTGCGTACTGAAACTTTAATGGAAGACAATATCCAAACCAAAACTATTTTAGACTGGATCTAAAGCCCATTACACTTCTCTTATAGAATAAGCAAGAGTAGGAAACAGATACACCACACTTAAATGAAAAAAAAAAAGGAAATCTTTTAAAATGTAGATGGTTATTATTTATAGCCTTATTGTTCAAAGTGTGGATCACACACCATCAGCACGGACATCACATGGAGCTCGCTGGAACTGGAAAATCTCAGGTCACACCCAGAGCTCCTGACTCAGAATCTGCATTTTAACAAGGTCCCACATGATCATATATATGTTAAGGTTTGAGGTTCTTTGGTTTATATAGTTGAGTAGTTCTGAAAACCCATCAAATTACCCAGGTAGTTGGTACAAAATATATAGGAGCTTGGACACTACCACTAGAAATTGCAATCTGATAGATGTGGAGTCAGCCAAACATCTGCATTTTTTCAAAATTTTGTAGGCAATTTGAATTCACATCCTGATTAAATAACCAACCACTAGTGTAATCAAAGGAATTTTGGCTTTACCAAAGTACAGAACTCCTTTAAATACCAAACTCCTCTACTCTAGTACATTGAAAATAACATTTTATGTATTCTTGTTTCAGACACTCTATTTTGTAAAACAGACAAATGTTAATTTATATATTTACATATAATCCTTTATAGGAGATTCAATAATCTCTCCTACAGAAAAGTTGAGGTCAACTCAGATGTATGCCCATTCTCCAAAGAGACCCAAACTGGTTCTTTGCTGGAACAAAATACATTTTAAATCACAAGGTATCACTAGCACATAATACTGCTTGTGATTTTTTTTTTGTTAACATGGTAAGTCATCCAAGATGGAAACTTTATTTATACTAACAGCAACTCAAATACTCAATTCAATCAACAACAAAGTTAAAATAAAGAGTCAAAAACATGAGAACTAAAATATGAAAAAATACTTTATCAGTGTCACTGATATCACTACAGGCATGTAATGAAGCATGCAAATGTGTACTTGGAGTATAATTAAGTTAGGAATAAAGACATAAGTTAGTGTTGCTTCTCATCAATAATGAGCAAAGAAGACTGATCCTGGCATGATACTGGAGCAGTTTTGCAGGTCACTTAACCAACAGCCTCCATCCAAAATGCCTTCCCTCCACAAATTCTATAGGTCACAAACTGTACTCAGTATTGTGCTCAGCACTCAGGACACAAGGACGGAAACAGCCCTGCCTTCAAGCGCCTTTTTCAGTCTAGTTGGGGAGACCCAAATAAACAGGTAGTTACAAAACATGGTACTAACTGCCACAACAGGAGAGGGAGAGGGTAGGATGAGTATACTGAAGGGTACTCAGCTGCCTTGGACAGGGAAGGTTCCTAAGAGATGAGTCCTGAAAGAAGAGAGGTGGGTAATACAAGAGGACATTCCAAGCTGAGGCCTTAGAAAAAAGAGCACGAATTTGCACTTAAGAAAAATCACTCTAAGGCCAGGTGTGGTGGTGCATGCCTGTAATCCCATCGCTTTGTGAAGCCAAGTCAGGAGGATTGCTTGAGGCCAGGATTCGACACCAGCCTGAGCAACATAGAGAGACCTCATCTCTACAGAAAATAAATAATAAAAATTAGCAAGGTGTGGTGGTACAGGCTTGTATCCCAGCTACTCAGGAAGCTGAGGAAGGAGAATCACCTGAGCCCAGGAGTTCGAGGCTGCAGTCAACTAGGATTATACCACTATGTACTTCATCCTGAGTGAAAAAAAGGAAAAGAAAAATCAATCTGGCCTCAGACATGAAAAAAAGCCTAGACTTATAAAATTCTTAAGAGTAATCAAGTCATATTTTTCTTCAGATCCTAAATGTTTACTACAGTCCTTGGCATAAAGTAGTTGCTCAAGTGTAGATGGCTGAATAAATGAGTGAATGGAATTATATGTAAAGAAATTTAAAAGTCCAATAAAGATGAATTCACTAATATTTATTCATTCCATATGTTCTAAATATAATCTATTCTTGATGACTCTGGATGAATAAACTCAGCTTATGTAGAAAAGTATATCTTTTGGAAAGGTTCTCATTCAACAGAGTTTCATTATTAAGCTTTAGAACTTAAGGCAAAACTGCTGATACCAAGTAAAAAGCTTAAAGCAAAACTATGTTGAATATGATTCTCTCCTAAGATGCTGAATATATGAGAAGCTACATAGTGAAGGCCCTATAAAAGATAAGGCCTCAGGCCTCAACGTGTGCACAATTCCAACAGAGACAGAATTATTCCAAGGCCAAGCATAGAGATACAATTATTCCAAGCCCCAGTGTAAGAACCACCTTTCCCAAAAAGCTTTTTGTGGAAAATGCCCAAAAATAATATTTAGACCAGGAAAAAAATCTAGTAAGCTGTTATTTGATTGGAATTTCTTCAGAAATACAAATAGCCTCCATGAGACAAGTGTGACACTAAAACTGCTTTGATTGAATCATTGTCAAGCCTGGTCCCATCTTCTGATTAGAAAGGTTCCACAGTGCCCTCACTGAAGTGTCAGTGTGGGGTAGTAAGTTGTTCACTCTCATCCTTAGGGAAATAAATGCAAAAAGCAAAAGAGAGAAGCCCATTACTATTTTAAACTACAGATTAAGGTCTGTGAGAATGTACTAAGAGTCTAGGACCCTGTAATTTCCCTGCCTTTGCTACTTGGTATCTGTTTGCCTGCACTGCCTGTACTTTGCTATTATCCATCCACTCATTCAACAGATATGTTTTAAGTGTTACTATGTCCCGAGCATTGTGCTAGGCCCAGGGTCTACATAACTCTCCCCAGTCCCTTACATAAATCTCTCCAGTGGGAAGAAAGACATTAAACAAATCAATGCACAAATATAAACACAATTACAAACAGTATTAGATGACAGTAGGAAAGGAACATGAAACAAACAACAAAGAAGACAGACATACTTTATTTAGAAGTGACATTTGGCAGAGACCTGAAAGATAAGTAAATTAGTCAAGCGATGAACATACAGTAACAACAGATCTGTGTTTTAGGAAGATATTTCTAACAACAGCACGGAAGACAGATTAGAAAAGAGGTCAGTTAAGAGACTACTGCAATAGTGAAGGTAAGTGATAACAAAACTACTAAAAGTGGAGATGGGAAGGGGAAGCAAACGTGAAAAACATTCAGAGGCAGGATGGATAGGCATTGATCACAGATTAGGGAGAGTATAAAAGAAAGAAGTTAAGGCATTTGCCAGGATTCCAACTAGCATAGGTAACCGGAAGGGTAGGGGTTAGAACAACTGAGACATGGAGCACATAGGAAGAAATTTTAAAAGGAAGATAAGTTTGGATTACTGAGTTTTTTGTTGCATTTAAGATACTGGTGACACATTCATGTGGAGATGTCTGACATTCAACTTTGAAAACAAATGGTCTTATAATAAGGAGAACAGCCAGACTAGAAAACGGACCTGGAGTCATCTTTATGGAAGTGATAAGTGATACCTCGGGAATAGAGGAATCACTAAGAGTATATAAAAAGAAAAAAAGACATTAAGGAAACCTTAATCCATATTTGAAGACCTAGTAACAAAACAAAAGCCAGTGGCAAAAGAGAAAGTATTAAATTTCACAGAAGCATCAGTCCAATAAACATTTATCAACACCCACCATGTTCCAGGTACTATGCTAGATATGGGGGTACAAAAAAAAGACAGGACTCCTACCCTTAAGAAATGTATAGCCTAGAGAAGAGATAGAAATAGATTATTTCCAGAGAGTTATAAACGGGGCACCACAGAGACACAGAAGGGAGACACCCAGGAGGTCAGGGAATACTCACTGATGTGAGGCATTAAGATTAAATAAAATGATGCAAAGAAAGTTGGTAAGGGCAAACCAAATGAAATCAAGACAATGCTCCTGGACTTCTAAAATACTGAGTAAGATAACTGGTTTAGGAAAGAACTTGGTTGGAAGGAGCCAAAAGAGGCTAAAGTGATTTAAACTGGAAAGAATAATCTATTCTTGGAAGAAAATAAACATAGAAGATGAAAAAAGGGGACAAAGGACAAGGGGTTTTTGGCCAAAAGTGTACAAGTTTTGGGTGAACTGTTACAAAAGAGAGATTGAAGGTGCCAAGCTGTGTAAGGATATGGGAAGGTGGGTAAAAAGAACTTATTTGAAGTTTGCTGAGCTTTATGTAATTGTATATTTCTATCTCATTAGAAGATTTCACTAATATATTACAGAAGTTCATTACTTTCCAAAGGTTCGGGGCTTGTCTGCTTCTTTTGAATGCAATACTGAGACTGGCCCAAAATGACCCAGGTATACGTGACCATGAATGTGTGGAAAAGGTAAATTTGTAAGCACTAATGGTTGCAGAGGTCAAGCATGATGTAAAGAGAGAAGCCACTAGATTTCACATTTATGTGGTGACCTTCAAGTGAACTTTCAACCGAAATGTAGGGGTAGAAAAAAATTACAGGTAGTTCACAAAGTGAATGGCAGAGGCATGGCTCTAACATTGTTCATTCATTCAAAAAATATTTACTGAATGCGTACGATGCACTAGGAACTAGCTTGGGCTTCGGTGAATCAACCAGGATCAAGAGACAGATTTCTCAGAAGCTTACAGTCTGATATAGAAGGAAAACAAGGAAATAAACAATTACAATGTGACAGAATCAGTACTAAAACAGGGTAGTATGAGAGCACATGGAAGTTTGACAGACTAGATGGCAGTAACTAGGTTCAAGGTAGTATAGAAGAGAAGTTTATTTTTTGACTGAAAGGAATTTGAGCATGTTTGTAGGTTGAGGAAGAGGAGCTAGTGGACAGGGAGACAGAAGCTGGGGAGGGGTAAAGAGGAGGAGTTGTTGGAAGAAAGTCCAGTGAAGTAGACAGGCAAGGGTGGAAGTGCTGGACTTGGAACAGAAAAACAGCTCTTCCTCCAAAGAAGAGACAGAAGATAAAAAATAGTCCTGATGTGAAAAGAGCATAAACAAACATCTTCTACTTTTTGTCATGATATAAGCAAGATCTGACTTTTATAAAGGAAGCAAAGATGGGGTTGAAGGCTTAAGAACAGTGTGAAAAGTTTGAAGCAAGCAAGGATAAATGAAATGATAACCAATCAACTCCACTTCTTAAGATTATGTAAATGAGAGAAAGCACAATCAATCAACAATTGTGGGCATGCTTTGTTTGGATCTGGAAGTGGAACATGAAGTGGAAGGCAAGCTGCATTTCATGGAATTAGATTAAGTATGAATTTAAAAAGGTAAGTATTAAGAATTATCAAGAAAAATCACTAAATGCACACCCATATAGCATGCAATTATATATGGGCTAATACTAATACAGTCAATGTAGCACTACCATGAGTCTGAACCTGTCACTATTACTTAGTAGCAATGGCAGAAGCTAGAAGGTTCACACAATGAAGGCAGGCAACAGAAACCATAAGTAACCAGAAATGAAGAGGAATCTCACATGTAGAGAAGCTATACAGATTAGATCATGTAATGGGAAAAGAAGTAAAACCCAAGACAGACTGTTGACTAATGATAAGATAAGCCTGAAGATAACTGAAGTGTTGTTCCTGCCTTCCTTCTTTCTTCATCATTCTCTTAGCAACTGTTGTGTGCTAGGTACACTATGAGGCATTGGTGATACAAAGAAAAGACAATTCTTGCTTGTAATCTCAAAATACATTCCTGTACCCACAGCCTAATGTTTACCAAAACAAAACAAAACAAAACTGTCCTGAGTTTTGCTATTCAAAACTACACATTGTTCAATAAGACATTAATCATGAAGAAACAAAATAATATCATAAAAGGTCAGCAAATTCGTGAACAATTAGCAAAAGGTGCCACCAAAAATGGCACCAAACTCCAGCATAAAGGCCCATAAAATAACGAAGTGCTCTAACTTAATAAACTTCTGTGTATCTTGGCTTTATCACAGATGTTACATTTGACTTTTCATTTAACGGTTGGATTATTGCCAACAAGAAGGCAACAAACATCAAATGGCAAAGCAAGATAACCAAAAGCTAAGTGCTAGAAAGTATTTCAGAAAGAAACCGATACAAGTTCAGTGATCACTACGACAGTAATAATATTTACTGAGCTCTTCCCTGAGCCAGGTATTGTGCTAAGTACACTATACACATCATTAAGCTTTTATAAATTCCCACAATAAACCTACCTATAAGGTAGTTTCTAATATAATCATTTTACAGACAGGAAAATTGAAGCTTAGAAAGATTTGGTAACTTGCCCACACTACAGAGCTAGTAAGCAAAGAAGCCAGGACTTGAATTCAGGTCTTCTTGACTCTTAAAAAATCCGTGCTTTAACCACTGTATGACTGTTTCCCCAAAAGAATGGAATGATGCTAGGCACATGATGGATGCTCGATAGTGTCTGTCATTGAAGGAATGAATGACAGGATATAAAGCAGCCATTGCACAGTAAGCCCAAATGTGGAAAGCACAAACAGAAAAGCAGAAACAATACTTTGAGGATTCACTAAATCACCAACTCAAACTATGCAGCATAATTGTGGATGTCTGGAAAACAGCAGCAACTGATGCGGTGGCCTAATATGCTGCTACAAAAAATGTAATGGCTCTTTCTGAGGGAAAACTTCAGGCTGTCTATGAATCTACAAACCCAAAGAAGGAAATGTCATCAGGCAGTTTAGAAAAGGAAATGCAGATACTGATCAAAACACTATTTTCCACATTTTCTCAGTAGGGAAAGGATTGCTGATGCTGCATTGACCTAACAGTCAAGATCACAACTTGCCTTTCATTCTGTCACCTTTCAAAAGAAAGAAAAACATGTATACTGGAAAGCTCATCACATTTTAGGACTATGGTCTTTTAAGAGATTCCCACCAAAAGATTCCTTCTATGGGGCCCAGGGCCATGTTTTATGCCACTGACTCTGCCACTATGATCACAAATGACAGGACCAAGAGAGAGCAACTGTCCCAAGAGCAGCCAATCTACAGACTGGCCAGCAACCTATGAAGGGGACTGACATGAGAGATTAGCCCAACAGGCAATGAATCTAACTGGACTAATTAGATTTCCTCTTACAGAAGATTGAACTCAAGCTGTACAGAAGGGGAAAGTAGCGGAAGGACACAGAGCAGAGGGTGGAACGAGGCAGTTAAGACCATATTGAGAAGATACAGAGTGAGGTAATTTGTTTAAAACAAAATAAAGCAGAGTCTGAAAAGGGCTAATAGCAGCAGAGAAGCAATACTTCTGCTGCTCAGAGGGCAACATCCAGACACTAGAGTTGCACTGATTTTTTTTTCTCATTTTGTAACACCTACCTAGTTGAAATCTGAATGGTGAAGCTGAGTTGTACAATTACTCTTGGAATCCTATAAGGCCTGATCACTTATATCTCCCATATTTCCCCAAATAAAGTCTTCTAATAAAACTCTCCTTAGAAGCTACCAAGTAAAATTCTGTGCTTGCAACTCAAAAAAAGAGCATAACATAACATTTGTATCTATGGGTACATATGCATTTACACGCCAATTAGATGACTAGTGTAAGTTTCTTACCAGCTATGTGAACCTAAGTAAATCACTGAACTTCTCTAAGTTTCTATTTTCTGTTCCATAAAACAGGGATAATGAAAGAATAGGTTTTACTTCATAGAGTTGTTGGTAGGATTAGGGACATTATGCATGAAAAGATTTAGCAGAGTGCTTGGCATATAACAAGCATGCCATAAATGTTCATTATTATTAGCTATTACTAAGAATTATCTTTCTTTTTTATAAACACAACACTGGTGAAATTTCCTAAAAACAAGTGAAATCCATCAATATTGAGAAGATAAAATGTTAAGACTTGAAGTCTCAAAATACATGGTGTACAATTTAGAGATGGAAAAGGCTTACTTGCCTTAATACCATTATCAAATATTTATTTGAAGTGTCTTGGTATACATGAAAATGTGCTAGGCACCGTACAAAATTATCAAGAGAGTCCCTGACATCAAAAATACACAATCAAGCAAATTAATTCTGCTGAGTGGACGCAAACACCAAAACCTCCAACTTTGGGCATTTTCTCAAACAGATGCACCTATGGTATGCTAGGTCCCTTTTTGTTTGTGGTGTTGTAGTGGTGAAAATATGTAGAGGAAGAGGCTTGAAAATAATAAGCCTCCCAAATTTGGTGTGGAGCAATGAAGATTTAGGAGGAAATGAGCTGCATTTTCCATACTCTTACCCTTCCAAAAAACACTTTAGCTATCTTGGTACTAATGATTTCTATTAAACTAGAAGAAGAAAAGGCAAGGTAGAAGCTGGAAGCTCAGAGGAATAGGGTATAGAAACAATTTAGGAGAAGAGAAATGAATTTGGAAAGTTAGAAAAGCCAAAATAATTGTAGGTTTTAAGTGAGACATGTTTTTAATCTGCATTCTACCATGTGTTTAATGCCTCAAAAACCACAGAACAGCTATTCCTGAAATTGCTGATCCTTATTCCTTTTCAATACCAAGGATCCCTTTAGCTCTTAAAGAGAGACGACAGGATAGCACAGAGTACAGAAGGATTTGTCTAACAGCACAGCCAATATCCTGCTGCACATATCTTAGAGCTTGGCTTCAGATCAACTGAAAGCCATGGCTAAATCATAATCCTGATAATCTATGGATTCCATTAGAAAAATAACTTCTCCAACTCCAAACTAAGGATCTAGAATACTTCAATGGGTCACTGCAGGAAACCTGGAAACATAATTTCCAAAATTTTTGAAGCATCTCTACCTCATTTTCAGAAGTCATGCTATTTGAAGAGATCTTTTGCAACTTCACAACAGGGAATGATAATCACTTCTACCTATCTCCACATGTATTTACCATAACACCTACAGGGAAACTCCTCTTTCTATACCCACAGCCTCATGCCATAGCAAAATCATTAACTCCCCACTACTGCATCCATAGGCTCTTTAATGCAAACTGAGCAGAACAGACTATTTATTGACCATAAAGTAATATAATAAATATATTCCTAAAAAATCTGAAGGTACATTTCAACAACTAAAGCAACCTGTGTCAACCAAAAACTTAATTCATATATACAAAACTAGACAAAAAACTAAAACCTAAGAATGGGTAATGTGTACACTCTTCAAAGGTTTTCTTCTTAAAGAGTAAAGGGGAGGGGGAGGGAATGGAGACATAAACCAAAAAAAAAAAGAAATGGTTGTTGTGTATTCAAGGCATGTCTAATGAACACCTGCCCAATGTCAGCTATACTTCAGCTCTCATTTGCACTATTCAAACTTATAAAGTTGAAGAGCAACCTACGCCTGTTGTTTCTCCTCTCCCACCACACTTAGGAATGGAAGGCATCTTTAGGAAGGAAGGTAAGTTGAATTCCATAGGAAAACTCTTAATTGATCAAATAGCAGCAAAGGTAGATATAATTTATAGCCAGATAGGTCTTATATAAAATAAGCAGTTTCTGATGGCTCTTTGTGTGCTGTAATCCTCACTATAACAATACAAAATCACCTAAATATGTGTTTATGTAGCCTACATGCAGAAAAGCTTCTGGCACAAACTTCTTAGGCCTCTTCTCAAGAGCCTTAAGCCTGAGCCCCTGAAGTGACAGAGCTCAAGTCAAATCAGGAAGGATGAAGACCAGAAAGGAATAAGAAGAACAATACTTTGTGGTCACTTGTTTGTTCTACCTTTCTAAACTGGTCCTAGTTCAGGTTCTCTTATATATGCCATTATCCATTAATTCAGCTATTATGATAAAATGTTTCCAGTCTGTCTAATGTAGGCAAGTACTGACACAGTGCTATTTTTCCTACATGACCCAGATGAAATCTTTTGACAGCCCTGGAACTCTCATTTATTTCCTCCTCTAGATTCCTATTCTGTGGCCCCAGAATTACTATGGAGGAGACACACTGTGAATGGTCCTGTAGAAATAGGTGGGTAGAGTAAGAGAATTCCAGCAATGGGCTCCCCTCCTCCAATATCAATTTTTCTTTCTTCTCTATAGTATTTAACAAGCAAGCAGAGAGGGAAAGGCTGGCATACAAATGAGAGGATGCTGCAAAGAGCAACCCCTAGCTTTTTAGGAATCCTCATATCTTTTCAGGGGTTATCAGCATTTATCTGGAAAATATCTTTGGAATATGTCTTGTGTGTAGGAATGCATAAAAGATAACACCTTGCAAAAGTCAAACATATAGGTTTAATAATGTGCAACTAATGAAGATGGCTTATAAATGAAATACCACCTACACATTTAGTTCCCTAAATATATTATACTATTAGTTATTAAAGTTAGATCTATAAGTACAAATTTTCAATATGTGGGAAAGTAAATCTGTTTTTAAATTAAAGAGAAATTATTACTCTATTTCTTAGAAATAAAACTATCAGAATATAATTCAAGTGTAGCTGCTCATAGTCACTGAATAAGTTTAAATTTGATAATAAAACATTTAAGTTTCAACCAATGCACCTTTGCTGAAGCACATTTAGCTGAAATAACTTCGATTCTGGTTTATTTCCATCACATATAGTACATTTTTCCAACAAGAGCATGTACATTCAATATAGAACATTTCCAGCAATAGTTACAGTCTTTCTAGTTTCCTTTCACAGTATATTTTAGTGCAAAGCACTGGGAAGGTAAATGTTTTTCTAGCTATAGAATCATTTTATTAAGACCTTGTGGATCTTTAACATTTTAAAATTTTATACAAAAAGTATATAGATGGACAGGGTCCCTCCTAAGTACAGGTGTGAACCTATATAAAAACATGGTATATTTTCTGCTGTACCTTTTATAATTATAATTTGACACAAATAACTAAAAAATAAAATATTCCCTAAAAGTACAAAATATTGATACACAAAAACCTGCCCAAAATTTCATAAAGATAGATGTACTTCTGTTTTTCCTAAAATCTTGATTACAAAAATGGACAAGAATTCATCATTTTCTAAATTTTACAGTAGGAATCAAATATTATCTAAAGTGGTCCTTTAAGATTTTTCTTGGGAGAAAAAAAAATCAGGGCTTACACCCGCATCTTCCTTTTGTAGCAATATTTAAGGAAATAAACTAGTATCATAAGAAGTGGTTGTGCATGGATTGTCTGCATCCATAAAATATCAGTAAGCTATTTATTACCTTCATATTAACATTAGTAAATGTGTGGTCTTTAAAAAAATAGGAACTGAAAAATAAGGTTGCATCTATCATTAAAGTGCTTTGTATAAAATTTAAAGAAAAATAGGGGAATGTTTAATTTTCATAAAAACCTACATTTACAAGTGAAAAATGTAATGATCCATGCATGAAAATGAACTGCAGCTTTCCTGTAGTATATATTTTAGGATGAAACTTTCAAACACTGAAGTGCTGGAGAACAAGCTAGAAATAAATGGATGTAAAAATAATTACAAATATTTAGTAAGCTAAATATTTATAATGTGTTGATACTATTTTGTCTTTTGTTCCTAACATACACTCACTAGAAAATCATATATCTATACAATTCAGATGAAAATGTTGCCAAATAAAGAGAAACAAAACTAAAATCACTAAGATATAAAGTCTTTGTCAATTAAAAATTGATATTTTCTTCAGGTTGTTGATCACTTAATCAACAAATTGTTTAGAAAACAAAATTTGTAACATTTTTGTAGAAACTGTCGACCAAATGCACAAGGTCAAGGGTGGATAGCTGATGGACTGTGATGACAACATGTAATATCACAGCTACTTGAAAGTGCTGGAATAGGCAGTGCCTTAGAAACAAGTGGTTAGATGGTTATTTTAGTCAGAAAACAGCAGTTATAGTTGAATATTTAGAAAAATGTTTTTCTTTTTTTCCTCATAGTACCATTTGAAGATGTTTAGTGGTTCTAACACCAATTTAAAGTCTTTCCACAAAAATGAACTCCAAACCTTTTCGTACATCACTTGAAGTTATCTGAGGAGAAATGGGAATAAATGAACACTTTTGAGTTTACTAATAAAACCTAGTTTTTAAAACTATGCAACAGTAAATTACTTCTAAAAGATGGTTTCATCTCAAGTTTTCCACACAAATAAAAAAACGTGTGATAATCAAACCACAACATTTAACCCTCACAGCACTCAAACTAATATTTTGCTTTAGAACCTGAATCTGAAACTAATTTAATACTCATTAAATACATTAAATGCCTTAATACAGGGGACACAGGTATAGAAGGTGAACTTTTAAAATATATATAGACTTGCGAAAAGTATAGGGAGTCTACTCATTTTATGTTGCATTTTTTAAAAATCTACATTTGTTCCAAAACCTTCTTTAACAAGTAGTATTTTTTGGCCAGGCACGGTGGCTCATGCCTGTAACCCCAGCACTTTGGGAGGCCGAGGTGGGCGGATCACCTGAGGTCCAGGAGTTTTGAGACCAGCCTGACCAACATGATGAAACCCCATCTCTACTAAAAATACAAAATTAGCCGGGTGTGGTGGCTTATGCCTGTAATCCCAGCTACTTGGGAGGCTGAGGCAGGAGAATTGCTTGAACCCAGGAGGCGGAAGGTGTAGTGAGCCGAGATTGCACCACTGCACTCCAGCCTGGGCAACAAGAGCGAAACTCCGTCTCAAAAAAAAAAAAAAAAAAGTAGTATTTTTCTTTCTTCCAAATATGAATTTTACTTTTCTTACGACACACAACCACAAAAAACAAATCCCTAGTTAATAATATTAACTATGTTAAAATGATCACCAAAAAGTTTATTAAAAAGAGAGGGGAAGCATTTGGGACCTAAATAAGCATTGTTTCCATAGATCAAAACTAAAAAACAGTAACTAACACACACTCCCAAGGAGAAGGAAAAAAAATCCAAACTTCTATTTACCACCAACTTTCCCCCTTTGCCTGGAAGCACTATGTTAAAAGTAAATGATAAATGCTAATCATTTTTAATTCAATTCGGGGATTTTTTTTTCTGAGTGCAGCATTTTATTTAGCCGTCACAGATTAATTTTTACAATAATTACAGTGCCTCAAAAGATTTTTTCCTATAGTTATCGCCTTCACAAGTTCATTCTAATATATTTAACTTTCCTACAATTCATTAATTAGTAGACTAAGTCACTGAATCAAATTAAACCTGTGCAAAGTTAGTTAAACAGAAGACTTCTATTGTAAACATAAGCCAATATAAATGTATATATTTTACAACATTAAAAGGAAAGCACTGACCCTGTGCCATCTACCTACAACTACATTGCATTGTCCTGTGGAAGATAAGTTCTGAAGTTAACTTTTGTTCCCAAGCCACTGGAATAAAGGTCACTGAAGAGGTAAATGCAATATGCACATTACTCTTGCAGTTCCCATTGCCATGAGATATATGGAAGCAAACGTGTTAAAATGGAACCAGCTATAAATTATGGTCAAATGATTTTTTTTTTAGTTCGATGGGGGGAAAAAAGCAAAACTCTGTTAACTGTTCCTCACCAGACAAGAGCCTTAGATCTTGTACTTCGGCCTTTGGTTTTGTTTCCTTCAGGTGAATTGGAAGCATTTGCCTTATGAGTTTTCTTATGATGTTCAAGGTAAGTCTTTTTGGCAAATGCCTTTCCACATTTATTGCATCTGTGAAGAGAAAAGTTTTTTGTGACTTTTACTTCAATACCGACGTCAGCTACTTCATACTTTTTACTAGGAGAGTTAGAAGTGCCATCATGTTTTGAATCACTATGTTTTGCTTCATCCCTCGAAGGGCCTCTTTTTGCCACTTTATTTAGAACAAAATCAATAGGCTTTTTTATAGCTCTGATCTCTAAACTGGCTGTTATTTTCCCAAGATAACGAGATGACTTTTTATGAACCACAGTTATATGTCGTATCACATCACGTTTCCGACGAGTTTCATAAGTGCAAAGAGGACACTTGTAGAATTTAACATAAATGTTATTTCCATCTGTGTGCAACTCGATGTGTTTAGTCAAGTTCTGTTTGGAAGTAAACTGACGTTTACAAAGTTTACAGTAAAGTTGCTTAAAGTCAAAGCCAGCTGAAAGTTTTGGTTTTCTGGTTTTTTGCTGGCCACCTGCAGCCGACGGACTAGTTGATTTAGGGCTTTCAGAGTCTTGTTTAACTTTATTTTTCTGTGCTGCCGGTGTGTTCTTTTTTTCATTTGAATGATTTGTTCCCTTTAATTCATTCTGTGGAGAATGGGTAATGGAAGGGGGTGAAGATTCTACAGAATCTGCTGGTTCAACTTTAACTTTTATTTCTGAACTGTTGGCAGTATTATTAGGGCCTTTTTCTCTTTTAGAGTTTGTTCCAGAAAGAGTTATCTTGTGGACAATTTGCATATGTCTTTTAAGCATTATTTGTGAACTATATTTCCTCTTGCAAAGGAGGCATTTGCATGCAGTTAAATTGTATTCAGCCTTTGAAGAAGACTTTTGTTTTCGAGTCTTAAAAGATTTTTTAGGAGAAATAGAATCCAGGAACAAAGGTTGCCCAGGCTTTGTTGCTATATCAGGAGTAATTGAATCCCTCCTTAGTCCTCTATGAACTTCATCAAAATGCCTCCTTACATTCGCTTTTGTAGCAAATGATTTACAACATACTGGACAACTCCTACTTAATGGAACTAGAACATTCTTACTGCGTCCTTTAGAGGATTGGTTTGGATTCTTTCGTGTTTCAATGTACTTTTTTAGTTCTTCCATCTTTTTCTTGTGTACTTTTCGAATGTGACGGCGAACACCTCGTCTAGAATTGAATTCTTTTCTACAAAGACAACATATCAACTGGTGACCAAAATCAGAATTGTCAGAAGTTTCCAAGTCAGCCTGCGACTCCTGAGGTTGTTCATCAGATGTAGGTGCAACTTCATCTGTAACAATCTCAACAGGAGGGGGCTCTACAGTTTCCACCTCTGTATCTGTAACCGGTACTGTTTTTGACTGTTCAGTGCTAGTTTCCTGTATCTGAACTTCGGTTTGTTCAGGAGTACTGCTTGACTCTGTGACTTCAATAGGATTATCAGTCCTCGAAATATATTGAAATACTGCATTTTGATTAGTTTCTATGGGTTCTAGCTTAATAATATATTCTCGTTTGTCCACACTTGGATATATGGCTTCTAGGAGATCATTTATGGCTTGGCTTTGTTTATCATTTACATCAGGAAGGTCTGTTAAGGAAAAAACAACATTTTAATCTGAAGTAATTAGCCTGCTGTAGCCCTCTAATATTTTAAGATATATTATGAACCTCTATCTCAGAATATATCATATTACCAGTTTATTTTTATAAGAGCATTATCTACTTTTCAGTATTCTACAAAGATAAAGACTACTATTAAACTAAAATTTCCTTTAAATTCTCATCATGATACACAAAAATGTTAAGGAACATATATAATCTGAAGGGCTACTTTTGCTTCAAATGCCCTTAATATAAAATATATAAGCACTTAGGTGTCCTAAATAATAAAAATGATATTTCATATTTTTAGTCTGAATGTTTTAGACTAGCAAAGGCAACTCAAATTCTCGTAACTCAATTGATAAAACAGCATGAAAAATGTTACTACATAAATAAAAATGGCATTTTTTAGAAAACATAACAGCATTCCCATTAACTTAATCCATAATAGTCTAATCTAATCTAGTCTATTTGAGCATCTTATGAAAATGAAAGATTTGTAAGCAAATATGTAAACATAAATGGGATGATGTGTAGAAGTATTTGCTAAACTCAGTCCTATTACATGTCTTCTTAACATGACACAATTTTACTAAAACAAATAATTAAAAACTATACAGATTTATTTAAAAACCATAGGTAGTTTTATTTCCTTGTACAATAATTACACCCTTTACAGGCAATCAACTATCCTATTGTAACAGAGTTGTCTAACACTGGTTAGGTTTCCATGTATTACTACTCTAAAATCTAGCTACAAATTTAGTACCAAATCTGGTATCTATACCAATCAGGAAGTGATTCATTATAGCTCTTCTAGTCTAGTCATCTGTCTTTTAAGATGAATAAAGTAGTGTCTATAAGAAAAATACTTTCACAAAAGTATTTCTAGAATGAGTATTGCGAAGACAAGTACACAGTAATCTAGCAAATCCATTTACCATTTCACTCTATAAGTTAACTCTACAACTAAAAAATAAATAACTACCAAAAGACAAACTAATTTTCTACTAGTATTTTAATTAAAAGTTTAGATTTGAAATGAATCTCTAGACTGCTTTTTAATTTATATCTCAATGAGAGAATAGTAAGATCAAAATAGTAGTAGGAAATATTTCCAGGTAAATATAAAATTTGTATTTAATCAATGCTGTATAATATAACTTTAAGCCAGCTTCATTATAATTAAAGCCATACTTATTTGGAGATTGCATTTCATACCAATCCCAAAAAGGTTAAGTTGAAAAATGCACAGAATCCACAATGCATCTACGCTTTCAGACTGACAAAGTAAGTTCTATATTTTGTAAGTCAACAAAGAGTTAAATCCATAAACAAGAAAGAATAAGGTAGCCCAATATTGAATTTTTTTAAATTTACATTAATTCTTTAAAGAAAGAAAATACCATTAGATACACTGCCAGCCTCATCACACAGAGACAATATGCTGCATTCAAAACAAACATTCTGTTCCAGAAAGACTTTATATTAGTCTGCTATCTGCCTTTATCACATAAAGTTATACTGGATCTCAAGTTAGCCTGTAACATAATGTAATTTCTGAGAAAATGACTTATCTAAATTTTTCTGAAAACAAAACTGATCTTCAAATCAAGACCTAGAAAATACTAGAAAGATTAATAAAGACTTTTTAATGCTCTCCACCATTCCCAAGAAATGAACAAATTTACCTCATTCTTTGCTCTTTATTCCCAACCTTCTCATTTACTTAAGGGGAATCTAAATAAGTGATCAATCACATCTGGTTGCAAGTTGTTAAAGAATAAAGAAGTAAAAAGTAATATAAACTAGAAAATCCATTTATGGCCCATATAAACATTCTAAAACAATATCCAATATTTTAATATAAATAAATATCCTCTTAAATCTAACCTCTTATATGTCATCTTTAGGAAAACCCAAGTGGAAAGCATTGATATGAAAGTACCTAAGAAACTGAATGTAACATTGAGTCAAGTATTTAATTTTATTCTCCATCTCCATCTAAAAATTATCTGTAACTAGACATCATTATCAAATTATCAGTAACTAGATACAATTTTAATGCAAATGTATACTTGCAGTATAAGAATACTTAGCTGTAAAATGCATAACTGAGTATATGAATAAAACTTACTGTCATCCATCTGGAGACTTGGTGGGCAGTAGAATTTTTTATGGGTAATTAAATTTGGTAATCCTCTGAAGAGACTGCGGCATAACTTACATTCAAAAATAGTGTCCACATCTTTTAATAAAATATGCTTAAGTTGTTTAGTTCCTGAGAGAAAAAAGAAAAGAAAAACTTAACACAAAAGGTAACTTTAACATGCACTTTTAAACTGGACAACCACTGTTGACAGACCAAAAGTGCAGTTACTCTTTGAAAACAAAATATAGGCATTGCCAATTTCCACCACAGTATATTTAGAACTAAGTTATAGACTAAATTCTAAGCAAAACCCTACTATCATTTGGAAATCAGGAGAACTAAAATTGATGCTGTGTTCCCACTTCAGCAGCCAATCAATTCTTGATATATCCCAAGGCAGTGGTTCCGACATGAGGTTAATCATTACAATGAGCTGGGAATAAAGATGTACACAGCCCTCCCCTAGAGGTTCAGATTTAATAGATTTGGAGTAGGACAGAAAAATTAAATGTTCCCCCATTATTCCCTGGCAAACTTTTTGGCTGGTTCTTTGAAGCTCTTTTCTGTATTAGGAAGTAAGCAAGGAGTTTTTCAATACATTTTCCCCTTATTCCTTAAAGAAGGTCAAAACTGTATTACAGGATTGCCTGTGATTTTTCTCTTTAAATTCAGCTCAAATTACTTCAGGTTCTGGGCCAACATGGGATTATGGCTATTTAGCGTGATTCTCTACGAAGTAGAGAATCTTTGTCTATACTGAGACATAATTTTGAACTATGCTTACGCCTCTTGACAGCACTATAAATTTATTCAAAGCCTTTCTCCCTTAAAACACCCCAATTACAATTAAGTATTGATATAATTACTAGTTTAATGCCTATCTTCTCTACTAGATTATACACTCCAAAGCAGCCAAGAATAAGCCTATCTTATTTACAAGTGTAACGTATTCAGCTCTTACAATGCTCAAAAACAATTTGTTGAAGAAACGCTACTAATCTAGGGAACCTAAGTACTATGAAAGAATATCTTTAGGCAGAGAAAAAATAAATGGTAAAAAGCACCTGATCTTTAAAAATAAAAACAGCCACCAGAAATAAAATACAAACGGAAGGTCTTTAGTCACTACTTTCCTACAGCTCTTTGCCACAGGTAAGGTGGCAAAACTGATCTGCAGTAATTTACTAATTAATGTACCTTTACTTTCCTCAAATTAAAACTTTTTTAAAATGACAATATATTGACTTGAACAGGAAAAGACCCAAGTACCCTGAAAAATATCCTTAAGACTGTCTAGGTGCAAAGTGTTGTGTCATTTAAGAAGCATTTAACCACCTATTAGGCTCTGGGACTACTAAAGAGTATAAACTATCTTAGAAGTATAATTAATATAGTAGGGTCTATAAAAGTTAAATAGCTCAGATTCAATATTTTGCAATCTGTTTACATTTAATCTTTGAAGTGTATTTTATCATTTTGAAAACGATGATAAAATCATTTCCCCCACCCCCACAACATACACACACACACAGAGAGAGAGAGAGAGGGAGATAATTATTGTTGATCCAAGCATTCAAAACTCTACTGCAAAAAAGTTACCAGGTTATCACAACTTTACTAAGTCTTGAGAGATTCCAAATCTGATATTATCTACTTGTGTGACCTTAAAAAGCTTTATAATCTTTATACTTTGGTTTACTCATGTTGTAAAATAGAACAAACCTAACCAAACCTAAGTTGAAGAATTATTAAAGAAAATATGAACCTAAATCCCAGGGAAATTATATACTTGAGTTTCTACTGGAAAAAATGTATAGAATAAAATAATTTCTACCATTTCCCAAATCCAAATCTATGTTTACTCCACTAGTCCTTATTACCACAAAATCAGAAAACATAAATTTAAAAAGATTCAGAGAATAGCCTGAGTGTTATTCTTTACATAAAAGTAAATTCTCATATATATATTTTTGAAGTCCATTTCACATTACAAAATATCTTGGCAACGGACTGCTAATATATTTAGTTCACAGTTAACTTCATAAGTGAGTGACAAACTATGAGAGGTAGACTGATTTTAAAAAATGCTTTGGCTAAGCCTAATTGACCTATATATATTTCTCAGGAAATGTAGGTGAGCATAGTAGCAGTGGGAAGAAAACAGGAAACTTTTGCACACTGATTCTAAACTACAAAACCTGCTAGACCCATAATACAGATTCAATTCTGCCTTTAAGGATAGTCAAAAAAGATTGAAGAGGAACACCAAAATAATGTGAACTCGGTTTAACTTAAGAATTCAACTTAAGATTTAAATAGGATACATGTACATGGCTGCAGATTTAAAGCATAAAATAATCAGTCTGTAAACATGAGGTTATACATAAAAAATAGTCAAGTGTAAAATATAAGACTGCATCCCTAAATCAGACACATCACTTTGCCTACCAGCTTCTCAATCACAGAAAAATAAAGACACTATCAATTTCTTAATTAGTCCTAATTATACAGTTAAGTTATATTCAGTAGGGACTGCATATTTATTCTCAATAAACATCCAAAAAAAAGTATTTGCCTCTAACCTTAACTAATCAATCTTAATTATCAATCACAAATGCTTCCCCTTACCCTTGCCACCCCCCCACCCCCCCACCCCCCCCACACACACACAGAGAGAGAGAGAGAGAGAGAGGGAGAGAGAGCGCAAGTGTGTGTATCGTTGATCCAAGCAGTCCAGATTTCTTTCAGGTCCACAGATACACCAAATGTATTCTTTCCCTCACTTTTCAGGCCTTCACCTATGTTTTTTCCTCTCTGACTATAACATTCTCCCACTTTCCTGATCTGACTCACTTCTAATAATCCTTCAGATCCCAGTATAGATGTCACTTCCTCCAAGAAGCCTTCAATAATCAACCTCTTGTTTTTTGTTGTTGTTTGTTAAAAATCCTTCACCTACACTCTCATAGCACCCTAGATATCTATACTAGCTTATCCACTGTTTTGTAATTAATTTCTTTTCCATATCGCCATTAAACTGGAAGATTAGAACAGAGAAGATATTCTTGATGCTCACCGCTACCCCAGCTCTCAGGATAATGCATGACTGATATTTGCTAAATGAAATACTACAGAGCTCTATGTATTAAAAAAACCTTCTCTAAAAATTAGATTTTTTAAATCTATGTGAAGTTAACTGAGGAGTCAAAAATGAGACTTTAAAACTTTTTTAATTCCACTTACATAGTTAACAAATGAGAAAAATAAGGTGTGTCTCAGTCCACAAACAGAGATAATAAAAGTTTTTCCCTTAGTTTCAGACACCACTTAAGATTTTTTTATTTTTTCCCATGGAGACAGAATGGCTTTCTTCAAAGTCAGCTACCATTTTCTGATTGCTCTGCTCACTTACAATTGGACACAGCCAACTCTAAGTGCCTCTGTCAATAGCTAAAACTTCCTGTCACCTGAGACAACAGACATGGTCATCCAGACAGCAACATAAAGTTCCTCCACAGCTCTTGATGCTGAGAAACAGAGAGCCATGCTGACTTCCTTCTTCTTTTCCTATATTGCTCTCTTTCTTGCCTTAGGGTTTTAAATTATCTTAGAAATCACCACTTACTGCTTACATAGATCAGTACCTTTCAAACATCCAGCCCTCCAAAGGAAAGGCTTTTGATAGCTAAAGATTAATGACTGTATATTCCAGATTTTCACCCCTAATAGGTGCTCAATAAAAATTACTTAAACTTCATCAAGGGTTTATCTTGTGTTATTCTTTAATGGCAAGTGCATTGCATGTACTGGTGAAAATGTTTAAAATATTTTTTCAAAAGGAATCAGTATTCAATTTTACATTAGGTTGGATGGCAGTCACATTACAATATGACAATATTAATTCTAACTCTTCTATGCTAGACAAAGACAAGGTTTCATTTTCTTACTTAATGCACTGACATTTTGGTCAATGCCCATTTTAAGTGATGACAAGAATGCTTCTTAAATGGTATACTGCTTGCTTACTATTGGCTCAAATATAAACTCAATCTTCTTTAGGATGACCACTTAACTACAATATCATCAAAACACTGCAAGTAAATAAATGTACGTTCCTCATCACAACTCCTGAAGGAAATTTCTTACTGATCATCCTTAACGTAAGGATTCAAAGATACAAAGAAAACTTAAGAAATTGAAAGTTCTATCCTAAAACTATCACCTGTAAGGGCTGGTTAAATATATATATATGTTAATTATAGAGCACTGCCACATACCACAATAAACTTAAGTAGAATACAATTATCTTAGGACAGTGCCTACTTGGGGAATCTTTTAGTTTAATCTAACAAACACTTATTGAGCACACATTAAATACCAGGTACACTGTTACTCATTGGAAATATGAAAGATACGGTCTTTCCCCCACTGAGAAACTCAGACCAATATAAATGGCTGTTGTCTTGGGAACGTAACACCAGATGACATGCTTTGAATATGAATGTAAGGAAAACAAATCTACTTTTTTCTTATAAAAAAAAGTCCCATTTTAAATTTCCTATAACTGCTATATAACAACAAAAAAAGAAAAAGCCATCATAGGTATGGCACTCTCCTATGTACCTCAGAAAAATCACGTCCACCCTACGCTTTGCCTTCAGAATCAGGACTGAAGCATCACCATTCAGTCAGAGCTTAAACTAATTGCAATTAAAGTTGTTTTAAGGAGAAAAAAAAAAGCCTAAGTTAAATGACCAAACCCAAATTTAGAAAGATAATGACAGCAAACATCACATGAAGCTAATTCTCATTTTTCATTACCATACAATTAAAGTTACAATTTATTCCTCCCTAAGAGTCAAAAAAAGAGTTCCCTGCATGTACTGCTCTAGCATATTCTACATGTAGAATCTTTTTTCTACAAATTATATATTTCTCTTCTTACAATATTATATATTTCAAGAACTTAAAAAGAAGATGTCAGCTTCATATTAAAGACCAGTCTTGAATACCAGACAAAATTATCCTTCTCTTTTCCCCTCATTTTTCTCTTTCTAACCATAGGGGCATTCCATAGTTCCTTTGCCTCTAGCACACAACTAAGAAATTCTGAAAGAATATTGAACTCAACTAAACCAATTTAATAAACACATAAAAGATATTTAATAAATATGTAAAGGTAGTACACTTTTTATCTGCTATTTAAAATTTTGTTTTGGTTTGGGGAGAGAGGTCAAAGAGGAAGGAAGATAAACTGAAAGTGTTATAGAGAGGAGGGAAATTTGAAGACACCATATTAGAAACATGATCCTATCAGAATGACACAGCCAAAGCCAAACTACACAAAGGGTAAGGCACAGTCAAGGTAGTAGAAGAAACCAGGGGTTCAGAGCAAACAGCAGGTCTCAAGTCAGCCAATCATCAGGAATTTCCAAGTGGAAAACCTGCAGCTGCAAAACCTGCAGGCTTCTTAAAAAATGAGGCATCTATCTATGGACTGATGTCAACAATAAATAGTTGAATCTACAGTTAATAAAGCAAAGGTACACAAGAGTACGTAGAGTCAGCTACCATTTGTGTAAGAAGAAAATGAGGGATATATGTTTGTATATGTATAAAAGGTCTCTGGAAGAAGACACATAAACCATGTAGCAGCGTTGCCTGAGCAAAGGGGAACTGAAGGACAGAATAGTATAGAAACTTATTTTTTCCTCTATACCCTTTTGTACTTTACTATTTAAAACCACAGACACATATTACTTATTATAAAAAGAAAAACCCATTTAACTTAATTTGCAAGTTAAGCAGACTAATAAAGATATACCAGAAGTCAATAAGAATTTGTAATTTAAATCCAAGAAAACAGTTCAAAGGAAAAGCTGAAATGTCAGGCAAACAGGATGGGTTAAAACTGGTCAAGCAGTCAGTATAGCACACATCAAGTGGTGGACATTAAAAATGAGTCAACTCCTTCATAAGACAGAACTTTTTATGAACTTCCAGCTTGCATAGGAATTAATACCTGGTCATAGACAGCCCAGTGTAGGCAGAAGGTGAGACACAAAAGGAGATGATACAGCAGTTGAAGATAACTATCTGAGCTTGAAGATAAAGGTAGATAACCTAACATATTACTACCATTCAACCTGATTTATACCCTACAGGTTAACAAGAGCAAAAGCATGGACTTCAGGGTTCTATCTTCAAATATCTGTCAAAGATATATAGCACCACCAGGATAGTTCTTTAAATGCAACGTGTGTGACCTAATTGTAATGGAAAGAGCCTAGAAATAGATGAGTCATTGAGGGTGTGCTTAGGAGTAGAGTGGAATAGGAAGAACAGAGCCTCAGAGCTAGAAGGGATCTTTGTCCCCAAGTTATACAGTCCAGACTTCCATACCATTCTCCCAAGGTTTTAGTCAGTCTCAACTTAAATGCCTTAGTGCTAAAGAAGGGCTACCACAGTAGACATTAGATTAACCAGAAATGCAAGAGATTACTATCTTGAAGAAACTAAAATTTCTTAGTTACAGGATACAGTAATGAAGTAAAATAATTCTTTTTTTAATCCAAGATTAGTTTCTTTGTACCACTCAGCATATTTCTAAATCACCTCTAACTTAAACTGTTGGGTACTCAGAAAATTAAAATAATAGTATTTTCAGAATTTGCCTAAATAAAAAATAACTCAAAAGGCAAATTTGCTGATATCATTTTAAAAAGATCGCAGTTCAAAACATCAACATAAAATGGCTTTGGAATTTTACCATTTCAAATTACCCGTTTCACTGCCTCACTTCTTTAGCTCAGAGAGTAAAAATACGACAAACACAGAGAACAGATATGATCACAACATAATAAGAAAATAATTAATTTAATCTTTAAATATTTGCCTTCTAAAATTAAAAAAGATTTTTGGAATCTTTTTTAATTCTGTACCCACACAGATTTTGGGTACAGGTTCTTGTTGATAAGGCTGTTTTTTAACAAGTCAAAGCACTTATGACTTAACTAATTCTAACTTCTTTTTTTTTTTTTTTTTTTTTTTTTAGACAGAGTCTCACTCTTTCCTCCAGGCCGGACTGCAGTGGCGCTATCTTGGCTCACTGCAAGCTCCCCCTCCCGGGTTCACGCCATTCTCCTGCCTCAGCCTCTCGAGTAGCTGAGACTACAGGCGCCCGCCGCCGCCCCCCAGCTAATTTTTTGTATTTTTAGTAGAGACGGAGTTTCACCGTGTTAGCCAGGATGGTCTCGATCTCCTGACCTCGTGATCTGCCCGCCTCGGCCTCCCAAAGTGCTGGGATTACAGACGTGAGCCACCGCGCCCAGCCTAATTCTAACTTCTCAATAAAAAAATGCTATAGTAAACTGACATAGTATAACTTCATTAATTCCAAATTAAGAATTTTAAAAAAGAAACCTATAACAAGTAATATTACTAAATATGAAAAGCTATTGCTGTCATTTCCATGGTATGAGAAAGAACCAAAAAAACCCTTTAATCTCTATTCTAAAAGAAGCTAAAACAAACAGACACTATTTTTTCTGTTATGCCAGAAATATAAATACTGTCCCTAATAAGTAAAATTCTATTTTAATTGAACTTATCACAAGAAAATTTGACCTATAAATTATCTGTTAGTCGAGGGCAATTATCAAAAGTAAAAATCAAACAACAAAAAATCCCTAAAATAGTTTATACCACCATCCAATATAAGGATAGGCACTTGGTATACAAGCAATGCTTCCTAAATTAAATACAGATAAAAGCAATGCCATGAGTACTACAGATGAAAAGTCTAAGAAATGGATCTTTTGGAGAGTCAGAGAAAAAATAAATGTTTTAATTCAGATTCTATTTCTTAGAATCCTAAAGTAAAGCAAATATATGATTTCCCCGTTTATAACAATTTAGAAACAAGCAACTCAAAAAATCTCATCAATACAAAACAAGTAGTTACATATGAATTATTTTTCCTTTGAACCTCAGAAATTTTTCATTCAGTTAGTTAAGATTTAAATAATGACAAGGTATTCTAATCCTCTAAGTGTCCATCAGTCATATTTATTTGCTTGTTCACATCTGAGTGAATACTCTGTAATGTCAGAGAAGCCAAATACACAAGGGGTGGACAAGTGGATTATAGGAATCACAGCAACCTAACATCTTACTGATAACATAGGGGCGCTAACAGTTCCCAATCATTTCACATGTTGTAAGTAATACCTATTTTAAAACACTGGATTACAATTACACAATTATATTTATTATAAAGCTAATTCTTATTATCAGCTAATGAAAATAAAATCTAAGCAAATCTACCTGAAGATATCAGGGCTGGAATATTGTCTTTCTTCTATCTTGCGCTCTATTAAAGATACCAAAACTCCACAAACTCAAGGGTTAGGATGAAGGAGGTGATCACACAAACATAAATAAGGTAATTAACCTAGAACAAATGACATCTCAGACATTCTGAGTAATCTACTGTACCAAAGCTCATGAAGACCCAGAATAATTTACTGCCTTTTGAGAGTTTACACAAAACATGCCAAAAGATATCAATGGATCTTTAAGAAGTGCTTTACCAGAAAATACACCACATAATATATTTATTTAAATCATACTAAACAAATTTATTTTAAAATTAATATACCATATATAGTACTGAAGAATAATCTCTAGACCAAGTCAGTATTTATACATCCACTTTTTTAAAATATGAAAATTTTAAATATTCTATAAAGAAAGCCAACATATACATTTTAATGTTTTTTAAAAATTATTTCTAAGGACTTCTAGGTAGTTTTTAACTACTATGTGAAGATTGAAAAATATATCCTAAAACATTCATACCTGATCGAAAGCACTCAATTATTTGTTGAATACCAGATTTGGATGTCTGTAGTGGTTGCTGTAACAAAGGAGGATCTCCAGGTTCCAGGATATAAACTACATGGAAGACAAACACCCACCCCAATCCCCACAAAAAAAGGGTTATTTAAATCATTTACTATTAAAGTAAAACAATGGCTTTCTACAATTACATTAAGGATAATCACACTTGTGCCCGCACACACACACGCATATATAATATGTAGATATATATATAATTAACCATCATCTTTGTAAGGCAAAATGAAACAATGGAGAAAAAAACTAAAACTATTCTCAAAGGCTAACTTAAGGCTACTTAAGGCTAGATATTAGGTTTCAATACAAAGACCTTACTATTTTGGTATTATTTAGTATACATTCTTCATGTTTGCCTTTTTATTCCCCTTGAAGAGGAACCACTATATTTAATCAAAATTCTAAGGCAATGGTGGCCTAGCCACGCTTCATAAACCATTCCAAAATCCTCTGGATAATCTGGTATAACTCTGGATATTTATGAGCAAAATGTCAAAAATCACTGCCTAAAGAAATAACTGAACAAGTGCACAATGATGGATGCAGAAGAATGTTCACTGTAGTGCTCTGCAGCACTGTATATAATTGAGAGAAATTTCAAACAACTTAAAAGTCTCTTAATAGTGACCAGATTAAATAAACTGTGAAATGTCCATAGGACAGACTTTTTCATGGCTGTTAGAAAGCATGAACTAGTTCTATGTGTATTCACAACAAAGGATGGCAATAATTGTTAAGCAACAAACATAGGTTATAGAATATGATCCCATTTACATTAATACATTGGTAGATGCAGAAATATATAAATTTAATATATATTTTATATATGTATAAATGCTGTTAGGGTGGATTTTCAGGGATGTTTGCTTTCTGCCTCACACTTTAATGCTGCTTCAGAGTCTGGCTTTTAGAAAGGACACATTTTTACAATAAGTAAAAATAATCTTTCCATTTTAAAAATTAAAAATTTCATTTTTACATAAAGAGGTTTATATTATCCCTAATTCCCAAGATTCTCAGACTAGTAGTATAGATACATAATAAATTACAGTAATATGAATAAAGACAACAGAAAAGGAAAACTGGGTTTCTTCATCAGTTATCAAATAGAGATGGTTGTGGTGGAGAAAAACTGACCATTTTAATTATCTCTTTTTTAAATATGCCATAATGTTCTACTCAACTATGACCATCGTAACACAGGACCACCCACTTAGTGTGAGGAGAAATGAAGGGTGATTTCAACAATGTGTGCTACTCTTGCTTCAGGGTTTAGGCTTGGACAGTACTTAGCTTTCTGATAGCGGGGCTAAACTAGCCTACTGTGCTATGTATATAGATACAGGCTTAGATTCTCCTTTATGCTTCAAGTCTAGTGCTCAGTGTACACAAACAAGAGGAATGATGTTTTGGGACCAACTCATTTCATTAAGCAAAATTTCCCCAATTTTAAGAGACACTTGGCCTGGTGCAGTGGCTCAGGCCTGTAATCCCAGCACTTTGGGAGGCCAAGGCAGGAGGATTACTTGAGCCTAGAAGTTCAAGACCAGCCTGGGCAAAATGGCAAGACCCCATCTCTACAAAAAATACAAAAATTAGCCAGGCGTGGTGGCTCATGCCTCTAGTCCTAGTTACGTGGGAGGCTGAGCTGGGAGGATCGTTTGAGCCCGGGAGGCAGAGGTTGCAGTGAGCTGTGATCACGCCACTGCACTCCAGCCTGGGCAACACAGCAAAACTGACTCAAAATAAATAAACAAATTAATTAATTAATTAATTTAGGTGTATTTTAGATTAATTAAGAACACACACACACACACACACACACACACACACACTCATTTTGAGAATATCTGACATTGGCACTAACTGCAGTGATTAAGAACATAAGAATCCAGACCTGGACTCTCTGTGTTTAAATTCTTTTTCTGCCATTTACTAGATACAATTAGGGCAAATTAAACTCTCTGATTTCTCTTTTCTCAGGTCTAAAATGGAGATTTTCACAGTACTTAAATTATAGGGTTGTATAGGGGTTAAATAAGCTAATGCAAATCAACTGCTTAAAACAGCCTGGGACATAGTAAGTGCTCAATAAACATTCTACCATCACTATCATCAACATGTACCCATCAATTGCTTTCCTGACACCAAAAACCAAAAAATCTTTTTTCAAAATCTTAGAGAAAGAGAATTAAACCTCTTACGAAAACAGAAGTTTGTAAACAGACCAGTATCGTCTACTTGAATAAACTGATTTCTCCTATTTGCACATTATAGCAACAGGTAACTACTTACAAAAAAAATGGTAACTACATAAAAGAGGGTGAAAACCCACACTACTGTAAAAAACTAAATGCTTCAAAGTCTGCCTCTATCAGTTACAAGAATTCTAGAATTGGAGAATGAAAAAACAGAAATAAATAAGGGAAGGATATTGGGAAAAACAGACTCTTCTCCTTAGAGCTCCTGCATTTACAAATGTGTTCCATTTGTATAAATGTGCTCCTTCTGTATAAAATACACCAACTTCCACTTCCACATGACAGCACCTCATTTTAAAGCTAAGGCTAAATATTCTTACCCACCACCCTCAGAACACTGCTACCACCAGAACACATACACATCCTGAGATAACATTCAAAATAAGCCCAGGATTAGCTTAGCTGTGCCTGGACACAACCACTTGGTATACACATCTGTGTAGCTCCCACTCTAAAGAAACAATTCTTCCTTCACTTGAAAACATACTCTCAACTCTAGAAAACTTTATTATATTAATACTTTATAAAATTGCTTCTTACATAGCCTATCATCCTCCCAAGATCAGACCCACCCAGGTTACATGACCATTTAGAAAAAAAAAATCTTTCTCCAACCAAAAAACCCAAATCCTCAGAACATCTTTCCTTACACCCTTCCAAAAACACACTTCCCAGAATATAACATTGACTTTTGTAAGAGTCTCTCCTCCCTTAAAACAAGGCCCTTAAAAGATCACTCTATTTATGACGTATGGGACTTGCTTACAAATATTAGGGAGAGAGAGTAAGTGGAAGGTAGAGAGGGGAATTGGGGGAGGAGGGGAGGAGAGAATATAGAGGAAAAGAGATTGTCCATGTAACAACTGATGGAGTTGTGTGATGGTTACATCAAGTTCCTCATATTATCTAGTTTTGAAGGTTTGGAAATTTCTATTAATAAAATCTTAAAACATAACTAAGAAAATACATACACTGCCAGAGTTATAGTGCCACCCTTCACTATAAATTGACCTATCTCTTCAAGGCAGAATGGCCTCATCAGGAATATACTGATCTCCTCTGGAGACTCACCCAGTATTCATAATCCAAATGTGGACAGATTTTTATCAAACATTATGTCATCTTCCCTCCATCTGTGGACATGATCTTTTAAAAGCTATCACACTACAACATATTTCTTTCAGTCCTGGAAATATCCTACCCACTCAGCATATACCTTCCTCTGAAATAATGACAATGAACTACTCTATAAGTTAACAAAGTTCTATTTATCCATTCAACAAAATTCTAAGAAAGTTTGATTCAAGCTAACAAGGCAAGAAAACAGTAACTACTGTTGACGTGATAAGTCTGAAAATTAACCTGCATGGAAAAAGTTTCTAGTAAAAGATGTTGAAAATTTTAAACTAATACAATTTTGTCTGAGTTCCTGCTAGTTGGGGAGAAAAAAAAACAAGCAAAAACATTTCAATACACGTTAAAAAGCTCAAGTCTAGAAAACATCTTTAAAGACATTAAAGTCTTCAGAAAACTCATTACCAGAACATACTAAATAAGGTATAATCACAAATTAGCTTATTTGTTTACTTCTTTATGTTTATCTCTTCCCACTCAAACATTTTATAAAGAAAGAACTTTATCTGTCTTGTTCACCACTTATATCCCCATTGCCTTCAACAGTGCTCTCAATAGATGTTCAATAACAATTTGTTAAAGAAATGAATGATCAATAAATTTCTTCCTAAATAAGATGGTTTCATTAACTAATTCAACTTCAATGATTAAAAGTGTTCTCAGAAAAAAAAAACTAGACTAAAAGGTCAGTGGAACATGAGTTTAAATGGCACTCACATCTGTATAGTTCAAAACTAGCAAACTCCATTCAACATCAGTAAAACATAAGTGATATATCTGCAGTTCAAATACACAAAATATGCAGTGTGAAAGGATCCTGAAAGTTAAACAGGTCAAGAGCAGTTCAATAGAAACTGGATCCCATCCAAGGATTGCCTGTTTTATTAGTACAGGTAAGTTATTACTGATCTCAGCAAAGTACAGTAGAGATAGGGTTGTAGTACGAATTTTATCCTCATCTGTAGCAAAGTTTTCTTAAAATGGAAGCTCTTCCCTTCTACTGATAACATTTTTTTCCATTAATCAGAAAATTACCTAAAATGAACTCTACTGTGATAAAATCCAAGTACATAAGTGCAGTTAAAATACTCCAACAAAAAGCAAGCAAATGTATTAAAAATCTAATAACTTTTAGGTCAAAAATAATGATAAACATCCGCCTTTAAACTAGAATAGCCTAGCCTTTATTTGATTTAGTGATGGTATGCATTCAATGATTCCCTTTTAAGTTATACCTTTTAATGATTGTCACAAAGCATATCAAAGTTCTAAGTAGAACTGTCAACAGTATATCAAGTTTATCAAATTAAAGTTTGCTAGTATTCTTCATGAGACTCCGAAAAACTTTTTCATATGATAAATTCAACTAAAGCAAGTTTCATTCCATAAAATACCCTGGAAATAATTATGTATTCTACCTAAATAAAAAAAGAGATTTCTCTTTTATTTCGCAATATAATATGTTCTGCCCAAGATATTTTTTTAAAGGTTGCGCTTAGCAAAACCTGATTCTCCCAATGAGTTCAACAAACTTTTAAAACCCAAACTAAACTCACTTTTAGACTTTCAGAACTACTTGCTGATTAAAATGCCTAAGAAACTTTTAATTTTTAAAGTTTCAGTGAAACAATTTCACGACAACAAATCTAGTATTCTATGTTTTCCTTTCTCTTCAATTTTAAACATTTACAGACCATAGGAGTATATTAACTGCAGGATGCCTTGAAAAAGAAAGAAAAAAGACTGAGCGACTGATCTTGTGGAAATGATTTAAGGTGACACTTGCAGTACTTTTTTTTAAGGGATCAAGCAGGGGAGACCTCTTGTTTGTACAAGCTTTTAGCTTCATAACTGGCTTATGCTAGGGAATATCATAGCCTGCTTAAGAATGACTACTGGGGCAGGAGGAAAAAAAGCTAGAAAAAAAGAGAAGGCAGAGTGGCTCTGATGGAGGGCAAAGCAACTGCGGACGAAGAGGGGTCTACCTGGTTCACAGCATCCGTGATGATGGTGGTCAGTCTGACAGTATTTGTCCCTTAAAGGCATTTTCAGTGGACTCGACCTACTTTGCTTTCACTGTAAGAAGCTCTTCATTGCGGCGTGGCTGTTGAAAGAAGCACAAACCCGTCACTCGCCCTGAACTTCCTGGGGGGCACTGGCTGCATTTTCCAGATACGTTCCCATCATCAGCTCTCCGCTTTCCCTCCACGGACCCGCACCTCCCTCTCGAAAAGAAAACAGAAAGACGCACAAACCCTCCTGCAGCCCAAACTCCCCACACAGGTTCATCGCCCTACCCGGAAACGCAGCCTCGGGTGCGCAGCGCAGGGCGAAGGCCTGGCCGGCAGCGCGGGCGGCTGCGGCCTCGCCGTCCCGGGCGGGCGCGCGGAAACGGAGCGCAGAGCGCGGCGGGCACCGCCGGGCTCCGGGACTACGGAGGTGCCGCTCCCGCCGGCTGCTGGCCCACGCCGCGCCCTCCCGCTACGCACGTGCGTTGGGGTCTCCCTGGCGGAGACCCCGTCCCCACAACCAAGTGCGCCCAACTTACTCAACTCTTAGGGCGGGCCGGCGGGCGGGCGGAAGGAAGGAAGGCAGGCCGGGCGGCCGCGGGGACAGCCTGGCGTGGGAGGCGGCTGCGGGCCCCACCTGGCGCAGCCTCCGCTGACCACGCGGGGGAACCCGGACTCGGGCCCGACGCGCTCCCAAAGAGTCCCCGCCGGCGCTGACGCGGAAGCGCCACAGCTCACCACGTCCCTCCGCGGGCCGAGACGACTGCGGCGGCGGCTCACGGCGTCCTCCGCGCTGTGTGGCTAGGCGGGAGGCGCGCGGGCGGAGGCAGTTGACAGGAGGAACCGCCCGGCAGCAGCTGCCGCCGCCACCACCGAAGGAGCCGGAACCGGAGCGGGCAGGACCTGAGGCTTCCCTCGCCGGGGCAACGGCTGCCGCCGCAACCCGGGTCCCACCAGCGCCGCTCCACCTGCAACGGTCCCTCAGGCTTTAGGAGAGGGGCGGAGAAAAATGGGGGTCTCCCCCAACCTTGGGCCTTTTCGGTGGTAGTTGTTGTTTCAGGAAACTTTATTAAGTCAGCCTCTCTTTTACTCTGTCGCCCCCTCCTCCGGAGAGCCCGAGCTACCGCCGCGGAGCGCGTAGGAAGGGGGAAGCAGAGACTCTCCGGCAGCGACAGGGAGCGACTGACTGACCCCGGACGGAGATGGGGCGAGGGCAGGAAGTGACAAGCTCACCGAGTGGGTGGGGGGAGTGTGGCCGGCACGCCCGGGAGCGCCGCGCGCATGCGCCCGGCCGGCGCCCCCGCCTGTGGGTAGGCGACGCGCTGTGCCCGCCGCGGCCGGTGGGGAGGGGACCGGGGCCGCCGGCGCGAGGGCCGTGTCCGAGGGGAGGGAACCGGGGCGGGGGACACCAGGGCCGCGGCCGGAGTCTCGGGCCGACCGAGAGCCGAAGCCCAAAGTGAGGTGTGAGGCCCGCGATGCGGCGTGCGCGCCCACGGAGACGGGCTGCTCGGCCACCAAACTGTTGCTCTCGCTGTTCTCTGTTCAGTGGAACTGAAACTCGGGGAGGGTTGGGAGAGGACTTAGGAAGCGGTGGGCAGATGTATGAGCCATAAGTAGTGATGATCCCCAAAAGGCTGTCAGTGCATTGCTAAATGGCAAAAGTTGAACATTTTTTTCCTGCCAACAATTTTCGAAGCATGCCTCCCGGAACTTGGGGATTCTTTTATCAGGCCCAAGGGAGGGAAAGCATCTATTGGTAGCAGATGGGTATTTATCCTGGCAGCTCCGCTTCTCAAACTTGAAAGTGGAGTTGGGTCACGTGGGCTCACGCACTTTCCCTCCTCTTCTGCGCCCCGATCCTGCTTGGAAAATCCTCGAAGATCCCAGTCATCTGTCAAATTCTGCCAACCAAGGGCCGCTTCTTGGGGGCGAGAGAGCCGCCTCCGTTGTTTCCTCCCAGCTCCTGGAACGTAATTCTTGCTCTTGGTGACATCAAGCAAATATGTGTCCACCGCCCGTCAGGAAATTTTAAGAGAATAAAGCCCATTCGCCTTGTCTCCGATCCTCCCCAAGATCCACTGAAAACCTTTCCAGTTGGTCCAACTTAAGCTGCCATTGTGCGGGGTCCTGAAAAAACTGAAGTTCAGTAGATAGACTTTGTTTAGAAGAGAAAAAGTTCAGTTTTCAAAATCCAAAGGAAAGTTTGTAAATTGATACATTTGTTACTTTAAAAATGTTGGGCCAGGCGCAGTGGCTGGTGTTTGTAATCCCAGCACTTCGGGAGGTCAAAGCGGGAGGATCGCTTAAGCCCAGGAGTTAGAGACCAGCCTGGCAACATGGCAAAACGCCCTCTCAACCAAATAAAAAAAAATTAGCCGGGCAGGATGGCGCGTGCCTGTGGTCCCAGCTACGGGAGAGGCGGGGGCGGGGGGCGGGATGGCTTGGGTCCAGGAGGTGAAGCGTTTGCATTAGGTCTCCGGGGATTGCAGCAGCTTGATTCTAGGGGATGACAAGAAAGGGATAGAAACGTGATCTTTAACTAGTCACATAAGTGGTATGATCATATATATCTGTCCCATAGTTAAGAGGCATCACCCAACGTGAAACTAAAATATGAAATGCCACAGTTTATAAATTAATGTAAAATAAGTTATGATACTTCTGTGATAGTGTTTGTTATGCAGCCAATAAAAATCACATTTTATATAAAATTTAGTTGTATGGAATATGCTTAAGCAACAAAAAAGAAGTATTTTGAAATGTGATATTTTAACAGTGGGCTGTAACAGTGCAATTATGAATGATTTTTATTTTATTCTTTTGTATACTTTGCAAAATTTGTAAATTAAGTATATAAAACTTTAATAAGCAGAAAAATTTTGAAACGCAGTAAGAAGGCTGTAATAATATGAAAATGGTATACACTAATAAAGCTCAATGTCACTCCAAAAAATGCAGTGAAAAAAGACTGAAAGAAACATGCAAATATCTACACTGGAGACCTCTGCGTGGTAAAATGTGAGGTAAAATATTTTCTGCATTTTCAGAGGATCTTTTCCTACTTTTATGTAATAAACATATTTATCATAGGCTTAAAAATGAATATGCAAGTCTAAATTGTTCTAACCCTGAAAAAGCTTTGCTTCAGATATATCAGTTGTTTGCTGACCAGGTGTGAGTAAAAAAAAAAAAAAAAAAAAAAAAAAAAAAACACACAAAAGTATGTTTTGTGAGCAAATGTAGTGTTATTTATATTCGAATGCAAAGTGGTCAGTACCAGAGGGTCCTCAAAATTGCTTGCTAACAGAGTAAGTTTAGACAATCTTTGAAAAATTAGAATTAGAGTCAAGATGAAATGTGCATGTCGGTAAAACAAATATTAAACATATCTGTATAAAAACGAAATAATCCAATTGAACCTGGGAGGCGGAGGTTGCAGTGAGCCGAGATCACGCCACTGCACTCTAGCCTGGCAACAGAGTAAGACTCTGTCTCAAAAAAAAAAGAAAGAAAGAAAGAAAAAAGAAAAGAAAGAATCATAAAAATTGAGACCCAGAGAGATTAAGTAATGTGCTAGTCAGTAGGAACTTGGGGTCAGGACCTAGATTACTCCCTACTATAATTAACAGTACTACTATTTGACATGTATTGAGGAGTTAATATTTTTTAAGCTCCATATTAGCTCATTTAATCCTATCAACAATTTAATGAGGTTTTGCTGTCCTTCCATTCTGCAGGTGGGAAAACTGAGGTAAAGAGAGTTTAGATGACTTAACAAGTGATATGGTTTGGCTGTGTCCCCACCCACATCTCATCTTGAATTGTTGTCCCTGTAATCCCCACGTGTTGTGGGAGGGACCCAGTGGGAGGTAATTGAATCATGGGGGTGGTTTCCCTCATGCTGTTCTCCTGATAGTGAATTCTCATGAGATCTGATGGTTTTATAAGCATCTGGCATTTCCCCTGCTGGCACTCATTCTCTCTCCTGCTGCCCTGTGAAGAGGTGATTTCTGCCATGATTGTAAGTTTCTTGAGGCCTCCCCAGCCACGCAGAACTATGAGTCAATTAAACCTCTTTTCTTTATAAACCACCCAGTCTCAGGTATTTCCTTATAGCAATGTGAGAATGGACTAATACACCAAGCTGATAGGTAGCTGAGCCATCATTTGACCCCAAGCAGTTTGGCTCTGGAACTCATGAACTTAGCCATCACACTGTACTGTCTACACTATGCTACCTTCACTATGCCATAGCTGTTTTGGTTCACATTGTATGTGAAAGACGAGCCAGTAGATCCTGCCAGTTGTGAAAGGTATTGCATATTAAAATGCTATGTGCAAGTTCATGAACTGGAAATGAGTTGCCAAATTACAAGAATTTAATTGAAATTTCACAGGGCTCTAGAACTTAAAGGAACCTTAGACATCATCTGAGTTATCACCCTACCTCTAAAAACAATGCACACAAACTATCCCAAAAAAATTATCTGCCTTCCCTTTCGTTGTTCACTGCAGCAACCTAGGTGACACATTACTTTTTTATCCTTAAAAGTCTAGAAGTACATCATAATGGTTCATGTAAATCCATTTTATAGTTTAAAATTCTCTCATCCTCAGTGAGAGGACACTATCTCTCATACATACATACACATATACAGTATATTATTGCTGCATAGCCAGCCAGAATTGGTGGCTTAAAGTCATTTTATGTGCTCTCAATTCTGAAGATTAGTAATTTGGGCTGGCCTTGTCTAGAGTCACCCATGCAGATGCTACAGTCAACTAGCGGCTTGACTGGGTACTGTCACATGGTATTTGGTGTTGGCTGTTGGCTAGACCTCTCTTCTTGTAGCCTTTCAACCTCAAGGAGACTAGCCTGGGTTTCCTCATGCAGTGGCAGCATGCCAAGCCAGTAGAGAGTAGAAATTACAAGATTTCTTGAGGCCCTCAGTTCAGAATGTATATGACATCACTTTCACTACATTTTGTTAGTCAAGTCAAAGAGCCAGCATAAATTCAGGAAGTAGAGACTTAGACTTGCCTCTTGCTGGGAGAAGCAGCAAAATCACATTGCAAAAGGATATGCATTCAGGAATGGGAGGAATTATTGTGATGATTTTCACATTTAATCTATCACAATATATACTTATTTTGAAAATGATACTAGCTAATTAAAGCCACTGATTTTTTTTAATGCTTTAAGAACAGTAAAACAAGGAAACACTAGTCAGACTTATTCTTTCAACTGACTGAGTCCATTTGATGGCCTTCTATAAATTTTGGTGATTCCTTAAGTTTTCTTTTTTTTTTAAATTATACTTTAAGTTTTAGGGTACATGTGTGCACAACGTGCAGGTTTGTTATATATGTATACATGTGCCATGTTGGTGTGCCACACCCATTAACTCGTCATTTAACATTAGGTATATCTTCTAATGCTATCCCTTCCCCCTCCCCCCACCCCACAACAGGCCCCGGTGTGTGATGTTCCCCTTCCTGTATCCATGTGTTCTCATTGTTCAATTCCCACCTATGAGTGAGAACATGCGGTGTTCGGTTTTTTGTCCTTGCGATAGTTTGCTGAGAATGATGGTTTCCAGCTTCATCCATGTCCCTACAAAGGACATGAACTCATCCTTTTTTATGGCTGCATAGTATTCCATGGTGTATATGTGCCACATTTTCTTAATCCGGTCTATCATTATTGGACATTTGGGTTGGTGCCAAGTCTTTGCTATTGTGAATAGTGCTGCAGTAAACATACCTGTGCATGTGTCTTTATAGCAGCATGATTTATAATCCTTTGGGTATATACCCAGTAATGGGATGGCTGGATCAAATGCTATTTCTAGTTCTAGATCCCTGAGGAATCGCCACACTGACTTCCACAATGGTTGAACTAGTTTACAGTCCCACCAACTGTGTAAAAGTGTTCTTATTTCTTCACATCCTCTCCAGCACCTGTTGTTTCCTGACTTTATAATGATCGCCATTCTAACTGGTGTGAGATGGTATCTCGTTGTGGTTTTGATTTGCATTTCTCTGACGGCCAGTGATGGTGAGCATTTTTTCATGTGTCTTGGCTGCATAAATGTCTTCTTTTGAGAAGTGTCTGTTCATATCCTTTGCCCACTTTTTGATGGGGTTGTTTGTTTTTTTCTTGTACATTTGTTTGAGTTCATTGTAGATTCTGGATATTAGCCCTTTGTCAGATGAGTAGATTGCAAAAATTTTCTCCCATTCTGTAGGTTGCCTGTTCACTCTGATGGTAGTTTCTTTTGCTGTGCAGAATCTCTTTAGTTTAATTAGATCCCATTTGTCAATTTTGGCTTTTGTTGCCATTGCTTTTGGTGTTTTAGACATGAAGTCCTTGCCCATGCCTATGTCCTGAATGGTATTGCCTAGGTTTTCTTCCAGGGTTTTTATGGTTTTAGGTCTAACATTTAAGTCTTTAATCCATCTTGAATTAATTTGTGTATAAGGTGTAAGGAAGGGATCCAGTTTCAGCTTTCTACATATGGCTAACCAGTTTTCCCAGCACCATTTATTAAATAGAGAATCCTTTCCCCATTTCTTGTTTTTGTCAGGTTTGTCAAAGATCAGATAGTTGTAGATATGCGGGATTATTCTGAGGGCTCTGTTCTGTTCCAGTGGTCTATATCTCTGTTTTGGTACCAGTACCATGCTGTTTTGGTTACTGAAGCCTTGTAGTATAGTTTGAAGTCAGGTAGCGTGATGCCTCCAGATTCCTTAAGTTTTCTTACTGAACTTGTTTTTCTCATCAAATGTTGTTTTAAGATTCAATCTTAGTTTTCCATCTATTCTAAGCAGATCCCACTAAAACACAGCATAAGAACCTAACATCAAGTAGAAGCAATTATAGTTCCTAAAGTTCCTATGTACTCTGGTCCAGATTTTGACAGCTTTGATTATGATGTGGCATTTTACCACACATAACTAAATCCAAAATGATGCAGAAACCAAATTATGAGCCAAGATAGGGTCTGAGATTGTAGAAAGTGTCAGGGAAAAATTGATTTAGAAGGACAAATATTAAATTGTTGATCTATTATCAATTATGTAGAACATAACACCTAAGTATTTTGCAAACAACATAACATGAAAAACGAAGATAATCCTTTCCCTAAAATGCTTGTTTTAAGGAGGGTAGGGAGTGAATATAACTGAGTTGCTACCCTGGAGGTAAGCTGCCTACTGGAGAACTGCTGACATGGCTTTGTATCTTCCATTCCCTGTGCTAAAGGCACTCAGAGGTCTTGCCTACCAAATGACACAATGATGCATGCAGCATGCTGCCTTGTGGCTATCAAACCATACCTTACAGATCTTTCATTTAAATGCATTTCATGTAGCATTTAAGCGAATTCCATGGGGGAAAAAAGGGGCTTTTGTTATAGTAAGTTAGCTATTACAATAATAATAAAAATATTAGCTGTATTGCAATCTAATAATAGCTAATGATAATTTTGTCACTTACTGAACTCAGACAGCATGCTAAGTGCTGTTTATTTTTCCATCAAATCCTTACAAAGATCCTGGGTTAGATATTATCCCATTTTACCAATAAGGAAACAGACAATGAGTGTCTGAGCTAGACCTAGATCTTTAAACCTAAATCTGTCTGAGACCAGAGCCTGTGCTTCCAGTTACATATATATTCTGATGATTCCTAAAGTTTTATCTCCAGGTCAGACCTGTTTCTAGAGCCTCTAAATTCTGTTTGTAACTGTCCATAAGACAGACCATCTAAATTTCCCCAGGCATGTCAAAAGTAGCCAGACCAAAACTGAATTTATCTTCTCACCAAACCTGTTCTTCCTCTTCCAGATTTTGGTAACAGTGTTGCTATCGATTCGGGCACCCAAGGTAGAAGCCTTGGAGTTATAGAGAGGAGCATCTGCAAAGATGCAAAGTAATGAAAATTACCTGTGTACAAGGTTTCTCTTCTCACGTATCCCCAACATCTAACCTGGAACCATTAGCTATTGGTTATACTTCAAAAAGGCCTAAGAAATATGGAGAGTTTCCTCTCTCCATATGCACCATCAGTCTTCTAGTCCCAAACCTCACCTCTGAACCATTGCCATAAACACCTCTGTGCTCTCCCTACCACTGATCTCCGCCTCACTCCAATATTCCACACTATCAACAGAATTATAGTCCAAACAAACCTGACGTTACGCTGCACTTCAAAATCCCTTTTGACTGCCAACTGCACAGACTAATAAGTCAAATCATCAAAAAGCATTAGTACAAAGATTGTATTTTGGAGTCAGAAAAAATCGGAGCATCCTATCTCCATCACTCACAAGTTTTATGACTCTAGTGAGACCCTCTCTTGAGAAATCAGTTAATGAAGAAAGCACTCAGCAGGACCTAAAATAGAGTACGCACAAAAAAAATACTATTAAACCTGGTCCTGCCACAACCTCACACACTTTATGTTCCAAACACACTAGATTTCTTACCCCATGCGGAAATTCAACAAAGCAAAAATAAACTGGGTGGGGAGGGAGTATGGGACACAGGAGAATTTTGGGGGAAGATAATAGAGCTGTTGGTTACATAAGTATATCCATTTGTTAAAATTGGACCACTAACATTTTTCAATGTAAGCAAATTTAGCTTTAAAAAATGTAAAAAGTAATAGAGTGGGAGTGGATATGGGTGGCTATATAGATGATACAAGAATGGCAGAATGTTGATAACAGTCGAAGCTGTGTGATAAGTACAGGAAGATTTATTATACTATTCTGTTTATTTTGCATATGTTTAAATTTTTCTGTAAGTTAAAAAATATGAAAATATGTTAAAACTTACTAACAAAGAAATGCAAATTAAAATCACAATGAGATACCACTATATACCCAGCAGAATGGCTAAAATTAAAGACAATTCCAAATGCTGATTTGGAAATCCCATTGAGAGGATGTGGAACAATGCAAACACTCATAAATTGCTGATGAGAGTGTACAAAACTGTTTTGACATTATCTACTAAATGTGAAGATGCCACTATCTTTTGACCCAGTAATTTTACTCCTAAGGTATATATCACACCAGAAATGTATGCACATAAACACCAAAAAACAGGTACAATAACCTTCACAGAAACTTTATTGATGACATCCAAAAACTAGTAACATTTCAAACGTTCTTCAACTGAATGGATAAATTATGTTAAGTTTATACACTGGAATATGATCAATGAAAATGCAAGAGTATGGCTACACAAAACAATGGATGAAATCTTAAAAAAACCAATGTGGAATAAAAGAAGTTAAACACAAAATATGCAGATAATGTATAATTCTACACATAGACTATATGATTCCACAAAACTAATGAATGGTTTTATTCCTGTGAGGAAGAAGAAAGTGGCAGTAATTGATTGGAAAAGATCACAAGAAATGCTTCTGAGTAATTGGTGATGTTCTACTCCAATAGCTGTGTGATGGTGCCATGTTCATTTTATGGTAAATCATTGAGCTGTCATATGTGATTGTGCATAATTCTCTGTATGTTTTATACCTGTTAAAATGTTTAACTAAATAGTGTTTGGAAATGCATTTCTTTTTTTTAAATTACACTTTGATTTCTGGGATACATGTGCAGAACGTGCAGATTTGTTACATAGGTATACATGTGCCATGGTGGTTTGCTGCACCCATCAAGCTGTCATCTACATTGGGTATTTCTCCTAATGCTCTCATTCCCCTTGCCCTCCACTCCCTGACAGGCCCCAGTATGTGATGTTGACCTCCCTGTGCCCATGGGTTCTCATTGTTCAACTCCCACTTATCAGTGAGAACATGCAGTGTTTGGTTTTCTGTTCCTGTATTAGTTTGCTGAGAATGATGGTTTCCAGCTTCATCCATGTCCCTGCAAAGGACATGAACTCATCCTTTATTATGGCTGCATAGTATTCCATGGTGTATATGTGCCACATTTTCTTTATCCAGTCTAACATTGATAGGCATTTGGGTTAGTTCCAAGTCTTTGCTATTGTGAATAGTGCCACAATAAACATACGTGTGGATTTGTCTTTATAGTAGAATGATTTATAATCCTTTGGGTATATGGGATTGCTGGGTCAAATGGTATTTCTAGTTTTAAATCCTTGAGGAATCGCCACACTGTCTTCTACAATGGTTATACTAATTTACACTCCCGCCAACAGTGTAAAAGCATTCCTATTTCTCCACATCCTCCAGCATCTGTTGTTTCCTGACTTTTTAATGATCACCATTCTAAATGGCATGAGATGGTTTCTCATGGTGGTTTTGATTTGCACAGAAATGCATTTCTAAATAGTAAAGACATGAATTAGGCCGGGCATGGTGGCTCACACCTGTAATCCCAACGCTTTGGGAAACTGAGGCAGGTGGATCACTTGAGGTCAGGAGTTCACAACCAGCCTGGCCAACATGGTGAAACCCCATCTCTACTAAAAATACAAAAATTAGCCAGGGAGGTGGTGGTGTGTGCCTGTAATCCCAGCTACTCCAGAGGCTGAGGCAGGAGAATGGCTCCAACCCAGGAAGCAGAGGTTGCAGTGAGCCGAAATTGCACCACTGCACTCCAGACCGGGTGGCAGAGCAAGCTCCATCTCAAAATAAATAAATGTAAAGACATGAATAAATCAGAATAGTGTCTTATACCACATGCAAAGTGGTATATCACTAGAAGGTAGACTACCTTCTATAACTCCAAAGCAACTATTAAAATAATAGAAGAATAGTTACCTTTGGAGGAAGAGAAGTGGTATTGAGTGGAGGGGTACTGATTTTGGGGTTACCAGACATTTTGTAGATTTTGACCTCAATGATTGTTACATGCATATTTGCTTTATGATAATTCTGTAAGCTGATAGTTGTTTTATGCACTTTTATTATGTGTGTAATATTTCATAGTGAAAGTATTTTTAAGTAGCTGAACTCAGTTTTAATGCCTCTGAACTATAACTGGCATAAAATTAGACATGATTATTGAATTTTCAAGGCTTTGTTCCTTTACACATGCTACTCTTCCTGCCTGGAGATATCTTTCCCCTCCACCTGGACAACTCTTATTCCACCCTTCAAGATCCACCTCAGATGTGACTCCTGTGAAACTAGCTCCCACAGACAACTAATTTCTCCATCCTCCTGCTCCTGTACTGCATCATTCTGATTAAATATCTGACTCTCCCATTAGTCTCAATTTCCTCAATAAACATATTTCCCTTTGTTTTGCCACCATCTAGCACAGTACCTGGCACATAACAGGCAATCATTGAAAGTTATTGCATGGGCCTGAGTGAATGACTTTCCATTTCTATTGGGATAATGAAAAAATATTGACAGCATATTTAAAAGAGGTATCACATCCACAGGCATGCGCTGTCTGTTTGATATTAATCTTCATCACTGGCTTAAGGAGTTATTTAGTGTCTCCACTGCATAGTTACTATTTTTCCTTTTGTTATTAACAAGTAATTTGTGAGGAGGAAACAATGGCTTTATCACAGAAACTCCTTTTAAATAATGATCTTGATAATCTTACTTAGGTTTTAGACATTATCAGGGTCAAAGCAAAACTAAAAGAGTAAACTGAATTGAATCGAATCTGTAATATAATTAGAAACTAATGATCAATTATGTAACTGGAAACTACCTTTTGGTATACTAGTATGTAAGATAAAGTTAGAAAAAGCGTATCATTACCCTGTGATAATTATCAGTAAATCCATTCAAACAATATTTCTGAGTATCTGCTATATTCCAAACATCATTCGAAACTGATGAGTAAGACAAGGTCTCTTCCCTTTATTCAACAAAAATTTACTTAGTGCCTACGTGCTAGGTCCTAGGAATACATCCATAAATAAGACAGGAAGTTCCTATGCTCCTGGGGTTTCTAGTCTAATTACTGAAGTGCTCCCAGCCTAACAGTGGAGGCATGTAAGGGGTGTATTTTTTCATGATAATCACATAAGCCAGGCACAAGAGATGATTGAAGCCATGGAATTTATAAGGTATCTTAGTAGACAACAGCAGCTTTTGGACACAGGGAAGGAGTGTTTGCAGCATCAGTTTTTAAACTCACTTGAATTAGGGAAGAGATAATAATAACTGATGATAATAAGGTGGGTTTGTTTCCAAGTAAATAGTGTCATTTTACCAAGACTTATTTCTTAAAGACACCTGACTAATGGATTATCTATTGTTACATATAAGCAGGGTAATTTTTCCTAAATCATAAGTTGTAAATGCTATGTGATTCTATTTGAATAGGTAATTATTGGAGAGCTTTGTATTTGATATCATATCATCAAAAGGCATTTTGAGTTTTTCATTGATTCTTTCAACTGCTCCTCCTTATGGCCAAGGAGACTTACTTGCAAGACTGAGAAAAAGGCTGCAGTTCAAGACTGTGGAATAAAATGAAGTCAGCTCTTTTATATGCATGAACCTGCTACTCTAACTTCAATCACATCCTGTTCTCAACCAGCAAATCCGAAATCTTCTCTGGAAAAATGAGATTATGTTTCATCTCTAATGACAAAGTGTCAGAAAAAAAAAACTCACTTTTGTCATATAGGAACTGAGTGAAAAGTTAAAAATTCATACCCATATCTCAAGTCTTAATTCTGGTTGAACACACAGACTACTGTGTACCAGACCATAACCTACAACAAAATTAAAATGTTAATTAGATATCTGGTATATGCATATATGATCTCTCTAATATTTTAAATAATTTCTCAAGTAGTACCCTGATTTACAAACTGATCTTTTTTTATTTTTTTCAACTGACATTCATTTTTCTCAAACTCTTTATATTCTATTCAGATGAAAGTTGTACATCTTGAATCTGAGAAATCTCTAGAGTCACAGCATACGAAGGTACTTTACAAAAAGTCAGGGAGCTTCGTGAGTGTTACTTCTACTTTCAAGTCATCAGCTACAGACAGTCAACAGACTAGAAAGCAATTTTCAGTGTTGTGATCTTCATATACAGAGTAAAGAAAAGGTAGATCGCTGAGCATTTTGAAAAAGAACAACAGGAAATTACCTCCTCCACTCAGGCAGACTTGCTTTTATCTAGTTAGGAGAAAGCCCCACAGAATCCATAGTATCCACATTCTTGGCAAGACCTGTGATGCCAAGCAGTACTAAATTATCCCATAACACCTAGATGCTGGAGTTAATAGCACTGTTTCCAATGGCATAGAATGACATTTTCTTCTTGGTTCTTTGTGGCTGAATACCTAAATCTAGTGTCACTCTCATTTATAAACTAAATGCCTTTGAAAAAAAGTGGGTCAAAGTTCAATGTGTTTATAATGATCTCATTGCTAGAAGAGACCATGTACCCTAGCTGTCATTAACAGCAGTTTCATTTATGGGAACAAAATAGCTTTACATTTCTCAGAAGATTTTTTTTAAGGAACAACTATTGCAGGATATTTAAAAATTCCCCCATCAATGTTAGTTCTCTTTTCTTAATCACTTATTAAATTGACAACTATAATTCAAGAAGGTGTGAAAAGATATCATTGAAACCCCTCATTTTTTAAAACTCTTGTCTTTCTAGTCTTAAGAAACTCATCTTGAACACACAACCCAGCCAAATGAATGAAGATAGAAAATAACGCTCAAGTCAGCTAGGTAAGTAGAATTAATGTCTTAAAGATTATTCACTAAAAGCCAGACTTCAAGACTACACAATATATCCATATAACGAAAGTGCACTTGTATCCCTTAAATTTATACAAATAAAAATAAATATTGTGAAAGTGCTATATTTTATTTGGATATGTTTGAAACATATCTAGGCTTGTATTTAATTTAATTGTTCCTTATGATTTCACTTAAAGAAAACAAAGACGTCTTGTCTTCAAATAATTAAAAGCATCTACAGAAGATATTTTATAGTCCACGTGTTCATCCCTACATTATCTTTGTGTTTAAAAGAGACAGAAAAATTCAAAGAAAAAATACGAAGACAAGCTGGGTGTAGTGGCTCACACCTATAATCCCAACACTTTGCGGGGGCCAAGGCTGGAGGATAGCTTGAAGCCAGAAGTTTGAAACCAGCCTGGGCAACACAGGGAGACCCTCATTTCTACATAAAAATTTTAAAAATTAGCTAGGCATGCTGGCACTTTCCTGTAGTCCTAGCTACTCAGGAAGCTGAGGTGGGAGACTCACCTGAGCCCAGGTGTTCAAGATTATAGTAAGCTATAATCACACCACTGTACTCCATCCTGGGCAATAGAGTGAGACGGTCTCAAAAAATATATATGTACATATATGTGATATTTACATATTAATATATGTGTACCTATATATGCATATATATGTGTATATGTACATAAATAATGTGTACCTATATGTACATATATGATGTGTACATACATATAGACATACATATGAGATTAAGAGAAAGAAAATGCTAATTAACATTTGTTGAGTCACTATTCTGTCTGAGACACGAGGCCAGACACTTTATATCCATTATCTTACTTAGGGAAATATGATCCAAAACAAAGCAAAAGCATTAACCAGCTTTATGTTAACCTTCATATGTTCCCTGAGCATGGAGATAAAAGGAGTTACATAGTCTCCCCAGTAGTTTTTTATGTGACCTAGGAAAGAATCACTTTCTCCAATCTTTCTTTAGCTTTACTTACACAGGAGGTTGTTGCAGATTCATAGAAATTGTCACTAGGCACCCAGAAGAAAATGTCTGAGACACACATGGCTATCTACAAACCCAGTATTTTGGCAAGGATCATGGTTGCTGCAAATAAAGCACACCTAACATACTGAGATCTGTCCGAACACCACACTTTAAAAGAGATATAAACAAATGGATACACATTCACACTGGTAGAGGACCTGGAGAGGGAGACTTGAAACCATGCCCTGCATGGAATGTTCGCATGAAGTGGGGAGATTTTGCCTGGCCAGCAAAGTCTTCAACTCCATATGAGAGTGTTGTATGGAAAAGGAATGTGTTCCATATAGTCATCCTTGCTGGGGTGTGAAAAGCACAGGAATGCTAATTCCAGTGCAACAGAATAAAGAATTTTCTGACCAAGCTGTCCTATAATTGAATGTATTGCCTCAGGAGGTGTTAAGTTTCCCACCACTAGGAAATGTTCAAACTTTGGCCAGGACATTAGTACAGGTATGGTGAAAGGGATTCAAACACTTGATGGGAACTTGGAGTAAAAAGGGTGGCTTTAAAGTTAATTCCGACCCTGACAGTTTGCAAAAATGAAAGGGATAAGACTGGTAATTGAACCAAACCTTCATGCCTCTGAATTCATATATGTAGAAATATAACAAATCTGAATAAACTTTTCTCACATGAACCATGCAATAAGAAGTCAGACTTACTGTTTTGATCTTCCTAATTCAAAGTTAGAATATACTTTGTACTGAGGTTTCTTTCATTAACTGAGACACAAGCCAGCAACTTGACCTATTAACACCAACACTGAGATCAAGCATTGCTAGTTTATCCTCTATAAATATCAAGTACAATTCAATTGGTTGAGCACCTACTATATGCCAATCATCGTACTAAAGTTTGGGGGATATAATGGTGAACAACAACAAAAAAACGTGATCTCCATCTTCATGGCATTTATAGTCTAGTATAATTGCTGTCTCCTACAGATGATATGAAGTCTACTGTTTTTAGGTTTTCAGTAATTTACTTTCCGATTAAAAATAATCAGTTTTTCAAAATAATTTTTAAAAGAAAAAAGCATTTTCCTTCTATTAAACACTCAGCAGAAAATTCATGATTATCCACCCAGACGTGTCCAATTTACATAATTTGAGAAACTCTACTTCTACCAAAAATACCTTACTGCTTATACTCATGGAGTTAGTACAAATATGCATAATATGTAAGAATCTGTTTTGCTATGACTCATTTATATAGACTACATCATTTGCCTAAAATATGATTTCATTAAGAGAATACAATTACTTGTATAATCAAAAGTCACTGATGAAAGTTAATCAGCTGGCTTTTTGCAGTCTTCATATAGGTAATACATGACTAGGTCAGGATTTGAAACATTTGAGGTTATTTTATCTAGTTCTTACATATACTGATAGTTTAATTTGCTACAAAACTAAATTTGCAGTTGAGCAAGAAATCTGCAAGTAGGATTAGGTTAGGAGCTAGGAAAAAAAACTTTCAAGGTTAAATTAGATAATCTAGTTGACTAACATTATCAATAATAATATACTGAAGAGTCCATAGGGATAGTCCATGAAGCCTTAAGTTTCTGCCATATACACAGTTACATTCTAAGGAGATGAATTCCTGTATTCTTGCCAGGGCTTATCCAGAATCATTTGCAGGTAAAATGATTCCTTCTACCTAACAGTAGTTGATTAGACCAGTTATAATTTAATCGGTCACAGGCAATCATACAGTCTAACACATGCTAGGTACTCAATGAAAAAAAATATGTATATATATGTGTATATATATATATATATATATATATATATATATATATATATATATATATATACTCTAGAGACAGGGACTTGCTCTGCCACCCAGAGGCTAGAGTGCAGTGGCACAATCATGGCAGCCTTGACTTCCTATATTCAAGCAATCCTCCCACCTCAGCCTCCTGAGTACCTGGGACTACAGGCATGCTCCACCACACCCACTAATTTATTTTTTCTTTTGTAGGGACAGGTCTCATTATGTTGCCCAGACTGAACAAGCAGTCCTCCCGCCTTGGCCTCCCAAAGTGCTGGGATTACAGGTGTGAGCCACTGTGCCCAGCCTCAATGAACATTTTTGAATGAAGGCACAAATGGACAGAAGTGGAAGTAAACTCAGAAATGGCATAACAGGGACTAAGGAGAAAAATAACTCACTCATTCACTCATTTAATAAATATTGACTGATTTCTATACATAGATTAGGCACTATGTGTCAGATACTGTTCTAGGGTATGTATGGGTAAACAAAACCAGACATGATTACACTGGCCCTCAAGGAGTTTACAGTCTAATTGAAGAGACAGATATTAATCCAAAATCACCAAATATAATATGCATACTATGATCGTGGTGTGGTAAGAGATATGGTGCTAGAAGAGGGTATAACAGAGAGATTTGACCCTGCCAGGGAGGTAAGGGAAGCCTTGCTTAAGGAAATAAGGAATTGCCCAATTAAAGTGTAGTAGAAAGAATGTTTTAGGCAGAGGGTCTGGCAAGTTCAAAAGTCTTCATGAAAGAATGAGAGCTAGTGTGACTGCTGCACGGTGGGCATGGTAAGGGATGAGATCAAGAAGACCCTTATAGGCCATGTACAGGGGTGATTTATCTTAACAGCAAAGTAAAAACATCAGAGTATGTAGCAAATATATAGATTTGCTCACTAAACTCAAATGTGCACACAAAATGTGGAGTTGTTATGTGTGTGTGCACTTTTTGATTGAGATATCATTGGCATATAATAAAAGTTGCCCTTTTAAAATGAACAATTCAGTGGGGTTTAGTACTCTTATAGAGCTGTGCAACCATCCCCACTATCTGATTTCAGAACCTTTTAATTACCCCAAAAGGAAATCCTGTACTCATTAGCAGTTGCTTTCTATTACCCTCTTCCTCCAGTCTCTAGCAAACATTAATCTGATTTCTAGCTCTATGAGTTCACCTATTCTGGACATTTCATATAAATGGAATCATAGAATATGTGGCCTTTTCTGTCTGGCTTCTTTCACTTAGCCTAATGCTTTCAAGGTTCACCCATGTTGTAGCATGCATCAGTACTTCATTTCTTTTGAATGCCAAATAATTCTGTATGGTACTAACATATCACATTTTTTAATCTCTTCATCCATTGATAAACATTTGGGTTGTTTCCACTTTTTGGCTATTACGAATAATGTTGGCATGAACATTGTGTGTCAGTTTTTACGTGGATGTATATATTAATTTCTCTTGGGTGTATACCTAGGAGTGGAATTTCTGGGTCATGTGGATCTTTTGCTAGTGTTCACTATTAACATCTATGTTAGATGAATTTCTGGCCTGTTTTTCACTCTGCTTAGAGCCCATTACTGCCCCATGGTCCAGGCTCAGCCTCTCCTGGGATCATGCTGGCACCTGTGTGTTTGCCACATACTCTATCCAGCTCCTGGCTCAGACCGTCCATAGCAGCCCTGCCAGCTCTAAACTCAGCATCCAGGCCACACAGGAACTGAGAGAGAATCAGGAATGCAAGCTAAACCTCTCTCTTACTGAACACACCACATAACCCTTTTAACTATGGTATGCACTCCCCCAAGTGGGTGCAGGACTGCCCTGCACTACGGTTTCCTCCCGGGATCTCGAACAGTGAGTGGAAGGATAATTCATCCAATTGTGATGCTTTCCTCAATTTATTTATCTAATATATTTTTCCACAATTGGTGAGGTTAGGAGAAGGCCAGCATGTCTCTTCTCCATTTAGAGTTTCAAGGCCTCAGAACAAAGATGAGAATTTGTTCAACAATCTTCCCACCCTCATTTCTGTCTCCTCCCTTCTAGTCCACCAAAACTGGTAGAATTTTTTTTATGTCTTATATAATTCAATGATTCTCACTAGGGAGTGCTTTGGAACTCTGTGGAGGTATTATTAGTGGGCACAATGATTGGGAAGTGTGACTGACACTTAGTTGAACAGGTTCAGGGATACCAGATGTCTCACAGTGTTTAGGACCATCCCTTGCAACATTGTGCCTTATGCTTTTTTAGCAACAGTTTTATCAACATACATTTCACATACCAGGAAATTCATCTATTTAAAGTATTATTCAATGGTTTTTAGTGTATTCACAGAGTTACACAACCATCGCCAGAATCTTAGAACATTCGTGACCCCCAGATGAATCCTATACCTATTAGGAATCACTCCCTATTTCCCCTGAACTCTCTATCCCTAGGCAACCAAAAATCTACTTTCTGCCTTTATGATCTATGTTGCATATTGCATATAAGTGGAATCACACAATATGTGACCTTTCATGTCTTACTTCGTTTACTTAGCATGTTTTCAAGGTTCATCCATGTTGTGTTTCATTCATTTTTATGGCTGGATGATATACATAAAAATATTGATAAAATACATCAATATTGTATTAATATACCACACTTTATTTATCCATTCATCCATTGGTAAATTTGGGTTGTTTTCACTTTTGGCTACTGTGAACAATGCTGCTATGAACATTCAGGTACAAGTGTTTGAGTGGACATATGTTTTCACTTTTCTTGGGTATATTCCTAGGTGCATAATCCTGGGTCATATGGTAACTCTATGCTTAACCTTTTGAGGAAAAACCAGACTGTTTTTCAAAGTAGCTGCACCATTTTACAATCTTGCCAGCAGCATATTGAGGGTTCCAATTTCTCCACATCTTTGTCAATACTTGTTGTTGTCTGTCTTTTCTATTATAGCCATCCTACTTGGTGTGAAGTAGTATCTCGTTGTGTTTTTTTTTTCATTGTGATTTGATTTGCATTTCCCTGGTGGCTAATTATGTTGAGCATCTTTTCATGTGTTTATTGGCCATTTGTATACTTTCTCTAAAGAAATATCATGGCTGACTTTTGAATATCTCACTAGACTTTCATAGAGGTGAAAACATTGCTTATCATTTTCTGAGCCTAGAATCTAACTCCAGTTTACATGGAATCATGAAGTATTTTTGCATGGTTTTAATATGCAGTGAATTCAAGGAATGCAACCACCATCTAAATTGTGTGCCAATTATACCTTGTTTTATTTGGAAGCTTAGCAAGATTTGTTCATTATTTCAGAATACCTCATCACCAGTGGCAGTGCCCTCATGGTATTTGAATTGCTGGTGCAACATGCTTTTCTTTATCAGTCTGCATTTGTTGCTGTGAGATGCAAATATGTACAGATGGAATTTGAGACTACTTTTAACAGACTTAGAAACCCAGAACTATAATTGAATGTTAACAATAAGGGTTGTTTACAAATATTTTATATGATTTCCAACTTAGATATTTTAATGTTGTATAAAATGTTACCTATGTTGTGAAAGTTACTTAATTACTAAAATTAAGTAGTTTTTAATGGTCTGTTGGTTTTCAATCTTTCTTTGACTCTGTTCCCAGAAGCCTATCAAGCAACCCTTTTGGAAGCCTCTTCTGATGTTATTTTCTTTTTCAATCTGCCTTCTTCCTCTTTGCCTATCTAAGGATACAGTATCCAAGGTCTTTTTAAATACCAAAAATGGAATGCAGTAGGATTTTAAGACAGGAGATATGTTTTCTGCGTGTGTGATACAATCTGTCCAATGTCATAATAAAGAGACTCATTTTACATTGTACTAACAAACAAGACCAAACTCATTTGTACAAATATCATACTTCCTCATTTTCTCCTTTTCAACTGTCTGTAATTTTTCTCGGCTGTTATCCACAATTCAATTATGGTTATTTCCCCTCTTTCTCTTATCACATACAAATAAGTCTGATCTTTTATTACATATCCTAATTCTAGTTTACATTTTCATTTCCATTGTACTTCTGCTCTTTCATTTTCTTGTATTTCTTATATAGAAGAGTTTCTTACTTCTCTTAAATTCAAACTTTTTCATTATAAGAGAGAAGCATCTAACTGCTTCATTATATCTTCTAGTCTAGACATGCCCAGGCATTTACACATTGAAAGACTTATTATTTTATAACAAATTGCTTTCCCTCTATGTCTCTTTTGTATTAGGCTTAGGTTATTATGTTGACTTTTGAAAATTATATGTAGAGATAATTTCTGTTACCTATGACTTTCATTTCAGAATTAGAAAGGAGGTATTACAAAACATTAGTTATGAAAATGGGACTCTGGGTTAAAAATCACTGGTAACACTGTATCTTTATCCAAGCCAGTGCTGCAAGCTTCACGGGCTGGCTGTCACACAAGAAAAGGACATTTTCTCTGCACTATGGCAGGCGCGATGATCTCAGGTGAGTAGGCTTGGTTCTTGATATGCTAAAGGAATTTAGGTAATAAACTGTAGCCCAAGCCTAGTTTCATGATTAAAGAAGTCAAGTAACTATTCTCTCATTCCCACTGCAGTGAGCCTCAAGGCTAAGCTTCAGAGGGGGAAGACAATAAAACTCATGATTTAAGGGCAGATTCAAATGTATTATTTTAATGATTGCTAGCTATAAATGTTTTAAGCAGGGTGGGAAGCAACGATAATCTCCAGCTGCTGTGAAGGAATGATGTTAAGAATCTAGCTCCTTTATATCCTAACTTTATATATTGATTATCTTCAAGTAACATAGTTGCTCAGCTGTGGTCTGGGGCTCTGCACATCTCATTAATAAAGGGAGAGACTCGAACGGGAGGAGTCTAGTTGCTGCTGCATGAACTGGAAAATACGGAGGCTTTATGCATCTTGCCTTCTCTCCCTGAATCTTCCCATTGTGTTTGTTTTAATATATGATTCAATAAAGTTGAATTAAATCCAATATCAAGACATCTCCTATAATCATTACCTGGTTTTATAGCAAGAAGAGTCACATTGGTCCCTGTAAATGGTTTAATGAAGATTGTATTATTGATCCAGCCACCAACATGGCTATGACTTTCCAGACTAGAGAGAAATAGGGTCATCAACTGCCTTGAATCATTTTGGGGAGAAAATGTGTATAAACTGTAGATATGGAATAACTAAGTCCAAATGACCAGCAAGAAAAATTTCTGAGAAGGATCATAGAATCTTTTCATGGGAAATATTCAATATATTTATGTCTATTGGAAATAGAGAGGACAGGAGTACTGGATTTCTTTGTCCATTTCAGACAGAGGGTTCTGTGATTCTTTAAGAACTGTAACTAAAATAGAAAGATTTAGGGTTCTTTGAGTCATCTACTGGCGGATTATATTATTGAAATTGCTGGTTTATTCTGTATACCTTAGTGACACATGGTTCCTGTTTCTTTTCTCTTGTTTGAATCAGTCACTTCCTAATAAAATGGAGAATCTTTATGAAACAAGACTTCTTATCTTACAGATTCAGCAATACTTCTGCCTACTATATTACTTTTCTGGGGCTGCAATACAACACACCAAACAGATTGAGTGGCTTAAACAACAGAAATGTATTGTCTCATAGTTTTGGACACTAGGAGTAAAAAACCAAGGCCTCAGCATGGCCATACTCCCTCTGAAGGCACTAAGGAAGGATCTGTTCCAGACCTCTCTCCTAGCTTCTGGTAGTTCCTTTGCTGTGGGAGCAGAACTCCAATCTTCCCATGGTATTTCCCCTGTGTGTATGTATCTCTGTGTCCAAATTTCCCAGTTTTTTAAGGACACCAGTCATATTAAATTCGGGACACACCCTACTCCAGTATAACCTCATCTTAAGCAATTACTCTGTGATGACCCTATCTCCAGATAATGTTACATTCTCAGTTACTGTGGGTTCACAACGCAACATATAAATTTCTTGGGGGCGGAAACATGATCCAACTCAAAACACCTTTTTGCTAAAAACAGTAATGCCTTGTCTGTGAAAGTATGGCTATACAAAAGGAAGTAAAATAGTGGTTTTGAATAGTGGTATAGCAACCACAACTTCTAGTTTCAATTTCTAGTCCTCCTGCTTATTTTTCTTCTTGATACTGAAGTAGAAAAACACCAGAAGTCTGGCACAATTATGTGTCTATAAGTTACTCTGAGTGGCTTGTTTTTGTGTGAGGGGTAACATAATACCAATAGAGCTACAACTACTTGTCATAGAAGAATATGCAAAATTACCAGGCAAACTTCAAAGATTCTTTTAGATTTGTGCCTATAAACACTGCTGATACACACCTCACCTTCCAGCCGCCATTTTCCTCAAGGTTAAGAATCTTCAAAGCAAAGCTCAGCCCAAGCAAAGTCGTCAGGCAAAGGAGAATTCCCTTTTTGCCTATCCCCTTTCCCTCCACTCTTGTGTTTCCTCTCCTTGCACAGCATGCCTGGGGCACTTCACTGTGTCTCATTTGCCTTTTCCAGCCAGGATCCTCTGAGGTCCTCTAGCTATTCTGCCTCAGCCTTGCAATTTGGCCCAGACTGCCTCTATCACTCAGGATTTGTTATCATGAGTTTACTTGCAGAAATCTGACAGCCCTGGATTTCCTCAGGATCAGACTAAGTTGCCTTCTTTGATCACAATTAGCAAAATCATGAATCGATCCATACTAATGTGGTAGTGGAAGACAGATAAAGGAGTTACCCAGGATCCTTCCATACCTTCTAGGTAAATCTATGTGTCAAAAAGAAAGAACTTCTGGAGACAATGGGGATGGCCCTGTTATATAATTCAGCATAGTGGCTTTAGTTGGGAATCTCAGGCAAGGTCAGCTATATAATGTGCAAGGTCTAGTGCAAAATGAAAATGCAGGGCCCCATGGTCAGCATCCCAACCCCGGGGCAACAGGCAACCCCAAAGGACTGTCACTTTCATGTCAATATATGCTCAGTGCCTGGATCGGGTGTGTTCAAGAGGATTCCACCAAGTCACCTGTGAAATGGATTGTGTCATTTCACAATGTGAAATGGTGTCAAGCTTGTGATGGAGACAGCTGCCACCTTGTCCTGCCCTGAGATACCACAGGGCATGCACCAGATTCTGGCCCTCCTTGCACCTGCACCCGGGACCTGGTTCCTGGCCCAGGCAAAGGGCGGCACTGGTCATAGGTAAGACTAGGAAGGAGATAGCAGGGCAGGCCTAGGGCACCAGGGGCTGGAGAGCAGGCAGCCAGAGAACCTGTCCAGGGGAGGTAGGGAGGCAGCACTTTGGGTAAGTCTAGGCCCCATGTCTCCAGCAAATGCTCCGTTGTCCTATCAGACTTCACTTGCAAAACACAAAATCAAATATAAAATTATTGAAGTTTTAAGACAGCAGCCACAGAGCATTAAACCCCAGGTGCAGGGACTCCACAGAAAAGGGAACAATGTTTTCATACAAGTAGATCTTTGTGGTATTTCTTCAATCATGTGTCATCATAAGAGACACCAAAACATCCTGCAAAGAGTATAGGATTTGGAGTGAGAAGATCTGGAGTGAGAAGATCCAGATTTGTGTCCTGAGTTTCAGACTTACTTTATCATTAAAGAAATGATATTATCATTAAACTGTACAAAACCATGCATTTTCCATCTTATGATCGTCTCATATTAGGTGGTATCCTCTAACAGCTAAATGGAATAAGGTTAGTGTCACAGAGACCATGAGCTAGCTACCAAAATCTATTCATCTCATCTTTGGGTACAGAATAGACTAGATTTCCCAGACTTTCTTACAGATAGGTGGAGTCCTATGACTGATTTCTCTCCAATGGAATGTGACCAGAAATGACATATGCTACTTCAAAGCCAGGCCCAGAAAAATCTCCCACAACTGCTTCTCGGTGCCCTTCTTAGACTGGTTGTAGGTGATAACAGGGCCCTAGAAAGAGGAATTCTTAACTGGGGCACATGGAACCCCAGAAATTCTCTAGATAGAATTCAGGGACTCTACGATTTAGATGAGAAAAATCTTTAAATTTTTATTTCACTAATCTGTATTTGGGATGTAGCATTTCTTTTCACTATTAATATAAGCAACAAAGCACAGTGTGATGAGCAGTAACTGACTCTTTAACCAATAAAAATCACCAGTGCTGTCATATTTTATTACAGTTGCTGCAGACATCTCAAAATACAATGTATTTTCATCACTACTATGATATTAGAGTAATAATTAGATCCACTGCTAATTATTATTTAAGCATGAAATAAAAGCACATACTATACATGACAAATTAGATCTTTTAATATTTTTAAAACTATATTTCAACATAGTTTTCATTATGTCATCTTAACATTTAATTTTATGCATTTGTAAACATTATTCCAAGAAGGAAATCTTGAGGCTTGACCAGACCTCCCAACATGGCCCATGACACAAAAAGTTTAGAAACCCTGATAGGATTACGCTAAAGAGAAAAAAATCTACACAGGAAAAAAAAAAGGTTATTTACTATGTGATCCCATCTAAATGACACTGTGGAAAAGGCAAACTTATCAGGACAGAAATCGGTGAGGAAGGAAGGGGACTGTCTACAAAGAGGCACACGAGTACTTTTTGAAGCAATGGAAATATTCTATATCTTGAATGTGATAGTGGTTACACAACTGTATACATTTGTCAGAATTCATTGAACTGTACACTTAAAAAGACAGAATTTTAATATATCTAAATTATACCTAAATTTTGTAAATTTAACTTTTAAAAAACAGCCCTGCTAGAAGATAGCAGGGTCACAAGATTAAAGGAGCTGGCATGTTGTCTTCAAGGGGAGCCACCCACTAACCTGAACAACTGCCCAGGGCTGTCATGTGAGAGAGAAATCAACTTCTATTGTGCTGAGTTTGTGTACTTGAGTTTATTTGCTACCAAATAAACTTAGACTACCCTTACACATTTAGGAAGAGTATTTTGTACGGCATAATACAAATGTTGGAATGAGAATATAATGCTCCTGATGCTGTTAGTCAAGAGGTTTGCATAATTTGGACAACCACTTAACTTCTCTGAACTTCAATTTCCCCATCCATGGAATGAATGGAATTGATAGTAACCACCCACCCCCGCCCCCCGCCGTACCCCCTTGCAGTATGTTGTAAAGATGAGAGACTGGACTGCATAAATCTTAGCCTAGAGCACCCAACAAATGAAAAGCTGTTATTCAAGTAGCCACCTATTCTGATTATATTTGGAGCATTACCTACCGTATTGGTAGTCCCAGCCCTGTAAAATCTAATATTACACTTTCTTTAGCAAAACTATTTCTCGAGGTTTCATCCTCTTTTTTTAGCAAGTGATTTTCATATCTCAAAGTTAGTTGAGATGTTCAAGACCATCTGATCCAACCCTTTCATTTTCTATTTCTACTTAGGGTAACAAAATGAAAGCAAGCGCGTGGCCTTCTTCTGAGTGACAGAACTGGCAGCTCAGAGCCACTGCTGAAAAAGAAGATCCAGAAAATCCCCACATTTTGAGTCACAGCTGCAGCTGCTGAGGGCCAAGATACTATCCCACAGGGCTCCACCATTCTTGAAGAACTAAGGAGGAAAGACCTGGGAGAGGAGAGGTCACAATTTGGGAGGCTACACTTGTATTAAAATGAGGCTATTCTCTTCCTTTACCTCTAGGAAGCCAAAGAAAGTTCATCAGAGAGATTGAGGATTCCCAAACTCCCCCAACCTCAACTAAGCTAGGGACTAGAGCTAGCGTCTTATCTAAGAGTGGATCAAGAACTTGATTAGCAAAGGGCCTGATGCTGCTTCACAGACTGATGATAGATCTTAGAGGTTTGCCTGTGAGGGGCAACCTGCATTTCCACTATCAGCAGCAACAAGGATTCTTGGATGCCTGTGGGCCAAGATGACACTGCTAAAGGAGCCTGATCCTTAGCGATCTACTCCACTGAACAATGGCCAAAGAGCCAATGGGACCCCAACAGCAAGAGGCAAGTGGCGGGAACCAACTGGGACAGGGGCTGCAGACATGATAGCTGTGGAGTCCAAGCCAGATCCCCAATGCCAGGGACTATGCAAAGACGAGGTCCCTATTAGCACCCTTACAGGAACCAACAAACGCACCTCAGAGAATCCGTATGCGCTTGCTACCAAAAATGCAAATGTGTTAAGCACCAGTCAGTGTTAGAGAATCAGTAACTCAGTCACAACAAATGGAGTGGAAACTACTACCTCACCATAAGTCATTCTGTAAGAAGACCTCTGCTTCTACCTTTCCCACTCACTTCCCACCCCAGCACCAGAGGGGAAGCAGTGAGAAAGGAGGGATGAAGAGAGGTGTCTCACATAGTATCCACTTTGTGTGCTCTCTCCACACTCCTGCCAGCCATGCCCAAACCACCACTCCAGCTTCTGCCACCACCACAACTGCCACCACCACCACCATTACCACTACCATCACCACCACCACCATCACTGCACTATTGCCACTATCACTACCATCGCTACCACCATTATTACCACCACTATCACCACCAGCACCAGCACCACTACACCATTGCCACCATCACTACCATCACCACCACCACTACCACCACTACTATCATCACCACCATCACCACCACCACCACATCATTGCCACCTTTACTACCAGCATCACCACCACCACCACCACAACACTACCGCTACTACCATACCACAACCACCACTGTCCCCACCATCACTATCAGTACCAAGCAGCCTAGAGCCAGAGGTCTTACTGGTATATGTGAGGGGGTGGATAGAGATTTGGGCCTAGCATGAGTTTAATACTTAAAAACAAATACTACTGAATCTTAAAACATGTTTAATAAACTGTTTTAACAAATGTGTGTCTTCAAAGTTGTGGAAGTGCACTATTATGCCTCAAAGGAGCCCATTACCCAAAGACAGAGCATCACTTGAAAAAATAAAACCATTTCATGTTTATACCCACAACAAATTGGGACTTTTTGATAGAATGAATAATAAATTCAATAAGTTGACATTCGCTGAGCACCAAGTATATCTCAAGAAATTTAAGGCTGGCATTCGTTTAAACACGATCTCTTTCATACCTAGGAGAACCTCCTTGTTGTAATAGCTTCCAAGCCAAGGTAAGCCAATGAATTCTTCCCAATTCTAATGATAAAATAATTGGTTTGCCAATGGACTATGTGTAAATGTGTCTTAACAAGCACAGTTACTGGTCAGGCAATCATTAATGCCTCATAAATTAAGAGCAGGAGGCAGGAACAAGCGGTCCAGTAGATCTCAGAGCTTTGCCAGGGAACTACTCACCAGGGCATTACCTTGTTGGTTAATGAATGCCCACACAGCAGAAAACGTGGGATGCAAACATTGCTTCTTGCCACTAATGCATTTAATTAGTGGATGATCAGTATTCATTTGCAGAAAATAAGCACATCTGTTCTGAGACATATATTAGTGACAAAAGCAAAGTCACAACCAGATGCTTCCCTCTGGGTTTTGATGGTGGTAGTGGTGGTGCTTTGGTTTGTTTTTTTGCTCTTGTATAGACAAAAGTTCACCGTGAAATGACTCACCAAAACAGAAACTGAAAAACAAAAGTTAAGGATAAATTCATCATAATCCTTCATCAATCCCAGTAAGAGGAAAAAGGCCAAAATTGCATGCTTTGCCATTGTTATGGGTTGAACTGTGTCCCCCAGATTCATATGTTGAAATCTTAACTCCCAGTACTTAAAAGTGTGCTTGTATTTGGAGATAGAGTCTTTAAAAAGGCAATTAAGGTAAAATGAGGTCATTAATGTGGGCCCTAATCCCAAAAGATGCTGTCCTTATAAGAAATGAAAATTTGGACACAGACACACACGGGGAAAAGACCATGTGAAGACACAGGAGGAAGACAGCCATCTATAAGCCAAGAAGAGGGGCCCCAGAAGAAACCAGTCCTGCTGATATCCTGATTTCAGACTTCTAGCCTCCATAACTGTGAGAAATAAATTTTGGTTGTTAAGTTACCCAGTTTGTGGGTACTTCACCACAGCAGCCCTAGCAAACTAGTACAGGCTATCATTATTTTTCAACAGTATTTTCACTTCAAATCATGGCACTGTAGAGCTGGAAAGTGCCCAAGCATCCATTATTCAGTCCAACCTATCATTTTATGTATAGTAATAATAACTAGCAGTATTGAGTGCTTAATGTGACAGACACTGTAAGGGACATATAATATATTCTGATATTTACATCAACTCTGTTGTATTTACTGTCATCCCCATTTTTACAGATTCCCAGAGCCAGTGAACACCAGAAACTTGGATTCAAACTCTGATTTGCTTGACACCAAATTCCTGAACTCTGGAACACTACATAGAAATGAGTTAAGCAATTTGCATAAAGTTAACAACTAAGTCACAGCAGAACTAGACCAAGAATGGAGGTCACCTAACTCCCAAACCATATCCTGCCTCAACTACTGTAAGGACTTTTTTAAATACAAAGTTTTATAAAGTGAATGGGCTGGGACACGTTGCCTGGTAAAGCTGTGAGACCCACCGCCTCATGCTCTACAATATCTTTACAAATATTTCAATGAGTATCCAAGGATGAGTACGTTGGAAAGTGTGTGAAGTTTCCGAGGTCTAGGGACATGTGTGAGAGTGTCTGGATGCTGAACAAAAGTAACAGAAGCAGGAGAGGCCATGCCAATAAGGTTTAAGGTTTGAAGAGTAATATTCAAGTAGTGGGGTTTAGAAGATGAGGAACAGTTTTCACCATACCTGCAGATTCATAAGCTCACTTATACCCTAAATGCTTTTATACAACTGGTACCTAAATAGGAAATTCTGGGATTTAGGAGGGTTTCTTTTGAAGGAATTGCTTTTCCTCTCTCATGCTTCTAGAGCTTTAAGTTGAACTCCACTTTAAATTGAACTCCTATAGTCTACATTCAAGCTTGTTCTTGACATTCTCATTAAAGCTGGATTATAAAATTTCATTTTAAAAATCCATAATAAAACCTACAGTTTATGACTGTGGTGTGAAGTATCGCAAATGAAAAATGAAACTAGGTTTCCGGAGAAATTGCCTCCTCTAAGCTGCATTCACGTCTCAGTGGTCCTCAAAATGTAGTTCCCAGGCCAGCAGCATCAGTTATCAGTCAGGTGGAAACTTAGAAACACAAAGGTTCAAGCTCCTCTCCTGGGCATATTGAATGAGAAACTCCGCAATCTGTGCTTTAATAAGTCTTCCAGGTGATTCTGACACATATATGCGTTAGAAACGCTGCTCCGTAGGTACTAAAATGTTTTTTAAAGTCTTGAAATACCGAACTCCGAAATCTTTAATAAATGATTTTAAAGGGAAAGGTGTCAGAATGACCCTTACCAATTGTTAAATCATGTTCTGTCAAAGACACAATACCATCTATGGAAGTGATTCCTGTATGTTGGCCTTTTAGGTGCCCTTGAACACCAAGAGTCTGTGAGCATTGAGGGAGAACAATACACAAAAATAGTTGTGTAATTATAAATCATTGGCACTTAATTTTCTTAAATTTTTGATATTCCTACAAAAATATCCTTCTGGAACATTATCTGTTCCATTAAGTATTCTGAAATCTAAGGAATACACCAAGATATTAACAATAGTTATCTCTGAGCAGGGGAATTATGGGTGAATTTTATTCTCATCTTAATATTTTATATAAATATTTTTTCTTAAAATATTAAGTTAAGGTTAAATAAGCAATATGAGGTTCTATCAAACTCAATAAAAAGCCATTATTCATAATAGCTATAGCCAGATACACTTTTAATAGTAGAGAAAGGTTTTTTTTTCTAGCTTTTATTTTACATTTGAAGGTACATGTGAAGGTGTGTTACATTAGGTAAACACATATGTTGGGGCTTTGTTGAACATATTATTTCATCACAGAGATACTAAGCCCAGTACCCAATATTTATATTTTCTACTCCTTTCCCTCCTCTCACCCTCCTCACTCAAGTAGAACCCAGTGTCTGTTGTTTGCTTCTTAATGAAGAACAAAATTTTTACAAATAAGTTTAACCATGGAGGTGAACTATCTCCACATTGAAAACTGTAAAACATTAATGACAGAAAATGTAGAATACACAAGTAAAATTGTATCCCGTGTTCATGAATTGGAAGAATTAATATTAAAATGCCCACGCCACACAAAGTGATCTACAAAGCTAATTCCTTCTCCATCAAAATTCCAAAGGCATTTTTCACAGAAATAAAAAAACTCCAAAAACTCCAAAATACATATAGAACCACAAAAGGTCCCAAATAGATAAAGCTATCACGTATATATGATATGTATGATATATATGATATATTATATATGATATATATGATACATATGTATGATATATGAGATATAGATATATATGATTATATATGATATATGATATATATATTATGTATGTATGTATGTATATATCATATATATTATGTATGATATATATGATATATAATATATATATGATATATGTGTGTGTGTGTGTGTGTGTGTGTGAAGTTCCCCTCCCTGTGTCCATGTGTTCTCACTGTTCAACTCCCACTTATGACTGAGAACATGCAGTGTTTGGTTTTCTGTTCCTGTGCTAGTTTGCTGAGAATGATGGTTTCCAGCTTCATTCATGTCCCTGCAAAGGACATGAACTCATTCTTTTTTATGGCTGCATAGTATTCCATGGTGTATATGTGTCACATTTTCTTTATCCAGTCTAACATTGATAGGCATTTGGGTTGGTTCCAAGTCTTTGCTATTGTGAATAGTGCTACAATAAATGTATGTGTGCATTTGTCTTTATAGTAGAATGATTTATAATCCTTTTGATATATACCCAGTAATGGGATTGCTGGGTCAAATGGTATTTCTGGTTCTAGATCCTTGAAGAATCGCCACACTATCTTCCACAATGATTAAACTAATTTGCATTCCCACCAACTGTGTAAAACCATTCCTATTTCTCCACATCCGCTCCAGCATCTGTTGTTTCCTGACTTTTTAATGATCGCTATTCTAACTGGCCTGAGATGGTATCTCATTGCAGTTTTGATTTGCGTTTCTCTAATGACCAGTGATGAGCTTTGTTTCACATGCTTCTTGGCCACATAAATGTCTTCTTTTGAGAAATGTCTGTTCATATCCTTTGCCCACTTCTTGATGGGGCTGTTTGGTTTTTTCTTGAAAATTTGTTTAAGTTCCTTGCAGATTCTGGATATTAGCCCTTTGTCAGGTGGATAGATTGCAAAAATTTTCTCCCATTCTGTAGGTTGCCTGTTCATTCTGATGATAGCTTCTTTTGCTGTGCAGAAGCTTTTTAGTTTAATTAGGTCCCATTTGTCAATTTTGGCTTTTGTTGCCATTGCTTTTGGTGTTTTACTCATGAAGTCTTTGCCCATGCCTATGTCCTGAATGGTATTGCCTAGGTTTTTTTCTAGGGTTTTTATGGTTTTACGCTTATATTTAAGTCTTTAATCCATCTTGAGTTAATTTTTGTATAAGGTGTAAGGAAGGGGCCCAGTTTCAGTTTTTTGCATATGGCTAGCCAGGTTTCCCAACACCATTTATTGAATAGGGAATCCTTTCCCCATTGCTTATTTTTGTTGGGTTTGTCAATGATCAGATGGTTGGAGATGTGTGGCATTATTTCTGAGGCCTCTGTTCTGTTCTGTTGGTCTATATATCTGTTTTGGTACCAGTACCATGCTGTTTTGGTTACTGTAGCTGTGTAGTATAGCTTGAAGTCAGGTAGCATGATGCCTCCAGCTTTGTTCTTTTTGCTTAGGATTGTCTTGGGTATACGGGCTCTTTTTTGGCTGCATATTAAATTTAAAGTAGTTTTTTCTAACTCTGTGAAGAAAGTCAATGGTAGCTTGATGGAGATAGCATTGAATCTATAAATTATTTTGGGCAGTATGGCCATTTTCATGATATTGATTCTTCCTATCCATGAGCATGGAATGTTTTTCCATTTGTTTGTGTCCTCTCTTATTTCCTTGGGCAGTGGTTTGTAGTTCCCCTTGAAGATGTCCTTCACATCCCTTGTAAATTGTATTCCTAGGTATTTTATTCTCTTTGTAGCAATTGTGAATGGGAGTTCACTCATGATTTGGCTCTTTGTTCATTATTGGTGTATAGGAATGCTTGTGATTTTTGCACATTGATTTTGTATCCTGAGACTTTGCTGAAGTTGCTCATCAGCTTAAGGAGATTTGTGGCTGAGACGATGGGGTTTTCTAAATATACAATCATGTCATCTGCAAACAGGGACAATTTGACTTCTGCTCTTCCTATTTGAATACCCTTCATTTCTTTCTCTTGCCTGATTGCCCTTGCCAGAACTTCCAATACTATGTTGAATATGAGCGGTGAGAGAGGGCATCCTTGTCTTGTCAAAGGAAATACTTCCAGTTTTTGCCCATTCAGAATGATATTGGCTGTGGGTTTGTCATAAACAGCTCTTATTATTTTGAGATATGTTCCATCAATACCTAATTTACTGAGAGTTTTTAGCATGAAGGGTTGTTGAATGTTATCAAAGGTTCTTACTTCATCTATGAGATAATCATGTGGTTTTTGTCATTTGTTCTGTTTATGTGATGGATTACGTTTATTGATTTGTGTGTGTTGAACCAGCCTTGCATCCCAGGGATGAAGCTGACTTGATTGTGGTGGATAAGCTTTTTGATGTGCTGCTGGATTCGGTTTGCCAGTATTTTACTGAGGATTTTCACATCAATGTTCATCAGGAATAATGGCCTGAAATTTTCTTTCTTTGTTGTGTCTCTGCCAGGTTTTGGTATCAGGATGATGCTGGCCTCATAAAATGAGTTAGGGAGGATTCCCTCTTTTTCTATTGTTTGGAATAGTTTCAGAAGGAATGGTACCAGCTCCTCTTTGTACATCTGTGAGAATTTGGCTGTGAATCCATCTGGTCCTGGGCTTTTTTTGGTTGGTAGGCTATTAACTACTGCCTCAATATCAGAACTTGTTATTGATTCATCCAGGGATTTGACTTCTTCCTTGTTTAGTGTTGGAAGGTTTATGTGTCCAGGAATTTATCCATTTCTTCTAGATTTTCTAGTTTATCTGCATAGAGGTGTTTATAGTATTCTCTGATGGTAATTTGTACTACTGTGGGATCAGTGGTGCTATCCCCTTTATCATTTTTTATTGTGTCTATTTGATTCTTCTCTCTTTTCTTCTTTATTAGTCTGGCTACTGGTCTATCTATTTTGTTAATCTTTACAAAAAACCAGCTCCTGGATTCATTGATTTTTTGAAGGTTTTTTTGTGTCTCTATCTCCTTCAGTTCTGCTCTGATCTTAGTTATTTCTTGCCTTCTGCTAGTTTTTGAATGTGTTTGCTCTTGCTTCTCTAGTTCTTTTAATTGTGATGTTAGGGTGTCGAATTTAGATCTTTCCCGCTTTCTCCTGTGGGCATTTAGTGCTATAAATTTCCCTTTAAACACTGTTTTAGCTGTGTCCCAGAGACTCTGGTATGTTGTGTCTTTGTTCTCATTGGTTTCAAAGAACTTATTTATTCCTGCCTTCATTTTGTTATTTACCCAGTAGTCATTCAGGAGCAGGTTGTTCAGTTTCCATGCAGTTGTGCAGTTTTGAGTGAGTTTCTTAATTCTGAGTTCTAATTTGATTGCACTGTGGTCTGAGAGACTGTTTGTTATGATTTCTGTTCTTTTGCATTTGCTGAGGAGTGTTTTACCTCCAATTATGTGGTCAATTTTAGAATAAGTGCAATGTGGTGCTGAGAAGAATGTATATTCTGTTGACTTGGGGTGGAGAGTTCTGTAGATGTGTTTTAGGTTCGTTTGGTCCAGAGCTGAGTTCAAGCCCTGAATATCCTTGTTAATTTTCTGTCTCGTTGATCTAATATTGATATTGGGGTGTTAAAGTCTCCCACTATTATTGTATGGGAGCCTAAGTCTCTGTGTAGGTCTCTAAGAACTTGCTTTATGAATCTGGGTGCTTCTGTATTGGCTGTATATATATTTGGGATAGTTAACTCTTCTTGTTGTATTGATCCCTTTACCGTTATGTAATGCCCTTCTTTGTCTTTTTTGATCTTTATTGGTTCAAAGTCTGTTTTATCAGGGACTAGGATTGCAACCACTGCTTTTTTTTTCTTTCCATTTCCTTGGCAGATGATCCTCCATCCCTTTATTTTGAGCATATGTGTGTTTTTGCACGTGAGATGGGTCTCCTGAATACAGCACACCAATAGGCCTCGACTCTTTTTTATTTTTATTTTTTTTGAGACTGAGTCTTGCTCTTTCCCCTAGGCTGGAGCAGTGGTGCGATCTTGGCTCACTGCAACCTCTCCCTCCCAGGTTCAAGCAATTCTCTGCCTCAGCCTACCAAGTAGCTGGGACTACAGATGCATGTCATCACACCCGGGTAATTTTTTGTATTTTTGGTAGATACAGGGTTTCACCATGTTAGCCAGGCTGGTCTCAATCTCCTGACCTCGTGATCTGCCCACCTCAACCTCCCAAAGTGCTGGGATTACAGGCGTGAGCCACCATGCCCGACCTGGGCCTTGATTCTTTATCCAATGTGCTAGTCTGTGTCTTTTAATTGGGGCTTTTAGCCCATTTACATTTAAGGTTAATATTGTTATGTGTGAATTTGATCCTGTCATTATGATGCTAGCTGGTTATTTTGCCCGTTAGTTGATGCAGTTTCTTTATAGTGTCGATGGCCTTTACAATCTGGTATGTTTTTGTAGTGGCTGGTACCAGTTTTTCATTTCCATATTTAGTGCTTCCTTCAGGAGCTCTTGTAAGGCAGACCTGGTAGTGACAAAATCTCTCAGCATTTGCTTGTCTATAAACGATTTTATTTCTCCTTTGCTTATGAAGCTTAGTTTGGCTGGATATGAAATTCTGGGTTAAAAGTTCTTTTTTTTAAGAATGCTGAATATTGGCCCTCACTCTCTTCTGGCTTGTAGGGTTTTTGCAGAGAGATCTACTGTTAATCTGATGGGCTTGCCTTTGTGGGTAACCTGACCTTTCTCTCTGGCTGCCCTTAACATTTTTTCCTTCATTTCAACCTTGGTGATCTGATGATTATATGTCTTGGGGTTCCTCTTCTCAAGGAGTATCTTTGTGGTGTTCTCTGTGTTTCCTGAATTTGAATGTTGGCCTGTCTTGCTAGGTTGGGGAAGTTCTCCTGGATAATATCCTGAAGTGTGTTTTCCAACTTGGTTCCATTCTCCCCATAACTTTCAGGTATACCAGTCAAACATAGGTTTGGTCTTTTCACATAGCCCCATATTTCTTGGAGGCTTTGTTTGTTCTTTTTCATTATTTTTTTTTCTAATCTTGTCTTCACACTTTATTTCATTAAGTTGACCTTCAGTCTGGAATATCCTTTCTTCTGCTTGATTGATTCAGCTAGTAATACTTGTGTAGGCTTCATGAAGTTCTCGTGCTGTTTTTCAGCTCCATCGGGTCATTTATGTTCTTCTCTAAACTGGTTATTCTAGTTAGCAATTCCTCTAACCTTTTTTCGAGGTTCTTAGATTCCTTGCATTGGGTTAGAACATGCTCCTTTAGTTCAGAGGAGTTTGTTATTACCCACCTTCTGAAGCCTACTTCTGTCAATTCGTCAAACTCATTCTCCATCCAGTTCTGTTCCCTTGCTGGTGAGGAATTGTGATCCTTTGGAGGAGAAGAGACATTCTGGTTTTTGGAATTTTCAGGCTTTTTGCACTGGTTTTTCCTCATCTTCGTGGATTTATCTACCTTTGGTCTTTGATGTTGGTGACCTTCAGATGGGGTCTCTGAATGGATGTCCTTTTTGTTGATGTTGATGCTTTTCCTTTCTGTTTGTTAGTTTTCCTTCTAACAGTCAGGCCCCTCTGCTGCAGATCTACTGGAGTTTTCTGGAGGTCCACTCCAGACCCTGTTTGCTTGGGTATCACCACCAGAGCCTGCAGAACAGGAACAATTGCTGCCTGTTCCTTCCTCTGGAAGCTTCGTCCCAGAGAAGCACCCACCAGATGCCAGCCAGAGCTCTCCTGCATGAGGTGTCTGTCGACCCCTTCTGGGAGGTATCTCCCAGTCAGGAAGCATGGGGGTCAGGGACCCACTTGAGGAGGCACTCTGTCCCTTAGCAGAGCTCGAGTGCTGTGCTGGGAGATCCGCTGCTCTCTTCAGAGCCAGCAGGCAGGGACATTTAAGTCTGCTCAAGCTGTGCCCATAACCGCCCCTTCTCCCAGGTGCTCTGTCCCAGGGAGATGGGAGTTTTATCTGTAAGCCCCTGACTGGGGCTGCTGCCTTTCTTTCAGAATTGCCCTGCCCAGAGAGGAGGAATCTAGAGAGGTCGTCTGGCTACAGTGGCTTTGTGGTGCTGCGGTGGGCCCCACCCAGTCCGAACTTCCAGGAGGCTCTGTTTACACTGTGAGGGGAAAACCGCCTACTCAAGCCTCCAAAATGGCAGACGCCTCTCCCCCCACCAAGCTGGAGCATCCCAGGTCAACTTCAGACGCTGTGCTGGCAGCAAGAATTTCAAGCCAGTGGATCTCAGCTTTCCGGGCTCTCCGCTGAGATAGACCACTTGGCTCCCTGGCTTCAGCCCCCTTTCCAGAGGAGTGAATGGTTCTGTCTTGCTGGCATTCCAGGCACCACTGGGGTATGAAAATAAAACTCCTGCAGCTAGCTTGGTATCTCCCCAATGGCCGCCCAGTTTTGTGTTTGAAACACAGGGCCCTTGTGGTGCAGGCCCCGAGGGAATCTCCCCATCTGTGGTTGTGAAGACTGTGGGAAAAGCGTAGTATCTGGTCCGGAATGCACCATTCCTCATGGCACAGTCCCTCATGGCTATGAGAGGTGACAGCATGCTGGCAGCCCTCGCAGCCCTCGCTCACTCTTGGTGCCTCCTCAGCCTGGGTGCCCAACATAGGGCTGCGCTTGAGGAGCCCTTCAGCCTGCCGCTGCACTGTGGGAGCCCCTTTCTGGGCTGGCTGAGGCCGGAGCCAACTCCCTCAGCTTGCGGGGAGGTGTGGAGGGAGAGGCGCAGGCAGGAACTGGTGCTGCACGTGGCACTTGCAGGCCAGCTCAAGTTCCGGGTGGGCGTGGGCTCAGCAGGCCCCATACTTGGAGCGGCCGGCTGGCTGGCACTGCTGGCCCTGGGCAGTGAGGGGCTTAGCACCCGGGCCAGCAGCTGCAGAGGGTGCGCCGGGTCCCCCCATTAGTGCCGGCCCACCGGTGCTGCGCTCAAATTCTTGCCGGGCCTCAGCTGCCTCCCCGTGGGGCCGGGCTCGGGACCTGCAGCCCACCATGCCTGAGCCTCCCCCTGCTGCCGTGGGCTCCTGTGTGGCCCAAGCCTCCCCAATGAGTGCTGCCCCCTGCTCTGTGGTCCCATCGACCGCCCAAGGGCTGAGGAGTGCGGGCGCATGGCGTGGGACTGGCAGGCAGCTCCGCCTGCGGCCCTGGTGCAGGATCCACTAGGTGAAGCCAGCTGGGCTCCTGAGTCTAGTGGGGACTTGGAGAACCTTTATGTCTACCTAAGGGATTGTAGATACACCAGTCAGCACTCTGTGTCTAGCTCAAGGTTTGTAAATGCACCCATCAGCACTCTGTATCTAGCTAATCTGGTGGGGACTTGGAGAACCTTTATGTCTAGCTAAGGGATTGTAAATACACCAGTCAGCACTCTGTGTCTAGCTCAAGGTTTGTAAACACACCAATCAGCACCCTGTGTCTAGCTCAAGGTTTGTAAATGCACCAATCAGTGCTCTGTGTCTAGCTAATCTAGTGGGGACTTGGAGAACTTTTGTGTCTAGCTCAGGGATTGTAAATGCACCAATTATCACCCTGTCAAAATGGACCAATCAGCTCTCTGTAAAACAGACCAATCAGCTCTCTGTAAAATGGACCAATCAGCAGGATGTGGGTGGGGCCAGATAAGCAAATAAAAGCAGTCTGCCCGAGCCAGCAGTGGCAACCTGCTCGGGTCCCCTTCCTCACTGTGGAAGCTTTGTTCTTTCACTCTTTGCAATAAATCTTGCTGCTGCTCACTCTATGGGTCCACACTGCCTTTACAAGGTGTAACACTCACTGCGAAGGTCTGCAGCTTCACTTCTGAGGCCAGCAAGACCACGAACCCATCAAGAGGAATGAACAACTCCAGACACGCAGCCTTATGAGCTGTAACATTCACTGTGAAGGTCTGCAGCTTCACTCCTGAAGCCAGTGAGATCACAAACCCACCAGAAGGAAGAAACTCTGAACACATCCGAGCATCAGAAGGAACAAACTCTGGACACGCCACCTTTAAGAACTGTAACACTCACCGCAAGGGTCCGCAGCTTCATTCTTGAAGTCAGTGAGACCAAGAACCCACCAATTCCGGACACAAGTTTCCTTGGCTAGGGAAGGGAGTTCCCTGACCCCTTACGCTTCCTGGGTGAGGCAGCACCCCACCCTGCTTCTGCTTGCTCTCTGTGGGCTGCACCCACTGTCTAAACAGTCCCAATGAGATGAGCTGGGTACCCCAGTTGGAAATGCAGAAATCACCCGCCTTCTGCATTGATCTTGCTGGGAGATGCAGACCGGAGCTGTTCCTATTTGGCCATCTTGCCACTACCCCAGGTTTTTTAAACTGACATAAAAAGCATTTTTAATAAACTGAATTGAACAAACACATTATTTTCCATTACCTTTTTTTTGCCTTCTAATATGTGATGAATGGGCTGATAATATTAGGTGAGAATTAGGCAGAAATTATTCTAGAGAAGAAGTCCAAATAGACTTATTTTAATTATAACTGAATTTGTTAAAATATTGAAATATTTCCTACTCCAAATAAAGAATACGTTTTGGAATCTATAGAGAAATTCTTCATATAATACACAGAGTCACTGCCTATAATCCCTTGTCATGCATGGGCTGCTCCTCTCTTTGGTTGCTTGGCAGTTATACTGTAATAAAAGGGAGTTCATATTTTAGCTGTTTGCTTTTTATTGCTGCAGCTGAGATTGAAGTTTTTTATTTTCCTCACTTTGATTCTTTAACATGTTTTCTTTTACATAGATCTATTGTTTTCATTTTTATATGTTTTTCATTTAGATTTATTTTAGGTACTTCCTGTGAATTTTATGGGTCTCCATTCTTATTGTTGTGGTTGTCATTTCTGAAACCAATGAAGCATAGCCTTTTACAGGGTTGCCTTGTAACAATCTAGTGAGCTAGAAGAAAGTTTGGCATTCTATTTCTCTACAATTTCCTACCCAAATAATGATGCTGTACGTAATGTTGTTAGAATAACTTTTGAAATTCCAAATAAGGTCTTTTTTCATATGTTCATTTTTGGCAATTCCCAAATACTGTGTTATTGTCTTCCTATTATGACTTACTAAAGAAAGCACAGAAATAGAGTCAAAAAGCCCTGGGTTAAGTCCAAGTTCCACCACTTACTGATTCTATGAATCGCTTAACTTCTTTGAACTCCACTTTTCTCAGCTGTAAAATGGGAGTCACATTAACAACATCACAGAGGTTATAAAAACAAATAATATACTAGTAATGCTGTAAAATTTTAGAGTAATTAATTTTATTGTTTTCTGTCCTAACTCAAGTGCCCCAGGTAGCATGAAGTAAAGGGAATAGAAAGAGTATAATTCACAGGAAATGAAATCTGCCTTCAGAATAGAGCTTAGAATTTGTCCTTGACACATTCTCATTTCCACGTATACACTCTGCACTTACTTTACATACACCTTATCTTTTTTCAGCTTGTGATCTTTTTCAGGTGGCTTGCTTGAAGTTTTTAACCAGGCCTGGGAAGATTTTCTAAACTGAAGAGTTTCTAGGATGAGGTGGAGTGCTGGCGGTAAAAACATACCAGAAGAAAACAAAATTTAAATGCACCCTAGCACTGCCATCTGTCCAACCTATCTAGTTCCCCTCCAGAAATCACTGCCACATTCTCTCCTCAAGCCAGGCTGGGGATACATATGGATTTTGAGATAGAAATAAAAACTGACGCATGACTTTGCATGTATGTATTTAGATGTACATAGGGTCACTTCGTCTTATGGAGATCAAGTGGAGTACTAGAAGGGAAGGAACGAATGAACTTTATAAAATGTGTGAGAGATGTGGTCCCAGAGCAACTTCTAGGAGTTTGTCAAATCAAATAGAAACATGTATGTGGGAAGGTCTGAGAGAATGGTACAAAAGTAATAATCCTAGGCCACTAATACAGGAGTTTGAAATGAACTTGATAATGACAAGGTAGTTGGAGGTAAGTACAAATACAGGAAGGGATGCAATTTAGTGCTTAGTCTTTCTATTTCATTGTATTATTTCCCCCAGTTAATTAAAGCATTTGTCCATTGGAAGATACTTGATTTACTTTCTAAGATCTTTTGGTATTTTGCAGAATGAGAAACTGGTTTGTACTAACTACAATTAATAATAATGAAAAACAGCATTCCATCAAATTATGCATGGATTCTGTGTACCTAATATAAGAATATAAGAATGAGAAAACTCTTATGACACTAAATAAGTCAATACATTCATATTGAGACATGGTCCCTCAATTTATCTACCTATGTGCAAAAAATAATAATACTTATTTTATAAAGATGTTATGATGGTGAGTGGGGCTAATGCTTATAACACTGAAAATACTGAGGGTTAATTCGCTTTGACGAGTTTTTCCACGATGGGGGCAGAGAGGGGGAAGTTTTGTGAACACTTCTCATCTTGAAAAGAAAAATGACAATATTCATCCTGTAGGCCCAAAAGGCAGATTAAATGCTTCTTTAAAGTTAAAAGGAGGTATTATAATCCTCTATTCTAAAGACTGCAAAATATTTTATGTTATTCATAGACCGTGTGCTTGTTCTTTCATTAGGCCTTACCAATATCAGCAGAGAAAAACTTCATTCATTTACTCAAGAAACATTTATTGAGCATTTATTTGTAGTTCTATTTATTAATAACATGATTCCTGTTATCAATATAGATTAAGTATATTTTTAAAAAATTATCTTCCATTCTAAAATAATTTAAAAAATAAAATATAATCATCCATTTCAAAGTTTATTCTATGGTCTATGCAACAAAAATATAGTTTGCTCACGGAGAAGAATGATTGTCAGTTTTAATTTCAAAGACAATTTGTAATTTTTGGTCTAAACATTTCTGAATATAAAATGTTTCAAACTAAAAGAAGTATTTTAAAAACTGTAAATTGTAGACTGTAAAGATGTGAACTAAAACCAAGAAAAATTATTTAATAGATTATAAGTAATAATATTGTATTAAATATCAACTTTAATTCAATTGAAGTAATACCAAAGGACCTTCAAAGAGAAAGATTTACCACTGGTCCACCCTCCTTTCATAAAAATAAGGCATTAAAAAGTAGTTGTTTGGAGCTGGGCATGGTGGCTCATGCCTGTAACCCAGCACTTTGGGAGGCTGAGGCAGGAAGTTCGCTTGAGCCCAGGAGTTTGAGACCAGCCTGGGCAACATAGAGAGATCCCATCTCTACAAAAAATTAAAAATAAAAAAAAAGTTTTTAAAGTATTTGTTTTAGGGTATCATTAATGTCTATCAATATCAAATAAATAATAACTGTTCTAGATTAATAAAGATTTTACATCCCCTAATTTGGCTGTCCCAATATGCATGTTAACCACTTTTGTGCAGACTCATCTGTCAATGAAATCTTCCCAAGAGAAGATACTGCCACGTTATGGAGGGTGACATCCAGCCATATTACTTACTAATTGGTCCACACCAAGGGCCTCTCACCAGCATACCACAAAATATATGGTAGATTGTGATTAAAATAAAAGAATTATGACCACCAAAGTTAACAATATCTTATCCAGGACATGGAACTGATTTAAGAAACACATTAGTAGCATCCTCCCCATTGTCACTGTATACATACAAAATGATGAAGCCTTTTAACAGGAGGAACAGACCTAAGCAAGCCTTCCATTAGACATGAGCCCCCCAAATCAGAGGTGGTTCTAATCACTTTATTTTTTTTTTTTAAATAGAGACAGGGTTTCGCCATGTTGCCTACGCTGGTCTTGAACTCCTGAGCTCAAGTGATCCACCTGTCTTGGCCTCCCAAAGTGCTAGGATTACAGATGTGAGCCACTGCACCTGGGCCTAATCACTTTAAAACTCATTTTAAAGCTACTAAATTTGCCACAACAAAGTTAAATATCACTAAATCACTATCACCAACAAACATTTCTGTAGTGTCTATGATGAGTAAAACATAATACATGCTTTTATTAGTCCATCACACTGCTATAAAGAAATACCCAAGACTAGGTAATTAATAAGTGAAACAGGTTTAATTAACTCACAGTTCCACATGGCTGGGGAGACCTCAGGAAACTAACAATCATGGCAGAAGGCAAAGGGGAAGCAAGGACCTTCTTTGCCTGGCGGCAGGAGAGAAAAGAGACGAGGGAAGGAGGAACTTGCCAAACACATATAAAACTATTAGATCTCGTGAGAACTCTACCACAAGAACAGCATAGGAGAACCACCTCCATAATCCAATCACCTCCCACCAGGTTCCTCCCATGACATATGAGAATCATGGGGATTACAATTCAAGATAAGATTTGAGTGGGGACACAGAGTCAAACCATATCAATGCTGTAGGGAAAACACAGTATCTGAACTCAAAGAGCTTTTAAGGCTGCTGAAAAAAAAGAGCATATACATTAAAAAGTGAAGTAAAATATAAGGTAGCATGAGGCAAACTATGGCACTAGATGGGCATTAGATATAAAGAAAAAGAAGCTAGCATTTAATTAAAGCCTATTATATGTCTATAAGCCAGTCACTAACCAGGGTACTTTATGTAGTTATATGCTTAATTGGAATTTTAAGAAAACAGAAAGATTCTATCCAGTGAAAGTAATTCAACACTTAAAGATTCAGTCACAAAATGTTCTAGAACATTATTTGTGACATTGACCAACTGAAAACATTCTAAATATTTACTAGAAAAGAACAGTAAAGAAAATTTTGATGCAACACTATTGGAAAAACTGTATGTAGTCATTAAATAAGAAAATTACAAATCAGTATGAGTCAGTATTTCCCAAGCATGAGAAAATGCTAACTCTAGTGTACTAATTAAAAAGAAGTATAGGTCAGGGGAGGTAGCTCACACCTGTAATCCCAACACTTTAGGAAGCCAATGCAGGAGGATTGCTTCAGGCATCATCTATGAAGTGGTCTTGCCAAAAACATTATTCTAAATGTAAACAAGGTCTTTTATCTAACTTCATTGATAGGAAATTCAGGGAGCAGAAAAACAAGGTATATGTCACCTTGAGGAAATAGTCACCCACCAGAATATAGGGTATTATATAAGACTGGTCTTTTTAAATGTCAATGTCATGAAAAGAGACTAAAGAAACATAACAACCTAATGGCCATACTTGATTGTATCCTGGTTCTTTTAAAAAAAAAAAAAACACACATTTTTTGGCCAGGCGTGGTGGCTCACGCCTGTAATCCCAGCACTTTGGGAGGCCGAGGTGGGCGGATCACGAGGTCAGGAGATCGAGACCATCCTGGCTAACACGGTGAAACCCCGTCTCTACTAAAAATACAAAAAATTAGCTGGGCTTGGTCGTGGGCACCTGTAGTCACAGCTACTCAGAAGGCTTAGGCGGGAGAATGGTGTGGACCCGGGAGGCGGAGGTTTCAGTGAGCCAAGATCGTGCCACTGCACTCCGGCCTGGGTGAAAGAACGAGACTCTGTCTCAAAAAAAAAAAAAAACAAAAAAAAACACATTTTTTTAAATCAAGAGGGAAATTGCCTATAATTATGCTGAAGTAGCTACTGTCAATATTTTGGTATATTGGGTATAGTTTTTTCTACACATATATTTAAACTTTTTATGATAAAATTAAAATCATTTTCAAAAGTTCATACTACAACCACTTAAACCTGTTTATACTGAGTACTTTGATGAAATTATATTGTTGACAGCTTATATTTTTCTACTAAGTACAGAGAATCAATGTCATCAGTTTAAAAGGAAATTTTGCTATAAATTTCTGTAAGCTTGGTAAATTCTATAGAGACATTGCACTTTCCAGAAAAGTCTAATTTAAATGTATTAGATCAACACAAAAAATCATATTCAATTCAAAATAATTTAAAAGTATAAGTGATATTTATACAGAAGTATAATTTAAGAAAATAGAAAATAAAAAGCAAATAACTACTGTTGTAATCACTGAAAATATGCTGAATAAGTGGGTGAACAGTCTTTATGTATATATCCACATTGGTGCATACTTCATCAAAGACTTCATCAAAACAAAAATACAGGTTTCACCCAGTAGCTTATAACTGTAATCCCAACACTTTGGGAGGGAGGCTAAAGCAGGAGGATTGCTTGAGCCAGGGAGTTTGAGGCTGCAGTGAGCTGAGATAGTGTCACTGCACTCTAGCCTGGGTGACAGAGCAAGACTCTGTCTCAAAAAAAAAAATTAAATTAAATTAAAAACATGCTGAAAAATAAATTTGATTTTTATAGAAAAAAATTCTGTAATTTCCAATTTGTCTTAATTATAATATGCTATTTTTATAATCAGAAAAGGTAAGAAAAGAAAATGCAGGCATTGGGTAGAATTGTGTGTGAAAAAATAAAGAAACCTTAATTCTATCAATTTAAGGCAATTGTGATATGGGCTATAGTTGCTTTGGTTCTGACATTATTTTTTATTTTTATTTATTTTTATTTTTTTGAGACATAGAGGGTTTCACTCTGGTTGCCCAGGCTGGAGTGCAGTGGTGCAATCACAGCTCACTGCAGCCTTGACCTCCTGGGCTCAGGTGATGGCCCCACCTCAGCCTCCCAAATAGCTGGGATTACAGGTGCATGCCACCACGCCCGGCTAATTTTTTATATTTTTAGTAGAGACAGGATTTCGCTATGTTGCCCAGGCTGATCTCAAACTCCTGGACTCAAGCAATCCGCTCACCTTGGCCTCCCAGCGTGTTGAGATTACAGGTGTGAGCCACCATGCCCTGCCTGATATTATTTAATATATTAACAGTTTCCAAAAGGAAGTTCAAGGAATATTAAGTCATATTTCAAATAGTATCCTGGCAAGGCAATAGGGAGTGCTACAAAAACAGGCCAACCCAGACACAGACTGCCCACATTGTTCATTAATAAACATGGACATTTTTAAATCTGGAAAAAATGCAATCCAATACCTCTGGGGAAATTCTTTTCTGCATAGTTATTCAATAATAGAGAAGCCTGGAAAGCAACAAATGGCAAGGAGGAAAAACAATGGAGAAACAGGGTAAGATCTTTGAATGATAATGAACAACAAGTTTGAGATTTGTTTCCAACGACGTAAGTGAAAAACAGGTCAGCGCTGATTTGGACTAGGTATAGAGGCAAAAGACTGCCTGCTGAGACCATCTAGTCCTATGCAATGTTCAAACTGGGGACACAAGACACCTGAAAAGAGTAGGTCTAGCAAAGCATATAAATAGGAGCCTTCAGGGATTCATTCATTTAAAAAAAAGAAATTAAATATGCAGAACCTGCCAAGAGATGACAGAATGAAGAGATAATGGTACAAAAATATGTAAAAGATATGAATGCCAAGAAGAAAGAGAAAATGTTTAGCCCAGAGCTAAGAATAATGGGATTTAATACATTAAGAACTGAAAACAGTTGTAGTAAAAATTGTTTAAATGGTGTCATTGGCCCATCTCTTACCACTTGCTTTTACAGGCTACTGTGTAATTTGATAGTTATATTCTCCCAGTCCTAGTGACTCACATGGGTTAATTCTCTTCCTTCACAGGCTGCTTAAATTCCTTAAATGATTACATAGCACAGTAGTGACTAAATTTTGCTGCACATGAGAATCATCTGGGGAATTTTTAAAATCCTAGTGTTCAGGCTATATCCCCTACCTATTAAATCAAGGTATCTGAGAGCCGGAGCTGACCATGAGTATACTTCCAAGAGCACCAGGAGATTCCAATGTGGAATGTGCAGCAAAGTTTGGAAGCTGCTGGCACGGTGTGCAAAGGCAAATGTTAGGAGCTCTACTGATTACAGAATTCATGCTCATAAATATGTTTCAAGAAAAACTTACCCCGCAAGTGCAAACAGCTCAGTCAAATCCTATAACTTCTACATAGGAGGAGGCAGGAATTGAGACACTATAGGCAGAAAAATATCAAGCTGAGAGAGTCAGCAACCAGAAATAGAAACTGGTAAATTGTACCCCAGGTTGAGCATGGTGGGGAACCTTTGCTGGAATTCGTGAGGACTGATTCCATACTGGCTGAAAATGAGTAGATTGTCATTTTTTGCCTTGTTTTTATGGATAGTAATTGAGAGTTTAAATAACGTTATGGTTTGAAACCAATTGCATCAAAAATGTTTTCATCATTAGTCAATGTTGGTTTTATCTCAGAGTATCAAACCCAATTTTGAATTGTTTCCATTTCCTTTTTGCTTTCTGTCTGATAAAGTATTTATTAGCATCCCCCACATAATAATTTGGAGGATTTCTTGAATCACTGTAATTTTAAAAATATATGATATGATGTAGGTATATAAATTTGACAGTGATTTGAAAAGCAGGTAAAGTTTATTTCACTTGAAAAGTCTATGATAAATTATTTTGAGTTTGGCTTTTGAAAGCAAATTTATGATTTATGTTTACATATTCAAGAGGCCAAAGATTATCTCTCTGTCTCAAATATTTTCCTTCATCAAAAGCTGACGTATTCTTCCCTGCCTCCATTCCATTGTCCACCAGTGTGTCTTTCCAATCTGTCTTCACCCTGGTCCTCTCCATGGTCCCTACCCCTCATTGAAAAGGAATTTCCCAGACCAGAGGGGAAGGCTTAGCCGCATAATTTGGGATAGGAGTAAGATCAGTGTCTCCCACAAATGGCCAAGCCTGATCTATCTTAGGGAAGTGGAGAAAAGATCTAGGGCTCCCAGTAACCTAGCAGGTCTGACTTGTAGCTGCATACCCACTAACAAGTGGGATGGGAACTTCCTTTTCAGAATGGTCTCACTTCTGTAGCCTCAGTGACCCAGAGCTGAGTCTGATGCATTTACCCACAGCCCTTTCTACACCTCCTCATTTGAAGGCCATGATATCACTTTTACCATCACTTCCAAATAATCTCTACCAACATTTATCCCTTCAAGACATTTACTTCTGCTGGCATTTGGATATTATTCTTTGCCCCACGTTCATATTCCTGTTAATACCCTTTGCAATTCTGGTTATCTGGTAATGAACCATATAACTCCTTAATCTCATCCCCTTAATCTTTTTGACTCCACTGAATTTCATTGTTTCCCACCTCTTGCAATCCCCAGATGGTCCACATTCTGGACTCCGTCATCACACGGCCCTAAAACACATCTAACAACTCAGAATTCTCCCAGTGAAATAGCAGTTGCCCGCCTGTTCGCATTCATCTGTTTGACCAGCAATTTGGACTGCAACTGTGTGCTCTGCACGAGGGTGTAGCAATAACCAAGACACAGCTAATCCTGCCCTCACAGATGTCGCCATCTTTCTCACACTGTTGTACACAGCGAACCTGGTTTTCTTCCCCTTCATCAAGTTTCTACTTCCCTCCATATTTAAGCCCCTGTCCAAGTGTATTTCATTCCACCAGCTTAAGTGTCTATGCTCCTTGGGTGTAAGTATTACAATGCCAATGCCTGCTATGCTAATTCCCAACTGGCTCATTCTCATGGTGTATTTTATTTTTTATTTATTTATTTATTTATTTTTGAGACAGGGTCTCACTCTGTCATCCAGGCTGGAATGCAGTGGTGCAATCTCAGCTCACTGCAGCCTCAGTCTCCTGGGCTCAAGGGATCCTCCCATCTCAGCCTCCCAAGTAGCTGGGACTACAGGTGCATGCCACCATGCCTGGCTAAATTTATTTTTTGTACAGACGGGGTCTCCTTGTGTTGCCCAGACTGGCCTTGAACTCCTGGTCTCAAGCGATCCTCCCACCTTGGCCTCCCAAAGTGCTGGGATTACAGGCGTGAGCCACCATGTTTGGCCTCACAGTCTGCTTTTTCTGTTCCTGTTCTTAGATACCAGAAAAACAAAATACCAAGAATACCTTTTACCTCCACAGGTTGACATTTTCTAACTACAGAGAGGAGGAAGGTAGGGCTCCTGCTAAGCACCAATTGTTCGCTCCTTCTGTACTTTACTCCACACAATGATTCTCACTTCTCTTCCCCTCCCATCAAGTCCCCAGTCTCAACAGTTATCTGGTATCCAAAAGAAGCCCTCAGCATGAGCTCCTTCACTTACTGTCTTCCCCACAGGGCATTTCTTTGACAACTTTCCTCTGACCCCCTCCTTCAGTATAAAAGAAAAGGAAAAAAAAATTCCTTCTCCTCTCCACACCTATCAGGATCCCACCTGCAGCCAATGCCTCTGGTCCTCTTCCTTAGCTAGTCATAACTGTTTAAAATGCACACTGTGGGGAAAAATACAAACCAAATGATATAATTCAATATGTACATATGGAATAGATGGACATGTATACAAAAATCTGTGAAGAATACACATCCAACTCCCCATGTTGCTTACTGTTGGCAAACTGTGTTGAATTGGAGTGGGGAGGATTTGCAGCAAGAATGTATTTATGTGTTACTGGTATAAATTAAAGATATTCCCAGGGCCTTTAGAACTGTCTCATGTGATTATCATGGATTTTAGATAACACCAGTTTAAATATATGCACACATTAAAATAGATAAATATTTTAGCCAAAATAGCACATTTCATCCCAGTAAGACCCTTGCCTAGCACCTTTCCAACAATATAATCCCTTAATCAACATTTCAGCATCTGTAGCTTAACAGAGCTATCTGGATTGACTATAGAGATTTGGGAGTCATCAGCTTATTGGTGGTCAATGAAGCAACTGAACTAGTTGAGATCGCCTTGGAAATATTTGTAAATAAGAAGAGAAGTGATGCAAGGTCAGAACTAAGAAAAACATTGACTTGCAAAGAGAAACAGAGGCACCCCTGAAAGACAGAAGCAGAAGGTATCTCTGCCACTTCTGTCAGTCTGCCAGTCCATTCTTCTCTTCCCATGGCAATGGTGACACCGTGCCATGCTGTTCCCCTTTGGCTTGTGGTCCTCACTCAAATCTCATCTTGAATTGTAGTTCCCATAATTCCCATATGTTGTGGGAGGCATCCGGTGGGAGATAATTGAATCATGGGAGCCGTTCTCCCATACTTTTCTCATGATGGTGAATAAGTCTCATGAGATCAGATGGTTTTATAAGAGGAAACCCCTTTCACTTGGTTCTCACTTCTCTCTTGTTGGTTGCCATGTAAGACGTGTCTTTCACCTTCCACCATGATTGTGAAGCCTCCCTAGCCATGTGGAACTGTGAGTCCATTAAACCTCTTTTTCTTTATAAATTACCCAGTCTCGTGTATGTCTTTATCAGCAGTGTGTATACGAACTAATACAACTATTTATTGCATTTAGCAACAAAATGATCATTGGTGCTATAGAGTGAAAGTGTCCCCAGAAATTCATATGTTGCAGCTCTAATCCCCAAAATAATGATTCGAAGGTGGGACTTTGGGAGGTAACTAGGTCATGAGGACACAGCTCTCATAAATAGATTAGTGTCCTTATAAGAAGAGATGTGAGAGATTCTCTCTCTCCCTCTCTCTCTCTCCCTCCCTCCCTCTTTCCCTCCTTCTCCCTCCCCCTCTATCTGCCATATGAAGATTCAGCAAGATAACTGTCTACAATCCAGAAATCGGCCTTCACCAAGAACCAAACTGTGCTGGCACCCTGATCTTGGACTCCCAGTCTCTAGCACAGTGAGAAATAAATGTCTGTTGATTAAGCCACCCATCTATGGCATCTTTATTATAAGTAGCCCAAACTGACAAGGACAATTGGTGACCCTGGCTCCAGCAGATTCAGTGAAGTGTCAGTACAGAAATCAGAGAATACCTGACTGGGGAGTGAATATTAGGTGAAGAGGTAGAGACAAGTGTAAATTCAGAAAAATTTGGCAGTGAAGGGAGAGGCAGAGAAGTAGCTATGGAGAGATGGAGGTCAATGTGTGACTTTTCAATTCAGAAGCTACTGGCATGCATTTAAATTCTAGCGGCAAGGATCCAGCTCACAGAAAAAGGATAACAACTAGTTGGCATACTTGCCACTCTACAAAACACATTCTGAAATATCATAATCGACTCCTGCTCACAAAATGCGATGGACTTTCCTCAATTCTTTCTCCCTAATTTTCTGCAGCATTTAATAAAGTCAATCATCCCTTTCCTTGAAATTCTCTCTTGGATTTCTTGACACTTTGCCTTCACCTATTTCTCTGCCTTCCTTCTCTGCTGGCTTGTACTCCCACTGCCTGACAGTGTTTATTCCTCAAGGTGCATGTCCTTGACCTTTGAGCTTTCCACTCTGTGTTCTCTATTCAGCCAGTCTGACTACGATGATTTAACCCACCATCACCTTGCTAATAAGGCACATATTCCTATCTCCATGGCCAACTTTTCACCCATGCTTATTCACACATTTTCAGCTCCCAACAGGATGACTCCCCTTGCTTGTTATTATCTTATTCAAAATTAAAACCATTAGCTTTTCTACTCAAACAAGCTTTCTTTTGAAACATTCCCTAATTCTATCAATTAACATCATTCTCCTAGAAACAGAGAATTGAACACTACTGGGCACTGAATCCACTGGTTTCTTTGTATGTTTTTTATCACTGCCATCTTTTCCTCTTTGTTCCTGTTGTAATGGCCTTCCCACTGGATTCTTTTTCTTCTCTCTTTCCTTCTTTTTTTCTTTTCCTCCTTTCTTTATTTTCTATCTTTTCTCTTTCTTCCCTTATTTCTTCCTTCCCTCTGAGTCTTATTTAATACACACACAGACACACACACACACACACACACACACCAGCTTTATTGAGATACAATTCAGCCATTTAAAGTGTATAATTCAGCCAAGCACAGTGGCTCATGCCTGTAATCCCAGAACTTTGGGAGGCCAAGGCAGGTGGATCACTTGAGGTCAGCAGTTCTAGACCAGCCTGGCCAATATGGTGAAACCCTGTCCTACTAAAAATACAAAAATTAGTTGGGTGAGGTGGTACATGCCTGTAGTCCCAGCAACTTGGGAGGCTGAGGCAGAAGAATCACTTGAACCCAGGAGGCAGAGGTTGCAGCGAGCTGAGATCGCACCACTGCACTCCAGCCTAGGTGACAGAGCCACAGTGAGACTCCACCTCAAAATAAATAAATAAAGTGTATAATTCAATAGTTTTTGAATTATCTTCATCTTGAGGATGAATGCCAGTTAATCGAGGATCATACAAGACTAGTGTGATGAAGGCTCAGACACTGATGCCTTCATCACTGTGATGATCCACCAAAGACACCACAAACTAGAACTCTTCTTTGCTGACCTCTGACTCTCTAACGTTTGGGGTTATAACAGGATTTTTTTAAGCATTAAATCTTCTTTTGCTTAAGTGAATGGTGCTTGGACTCATTCTGTTTGCTTTGCTTAGACTAATTAGAAAAAATGTAAGTGGTCTAGAGAGGAAGGGAGTAACCCAGATATTAAAGGAAGGACCCTTCACAGTCTAGCTATAAATAAAACCAAGACCACCAATAAAACATGTTTATATTTTATTCATTATATTATATTCATTATATTATATTCATTATATCTAAACTTATGCTTCTATTGCTACCAATCACCTACAGAAAGAACTTCAAGCTCTTCAGCATGTCTATGGCCCCTGTCATCTGGTTCCACCTTTTCTACCCAGATTTCCCTCATCTTTTTTCAGTACCAACACCCTTCCTGGTATCCATCTCTTCTACCTCCCAAATGTGTTATACTAACTCCCAACTCTGCATTTGCTGGAGCTATCTGCCTTTTTCTCCCTCTGAACAGATTCCCCTTCCCCCGCCCTCTGCTTTTTCAAATTATGTTGCTACTCAAGCTCCTGGCAAATGACTGAGTTGGGAAGTCAAGAAGCTATGCCCAGACTCAGTGCTTGAACTCAATAATGTAGTATGTTTCTACATCCTGTCATTATATTTTAGAAAAACAATTTAGTAACAGATGGTGAATGCTTTTCATTTCTTAGCTATACACTTAACAATTTTCTTTTGGCCTAGCTTATTAGTTTTAGTTTTTATTCATCCAATCCAAAATTTAATGTCAAAAGTTATAGAAGCAGATGCTCCCAAGAACAGGAAGAATAGAGCAGTTAAATATATAGTACTCAAATATGCAAGAAATATGTATTTTTAAATATCTAAAATAATAAGCAAAATAAACAATGCAACAACCAATGCCCTAGCTAATAACAGACTTTTTAAACAACAAAGAAATATGGGTAGAGAATAACGAATACTTACCGTTCAAGTTAGTTTGGATGTGAACGTCTTCAAATTGAAAGTATTTAAAGTAAGCTAGTGACTTTCCCAGTAAACCTAAAGAATACTTTAAAACTTTCAAGAATTTTAAAGTAAAAATTTAAAGTATCTTTTGTAAACCATATTGTGGCACAATTAGTAAACTTCTTAATACCAAAACCTCACTAACCAGGTATGCTCTCAATAAATCAAACCCTAATTTTATCCAAATTCCCTTAAAAAACTGTTGACAAATAATCAAATATTTATAAATTAAAGTGAAATACCATTTCTGCCATCCAAACTGGCTTTGCCATCTAATTATGTCACACACACATAGGATTATACCATGTCCTGTTTTTTTAAAGTACTCACTGCAACAATGTTAAGGTTACATGGATACTCTCAAACACCACTGCTAGACAAATAACTTGGTTCAACCTTACTAGAAAACAATCTGGCATTTTAAATTATCTATCCTATGGTCTTACAATTTTTATTTAATTTTTACATAATTACCTAATATTTCATCAAATGTGTATATCACTAGTTATTTAATTATTCCCCTACCATTAAATTTTTTTTTGAGATGGAGTTTCACTCTTTTTGTCCAGGCTGGAGTGCAATGGCACAATCTTGGCTCACCACAACCTCCGCCTCCCGGGTTCAAGTGATTCTCCTGCCTCAGCCCCGCTGAGTAGTTGGGATTACAGGCATGTGCCACCATGCCTGGCTAATTTTGTATTTTTAGTAGAGATGGGGTTTCTCTATGTTGGTCAGGCTGGTCTCGAACTCCTGACCTCAGGTGATCCACCTGCCTCGGCCTCCCAAAATGCTGGGATTACAGGCATGAGCCACTGTGCCCGGCCCTAATATTTATATTTTTTCTAGAGAATGTCATTATAAATGCTGCAATTAACATTTTACATAAATTTCTGACATTATTTTCTTTGGTTGTTAATTCTTAGAAGAGATTGTAGAAGGTCAGGGATAGAAGAATAATTTTTAAGGTTCTACTTTTAATCAAGCCTATAGAGTGGTAGTTCTCCACAAAGCAAGAAGATGGGCTCTCTTAGGGCCAGAATTTTTGTCATCTGCTTTGTTAACAGCTGCAGCCACAGCACCTGAACAATACTTGGTACACAGTATGCCCTTAATAAATATTTATAGAATTAATGATTGAACAATAGTCATACACATGCAAATTTTGACATCTTCCCTTATAAACTTCTTGGAAGACATCTCACCCTGTCTTATTAGGGATGGCTGAAGGCTCATTAGCACTTGGTGAAAATATACCATGTGCAGACATGAAATTTGGACAGATTCATCCAGATATTCTGTCTTTGAGTTTTAAAAGAGATAGTATGGTTTTTTTCCCAAGATGGTGGATTAGAGGCTTTTAGTGTGCCTCCACCACTTGAAAATAGCAAGATAGTACATAAAGATCAACTCTGTGAGCTTTAATTTAAGAAGGAAAATGGGAATCCACCATAATTGTGAAGGACACCTCAGAATCTGTGAAGGATAATGTGGGGACAGCCCCTATAATGGCATCTGGCTGATAAAAGTGAGTGAAGCCCCAGTGTGTGAGGAGGCAGAGAGTCCTTCTCTGTGACTCACCTTTCCACTGGGGATCCAAGCAACCCAGTCGAGGAGAAACTTTGTTTCTCCCAAGCCCTGGAGCTAACTTGGGGAGAGACTTGGAGACTCTGTGAGGGAAAGACAGTGGGCAAAGCTGCAGACATTTTCTCAGACCTAGGACCAAGAGTAGGATGCCATTTTTAATCCAGGCGCATACAAAGGCAACCATTCTTAGGCAATTCAGCAGCGTAACTGTGCAGGCATTTTAGTCTCAAGCCAGAGATTGGAATGCCTGCTCTGGAGAAAGGTAGGGGCCTCCACAGCCAGAACTGTGAAAAACACCTCAGCAATAGGTGCTGCAATTGTGCTCTCCCATATTGCAAGCCTGGAACCAGAGGAGAGCAGCTACATCTGCAGTTTCTCCTCAGCAACCAGTCTTGCAGCCAGGGCCAGCTTGATGACCTCGAACTGATCTTCATGTGCCTTGCTGGGTATACTAGACTGCTCCCCTAAGACTGTGGTGCAGTGGGGCCGTCTCTGCTCCACCCCAAGGCAGATTTCCTACCATTCAGAGCACCCATTCACCTGGTTCAGCAGCCTGAGCCACCTCATGCTTCTCAGGCATAGATCATGGTGCAGCAGAGCTTTCTCCACTCCACACCCAGACAGATCTCTAGGCATTTGGATCCTGCTCATATGGATGAGCAGCCTGACCTGCCCCACTGTTCCAGTGCAGAGATCCTAGTTCAGGGGGGCCTCTCTGCTGTCTCTGCTTCATGCCAAGGCAGATCTATGGCATTCAGAGCACCTGCTCATCTGGTTCAGCAGCCTGAGCCACACACACACCCTTCCGGGACATAGATAGTGGTAGAGTGAGTGACTGTCCACTCCATGCCCGAGCAGGTCTCCAGGCATTCAGAGCACCTGCTTGCCTGGTTCAGCAGCCTGAGTCACCCCAGCCCTCCTGTGCAGAAACCTTGGTGCAGGGGGGACCCTTTCTACTCCATATCCAGGCAGATCTTCAGGCATCTGGAACACTCACTCTCCTGGATTAGGAATTTAAACTCCCCCCATCCCCACGCAGAGAACTTGGGACTGAAGAGGTTTCCCTGCTCCATGCCTAGGCACACCTCTTGGTGCTTGGTGGCTGCCTACTGGATTCCCCCATGGTGTTGGTGCTTGTGCCTGTCATCAGGAGATCTATAGGTGGACCTGCTGAGTCCAGCCCCACCCTTCATGGACCCTGCCTCTCCAGGGCTGAGCAAGCAGCTCAGACCACTGCTCATCCCGGGCAACAGAGGGCAACAGAGAGCTTCTGCTAGTAAACAAGGATCAAATATATACCCAGCCACACTGGCCATAGCAGCTGTTACTTATAACTGCCATCTACTGGCCTGTAGGTCAAACTGCACTGCCCAATATAAAACCTGCTGAAAGAAGTGCATAGGGCTATAGAAGCAAAGCCAAAAGACCCTACCCAACATTCTCTACAGTCACACTCCTGGGGTGGAGGGAAGGGAAATGAAAGAAAAAATAATAATATTATTATAGGGGAAGAAATAAAAGAAAAAAACCCTACTCACATGGAAATAATTACAAAAATTAGATGTGACAGTATCTCCAGATGAGAAGGAACCAGCACAAGAATTCTTGCACCATGAAAAATCTGATTGTAGTGACACCACCAAAGGGTCACACTAGCTCTCCAGCAACTGTCTTTAATCAAAATGGAAACTCAGAAATGACAGAGAAATCAAAGTATGGATTACAAAGAAGCTTAATGAGATCCAAGACACAGTTGAAAATCAACCCAAAGAAACTTCTAAAGGAATCCAAACAATGAAGAAAGAGATAAACATCTTAAAAAGAAATCAATCAGAGCTTCTGGAAATGAAATACACACTTAAGAAATTTCAAAATACAATTGAAAGCTTTACCAATACACTGGATCAAGCAGGGGAAAAAATTTCAGAGCTTGAAGATTGGTCCTTTGAATGAACCCAGGCAGACAAAAATAAAAAAGAATTTTAAAAAATGAACAAAGTCTTTGAGAAATATGGGATTATGTAAAGCACCCAAGCCTATCAACTATTGGCATTCCTGAGAGAGAAGGAAAAAAAGTAAACAACCTGGAAAACATATTTAAGGAAATATGTGCCACTGCATTCCAGACTGAGCAACAAAGCATTCTGTCTCAAAAAAAAAGGAAAGAAAGAAAAAGAAAAATAGAAATAACTAAAATTAGAGTAGAACTGAATGAAGTTGAGACCCAAAGATCCATACAAAGAATCAACAAAACCAAAAGTTTGTTCTGTGAAAGGATAAACAAGATCAATAGATCACTAACTAGATTAACAAAGAAAAAAGAGCGAATGTCCAAATAAACACAATCAGAAATGACAAAGGTGGTATTACAACCAATCCCACAGAAATACAAAAGATCCTCAGAGGCTATTATGAACACCTCTATGAACACAAACTAGAAAATCTAGGGGAAATGGGTAAATTCCTGAAAACATACAATCTCCCAAGACTGAATCAGGAAGAAACTGAAATGCTGAATAGACAAATATTGAGTTCCATAATTGAATCAGTAATAAAAAACCTACCAACCAAAAAAAGCCCTGAACCACATGGATTCACAGCTGAATTCTACCAGACATACAAAGAGGAGCTCGTACCAATTACCAAAATTGTTCCAAAAAATCGAGGAGGAGGGACTCCTCCCTACCTTGTTCTACAAAGCCAACATCACCCTGATACCAAAACCTGGCAAAGACACAATAAAAATGAAAACTACATGCCAATATCCCTGATGAAAATAGATGCAAAAATCCTCCACAAAATACTAGCAAACCAAATCCAACAGGACCTCAAAAAGTTAATTCACCACAATCAAGTAGGCTTCTTTCCTGGGGTGCAAGGTCATCAAAAAATGTGATTCATCCCATGAACCGAATTAAAACAAAAGCTATATGGTGATCTCAATAGACACAGAAAAGGCTTACAATAAAATCCAATATCCCTTCATGACAAAAGCCCTCAACAAAGTAGGTATCAAAGGAACATATCTCAAAATTTTAAAAACCAACTCTCACCATTCTTGTTCAACATAGTACTGAAAGTGCTAGCCAGAGCAATCAGATAAGAGAAAGAAATAAAAGTGATCCAAAAAGGAAAAGAAGAAGTAAAACTATCTCTTTTCATGGATGATATCATTCTATATTTAGAAAACCCTAAACACTCCACCAAAAGGTTCCTGGAACTGATACACAACTTCAGTAAAGTTCCAGGAAACAAAATCCATGTAAAAAATCAGTAGCATTTCTATAAACCAATAATGTTCAAACTGAGAGCCAAGTCAAGAATGCAAACCCGTTTACAATAGCCACAAAATAATAAAATACCTAGGAATATATCTAAATAAGGAGATGAAAGATCTCTACAAGGAGAACTACAACACACTGCTGAAAGAAATCACAGATGACACAAACGAATGGAAAAACATGCCATGCTCATGGATTAGAAGAATCAACACCATTAAAATGTCTACACTTCCCAAAGCCATCTACAGAGTCAAAGCTATTCCTATCAAACTATCAGTGTCATTTTCCAAAGAACTAGAAAAAACTATTCTAAACTTCATATGGAACCAAAAAAGAGCCCAAATAGCCAAAGCTGTTCTAAGCAAAAACAACAAAGCTGGAGGCATCAAATTACCCATCTTCAAACTACACTAGAAGGCTACGGTAACCAAAACAGGATGGTACAAAAGCAGACAATAAACCAGTGGAACAGAATGGAGAATAAAGAAATAAAGCCATATCCTACAGCCATCTGATCTTCAACGAAGTCAACAAAAATAACCAATGGGGAAACAACTCCCTGTTCAACAAATGGTGCTGGGACAGCTCACTAGCCATTATGCAGAAGAATGAAACTGGACTCCTACCTATAAGCATACATGAAAATTACCTCAGGATAAATTAGAGATTTAAATATAAGACTTCAACCTATAAGAATCCTAGAAAAAAACCTAGGAAACACCATTCTGGACATCAGTTTTAGGAAAGAATTTATGACTAAGTCCTCAAAAGCAATTGCAACAAAAACAAATTCACAAGTGAGACTTAATTAAACTAAAGAGATTCTTCTCCACATAAGAAACTATGAACAGAGCAAAACAAAACCTAAAAAATTGGAGAAAATGTTCACAAACTATGCATATAACAAAGGTCTAACATCCAGAATCTATAAGGAACTTAAACAATTCAAAAAGCAAAAGACAAATAATCCCATTTAAAATGGGCAAGAGATATGAATAGACACTTCTTAAAAGAAGATACACAAGCAGCCAACAAAAATATGAAAAAAATCTCCACATCCATAATAATCAGATATATGCAAATCAAAACCACAAGAAGATACCATCTCACACCAGTCAGAATGGGTACTATTAGAAAGTCAAAAAATAAAAGATGTTGGTGAGGCTCCAGAGAAAAGAGAACACTTACACACTGTTGGTGGGAAAGTAAATTAGTTCAACCACTGTGAAAAGCAGTTTGGAGATTTCTCAAAGAACTTAAACCAGAACTACCATTCAACCCAGCAATTTTATTACTGGCTATATACAAAAAAGAAAATAAATCACTTTACCAAAAAGATACATGCACTTGCATGTTAAACACAGCATTAGTCACAATATAAAAGACATGAAATCAACCTAGGTGCCCATCAGTGGTGGGCTGGATAAAGAAAATGAGGTACGGAAGATGGCTGAATAGGAACAGCTCCAGTCTGCAGCTCCCAGCGTGATTGACACAGAAGACGGGTGATTTCTGCATTTCCAACTGAGGTACCTGGATCATTTCATTGGGACTGGTTGGACAGTGGGTGCAGCCCATGGAGGGCGAGCCGAAGCAGGGCAGGGCATCACCTCACCCAGGAAATGCAAGTGTTCGGGGGATTTCCCTTTCCTAACCAAGGGAAGCCTTGACAGACTACCTAGAAAAATGGGAAACTCCTGCTCAAATACTGTGCTTTTCCCAAGGTCTTAGCAACCGGCAAACAAGGAGATTCTCTCCCGTGCCTGGCTTGGCGGGTCCCACGCCCACAGAGCCTTGCATACTGCTAGCGCAGCAGTCTGAGATCGAACTGTGAGGCGGCAGCCTGGCTGGGGAAGGTGTATCTGCCATTGCTGAGGCTTGAGTAGGTAAACAAAGCAGCCAGGAAGCTCGAACTGGGCGGAGCCCACCACAGCTCAACAAGGCCTACTGCCTCTGTGGGCAGGGCATAGCTGAACAAAAGGCAGCAGACACCTTCTGCAGACTTAAACATCCTTAAACATCCCTGTCTGACAGCTCTGAAGAGAGCAATGGTTCTCCCAGCATGGCATTTGAGCTCTGAGAACGGACAGACTGCCTCCTCAAGTGGGTCCCTGACCCCTGTGTAGCCTAACTAGGAGACACCTCCCAGTAGGGGCTGACAGACACCTCATACAGGTGGCTGCCCTTCTGGGACAAAGCTTCCAGAGGAAGGATCAGGCAGCAATATTTGTTGTTCTGCAGCCTCCGCTAGTGATATCCAGGCAAACAAGGTCTGTCTGGAGTGGACCTCTAGCAAATTCCAACAGACCTGCAGCTGAGGGTCTTGACTGTTAGAAGTAAAACTAACAAACAGAAAGGAATAGCATTGACATCAACAAAAAGGTCATCCACATCAAAACCCCATCTCTAGGTCACTAGCATCAAAGACCAAAGGTAGATAAAACCACAAAGATGGGGAGAAACCAGAGCAGAAAAGCTGAAAATTCTAAAAACCAGACTGCCTCTTCTCCTCCAAAGGATCGCAGCTCCTCACCAGCAACAGAACAAAGCTGGACTGAGAATGACTTTGATAAGCTGACAGAAGTAGGCTTCAGAAGGTCAGTAATAACAAACTTCTCCGAGCTAAAGGAGGATATTTGAACCCATCGCAAGGAAGCTAAAAACCTTGAAAAAAGATTAGACGAATGGCTAACTAGAATAAACAGTGTAGAGAAGACCTTAAATGATCTGATGGAGCTGAAAACCATGACACGAGAACTTCGTGACGTGTGCACAAGCTTCAGTAGCTGATTCGATCAAGTGGAAGAAAGGGTATCAGTGATTGAAGATCAAATTAACGAAATAAAGCGAGAAGAGAAGGTTAGAGAAAAAAGAGTAAAAAGAAACAAACAAAACCTCCAAGAAATATGGGACCATGTGAAAAGACCAAATCTACATTTGACTGGTGTACCTGAAAGTGACAGGGAGAATGGAACCAAGTTGGAAGACACTTTTCAGGATATTATCCAGGAGAATTTCCCCAACCTAGCAGGCAGGCCAACATTCAAATTCAGGAAATACAGAGAACGCCACAAAGATATTCCTCGAGAAGAGCAACCCCAACACACATAATTGTCAGATTCACCAAGGTTGAAAAGAAGGAAAAAGTGTTAAGGGCAGCCAGAGAAAAAGGTCGGGTTACCCACAGAGGGAAGCCCATCAGATTAACAGCAGATCTCTCAGCAGAAACCCTACAATCCAGAAGAGAGTGAGGGCCAGTATTCAACATTCTTAAAGAAAAGAATTTTCAACCCAGAATTTCATATCCAGTCAAACTAAGCTTCATAAGTAAAGGAGAAATAAAATCCTTTACAGACAGGCAAATGCTGAGAGATTTTGTCACCACCAGGCCTGCCTTCCAAGAGCTCCTGAAGGAAGCACTAAACATGGAAAGAAACAATTGGAATGAGCCATTGCAAACACATGCCGAATTGTAAAGACGATCGATGCTAGGAAGAAACTGCATCAATTAACGGGCCAAATAACCAGTTAACATCATAATGATGGGATCAAATTCACACATAACAATATTAACCTTAAATGTAAATGGGCTAAATGCCCCAATTAAAAGACACAGACTGGCAAATTTGATGGAGTCAAGACCCATTGGCATGCTGTATTCAGGAGACACATCTCATGTGCAAAGACACAAATAGGCTCAAAATAAACAGATGGAGGAAGATCTACCAAGCAAATGAAAAGCAAAAAAAAAGCAGGGGTTGCAATCCTAGTCTCTGATAAAACAGACTTTAAACCAACAAAGACCAAAAGAGACAAAGAAGGTCATTACATAATGGTAAAGGGATCAGTTCAACAAGAAGAGCTAACTATCCTAAATATATATGCACCCAATACAGGAGCACCCAGATTCATAAAGCAAGTCCTTAGAGACCTACAAAGAGACTTAGACTCCCACACAATAATAATGGGAGACTTTAACACCCAACTGTCAATATTAGACAGATCAGGGAGACAGAAGGCTAACAAGGGTATCCAGGACCTGAACTCAGCTCTGCACCAAGCAGACCTAATAGATATCTACAGACCTCTCCATCCCAAATCAACAGAATATACATTCTTCTCAGCACCACATCACACTTATTCTAAAACTGACCACATAATTGGAAGTAAAGCACTCCTCAGCAAATGTAAAAGAACAGAAATCACAACAAACTGTCTCTCAGACCACAGTGCAATCAAATTAGAACTCAGGATTAAGAAACTCAATCAAAACTGCACAACTACATGGAAACTGAACAACTTGCCCTGAATGACTACTAGGTAAAAAAGGAAATGAAGGCACAAATAAAGACGTTCTTTGAAACCAATGAGAATGAAGACACAACATACGAGAATCTCTGGGACACTTTAAAGCAGTGTGTAGAGGGAAATTTATAGCACTAAATGCCCACAAGAGAAAGCAGGAAAGATCTAAAATCGACACCCTAAAAATCACAATTAAAAGAACTAGAGAAGTAAGAGCAAACAAATTCAAAAGCTAACAGAAGGCAAGAAACAACTAAGATCAGAGCAGAACTGAAGGAGATAAGAGACACAAAAACCCCTTCAAAAAATCAATAACTCCAGGAGCTGGTTTTTTTTGAAAGGGTCAACAAAATTGATAGACTGCTAGCAAGACTAATAAAGAAGAAAAGAGAGAAGAATCAAATAGATGCAATAAAAAATGATAAACGGGACATAACCACCGATCCCACAGAAATACAAACTACCATCAGCGAACACGATAAACACCTCTATGCAAATAAACTAGAAAATCTAGAAGAAATGGATAAATTCCTGGACACACACACCCTCCCAAGACTAAACCAGGAAGAAGTTGAATCTCTGAATAGACGAATAACAGGCTCTGAAATTGAGGCAATAATTAATAGCCTACCAACCAAAAAAAATCCAGGATTCACAACCAAATTCTACCAGAGGTACAAAGAGGAGCTGGTACCATTCTTTCTGAAACTATTCCAATCAACAGAAAAAGAGGGAATCCTCCTTAACTCATTTTATGAGGCCAACATCATGCTGATACCAAAGCCTGGCAGAGACACAACAAAAAAAGAGAATTTTAGACCAATATCCCTGATGAACACCGATGCGAAAATCGTCAATAAAATACCGGAAAACTGAATCCAGCAGCACATCAAAAAGCTTATCCTCCACGATCAAGTTGGCTTCATCCCTGGGATGCAAGGCTGCTTCAACATGCAAATCAATAAACGTAATCCATCACATAAACAGAACCAATGACAAAAACCACACGATTATCTCAATAGATGCAGAAAAGGCCTTCGACAAAATTCAAAAGCCCTTTATGCTAAAAACTCTCAATAAACTAGGTATTGATGGAACATATCTCAAAATAATCAGAGCTATTTATAACAAACCCACAGCCAATATCATGCTGAATGGGCAAAAACTGGAAGCATTCCCTTTGAAAACTGGCACAAGACAGGGATGCCCTCTCTCACCACTCCTATTCAACATAGTGTTAGAAGTTCTGGCCAGGGCAATCAGGCAAGAGAAAGAAATAAAGTGTATTCAATTAGGAAATGAGAAAGGCAAATTTTCCCTGTTTGCAGATGACATGATTGTATATTTAGAAAACCCCATCGTCTCAGCCACAAATCTCCTTAAGCTAATAAGCAACTTCAGCAAAGTCTCAGGATACAAAATCAATGTGCAAAAATCACAAGCATTCCTATACACCATTAACAGTCAAACAGAGAGCCAAATCATGAGTGAACTCCCATTCACAATTGCAACAAAGAGAATAAAATACCTAGGAATCCAACTTACAAGAGTTATGAAGGACCTCTTCAAGGAGAACTACAAATCACTGCTCAATGAAATAAAAGAGGACACAAACAAATGGAAGAATATTCCACGCTCATGGGTAGGAAGAATCAATATCATGAAAATGGCCATACTGCCCAAGGAAATTTATAGATTCAATGCCATCCCCATCAAGCTACAAAAGACTTTCTTCACATAATTGGAAAAAACTACTTTAAAGATCATATGGAACCAAAAAAAAGCCCACATTGCCAAGACAATCCTAAGCAAAAAGAACAAAACTGGAGGCATCTCACTACCTGACTCCAAACTATACTACAAGGCTACAGTAACCAAAACAGCATGGTACTGGCACCAAAACAGATATATAGATAACTGGAACAGAACAGAGACCTCAGAAATAACACCACACATCTACAACCACGTGCTCTTTGACAAGCCTGACAAAAACAAGAAATGGGGAAGGATTCCCTATTTAATAAATGGTGCTGGGAAAACTGGCTAGCCATATGTAGAAAGCTGAAACTGGATCCCTTCCTTACACCTTATACACAAATTAATTCAAGATGGATTAAAGACTTAAATGTTAGACCTAAAACCATAAAAACCCTAGAAGAAAACCTAGGCAATACCATTAAGGAGATAGGCATGGGCAAGAACTTCATGACTAAAAACCAAAAGCAATGGCAACGAAAGCCAAAATAGACGAATGAGGTCTAATTAAACTAAAGAGCTTCTGCACAGCAAAAGAAACTACCATCAGAGTGAACAGACAATCTACAGAATGGGAGAAAATTTTTGCTATCTACCCATCTGACAAAGGGCTAATATTCAGAATCTACAAAGAACTTAAACAAATTTCCAAGAAAAAAACAAACAACCCCATCAAAAAGTGGGCAAAGAATATGAACAGACATTTCTCAAAAGAAGACATTTATGCAGCCAACAGACACATGAAAAATTGCTCATCATCACTGGTCATCAGAGAAATGCAAATCAAAACCACAATGAGATACCATCTCACACCAGTTAGCATGGCAATCATTAAAAAGTCAGGAAACAACAGATGCTGGAGAGGATGTGGAGAACTAGGAACGCTTTTACACTGTTGGTGGGACTGTAAACTAGTTCAACCATTGTGGAAGACAGTGTGGCGATTCCTCAGGGATCTAGAACTAGAAATACCATTTGACCCAGCCATCCCATTACTGGGTATACACCCAAAGGATTATAAATCATGCTACTATAAAGACATATGCACATGTATGTTTATTGTGGCACTATTCACAATAGCAAAGACTTGGAACCAACCCAAATGTCCATCAATGATAGACTGGATTAAGAAAATGTGGCCCATATACACCATGGAATACTATGCAGCCATAAAAAAGGATGAGTTCATGTCCTTTGCAAGGACATGGATGAAGCTGGAAACCATCATTCTGAGCAAACTATCACAAGGACAGAAAACCAAACACCGCATGTTCTCACTTATAGGTGGGAATTGAACAGTGAGAACACTTGGACACATGATGGGGAACATCACACACGGGGGCCTGTCGTGGGGTGGGGGGCAGGGGGAGGGATAGCATTAGGAGAAATACCTAATATAAATGATGAGTTAATGGGTGCAGCAAACCAACATGGCGCATGTATACCTATGTAACAAACCTGCACGTTGTGCACACGTACCCTAGAACTTAAAGTATAATAAAAAAACATAATAAAAAATAAAAATAAAAGTGAACTTCAACCCTTTACAAAAAGTAACTCAAAATGGATCATATACCTAAATGTAAAAGCTAAAACTATAAAATATCTAGAAGAAAACTGAAAATCTGGGAGTAAGATGGCCCAATAGAAGCCTCTATCAATGGTTCACCCTAGAATACCAAACTGAAAAACTATCCATGCAAAAAAAAAAAAATCCACCTTCATAAGAACAAAAAATCAGGTGAGTAGTCACAGTACTTGGTTTTACTTCATATCACTGAAAGAGGCACTAAAGAGGCTAGGAAAGACAGTCTTTAATTGCCAGCCCCACCCCTTCTCCACCTCAAGCTGCAGCCATGTGGCACAGAGAAAGAATAAGTGTGCTTGAGGGAGGAAGAACACAGTAATTGTGCGGCTTTGGAACTCAGTGTTGTCCTGTCACAGCAGAAAGGAACACCAAGCAGAATTCACCTAGCACCCACAGAGGGAGGATTTAGACCAGCCCTGGCCAGAGAGTAATAGCCCATCCCAGCAGTCAAAACTTGAATTCCAGCAAGTCCTGCCACCATGAGGTAAAATGCTCTGTTGTTCTAAATAAGCTTGAAAGGCAGTCTATGCCATAAGGACTGAAATTCCTGGGCAAGGCCTGGTGCTGTCCTGGGCTCAGAGACAGTGGACTTGTGGGGAATGTGACCTAGTGAGACATTAGCCAGGGCAGCCAAGGAAGTGTATACGGAACCCCTCTCCTACCCCAGGCAGTGCAGCTCACAGCTTCAGGAGACTCCTTCCTTCTACTTGAGAGGCAGAGGAGGAAGCGTAAAAAGGACTTTTCCTTGCAACATGGATACCAGCTCAGTCACAGTAGGATAGGGCACCAGGCAGGGATTTGAGGCCCCATTCCAGGCCCTAGCTCCTGGATGAAATTTTTAGACACATCATTGGCCAGAAGGCAACCCACTCCCTTGAAGGGAAGGGCCTAGTCCTCGCAAGATGTATCACCTGCTGACTAAAGAGATCCTGGGCCCTGAATAATCATCAGTGGTAGCACTGATGAATAAGCACAAGGTGGTGCTCATCGTGGGCCTTGGGTAAGATTCAGAGACATACCAACTTCCCAGCTGTGGTCACTATAGGGAGAGACTCCTTCTGCTTGAGAAAAGGAGAGGGACAAGTAAAGAGGACTTTGCCTTGCAGCCTAGGTACCAGCTCAGCCACAGTGGTTGATATAGTTTGGATATTTGTCCCCACCCAAATCTCATGTTGAAATGTAATCCCAAATGCTGGAGGTGGGGCCTGGTGGGAGGTGTTTGAATCATGGTTGTGGATCCTTCATGAATGGCTTCAGCCATCCCCTTGGTGGTAAGTGAGCTCTCACTCTGAGTTCACATGAGATGTGGATGGTTTAAAGTATGTGGCATCCGCCTCCCCACTTTCTGTCTCGCTTGCTCCTGCTTTTGCAATGTAACATGCCTGCTTCCCCTTTGCCTTCTGCCATGATTGGAAGCCTCCTAAAGCCTCCTCGGAAACTGAGTAGATGTGGGTACCATGCTTCCTGTAAAGCCTGCAGAACTGTGGGCTAAGTAAACCTCTTTTCTTTACAAATTACCCAGTCTCAGGTATTTCTTTATAGCAATGCAAAAATGGCTGAATTCAGTGGGGTTAGAGCACCAAGCAGACTCTTGGGATCCCTAATTCCAGGTCTTGGCCCTTAGAAGACATTTCTGGACCTGCCCTGGGCCAGAGGGGAGCCCACTGCCCTGAAGGGAGAGTCCTCAGCCTGGTAGCATTCACTACATGCTGATTGAAGAGCCCCTGGGCCTTGAGTGAACATCAGTGGGAGCCAAACAGTACATGCCATGGGCCTGGGGTGGTGGCGGCCACAGGGATAAACTCCTCTACTTGTGGAAAGAGGAGGAAAGAGTGGGAAGAACTTTGTCTTGTTGCATTGGTGCCAGCTCAGCCACAGTAGAATAGAGCACCAGGTAGATTCTTAAGATGTCTGACTCAAGGCTCTGGCTCCTGGACAGCATCTCTGGACTCCCCCAGGGCCAAGAAGAACTCACTACCCTGAAAAGAAGAACACAAGCCTTACTGGCTTCACCACCTGCTGATTTTAGAGCCCTAGGGCCTTGATAGAACATAGGCAGTAGCCAGGCAGTGGTTATCATGGGCCTTATGTAATATCGACTGCTGTGCTGGCCTCAGGTCTGACCCAGTGCAGTCCTAGTGGTGTGGCCACGGGGTATTTATGTCACCCCCTCCCCCAGTTCCAGGCAGCTCAGCACAGAAAGACTACATTTGTTTGGGAGAAAGTTAACGATGAAAACAAGAATCTCCCCCTGGTAATCCAGGGAATTCTTTGGGATCTTATCCAATACCACCAATGTGGTACTTCTACAAGTCTGCATGAGCCACAGCATTACTGGACTTGGGGTGCCCCCTAATGCAGATATGGCTGCAGTGACCAAAAATTTAGATGACAATACCCAAGTCCCTTCAATATCTGGAAGGATGATTACAAACAAGCCCAGATTATGAAGACTGCAATAAATACCTAACTCTTCAATGCACAGACACCAACAAACATCCGCAAGCACCAAGACTATCCAGGGAAATATAAACTCACCAAACAAACTAAATAAGGCACCAGGGACCAATCCTGGACAGAGATACATGATCTTTCAGACAGAGGATTCAAAATAGCTGTTTTGAGGAAACTCAATGAAATTTAAGATAACATGAAGAAGGAATTCAGAATCCTCTCAGAAAAATTTGAGAAAGAGATAGAAATGTTTAAAAAGAATCAAGCGAAATTCTGGAGTTGAAAATGCAATTAACATACTGAAAAATGCATCAGAGTCCCTTAAAAGCAGAATTGATGAAGAAGAAAGAATTAGTAAGTTTAAAGACATGTTATTTGAAAATATACAGTCAGAAGAGACAAAAGAAAAAGGATTTAAAAGAATGAAACATACCTAAGAAATCTAAAAAATAACCTCAAAAGGGCAAATCTAAGACTTCTTGGCATTAAAGAGAAGGTTTCCTAGAAGAGTGTATCCAGTGAAAATATCCTTTAAAAGTGAAGGAGAGGCCAAGCCTGTTGGCTTACACCTGTAATCCTAGCACTTTGGGAAGCTGAGGTGGGTGGATCACTTGAGCCCAGGAGTCCAAGACCAGCATGGGCACCATGGAGAGCTCCCATCTCTATTAAAAAAAAAAAAAAGGAGAAATAAAGTCTTTCCCAGACAAACAAAAGCTGACAGATTTCATCAACAGAAGGATCAATGAAGCAAAAACTTGGTTTTTTGAAAAGATAAACAAAATCAATAAACCTTTAGCCAGACTAACAAAGAAAAACAGAGAAGACTCAAATAAATAACATCAGAGATGAAAAAGGAGACATTACAGCAAATACCATAGAAATTCAAAGGATCATTATAGGCTACTAAAAGCCGCTATATATGTCAATAAATTGAAAAACCAATAAGCAATGGACAAATTCCTAGACTCATACAATCTACCAAGATTGAACCATGAAGAAATCAAAAACCTGAACAGACCAATAACAAGTAATGAAATTGAAACTGTAATAAAAAGTTTCCCAGCAAAGAAAAGCCTGGGACCCAATGGCTTCACTGCTGAATTCTACCAAACATTTAAAGAAGAACTAACATTAACTCTACTCAAACTATTTCAAAAAAACAGAGGAGGAAGGAAAGTTTCCAAACTCATTCTATGAGTATTACTCTAATACCAAAACCAGGCAAAGACAAATCAAAGAAAGAAAACTACAGGCCAATATCTTTGAGGAATATTGATGCAAAAATTCTCAACAAAAAACTAGCAAACCAAATTCAACAACTCATTAATAAGATCATTCATCATGACCAAATGGGATTAATTTCAGGAATACATGGATGGTTCCACATATGTAAATCGATATGATACATCATATCAACAGAATGAAGGACAAAACCACATGATCATTTCAATTGATGCTGAAAAAGCATTTAACAAAATTCTGTATCTCTTCAAGATTAAGCCCTCAAAAACCGTGTATAGAAGGAACACACCTCACCAAAATAAAAGGGATATATGACAGACCCACAGCTACTATCATACTGAATGGGAAAATACTAAAAGACTTTCCTCTAAAATCTGGACAAGACAAGGATGCCCACTTTCACCATTGTTATTCAATATAGTACTGGAATTCTTCACTAGAGCAGTCAGACAAGAGAAATCTATAAAGACACACTTCCTTTCCTTCCGAATTGGAAAGGAAGAAGTCAAATTATCCTTGTTTGCACATGATATGATACTATGTTTGGAAAAACCTAAGTTTTCCACAAGAAAACTATTAGAACTAATAAATTCAGCAAAGTTGCAGGATACAAAATCAACATACAAAAATCAATAGTGTTTATATATACCAACAGTGAACAATGTGAAAAAGAAATTTTAAAAGTAATCCCATTTACAATAGCCACACATAAAATTAAATACCTAGGAATTAATTTAATCCAAAGAAGTGAAAGATCTCATAATGAAAACTATAAAACACTGATGAGAGACATTGAAAAGGACACCAAAAATGGAAAAAGATTCCATGATCACGGATTGGAAGAATCAATATTGTTAAAATGTAATTACCACCCAAAGCAATCTACAGATTCAAATGCAATCCCTATAAAAATACCAATGACATTCTTCACATAAATAGAAAAAACAAACCCAAAATTCATATGGAATAACAAAAGACCCAAAATTGCCAAAGCTATCCTAAGCAAAAAGAACAAAACTGGAGGAATCACATTACCTGACTTCAAATTATACTACAGAGCTATAGTAACCAAAACAGCATGGTACTAGCACAAAAATAGACACATAGACCAGTGGAATAGAACGCAGGGCCCAGAAACAAATCCACCTACCTATAGTGAACTCATTTTTGACAAAGATCCCAAGAACATACACTGGGGAAAAGACAATCTCTTCAATAAATAGTGCTGGGAAAACTGGCTGTCCATATGCAGGAGAATGAAACTAGGCCCCTATCTCTTACCATACACAAAAATCAAACCAAAATGGATTAAAGACTTACATCTAAGACCTCAAACTGTGAAACTAATACAATGAAACATTGGGAAAAATCTCTAAGAAACTGGTCTGGCAGAAATTTCCTGAGCAGTATCCCATAAGCATAGGCAACCAAAGCGAAAATGGGCAAATGGGATCACATCAAGTTAAAAGGCTTCTGCACAGCAGAAATATATATACATATATATATTTTTGTGTTGTATTAAAAAAATCTTTGCCTAACCCAAGATCAATAAGATTTTCTGTTTTTTATTTTTTAAATTTTTGTGGGTACATGGTAGATATATATATTTACAGAATATATGAGGGTTTTTTGGTCTTTTTTTTTTTCTTTTTGTGGAGAACAGGGTTTTGCTATATTGTCCAGGCAGGTTTAGAACTCCTGGGCTCAAGCCATCCTCCTGCCTCTGCCTCCCTAAGTGCTGGGATTACAGACGTGAGCCATCGTGCCTGACTACATGAGATATTTTGAAACAGGCATGACTGTTCATAGGATATATAGTCATAATAGCCCAAAACTGGAAACAACCCAAACATAGGTATTCATCAACTGATGAATGGATAGACAAATTGTGGTATATTCATAGAATGCAATACTACTCTGCAATAAAAAGGAACAAACTACTGATACAGGAATGAACTTAAAAAGCATTAGGCTAAGTGAAAGAAGCCAGACACAAAATATTTCATTTCTATGAAATCCTAGAAATAACAAAACTATAATGATAGAAAGCAGATTGGTTATTACCATAGGCCACGCTGTAGAGTATTGGTGGACATGTGTGGGAACTTTTGGAATGATATAAGTATTCTATATCTTGATTGGAGAGGCTGTTATATGGTTGCACACATTTTCAAAACTCATTGAATTGTCCACATCAAATAGGTGGATTTTATTGTATGTAAATTATACCTCAATAAAGCTGATTGAAAATCCTCTAGATAATAATACTTCCTTTTCTATTTTTTTAAATAGCAGATGAAAGAAATATTCTGATGCGAATATTTTGATGTGGATGGGGAATTGGTTTATAAAGATGGGAGATGACAGGGTAAATACTGAGTACAACTTTCCCTGGGTGGAGATGTGTCAAGAACAACATTTCTTCCCCTAGAGATTAGTGCTCAAATTGATCTTATTTGATGCTAATATAAAGAAAGGTGACTGTGTAGAAAGCAGAGTTTGTAGATAAGCTTTAAACTTCCTTCAATAGTGTATGTCAAGTGGATGAAGATGAATTGCTGGATGATTTCATACTGAGTGCATAAAGATAGGTAATGCATTTTAGGAAAAGCCATTTAAGCCTACATTAATACTATCATAAGGGCTCAAGTTATTTTATTGGAATACGTTAAACCGTTTCCTGAAAATATGAATAACTGTTGTAGACATGATATGGTATTCTGGTTAAAAAAGAATTTGTTATCTTTTAGAGGTAAATACTGAAGTATTTATAAATGAAGTTATAGGATATCTGGGGTTTGCTTTAAAATAATTCAGTGGGGTTGTGGGGAGAAGTTAGGGGTGGGAGTGGCTAGGAACATGGATGCAATAAGATTAGATATGTACTGATAATTGTCAAAGCTGAGTGATGGGCACAGGATGTTTACTTTTCTATTTTCTTTATTTTGTGTATGCTATGGTTTGAATATTTATCCCCTCCAAAACTCATGTTGAAACAATCCCCAATGTGGCAGTATTGAGAAGCAGGGCTATTGAAAGGTAATGGAATTGATTGACTAATGGGTTAATGGATCAATGGGTTATCATGGAAGAGGAACTGGTGACTTTATAAGAAGAGAGACCTGAGCTAGCACGTTAGCATGCTCAACCTCCTTGCCATGTGATAACCTGTGCAGCCTCCAGACTCTAGAAAGTCCCAGTTAACAAGAAGGCCCTCACCAGATGTGGCTCCCCTGACCTTGGATTTCTCAGTCTCCATAATTGTAAGAAATAAATTCCTTTCTTATATAAATTACTCACTTTCAGATATTCTGTTATAAGCAGCAGAAAATGGACTAAGACAGTATATGTTTGAACATTTCCAAAATAATAGGTTGACTTTGTTTGTTTTTTAGTTTTCTAGGAAAAAAAAATCTGTCTTCACTTAGATGAGCTTGGCCTGGAGTCACCCTGGACTCAACTACATGGTCCATAAGGAAATAAAAATAAGTTGAAACTAGGCTCTCTAAAAGTGTTTTTTTAGGTCAAGGGAATGGGTTAGACAGCAGAATCACCAGGGGTGCTCATCGATTCTACGCTGAGGGTCTCTCCAGAGGATTTAATTTGACTGGGTGGCAAGTTCAGCAGGTATCCCCTGGCAGAGGTGACACCCAAAGTCTGATGGATACAGGTTTGTGCTTCTGAACTAATCTGGCTCTGTGCTATTTGAACTGAGTCACAAGGCACAAACTGAGGCTTTAAAAGACAGTATTCAAACCCTTGGGGAAATTAAAGGGCTACGTAGACTTGTAGGACCCCTGCAAATGAGAAATATTTTGGGAATATCCATAATCAGTGTGAAGGGAGAGGGTCACCACATCATTCCAACAGGCTGCTGTGAATCATAAACCCAACAGAATGCTAGGATCAGACACAACACGGAACACAAAATTATTCCATCCCATACATTAATTGCCAATCCTCAAAAAATACACATTAGAAATTAAAGAAAAATTAGAGAAGGATAACTAATTATTGTATTAGAAAACCAGCCATAAAAATGATGAGTTCATGTCCTTTGTAAGGACATGGATGAAGCTGGAAACCATCATTCTCAGCAAACTACCGCAAGTACAAAAAACCAAACACCACATGTTCTCACTCATAGGTAGGAATTGAACAATGAGAACACATGGACACAGGAAGGGGAACATCACACACCAGGGCCTGTTGTGGGGTGGGGGGAGGGGGGAGGGATAGCATTAGGAGATACACCTAATGTTAAATGACGAGTTAATGGGTGCAGCACACCAACATGGCACATGTATACATATGTAACTGACCTGCACATTGTGCACATGTACCCTAAAACTTGAAGGATAATTAAAAAAAAGAAAACCAATGAAAATCTATGACAACAAGAGACCAAAATATGGCAATTTTGGAGATTTGAAGGCTGTAAATTCATAGAAATGTAAATATGGTAATATAGACTTTTTCACTAAATCCTAATATGCCAGACCTAGAGGATACAACTCAAAGCTTAAAAGACGTAGTTTTATCTCAGTGAAAGGAGGTACTACTTTATAAGAACATTTAGCTAAAAACAGGAAAATGCTCATGCAGGGTTTAACTAGCAAATAATAAAATATAATTAAAGTAAGGTAGGGTGTTTGAGAAAAAAGAAAATCCTAAACATTTTGAGGCTGACATCATGGAAGTCATCTAAGCTTTTTACTATGTATCCATTGGCACTACTTCCAAGGCTGAGTTGGACAGATCATCTGTGTTGCCAAATACTGCCGTTCTTAAGTTTTCAAGATGTGAATAAAACCCACGAGTCACTGCTAGAATTGCTATTGGTCCTTGTATATACAAAGAGTTTCCATTTCTAGAGTTAGACGTAAGAATACACTTTAGCCAGGAGCAGAATTATGGGGCATTGTGCCATCCCAGCCACCATCCCCTGAAAACCTGCCCTTCTAGCTATGTAACTGTGTAACAGCTATCACAAAACTTAGCGCCATAAAACAGCATTCACTTTGTTTCATAATTTTACAAGTCACAAATTTGAGAAGGGCTCAACTAGGTGATTCTTCTGCTCCATGTGTCATCAACTGGGGTCACTCGTGCTATTCAGCTGGTGCCTGGGCTAGGCCGGAGTGCCCATGATGCTTCTTTCATGCACCTGATGTCTCAGCAGAGATTGCAAAAGGCTGGGTTCTGCTGAGCCCCTCTCCCTCACTATGTAATATCAGGGTCTCTCCACACGTTTACTTCAGCAGGGTAGTTAGACTTCTTATCTGATGGCTGATGTAAGATCAGGTGCCAAGAACAGAGGAAGCTGTCAGACCTCTTAAAATTCAGGCTCACTACTGGCATCATGTCACTTCTGTTGTACTCCATTGATCAAAGTAATCCAGGCCAGCTCAGATTCAAAGGGAGAAGAAATGGATCTCTCAATGGCAGGAATTTTAAATAACTTGAGGTCATCTTTAATTCACCACAGATGCCCTTAAAAAAAACTGTCAGGAACTGAAAGATATCCCCGTCTGCACTTAAGGAAAGCCAGAATGAAATTTTCCTGGACTAAATTCTTTTTCAATAAAAAAAGGATAACTAGTTCTACATACCTTAATATTCCTGTTTTTTTGTTTTGTTTTGTTTTGTTTTTTTCTAGATGGAGTCTCGCTGTGTCGCTCAGGCTGGAGTGCAGCGGTGCGATCCTGGCTCACTGCAAGCTCCGCCTCCTGGGTTCATGCCATTCTCCTGCCTCAGCCTCCCGAGTAGCTGGGGCTGCAGGCGCCCGCCACCACGCCCAGCTAATTTTTTTTTTATATTTTTAGTACAGACGGGGTTTCACTGTGAATATTTCTGTTCTTAACCCAACAAAAAGAATATTCCCAGGCACATATGGAAGTGTTCTGTTCCTCAGTTTGCCCATATGTATATATGTGTATGCATCGTATGGAATATGCATTCATCATATTCACGTGTTGAAATTCTCACCCCCAAGGTGATGGTGACCAGCCTGGCCAACATGGCAAAACTCCATCTCTACTAAAAATACAAAAATTACTTCATCGTAAGTAAATTAGCCAGGCATGGTGGCAGGTACCTGTGGTCCCAGCTACTTGGGAGGCTGAAGCAGGAGAATCGCTTGAACCCAAGAGCAGGAGGTTGCAGTGAGCCGAGATTGTGCCACTGCACTCCAGCCTGGGCGACAGAGCAAGACTCCATCTCAAAAAAAAAAAAAAGAAGAAGAAGAAGAAGTGAAGCTTTCATGAGGTGACTGAGTCATGAAGGCCTTCATGAATAGGGTTGATGCCTTATAAAAGAAGCCTGAGAGACCCCCTCGCCCCTTCTGCTATGTGAGGACACAACAAGAAGGTGTCATCTGTGAGCCAGAACACAGGCCTTCAGCAGACACCAAATCTGCTGGTGACTTAATCTTTGACTTCCCAGCATCCAGAACTATGCAAAATAAATTTGTGTTTTTTATAAGCTACCCAGTCTATGGCATTTTGGTATAGCAGCCCAAATAGACTAACAGAGGCATCTCTTAATACATTGCATTACATAATCATTACAATAACTTGGCAAGCAGAGATTATTAGCCCAGCATCACAAACTATGACCTGAATTTGAAGCCAGGTTCATTATGACTGTAAAGCCTACAGTCACATTACAAATGTAGTAGAGAAATAACTATTGGCAAGAATTTGAAGCAACAGGAACTCTCCTACACAGCTGAGGAAAGCATACGTTGTTGCAGTCATTACAACCAATTTGGAACACACTTATTCAAAAGCATATCTTGAGTGACCCAGTATTTCCAATACCAGATAAATTTCCTAGGGACACTCATGCACATGTACACAACGAGATGTGTACATGTATTTGTAACTTCATTGTTAATAACACCAAAGAAACAGGAAACAACACAAATGTCAATCAATAGTAGAATAGATAGCTAGGTGGTAGTGTGTTCATACACTGGAATATGCAGAGGTGAAAATGAAACACGTGGAACAGCATGCATACACAAGGATGAATCTTAAAAATCCAATAATAATAATAGACACTGGGGACTCCAAAGAGGAAGGAGAGAGGAGAGGGCTAAAAAAAGTACCCATTGGGTACAATATTCACTAATTAGGTGATGGGTACACTAGAAGCCCAAACCTCACCATCATGCAATATATTCCTGTATATTGGCTGAATTTTGTGTTTTATGTTTTATCACCTTACTTCTTCATAGTTTTATCCTCAATGTTGTATTTTAACTAACATATTGTTCATTTTTTATGTTTTTAAGCTTTATACAAATGGAATCATAGGTATTTATCTGTTACATATCCATGTAACAAACCTGAACATGTACCCCTGAATCTAGAAAAAATAAATAAATAGTAACATGAAAAAAAAATCTAAAAAGAAAAAAAAAAAAGGAAACCTAATACTGAGACACTGGAGTAAGCCAAAGATGAATCCCTAGCTAGGATTCCATTTGCATAAAGCATAAAAACAGAGAAAAAAAGAACAATATAGTAGTTTAAATGCAACATAGAGGATAAAACTATGAAGAAGTAAGGTGATCAAACACAGAATTCAGCCAGGAAGAAGACGGATGTGATCTGACAGGAACACACAAGGGGCATCCAGAATACGACAGCGTTTTATCTCTTGACCGAGGTGGGAGTTGTTTCACTGTTTTTCTTCTGACTAAAGTTCATTCTTTACACAGCTAACTATCTCAGTTATTCTCCTACCATGTTTCAATACCCACAGCTACTTAGCCACACTGCAGCTATCTGTTGATTGCTTTCCCATCATCCATCCAGCATGACTGGGCAGGATGCACTACGGTGATTGATGTCCCTGCTCCTACACTGGCCAGCTCCCACCGAAGGTCCATTAATACACCAGGGCAATCTGCTTTAATATGTGTTTGAAGATCTGTTACACAAAAAGATAGGTTATTGCTTTTCTAATAAATCTCCAAGAAAGAACATTTTTTTTATTTTTTAATTTATTTTGGTAAAATATATTATTCTCAAGTTTTCCTTCGCATCTCACTTTTTAAACCATCACCAAATGCCACTGTGAGATATGTTACTTTAGAAGCAAAAGACTCATTATATCTATATGGAAAGAGTAACCATAGTCTTCACTGTAAGTAAATTTGTCTATATTTGTCATGTACAAAGAACAGGAAAAACATGTTTATAGCTTGATATTGCAGATAGATGTAATGAAAGAGGATGGGAAATTTCACTGCCCCAGTGTAGAAAAACAAAATCATTAGAGAAGTAAACAATGCATTTAAATAATGCATTCTATTTTGCTAATAGATATGCTAGAGCAAATACAGATTTCTAAAATTATCAGTTTTCCACTCCACAAAGGAAATAAATATGATAACTAGAAAAATCCAAGTGAAATATATTTTATTTCTGCTTGTTGGCATAAAAGCAAAGCAGAAAGACTTCTTAGGGGTTTTTCCCCCTTTAACAATAAGTTAATGTCAAAATAACTGAAGAATTTAACATTACAACTCTCTCTCCCTCACATAAAGGCCCTAATAGCTCTTAGTTCAACAGGTAACTATTAAGTCAAAACAAAGCAAATTAAAATATATTCCCTGGAGGTCACACTTCTACCAGATTAAAATAAGACAGTAAGTTATGCATCAGGTAAGAAAAATTATGCTTCTAGAGCAATTTAACAAGAAAGTATTTTTCTCCACTCTTGAAACTTTTAAAAATTGGCAGTTTGACACTGTTGGTAAACTAGCACAGCCACTGTGAAGAACAGTGTGGAAGTTCTTCAGAAAACTACAAATAGATCTACTATATGATCCAGCAATCCCACTACTGGGGATTTATCCAAAGAAAAGGGAATCATTATATTGAAGAGATATCTACATCCCCATGATTATTGCAGCAGTATTTACACTAGCCATTATATAGAATCAACCTAGGTGTCCAACAATAGATGAATGCCTAAAGAAAATGTGGTGTATATTTCTAGCCTGGCACGGTGGCTCATGCCTATAATCCCAGAGCTTTGGGAGGCTGGGGCATGTGGATCACGAGGTCAGGAGTTCACGGTCAGTCTGGACAACATGGTGAAGGCTGGTCTCTACTAAGAATGGAAAAAATTAGCCGAGTGTGGTGGTGCACGCCTGTGGTCCCAGCTGCTTGGGAGGCTGAGGCAGAGAGTTGCTTGACCCCAGGAGGCAGAAGTTGCAGTGGGCCGGGACTATGCCACTGCACTCCAGACTGGACAAAAGAGCAAGACCCTGCCTCAAAAAAAGAAGGAAAAAGAAAAGAAAGAAAGAAACTGGTTTTCTAAAAAATAAGAAAATCTGAATAAAGTATGGCTTTAGTTAATAATACTACATCAATATTGGTTCACTACTTATGAAAAAATATACTATATTAACATATATTAATAATAAATTGATGTATGTTTATGTGAAAAAAAAAGAAAAGAAAATGTGGTATATATACACACACACAATTAAATACTATTCAGCCATAAAAAAAGAATGAAATCTTGTCATTTGCAGCAACATGGATGGAGGATATTGTGTTAAGTGAAATAAGCCAGGAACAGAAAGTTAAACACAGCATGTTCTCAATCACGTGGGAGCTTTAAAAAGTGGATTTCATAGAAGTAAAAAGTAGAAGAGAGGATACTAGAGACTGGGAAGGGCAAGGGAAGGAAGGGATAGGGAGAGATTTGTTAAAGTACACAAAACTGCAGCTAGATAGGAGGAAGAAGTTCTAGGGTTCTCTAGCACTGTAAGATGACTATAGCTAACAAGAATATATTATATAGCTTCAAATGACGGCAAGGAGGATATTGAATGTTCCCAACACAAACAAATGATAAATGTTTGAGATGATGGATGTGCTAATCACTCTGATCTGACCACTATACATTATATACATCAAAACATCACTATGCACCCATGAATACATACAATTAGTTTTTGCCAATTTACAAAAATAAAATTTGTAAATTAAAAACAAAAACAAGTAATGGGGAAAGCAAAAAAAAGGAAAAAGATAAATCTTAGAAGCCACATGAGACTGGTGTCAGTCTCTACAAAGCTGGAAGTGGGTAAAATCTGTCCTCACCTTCTCCAGTTTCCCTCTCTGCTCTTCTTCCTCTGGTTTCCCTTCTGAACTCCTCTTCTACATGTCACAAAGGATGAATCTTCTCAGGATTTGGTCCTGTGCCCTCCTCTCTTCTCTCTACATTCTTGGGTGCTTTCATTTATCCCCACAGGAACACTGTGTCTTATATTTACTGAGAGCCTATTGGCCCAGGGCTTACAGTCCATTGGATAGTCACCTGAATGTCCTAAAATCAACACATTCCCAAATGAAAACCTCACCTTCTTTGTGAACCTCCTTTTGTATTCCTCCTTTTAGATTGGTGGCATCAACTTTTCTTTACCTCACCCCCATGTGCAATGATTCACTAAGTCTTATTGATTATACTTCTGAAATATTCTTTTTTAAATGTGTCTTATGTCCAAGCTCACAATCTCTGTTAACTCTAAGAGACAACCTTCTAAATAAATGGCCTTTGAATCTCAAGGAACTTTCTCCCAAACTGTGTTTTTTTTTTTTTGGTAACAGTTTCCTCAAAGTTATGTTTTAGAACTCAGATCTAATCATGCTGTTTTTTCTATGTAAACAGAAAAACAAAGAACAAAAAAATTGGTAGTCTGGCCGGGCACAGTGGCTCACACCTGGAATCCCAGCACTTTGGGAGTCTGAGCCAGGTGGATCATGAGGTCAAGAGATTGAGACAATCCTGGCCAACATGGTGAAACCCCGTCTCTACTAAAAATACAAAAATTAGCTGGGAGTGGTGGTGCATGCCAGTAGTCCCAGCTATGCGGGAGGCTGAGGCAGGAGAATTGCTTGAACCCAGGAGGTGGAGGTTGCAGTGAGCCGAGATTGTGTCACTGCACTCCAGCCTGGTGACAGAGCAAGACTCCATCTCAAAAATAAATTTAAAAAAACAAACTTGGTAGTTTGACATATTCTTGACATATTCCATTTCTTTTTAATTTTATAAAAAATACATTCCCAAATCATGTGATTTTTCTATTACATATGCTTAAGATAACTATTTTCAAAGTAAAGAACAAAATCAAGATATATGATGAGGGTTTATGTTTGCCTTTAGTAGTATTAAATAGGATTCCCTAGTAACACTCGTTATCATTATTAATATAATACTAGATTTCCTAAATCTTTCCTAGACAATAGGGAACATAAGTAATATAAAATCAATTCTACCATTTTGTGCTAAGCCTTGTATATTATCTCTAATCCTTAGAACATCCATGCAAGGGTGAACTATTCCCACTTTGTACATGAGGACATTGAGGCTTAGAGAAGTTGAACAACTTGCTCAACACTGCATTGCTGGCAAATGGCCTGATGGGGATTTGAATCCAGATCTTCTATTACTCCTATGTTATTATGGAATGTGTTAAAGTTGTTATAATCCAAGAGCTTTATTTATACTTATGTCAGTTAAAATATAGCTTTTGGGCCAGGCACGGTGGCTCACGCCTGTAATCCTAACACTTTCGGAGGCCGAGGCAGGCAGATCACTTGAGGTCAGGAGTTCGAAACCAGCCTGGCCAACATGGTGAAACACTGTCTCTACTAAAAGTACAAAAAACTTAGCCAGGCATGGTGGTGGGCACCTATAATCCCAGCTACTTGGGAGGCTGAGGCAGGAGAATTGCTGGAACCCGGGAGGCAGAGGTTGCAGTGAGCCGATATCAGGCCACTGCACTCCAGCCTGGGTGACAGAACGAGACTCCATCTCAAAAAATAAAACATATGTTTTTTTTTATTATAACAACTTTAACACAGCAATGCCTGCCACAGATGAGAAAATTTGTAATGTTTCCAAAAGGCCATCATTTTAAAAGTTTCGACTCTCAAGGAGTGTTTTCTGCTATTTGAAACTTGATTAGAACATAGATTCATCCATATAGCTACTACCCTTACAATAACACAAAGGTTGATGGAGGTGAATGTTCTAGACTAGCAGTCAGTTGTAAATATTATTACTGACAGTTAACTAGAAACACAATATTCAATAAAGATATTACATATCCACTAAAACTCAAAGCACAATTTTAAACTGATCTTTACTTGATGAGTTTAAACTCAGAATCCTACATAAAAGAGACATCTTTGGAAAATAATATAACCACCTCCATTTTCAAATAGATTTGCACATTACTGTTTGAGATTTTGAAAAACACTGTACTGACAAAACTCCCTGTGTTCCAGTAATAAACAAGATTCTGATTCTGGACATACTGCAGTTCTCACAGTAGGAGCAGAAAGAAAAAAAAGGGAAAAAAAGAAGAAGAGAATAAAAATAAGGAGGAGGAAGTGGAAGGATACAGAAAGAAAAAAAGGAAGAAGGAAGAAAAGGAAAATGAAGAAGAGGAAGAGGTAAAGGAAGAAGAAAAGGAATGACGGAAGAAGAGGAAGTGGAGAAGAAGGAAGAAGAAAAGAGGCAGGAGAATGATAATCTGCCATGATAGTCTAACTCCAGATAACCATTTGGAATTCTGTTCACAGATCTTTGGAACACCTCCACGTTTTTCTGAGTACTTGATTTACATTGCTCTACTAGACCCTACTTGGGGCCAGACCAAAAAAAAAAAATGACTAAGTCATCCCTGTCACTAAATATAGACACTGCCACCAGAGAGCAGACTCTGTACAATAAGTTGGAGCTGGCCTCATTAGGAGTATGGAGTTCAACTTACCAAGAGTGGAAATAGAACTAATATTTGTTGATTACCTACTAGGTTTCTGGTCTTATGTTAAGTGCTTTACATATATTTTGTCACTTGTATTATTATTAAATTATTATCATAATATTATTTTTATTTTATTGGTACATAATTTTACATAGTTATAAGGTACTTGGGATACTTCAATGCATGCATATGTTGTACGCATCTCTTGTTAAGCAAATCATGGTTATGGTACACCCATCACCTCAAACATTTACCATTTCTTTGTGCTGAGAACTTTCCACATCTTCTCTATTAGTAGTGATCTTGACATATACAATAAGTTATTGATAACTATAGTCACACTATTATACTATTGTAGACTAGAATTTATTCCTTCTATCTAACCATATTTTTGTACCCATTAACTAACCTCGCTTTATCATGTCCTCCCCCTACCCTTCCCAACCTCTGATAATCATTCTACTCTACCTCCATGAGATCAATTTTTTTTAGCTCCCACATAAGAGTGAGAACACGCAATACTTGCTTTTCTGTGCCTGGCTCATTTCATATTATCATAATATTATTATAGTTGTTTACAGATTGGAAAACTGTGACTTGGGGAGATTAAGTAACATTTCCATGGTTGCACCCAAGTAAATGGCAGCTCAGAATTTAATCCTGCTTGACTTTACCTATGTTTATCTCCTACCTCACTGACCTACACATGTATGGTGTTTCTTAGTGATATATTTTAAATAGTAGCTCAAGCTTCCCTTCCCCCTACTTCTCTTTGAGGAGAAGAGCTGATGTGGGTAGAGACCAAAGTCAATGCAACTGGGCTATGGGATTATGGAGTGAAGTTTTCAGAACAGGTCAAAGTCTCTTGTGTCTACTTTGCTTGCTGCCTTCTTTAGCCACCCATTCTTGGCTTCTCACTTGCCTAGACTTAAGTACAGTGTGAGCAAAACTATTTGAGGGGAGGGATAGCCATGTGTGCTATTGTCCATGGTCCTGAAAGAGCATGCACATTATGGATTGCTTCTCTAGGAAGTAGATGTGGCTATGGACCTGGAATAGGGACACCAAACCTAGCAGAACCAGATGTGATCAAAGGAAACTGAGGCACAGAGTTGATGGCTTAAACAGCACTGTCCAATAGAACTTTCTGCAATGATGGCAATGTTCTAATTCTGCATTGTCTAATGCGGTAGCTACTAGCTACATGTGGCTATTAGGCTCTTGAAATTTGACCAGTAGACAACTAATTGTTTAAGTTTATTTAACTTTAGCTAATTTATATTGAAATAACTACATGTGTACCATATTGGACAACACAGGTTAGATCATCAATACTAAGCTGTTTACTGAAAACACAGATTCTTGGGTACCATGTAAGATATACTAAAATCAGAATCTCTGAGGTAAGCTCAGGTATGGGCATTTTTAACCAGAAGTTCCTGTGCTTATTGATGTTTGAGAACCAATATCCTACCAGGCATTTGTGTCAGCCTTCTAAAAGTCCCTACCTGTGCCCACTAATGCCTGCCACTTTCACCTCGTCCTCAGGTTCGTCCCGACTTAGCGTGTTTAATAGCCGCAGCCTCACTGTCGGCCTTGCCTTCAAACCTGAGACCCAGTGGCTCAGGATGGTTGCAAAGCTTCCACAACCACCACCGCCCCCCCACCACCCTGCATTCCAAGATTCCTTGAAGACCAACTTTAAGGGCACTCATGACAGGTAAAGTCTACACACCTGACTAACACTGCCCTGAGCACAGTACTCCCAAATTCATATGCTGTTTGTCCTCCTCTTCCTGTATTTTTGTCTAGTCCAAAGAAATAGGCATTTGCCTTGGTCTCTGCTTTCTTAAGCCTCTTGTCCTCACCTTAATCCCCTCGGTTCTAGGGCTAGTTCCCATTCCTCTGCCTCAGATGGATCCTCATCTCCATAATCTCCCTCCATGGTCAGGATGTGTGAAAAGCTCTCATGACCTCTACCCTCCTGACTTGCAAATTAACTCACCTAGAATGAACCTCTATGTTCTGAGGAATGACCAATTTATCCATTAATTTGGTAAATTTTTGAAACGCTGAGCGTTGGATTCCCAGTTCTCTGTAGCTGAGTCCATTTCTCCAAGCTTCACATCTCTTCCCCTCCCAACTGATCCCATTACCCAGGTTCCAGCATGCTACACTCCTGAGTGCACCTGAGTTAAATATGTTTAATGTAATTATGAAAGCCAGCGGTAAAACTAAACAATTATTTCCAGGACTGTAAATTCAATGTCTATTAAAGTTTTCAGGTACATGCCTCCCCATCACCATTCGCCAACTGCCACCACCCATAGACATGCAGACACACACCATACAACGTTTACACTGATGTAACACTTCAAAAATAATTTCCCATGTATTGTCATGTTTGACGAACACAGTGAATGGATTATTACACTAATGATTCCATATAAATGAAGCCTCTACCCTCAGCATTGTTCCTTCTTTCATTTACCCTGGGCTCAGCCATGTGACTTACTTTGACTAACAAGATATCAGCCAATATGACACAAGGAGAGGATAGGTAAACACTTGCACACTGGGATTTGCCTTCTTGAAATCATTGTCATTGTCATGTAAGAAACCTGGTCTCCACTGCAAAAGCAGCCACATAGAGAACTGAGGTATTCTGCTGACAGTCCCAGTTGACTGCCATATGAGAGTAAGGCCAGCTTGGATCATCCAATTCCAGTCAAACCTCCAGATCACTGTGTCTATATGAGGGGCCCCAGGAAAGATCAACAAAAGAACTACCCAGCTGAAACCAGTCCAAATGTTGGCAAATAAATTATTCTGTTTTAAGCCACCAAGTTTTGAGATGGTTTATTACTTAGCACCAGATAACTGATAGACAAAATGATTCTGAGAAATAGTATTATTATTCCTATTGGTGAATTAGAAATGTGAAGTTCAGATAGATTAGGAAATTTATCCAAGGTTCTAGAGCTAGAAAGCAGCAAAAAGAGGCCCAGAACTTCAGTCTGTCCCCAAGTTCAGCACTTCTGCACTACACTAGGCTGCATTTTAAATACACAACCTCCACTCAACTAGTAAAAGGTCACTGATAATCCTAGTCCTCCCAGATCCTATTTGCTGACCTAGTTACCAACCTCCAGCACTGCCTTATTGAGAAAGAGTCTCCTCCCAGCTCCTTCCTGGCCTGCTAGTGAGTTCGCCTTGTTACTTTCTTTCTGCAAAAACTAAAGCCAGGAATCATTTTCAGTGAATCAATTGAATACAGCTAGTAGAAACATAAAAAGGTAAGACCTATTTTATATGAAAAATGAATATTCTGGTTTGCATCTTGATTTAGAGCATCATAATGAGAAAAATGGAAACAAACTTACATGGTCTGGAGGAAAACAGTAAGAATTATCAAAGGATTAAGAAAAGTTAATCATTAGTCAAAACCAGATTTTAGAATTAAAGTTCTTATTCATAGAAAACATTATGGTTTATGTTAATTCCTGAGGAATGAAATTGATTCAAATGACAAAACTGTGAACACATGCTAGAAAACTGGATAAAAAATTTAAATGGAAATCTCGGATTAAAACAGAAGGAATAAGGCTCTGCCAAATGTACAATGAAAAATCTCATCTTTTAAGATGTTTGTATAGGAATTATCAAAAGAGAAAGAAGATGCGAACAGGTTATCCTTTATTTCTTCCCCCAATTTTTTAATCACATCATCGTAACCATTGGGATAATTCACAGATTTTATTCTAGGTGAAGCAAATGACTTGTAAAAGCCCTTGCTTCTCAGCTAGAGGTGTGTTTACTTTGCTATGAACAAAAAGCAACTTAACCAGTCTTGCAAGTTTTTGATTTGAGAGCTCAAAACAATTTTAAAACTAAAATCTTCATATCTAAATGTTATTTTGCAGGTGGCAATTAAACAGTAAGAAAGCATCTGGCATAAATTAAGTGAACAGATCACCAAATCATTTGGAAAACAAGTAAGTCTTAGTGCAATGATCTAAAGTCATTATGAAAACTGACTTGTCCACAGAGTTTGAATGACAGAATAGATAAAACACGTGAAGTCATACACAGCTTTCTCTGAACAAATTAATTAGCTTTCCTGCAGCCCTCCGTCCATGCCATAGAGAGCAATCACACAAGTGAATCAAGCAGCCACGCACAGCCTTGCTCAGTGTTTGTTTCAGGAGAACTTGTGTACGCACGTAATTTCACTCTAGGAAGGAAAACAGCATGGGATAGTGGGAGGATGCTGCAGCCTTTAACCCATCACTTAACCTCTGTGTGGCTCACTGTTCTCATCTCTACAAGGTGGGTAGAAAAACCCATGCTTCCTACTTCACAGAGGTGTAAGCATAAAAGATGTAAACAGACTTTGAAAAAGTTAAAAGAGCTGTGCAAATACAAGGTGCTTTATACTTGAAGAAGATATAAAAAGGCAGAATCTGTGATGTAGCAGCAGCAATTCTACCACCCAGCCACAAGGCTGCTGGCGATGTCTCACATGAAAGCAAAGGCATTTTAAAACACAAAGACTTAACAGAGAGCAGAAATGAAAAGACATGCTGTTTGCAAAAATGGTTGTGTTTAGCCTGGGGTTTTCACATAAGAAAATAATATTTTGAGAAATTGTCATGTTAAATTTAAGCTGCTCTTGGGTGACTTCAAACTATGAAATTTGCATGTAGCCCATGAGTAACTCTGTCCTAGAAGAATTCCTTGAATTCTCTTTCATGACAATAAACTTGCAAAATTTAACTTAGCTCCATTTACAAAGACTTAGGCACAAGGTTAACAATAATGAATCAACTATTTTTTTCATCTACTTTCTGAATAATGATTCTCTTTCTTCTGCATAGTACAAGGCTTCTAAATCCTGTCTACATATAAGCCACACATTTTTCCCCAAATAATTGTATCTCCATACATAATTTCGCCTGCACTAACACTGAAAAAAGGAGTGCTCCATATTCAAGCCAGTGTATTTCATTCAATTCAACAGATGGGGCTGGGCACAGTGACTCACACTTATAATCCCAACACTTTAGGAGGCCGAGGAAAGAGGATCACTTGAAGCCAGGAGTTCAAGATCAGCCTGGACAACATAGCAAGACCCTCATATCTACAGAAAAAAAAATTTAAGTAGCTGGGCACCTGTAGTATGCACCTGTAGTCCAGCTGCCTGGGAGGCTGAGGTGGGAAGATCGCTTGAGCCCAAGAGTTTGAGCCCAGGAGCCCAGGTGCCTGTAGATGCACGTGTAGTCCAGCTGCCTGGGAGGCTGGGGTGGGAGGATTGCTTGAGCCCAGGAGTTTGAGGCCGCAGGGAGTTATGATTATGCCACTGCATTCCAGCCTAGGTGAGAGAGCGAAACCCTGTTTCTGCAAAATAAATAAATATATGGGTTTAAAAATTATATCTGGTGCTTTTCTTGTTCCTACAGCACATATATTTGGCACTGGTTTTGGCATTTGGAGGGAACACGCTTAGGAGTAAGAGTCTGCAACCAAGAAGCTTACATTCTAAGAGAGAAAATAAGAAAATAAAGGTAAATAACAACGGAAGGCAGAATAGAAAGATTGTAAGGGTGGTTCAAAAGGCTCTGAGTGGCAAAAAAAGAGATCACATCTTGTTGGTGTGAGGTTTCAAAAGGATGCTTTCTAGATAAACTTTGAAGAGGAAATAAAGATGGCAAAGAAAAGATACATTGCTTGCCAAAACTATGTTATTTCAGAAAATAATCAAGGCATTGGTGGGAGAAGGAGGAAGAGCAACTCAAGTCAAGGGAACAGCAGATGCAAAGGCTTTGAAGTAGCCAAGCAAAGAACATAGACAGGATCCACTGGTGGTAAACTCTGGCTGGAGTTCAGGGCACCAGTGTTTTACAGGGGAGTGGTGGAAACATAAAGCAAAATAAGCTCTTATTTTGAAGATCTTTGATTGCCAGGCCAAGGATGTTAGAGGATCTTTGAAGACTGGAAGGCAGGAAAATAAAATATGCCACCCCTACAAAATCCCAGCTCTTTCTATTACAAAAATCATTAACACAGACAATGAATTAAATGACACAAACAAATGTTTATGTTTTCATTAAAATCCTTGTTGGTGCTTGAGGTCAGGAGTTTGAGGCCAGCCTGGGAAACATAGCAAGACCCCATTTCTACAAATAAAAATTTTTTTAAAAATTAACCGAGCATGGTGGTGTGCACCTGTAGTCCTAACTACTAGGAAGGCTGAGGTGGGAAGACTGCTCGAGCCCAGGAGTTCCGGTTTGCAGTGAGCTATGCTCATGCCACTGCACCCCAGCCTGGACAACAGAATGAGACCCTGTCTCTTAAAAAAAATACTGATTGGGACTGGGTGCAGTGGCTCATGCCTGTAATCCCAGCACTTTGGGAGGCCGAGGAGGGTGGATCATGTGGTCAGGAGTTCAGGACCAGCCTGGCCAAGATGCTGAAACCCCATCTCTACTAAAAATACAAAAATTAGCCAGGCATGCTGGTGGGTGCCTGGAATCCCAGATACTTGGGAGGCTGAGGCAGAGAATTACTTGAACCTGGGAGGCGGAGGTTGCAGTGAGCCAAGATCACTCCACTGCTCTCCAGCCTGGGTGACAGAGTGAGACTCCATCCCAAAAAAAAAAAATACTAATTGGGTACTGCTTTGCTCTTTTTCTTACATATTTACAATATTTGTGTTTGCTATAGTTATTATTAATCCTACAGCTATTACTAACCCTAGCCCTAACCCCATCAAAAGCATTATCAGACATTTCACATTCTGGTTGTCAATTGCTAACTAATTATTAGTAAAGTTTTCCCCAATATAATTTCAAATTGGTATCTGGACTTCTATTTCCATCAGTATGATGAATAAAGTACCTGCTTGGTCCTCCTGCGGAAAACAAATCAAAATACTGGGTAAAACACAATAAAAAGATTTTAATACATTAATTACATGGCTAATTAGTAAAGGGAACTTGATGAAAGTAGACCCGAAGAGGTAATCAGAGAAATAAAGCCATCTTGTGCCTTATGGACCATTTTTCAAACTGAATGTGCTTCACCTTTGTGCTTTCCAGCTCTATAAAGCCATAGAATAGAGAAAATAAAGCCCAAGATTCACTCAAGGTCCCCCTTTATAAAACTAAGACTGCAAAGGGCCACACCTCCATCATAAAAGTGAAGTAGGAAAACATTCTGCCACCCAACACACCAAAAGCAAGATTGCCTAATTAGAAATTTAGCAGTGGAAAGAGAGGGACTCGTCCCTAAAACTACTAACCATAAGTCAGTCTTCATGCAGTTTTGCATGCCAAATTCACACTTCTTGGCCAAGAAATCTCAAGCCAAGAAGTCAGTTAAAGTTGTCCTGGGCTGGTAGTTTTCCGGGTTCCTGGCAGAAACAAATTCAATCCTCTTTGGAGTATTAGTTTTATCACAGTCTGAAAGAATTCATGCAAAAAAAGTTCACAAAAATATGAGGCCACAGTAAACACTGTATTTGTTCTCATGTTGCTAATAAAGACATGCCCGATACTGGGTAATTTATAAAGAAAAGAGGCTTAATGGACTCATAGTTCCATATTGCTGGGGAAGCCTCACAATCATGGCAGAAGAGCAAGGATGTCTACATGTCAGCAGGCAAGATGAGAGCATGCGCAGGGGAACTCCTCTTTATAAAACCATCAGATCTCATGAGACTTATTCACTATCACGATAACAGCATGGCAAAGACCGACTCCCATGATTTAACTACCTCCCCTCAGGTCCCTTCCACAACACCTGGGAATTGTGAGAGCTACAATTCAAGATTAGATTTGGGTGGGGACACAGCCAAACCATATCAACACACACACACACACACACACACACACACACACACAGAGGGAGGGAGAGAGAGAGAGAGAGAGAGACAACAGTATGAAGAGCAAAAGCCAATAGAACAGACCTTTTTAAAAATGTCTAAAAGGCTTTATGTCTAAATAAATTTAAAAGTGATTTAAAATATAAGGAAAGGGAAAGACACCATAGAAATGAAGCAGATTTTAAAAAAACAAATATAATTCTAAAAATTTAAAAATCCAATAAAGAAAGCTTAAAATTCAATAGACAGATTAGAAAAAGCTGACATGTGAAATCGAAAGATAGATCCAAATAAATCGTCCAGAATGCAGCATAGAATGATCACGATAGAAATTATAAAACAGAGATCGAAAGACATGTCAAACCAGAGCTCCAAAAGGACAAGAGAGAAAAAGGATACATGAAATAATATTTGGATTAATGGTTACTGAAAATTTTTCAGAAATAATAGAACACTTCTCCACAGATTGAAGAAGCCCAGTGAATTCCAAGCTTAATAATAAAAACAAACTCATGGCTAAACACATCATAGGGAATCTGTAAATAACAAAGACAAAAGAAATAACTGAAAAACAGCCAGAGAGAAAAGATAACTAAACTTTAGCTGAAGGACAAAGACAGACACAATGAAAGCCAGAAGAATGCAGAGCAATATGTTCAAAGGGCTGAGGAAAAAAAAAAATTTTAAAATTATTTTAAACATCTTTCAAAAAGTGGGACAAAGAAAGATATATTTTTAAAAAATATCCTAATTCACTGCTATAAATACTCAGTAAGAGAAATTCTAAAGAATGTATTTTATGCAGAAGGAAATTGATCCCAGATGAAAGATCTAAGATGCAAAAAGAAATGATCAATAAAGAAAACAGTAAGTATATAGATAAAACTAAATAAACATTGAGATAAATATATAGCTAAAATAAATATAGAGATAAAATAATATTATTATCCGGTAGGATTAAAATAAAAATAAAATAAACCTACAATGCATGACAAAAATAATACATTTCAGGAATGGAATAATTAGAGTTCACACATTTTAATATAATTGTATTGCTAGAGAAGAGGGTGACAATATGATTGACTTTAGCACTTGAGAAGCCAAATATGTATGCTAAAATGTCTAGCATAACAATTAAAAGAATAGAAACAAAGTATATAGCTTCTAAATTAGTAAAAGAGGAAAATAGAATGAGAAAAACAAATACTCTATCCTAGAGAATCCAAGGAAAAAAATGAAAAAGAAACAGAAAAGGTAGGACAAATAAAAAGCCCATGATAAGATGGTAGAAATAAATCCAAACATATTAATAACTACAAAAATAAATGTAAATGGATGAGATAGATATCTAAGTGGAAGAAATATATTTTTCAACTGTATTTTTAAAAAAATGGATTATCTACAAGATATCCACAAAAGAGTATATAAAAAAGAAATGGCATGTACTCTTCATAAATATTAAGAACATGAAAGAAAGACTGAGCAAATGTTCCTGGTCAAAGAGACGGAAGAAATATGACAAGTAAATGTAATACCAAGTCCTAAATTGGATCCTAAATCAGAAAAATATTTTTCCTTTGAAATATAGGCTACTAGAGAGCCAATGGTGATATTTAGATAAAGTCTGAATATTAGGTAATAGTACTAGATCAGTGTTTACTTCCTGATAGTGCCTTACCATGCCATGAGAAGCACGTGCCCTTTCTAGTCTCCTGATCCAAGAAGGGTTAGGGACATGCAGAGTACAGTTGCCCCAGTACAGCCACATGTATGCAGTGAGAGTCTGAGGTGCTCCTGCTGCCACAGCCTGAAACAAAGCCACCCAGCGTAGATCAGCCAGCACCTAGATGACTCAAGATTCCTGGGAATAAATATGGATATACATGACATTGAGATTCGGGGTTGTCTATTTTGCCACAATAAGTAACTGATACAATGACAAAGTTAGATTATTCCATGAAGAAAATTTATTTTAACCTTAGAAAAATCAATTGGTCTAGTTGCGGTGGCTCAGGCCTGTAATCCTAGCACTTTGGGAGGCGGAGGCGGGCGGATTGCCTGAGCTCAGGAGTTCAAGACTGGCCTGGGCAACATGGCAAAACCCTGTCTCTACTAAAAAAAAAAAAAAAAATATATATATATATATATATATATATATATATATACACACACACACACACACACACACACACATACATACATATATGAAAAATTAACCAGGCATGGTGGCATACACCTGTAGTCCCAGCTACTCAGGAGGCTGAAGCACATGAATTACTTGAACCTGGAGGTTGCAGTGAGCCAAGATCGGACCACTGCACTCCAGCCTGGGTGACACAGCGAGACTCCATCAAAAAAAAAATCTATTGGTATAATTTACTATATGATTAGAGTAAAAGAAGCAATGTGAACATCTCAGTAGGTACTGAAAAATATCATTTGACAACATTTAACATTCATTTGTGATGGTTAAAAAAATTATGACTAGGAGAGCTTGCTCCAACAGATGTGTACCTATTATGAAACTATAGCAAGTCAGATTGGTATGGTTTGGCTGTGTTCCCATACAGCCAAATTTCATCTTGAATTGTAGCTCCCATAATTCCCAGGTGTTGTGGGAGGGACCTGGTGGGAGATAATTGAATCATGGGGGCGGTTTTCCCCATACTGTTCTGGTGGTAGTGAATAAGTCTCACAAGATCTGATGGTTTTATAAGAGGAAACCCCTTTCTGTTGGTTCTCATTCTCTCTTGTCTGCCACCACGTAAGATGTGCCTTTTGCCGTCCGTCATGAGTGTAAGGCCTCCCCAGCCACATGCAACTGTGAGTCCATTAAACCTTTTTCTTTATAAATGATCCAGTCTCAGGTACGTCTTTATCAGCAGTGTGAAAATGGACTAATACAAAGATGATGTAGTATTTGCACAGAAATAGCCAAATACAAAAAATGAGAGAGTCCATAAAAGGATACACTAATATATAGACAATTTATAATGAAGTGAGGTAGTATGGCAGTTTAATTAGGAAAAGACAAGTAGGTCTTCAAAAAATGGGACAGTAAGTTATTCAAATGAAAAATATTAAATTGCACCTCTATATCACATGATATATAAGAATCAATTCCAGATGGATTAAAGATCTAAATATGGTAAGGAAAAACCCCATAACATCATACAAATAACAAAAGAGAATATATTTATGACCTCAGGATAAAGAAGTATTCCTTAAACAAGACATAAAAAGCAGAAACTGTAACAACAGAGACTAATAAATTATGCTACATTAAATAAGAACTTCTGTTCATGAAAGACACCATAAGAAAATGAAAGCAGCCACAGAGCAGGAAAAGATACTTGCATCATACGTAACCAGTGAAGGACTAGTATTCAGAATATACAAAGCACTATAGTTGACAGGAAGAATAATGAAATTAAGAAAAATTCCAACTAGCAATATGGAGAATAATAGCTTTCGATTTTATTAGAACTGTGGAATCGCTGAACTCAGTGCTCTTTAGAGATCATCATGCTGACTACCCAATCTCTTTATTTCACAGCCGAGCACGCCAAGAACCAAGGAGCCCAGGGCAGGCTGCACGGCATGCCCTGTGCCCCACCCACACTGCTTCCTCTTCTGAATCTCTGCACCCCTAAGTCTGGTTCAGTTTTGAGCTTCAGGCGTGGTCTCATCCCTTTGGCACTTCTTTTCTCCAACCAAAAGTTCTCAGCTTCAAAAAAAAAAAAAAGATGAGCATGTTCAATGACAAGAAAGTCTGTTTGATGGTAATCTATAAATTTGCCACATAAAGCATAAACCATACCACAAAAAGCTTAAAGGAATACCCACTGAATTCCAGCTGCTGAAGGTTGTCCTGCCCTTTCCTTGTGGTCTCCAAACACAAGCTTGTTTTATGTCACATTATTTTCTCCCCTCTTTATGGGCCAGATTCAATTTGTCACTACTTGGATATTGAACACTTTTTGCAAATTAAAGAGAAAGTCACCTCAGGCAACTTTCAAATAGAGGCTTATTGGGGACTTGATGATACTGCAAATCATTAAAGAACTTAGGTTCTGTACCTCTGCCCTCACTGATCAAATAGAGGCCACTCCTTTGAAGCCAGCAAGGACCCATGGGACTGACCTAATGCTTTTTGCCTTCAGCTTCTGAAGCTTATCACATTACTAATGTTTGAGTCTCTAATCCAGCTGGCTAGTTTAATCATCTTGAAGTAAAACAATACTATTAACATTGTTAGAAATGATTTATCCTTCTCTGTGCTGTTACCCTCTTCTTGATTCATTCATTTTATTTATAATTTTGCAATTACAAGTTTTCTTCTCAGAATCCTTCTCTTTCTCATTGTTAAAAGTAAAGACTATATCATCCTCTTTCTTTTACGATAATCTGTTGCTATAGAAATAGAGTTTCCAAACAGGAATTAATGATCCAGGGATAATAAAGAAAGAAAAAAGGTATTCTCTAAGAGAAAATTTGTTTCCAAATATAATCCCTTTTAGTTAAGCTGTCATATAAAATTATACAATTACTGGTTGAGCACAGTGCAACTAGAAAGGTGCTAGGTCCTAATCAAAACAGAGAAGATAAAGACCAAGAAATTGTATTTTAGCTAAGGAAATAAGACACATGACACAATGTACAAGCAGTACATTACTGTTCATATGTAATTTGGGTGTAAAAATTTGTGTTTGAGATCATAAAAGCAGTAAAAAAATCAAAGTATACAAACAAAAACAGATGGGCTTGATATGAGCAACCACTGGAATAAGATTTAAAGCCAAAATCAGGAATTTTAATTTCATAACTAGAAGTTAGGATTGGAGATAAAGTGTAATATGATCAGCATGCTGCCCAAGGAAGATGACTTTATTTGTTCATTTGGTGAACATTTTCTGAAGGCACAGTAGGCTTTGCGTCCTGGGCTAAGCATGAGGGCCTGGGACAATAGAAATTGTCAATGAAATAATAGAATTGACAATGAAATAATGTTGTCTTGAGTCATCTTCCCTAGAAGCAGAGCCTGAGACAGGAATTTGGATATACATGGCTATGAAGGCAGTGCTCTGAGAGAGGGAATAAGGAAAATGGAATAGGGCAGGGGAAGTAACTAAGTGGTATCCACAGGTGTCTAGCTTCAGTCTATCCCACAGAGAACCCTAGAGCACGAACATTCGCTCAGGTAGTTCCCATGTTGAAGCAAAGGGAAAAGCCTTTTGTACTCTTCTATCAGCCAGCAATTGGCTGGAGCCTGCCACTAGGGGAAATAGGTGAGTAATTCACCAAATGAGTCAGCTCTCACTGAGTAAAGAGCGATTCTTTAGAGGGGCAAGAGTGAGCCAATGCTCACAACAGTTGAAGGATGAATGACCTAGGGTGGTAAAGGGGATCTGAGTGAGGCACCAGCAGTGTATAAAATGTCTTCAAATTATTAAGATAGGTTACTTTGAACTTAGAATCCTATACCTAGCCCTCAAGCCCATCTCTGAAAGAACTACTGGAGGGCACTACTATGGCAACAAGATACAGGTATTCGAGAAAGAGGACTGTATGGCATAAAAGAAAAAATGATGAAAAAGAAATGTGAAAAATTTCTAGTGAAGTCCAATAATTGATAATGCAGAATGCAAGAAAAAATGGGGAACTAAAATCCCAGATGATTACAATATGGCAGATGGTGATGAAGGATGGGAAAGAGAAAAATCAAAGTGTCCTAACATTAGTAGCAGTGTATCTGGTGAGAAAGCAATAAATAACAGATTAATTCTGGACCAATATGTTGTGATGCTGTCCAATATAGTTGTTATGGAATGAACTGTGTCCCCACAAAATTCCTCTGTTGAAGTCCTAACTCTCTACATCTCAGAATGTGACCAATTTGGAGATAGGACCTTTAAAGAGCTGATTATGTTAAAACGAGGCCCTTAGGATAAACCCTGATCTAATCTGACTGATGACCTTAGAAGAAGAGATTAAGACTCACAAGGAGATACCAGGGATGCAAGCACACAGAGGAAAGATCATGTGAGGACGCAGTGAGAAGGAGGCATCTGCAAGGCAGGGAGAGAGGCTTCAGAAGAAACCAGACCTGCCGACACCTTGATCTTGGACTTCCAGTCTCCAGAACTGTAAGAAAATTAATTTCTGTTGTTTAAGCCCCCCAGTCTATAGTATTTTGTTATGGTAGCCCAAGAAAATTAATACAATAGTAGTCAGTGGATACATTTGGCTATTTAATTTACATTAATTAAAATTAAATAAAAGTGAAACTTCAGTTTCTCCCTCATATTAGCCACACATCAAGTACTCAATAGCCACATGTAGCTAATGGTTACTGTACAAGACAGTGTCAGAGATATAGAACATTTTCATCATTGCAGAAATTTATATTGGACAATGTTGCTCCTCTAAAGGCAGGGTGAAAGCAATTTTTGTTTAAATATATGGGATAAAAATTTTAAAGATAATGATTAAGAAAATAGAGATACCTATAATCCTAGCACTTTGGGGGGCTGAGGTGGGTGAACTGCTTGAGCCCAGGAGTTTGAGATCAGCCTGGGAAACATGGTGAAACCCCATCTCTACAAAAAATACAAAAAATTAGCTGGGCATCGTAGCATACACCTGTAGTCCCAGCTACTCAGGAAGCTGAGGTGGGAATATCACTTGAGCCCAGGAGGTCAGGCTGCAATGAGCCAGGATCACACCACCGCATTCCAGCCTGGGTGACAGAGTGCAACCCAGAAAGAGAGAAAGGAAGACAGGAGGGAGGGAGGGAGGGAAAATATATCATAAACCAAATAAGGCTTATTGCAGGAATGCAAAGATGATTCAACATTAAGAAATCTCATTAACAAAGGGGAAAATATCAGGATTTCCCCATTTTAATAATAATTAATATTCAAAATGCATTGTGAATATAGCAATCTTTTGAACTAAAAATCACATTCTACATTTTAAAAAACTTTTTATGAGGTAGGAATGGAAAGAAAATTTTGTTTCTGGATAGAAGCTAAATAACTATCAGAAACACATAAATCATTTTGGATGGTGAAATATTGGAGGCATTCTAATTGAACAGGACAAAGAAAATGTATCAAATAAGAGTTCTTGGGTTGCAAGCAACAGAAATCAATTCTTTTTATTATTATTATTATACTTTAAGTTCTAGGGTACATGTGCACAACGTGCAGGTTTGTTACATATGTATACACGTGCCATGTTGGTATGCTGTACCCATTAACTCGTCATTTACATTAGGTATATTTCCTAACGCTATCCCTCCTCTCTCCCCCAACCCCACGACAGGCCCCGGTGTGTGATGTACCCCTTCCTGTGTCCAAGTGTTCTCATTGTTCAATTCCCACCTATGAGTGAGAACATGCAGTGTTTGGTTTTTTGTCCTTGCCATAGTTTGCTGAGAATGATGGTTTCCAGCTTCATCCATGTCCCTGCAAAGGACGTGAACTCATCCTTTTTCATGGCTGCATAGTATTCCATGGTGTATATGTGCCACATTTTCTTTTTTTCTTTTTCTTTCTTTTTTTTTTTTTTTTTTTTGAGACAGAATCTCGCTCTGTCGCCCAGGCTGGAGTGCAGTGGCACGATCTCAGCTCAGTGCAAGCTCCGCCTCCCAGGTTCCTGCCATTCTCCTGCCTCAGCCTCCTGAGTAGCTGGGACTACAGGCACCTGTCACCACACCCAGCTAATATTTTGTATTTTGGGTAGAGACAGGGTTTCAGTGTGTTAGCCAGGATGATCTCAATCTCCTGACCTCGTGATCCACCTGCCTCGGCCTCCCAAAGTACTGGGATTACAGGCGTGAGCCACCACGCCCGGCCCACATTTTCTTAATCCAGTCTATCATTGATGGACATTTGGGTTGGTTCCAAGTCTTTGCTATTGTGAATAGTGCCGCAATAAATATACAAGTGCATGTATCTTTATAGCAGCATGATTTATAATCCTTTGGGTATACACCCAGTAATGGGATGGCTGGGTCAAATGGTGTTTCTAGTTCTAGATCCTTCAGGAATCGCCACACTGTCTTCCACAATGGTTGAACTAGTTTACAGTCCCACCAACAGTGTAAAAGTGGTCCTATTTCTCCACATCCTCTCCAGCACTTGTTGTTTCCTGACTTTTTAATGATTGCCATTCTAACTGGTGTGAGATGGTATCTCATTGTGGTTTTGATTTGCATTTCTCTGATGACCAGTGATGATGAGCATTTTTTCATGTGTCTGTTGGCTGCATAAATGTCTTCTTTTGACAAGTGTCTGTTCATATCCTTCGTCCACTTTTTGATGGGGTTGTTTTTTTTTCTTGTAAATTTGTTTGAGTTCTTTGTAGATTCTGGATATTAGCCCTTTGTAAGATAAGTAGATTGCAAAAATTTTCTCCCATTCTATAGGTTGCCTGTTCACTCTGATGGTAGTTTCTTTTGCTGTGCAGAAGCTCTTTAGTTTAATTAGATCCCATCTGTCAATTTTGGCTTTTGTTGCCATTGCTTTTGGTGTTTTAGACATGAAGTCCTTGCCCATGCCTATTTTCTGAATGGTATTGTCTAGGTTTTCTTCCAGGGTTTTTATGGTTTTAGGTCTAACATTTACGTCTTTAATCCATCTTGAATTAATTTGTGTATAAGGTGTAAGGAAGGGATCCAGTTTCAGCTTTCTACATATGGCTAGCCAGTTTTCCCAGCACCATTTATTAAATAGGGAATCCTTTCCCCATTTCTTCTTTTTGTCAGGTTTGTCAAAGATCAGATGGTTGTAGATGTGTGGTATTATTTCTGAGGGCTCTATTCTGTTCCATTGGTCTATATCTCTGTTTTGGTACCAGTACCATGCTGTGATGGTTACTGTAGCCTTGTAGTATAGTTTGGAGTCAGGTAGCATGATGCCTCCAACTTTGTTCTTTTGGCTTAGGATTGACGTGGTAATGCAGGCTCTTTTTTGGTTCCATATGAAGTTTAAAGTAGTTTTTTCCAATTCTGTGAAGAAAGTCATTGGTAGCTTGATGGAGATGGCATTGAATCTATAAGTTACCTTGGGCAGTATGGCCATTTTCACGATATTGATTCTTCCTATCTATGAGCATGGAATGTTCTTCCATTTGTTTGTGTCCTCTTTTATTTCGTTGAGCAGTGGTTTGTAGCTCTCCTTGAAGAGGTCCTTCACATTCCTTGTAAGTTGGATTCCTAGGTATTTTATTCTCTTTGAAGCAATTGTGAATGGGAGTTCACTCATGATTTGGCTCTCTGTTTGTCTGTTATTGGTGTATGAGAATGCTTGTGATTTTTGCACATTGATTTTGTATCCTGAGACTTTGCTCAAGTTGCTTATCAGCTTAAGGAGATTTGGGGCTGAGACAATGGAGTTTTCTAAATATACCGTCATGTCATCTGCAAACAGGGACAATTTGACTTCCTCTTTTCCTAATTGAATACCCTTTGCCTGATTGCCCTGGCCAGAACTTCCAACACTGTGTTGTATAAGAGTGGTGAGAGAGGGCAAGCCGGATCCAGCAGCACATCAAAAAGCTTATCCACCATCATCAAGTGGGCTTCATCCCTGTGATGCAAGGCTGGTTCAACTTATGCAAATCAATAAACGTAATCCAGCATATAAACAGAACCAAAGACAAGAACCACATGGTTATCTCAATAGATGCAGAAAAGGCCTTTGACAAAATTCAACAGCCCTTCATGCTAAAAACTCTCAATAAATTAGGTATTGATGGGACGTATCTCAAAATAATAAGAGCTATTTATGACAAACCCACAGCCAATATCATACTGAATGAGCAAAAACAGAAATCAATTCTAATTTAATCCCCCCAAAAGGAGAATTTATTGGAAAGCTTTTAGAAAGCTCACAAAATCAACCAGAAGACTGGAGAAAAGGCTCAAAAGCAGACATGGAATTACCTGGTTTCTGGAAATAATAAATTCTAGTTGTTCTTGCTTGCTTACACATGAAATACTTTCTTCAAGAGCCATAGTCCTAGGACAGTAAATCCAATTGACTAAGCTTAGACCATGGGCCTTCCCTTTGGATGTGCAGAATCACTGACAGAAAAGATCTAATGAAAGAAATGTCCAAGATCCCTTCCTTCCATGATAGGAAAACAGGGACCCCTGGATCTACCTTTCTTCAATGACTGCCTACAATAGAGGAGAGATAATTTCAAAAAAAAATCAATCAATTGATCAAGGCACTGTAGGATGCTGGGATACAAACAAACAAACAAAAATTCTTGCACAACTTCCTAGCCTGCCTCATAAGGCAAAAAAAAAAAAAAAAAAAAAAGAGAGAGAGAGAGAAAGAAAAAGGAAATAAGTGGTAAATATCTCAAGAGAATAAATTAAACATTCATTATTTGAAGATAATATAATAGTCAAGTTGGAAATTGTAATAGAATAAACTGAAAATTATTAATATATTCATAATTAGTACAAGTACACTAAAGTGGCTGAATCCAAGATCAAACCAAAAAATCAATAAATTTCTTATATACCAGCATCACCAAGTAGAAAATGTAATGAGAAAAAAAAAATTTACAGAAACAGAAAAACCTAGGAAATACTCAGAAACAATCTTAACAAGAAATGCATACAACTCATCTAAATGAAAATATAAAAATTTGCTGAAGGATACCCTGAAGAAGGCCTAAGTAAATGAAATATACCATGTTTCTGAATGGGAAAACCCAACACTGTAAAGCTACCTGATAAATCTATAAATCCAATAAATCTCAATGAAGATGCAAGCATAATTATATTATGAAACTTACAAGCTTTTTACAAAGTTCATCTGGAAGAGAAAACATACAAGAATACATTTGAAAAAAACATTCATGCAGTATTTTCCATACCAGGCTTCAAAGCGAAAGCTTTAATATTTAAAATATGTAGTATAGACAACAGAGGACAACAGAGATTCTAGAAATAGACACATATTCATAATTTCTGTTGTGAATCAAATGGCATTGGTAAAATTGGCTGACCATTTGGAAACAAAAATTAGATCCCTACAACCTATGTTCCACAAAAATAAATACACATAGATTAAAGAGCTAAATGTAAAGTCAAAACTATACAAGATAATTTTATATAATCTTGAAGTGGAAGGTTTTTATCAAACCCAGAGGCCATATATTGACCATTTGACTATATTAAAATTTTTCACTTTTATATAATAAAAGGTACCTTTAAAAACGGGGGAAAGGGGCAACAGACTGTGAGAAAGCGTCTGTAAGAGCGCCTAAAAATCAGTAAGCAAAAGACAAACCAATTTTAAAATAGGCAAAGGATAAAACAAGAATTTTACCAAAATGTTTCACACTACACATGTGAAAAGATGTTTAATATTACTGTTGATTAAAATAATGCAAATAAAAGCAAGAATTGAATATTTTTACAGTTGGATTTGCAAATGTTAAATATTTGGTGTTGGTATAAAAATTTCACAGAATAGTCTTTATGGAAATATAAATTGACTACAGCTTTTTGGCAGTCAATTTGGCAGTATCTGCTGAAATTTTAAATGCGTATGCTCTTTGACCCAGCAATTCCATTTCTAAGCATCTACCCAACAGAAATACACTCTCAATTTTGATACAATACATGTACAAAGATTTTTATATCAGCATTGTCTGCAACGACCAAAAAAAGAAAATAATCTAAATGTCCATTAGTAGCAGAAAGAAAATTAAGCCTATGCTACGTAAAATGCAGCCATTTGAAAGAATTATGTGGATATATTTATACTGATATGGAAAGTGTGCTATGATATATTAAGAGAAAAAGTGAACTTGAATGAACAGTATAATCCCATTTATGCAAAATCTAATCCTGTATTTTTGTTTATGAAATAAGTGCATGTAAATGCATACGAAAAGGACTGGAAAGATGCACACCAAATTGTTCGTGCTGATTGCCTCTGGAGAAGAGCAGGATTGGGGAAAAGAGACTTTCGTTTCTTGCTCAACTGTTTTGTTTAACATTTTTACAACAAAAATATGCTAATGTCTATCTGTATGATCCTATTACAAATTTCAAAAAATAAAAGTTATTCCAATGGCAGAGTAGGAAAAACTAAAGAGGAGTAAGATTAGAAACAGGGAGGACAATGAGAAGGATGCTGTCATTATGCAAACAGGAAAAGATGGGAGCCCAGGGTGGGAGTGGAACTGGGATAAAGAGGACATGGATTCAAGAGAGATAGGAAAGTGGAAATGGTGATTATTCAGGTGTGGGCATGAAGAGGGAGGAATGCTAAAAAATATGTAAGTAACAATTGATGGCGGGTACCATAAACTGAAAAGGAAAGTCTTGGAAGAGAAGCAGGTTTAGAGAAAAATATAATGAGTTCAGTTTTAGTCATATTTTGGGATGCTTTGGACAACTCAAGTGGAGATGTTTCTTAAACATTAGGTTGGAGGTATAGGCACAAATAATTAGTCTGCAAATGGTGCCTGAAGCTACGGGTCTAAATGACATGCCCCACAAACTTCACAGAATGAGAAGAAATCCAAGCAGAATGCCCGAGAAACCACTAACATTTAAGGGTTAACCAAAGGAAGAGGAAATCATGAGAAACACTGAGAAGGCATGACCATGGAGGATGGAGAAAAATTGAGGAAACATGGTGTCACAGAAGTTAAATGAGGGGAGAATTTGAACAAGGAAGAAATGGTCAACAGGACTTATCACCAAGAGGAAAAGCAAGAACCAGAAAATGTAGAAGTCACTAGTAAGGGACAGGATCAGCTTCAGTGAAAGGGAGGAGCTGACATCAGACCACAGAAGCTTTCAAGGGGATGGCTGTGAAAAGCGCAACAACAGGATTCCTGCCTCAGTTTGTTATGGCTGCTATAATAAAATACCTTAGATCGGTAGCTTATAAACAACATACATGTATTGCTCACAGTTCTGCAGGCTGGGAAGTCCAAGATCAAAGCACCAGGATACTCAGTATCTGGTGAGGACCCACTCTCTGGTTCACAGATGGCCATCTTACGGCTGTGTCCTTACATGGTGCTTAAGGGGTCCCTCTCAAGCTTCTTTTATAAAGGCACTAATTCCATGTATGAGATCTCCACCTTTGTCATCTAATCACTCCCCAAAGGCCCCACCTCCTAAAACCATCACCTTGGGGGTTAGGATTTCAACACATCAATTTCAAGGGGACATAAATATTGAAACCATAGTAATCACCAAGAAAAAGGAAAGGATGAGCTCCAATTCAATAAGAGAGTGGTACCATCTCTCCCATTAAGATAAAAAAGAAGAAAGAACAAGGGCAGATTGATGTGTATTTCTTGGTGAAGGAGAAGAATTTTTCCAGGGAGTTTTCACCTGATAGCCTCTATTTAATGCAAAATGAAGGCAAACCTCCAAGAGTTGTGAAGGAGGCAATAGAGAACAGAGTCGAAGATGGAAGGGAAATTTTTAAATAGCTGTGGAAGGCATTGGGCACATTGAAGAACTGCTAGACAACATACAGCATTAGCTGTCAAACATTTTTATTCTACATTAAGACATACATTTTATATTATGGCCCAGCACACACATACATATATGTGTAAATAACTAATTTTAAAAATTATGAAACAATACTTACACTTAATTTCTGAAATGAATATTTTCTACTCTATTTACTTTTTAAAAAATTCACTATTCATGATAAAAACCCTCAACAGATTAGGGATAGATGGAATGTATCTCAACACAATAAAGGTCACATATGACAAAACCATAACTAACATTATTTTCAAAAGTCAAAAGTTGAAAGCTTTTCCTCTAAGATCAGCAACAAGATAAGGAAGCCCACTCTCACCACTTCTTTTCAACACACTACTAGAAGTTTTAGCGAGAGCAATTAGGCAAGAGAAAGAAAGAAAGGCATCCTAATAGGAAAGGAAAAAGTGAAATTGTCTCTATTTGCTGACGACATGATGCTATATATAGAAAACCCTAAAGACTCCACCACAAAAACCATTAGAACTGATAAATGAATTCAGTAAAGTTGCACAATACAAAATCCGTACACAAAAATCAGTAGCATTTCTATATACTAATAATAAACTATCTAAAAAGGAAATTAAGAACAATTCACAATAGCAACAATTTACAATATCAAAAACAACAACAAAAATACTTAAGTGTAAATTTAATCAAGGAGGTAAAAGATTTGTATATTGAAAACTATAAGACACTAATGGAAGAAAATTTGTAAAACACAAATAAATAGAAAAATATCCCATGTTTATGGATTGAAAGAATTAACATTGTGAAAATATACATACTACCAAAGCTTTCTACAGATTCAATTCAATCTCTATCAAAATTTCAATGCCAATGCCATTTTTCACAGAAGTAGGAAAAAACAGTCCTTAATTTGTACAAAAGACTCCTAATATCCAAAATAATCTTGAGCATAAAGAACTAAGATTGAGGCATCACACTCTCTGATTTCAAAACCTACTATAAAGCAATTGTAATCAAAACAGCATGGTACTGGCATAAAAACAGACACATCGACCAATGGAACAGGATGGAAAGCCCAGAAATAAATCCACATAGTTATGATCAATTGATTTTCAACAGAGGTGCCAAGAACACACAATGCAGAAAGGACACTCTTGTCAATAAATGGTGTTGGGAAAACTGGCTATCAACACACAAAAGAATAAAATTAGATTATATTTCACACCATATATAAAAATCAACTCAAAATGGATTACACTTAAATGTAAGACCTGAAGCTGTAAAACTAGCAGAAGACAACATAGGCAAAAAAGTTCCATAACATTTTTTGTATATGACCTTAAAAGCACAGGAAACACAACCAAAAGTAGACAAATGGGATGGAATCAAACTAAAAAGCTTCTGCACAGCAAGAGAAACTATTAACAGAGTGAAGAGACAACCAACATAATGGGAGAAAATATGTGTAAATCATACATCTAACAAGGGGTTAATATCCAAAACATATAAAGAACTAAAACAACTCATTAGCAAGAAAACAAATAGCCCAATTAAAAAATGGGCAAAAAGCCTGAATAGATATTTCTCAAAAGAATACATACAGGCCAGGCATGGGTGGCTCACACCTGTAATCCCAGTACTTTAGGAGGCCAAGGCAGGTGGATCGCTTGAGGTCAGGAGTTTGAGACCAGCCTGACCAATATGGTGAAACTCCATCTCTACTAAAAATAAAAATAAAAAAAAAAAATTAGCTAGGCGTGGTGATACACTCCTGCAATCCCAGCTACTTGGGAGGCTGAGGCAGGAGAATTGCTTCAACCCAGGAGGCAGACGTTGCAGTGAGCCAAAATCGCACCATCGCTCTCCAGCCCGGGCAGCAAGAGTGAAACTCCTACTAAAAAAAAAAAAAAAAAAGAATACATACAGAGAGCTAATTGGTACATGCAAAAATGCTCAGCATCACTAATCATTAGGGAAATGCAAACTAAGACCACAATGAGATATCACCTCTCACCTGTTAAGAGTAGCTTTTATCAAAATGATGAAAGATAACAAGTATTGGCAAGGATGTGAAGAAAAGGAAAGTTTTGTACATTATAGGTGGGAATGTGAATTAGCACAGCCATTATGAAAAACGGTATGAAGGTTTCTCAAACAACTAAAAATAGATCTACCATATGATCCACTAATCCTACTTCTGCATATATATCCCAAGGAATTGAAATCCATATCTCAAAGGGATATCTGCCCTCCCATATTTACTGCAGTATTGTTCACAATAGTCAAGATATGGTATCAACCTAAGTGTCCATTAATGGATGAATGGATAAAGAAAATGTGGTATATATACACAATGGAATGCTATTCCACTTTAAAAACAAAAGAAATTCTGTCATTTGTGACAACATGGATGAACCTGGAGGACATTATTTAAATGAAATAAGCCAGGCATGGAAAGGCAAATACCACATGATCTCACTTTTATATGAAATCTAAAAAAGTTGAACTCACAGAAGTAGAGAGTAGAAAAATGGTTACCAGAGGCTAAGGGATTGGGGAGGGAAGGAATGGGAAATTTTTATCAAAGGATATAAAGTTTCAGAAAAGAGGAATAATTTTTTAGATCTATTGCACAGCAGGGTGACTACAGTCAATAATAGTGCATTGTATATCTCAAAATAACAAAGAGTAAATTTCAAATGCCTCACCATAAAAAATGATAGGTAAGCAAGGTGATGGATATGTTAATTAGTTTGACTTAATTATTCCACATTGTACACATATATCAAAGCATTACATTGTACCCCATAAATGTATACAAGTATGATTTGTCAGTTCAAAATAATGTTAGTTCTTGAAAATTCACTAAATTTAGTTCATGATCCATCAATAAGCTGTGATCCAATGTTCAAAAAACACTAGTATAGAGCACCTAACTTCAGTTGCATATAATTTTCTCAGTTTTCCTGATCCACTTACCTGACATGGGACCAGAGATCTAAAGGAGGATGTAGCAGGAGGACAAGGGTTTATATATTCTAGGATAATGGCAAGAGAAATGTACAAAGATGGACATTGGCTGAATAAGAAAGAAGTCAAATGAGAACAAAGGGAGAGGCCCAGGAACTGCAGGTCTCAGTGTAACTGAAGAATAGGTGTTGCAGGTATTAGCAGGAAAAAAGGAGCTGAGAACTAGTTCTTAGATTTAAAGTGCCAGAGGCAGAGTGATTCTGGATGATGACAAGCCCAGGTATGACCCTGAGATTCTGGACGATTCATGGAAGTAGATGCAAGGACTGAGGAATCAGACAGAAACCATATAGTGTTTGTTGCAAAAGTCTAGATGTATTGTGAGTATTGCCTAGGTTAGTTGGTAGAGAAAATTAAAAGCTCAAGATAAATATGAGAAATGTTTTAAATAAGCACCGTCCAAGAGAACTTCCTCCAATGATGAAAGTATTCTATATCTGCCCTATCCAATTCAGTAGCCACTAGACACATGAGCCTATTGAACATTTTAAATGTGGCTAGTGTGACAGAGAAACTTAAATTTTAATTGCATTTATTTCAATTAATTTAAATTTAAATTTAAATAGTCACATGTGGCTATTTAGTGGCTGTAATAGTAGGCAGTACAGTTCTAGATGAAGAATTATCAGGAAGACATAAAGTCAATTAAAAGTTCCACAGTGGGATGGTTCTATAGCACTGGGGACCTGTTGGTACAATTTCTTTGATAGGAAAAAGCAATGTAACCTTTTTATTTTACTTAACAGAATTGTAATCATGCAGAAATGTCCTTTAGAGATCCAGAATCCTTGGTTGGCAGAGAATATAAGATATTGGGGCAAGAGATGTCAAAATACAATTTATCTATGTAAGCTAGTACATAAACCAATGAGTGCATGAATTCCCCAAGACAGTGAAGGTGACTGTAACCAATAGTGATTCATGTGACCACTATCACACACGTTGGGGGGCTTGTAGATTAATAATGTGGTAGTGAAACTGAAGGATTTCATAGAGGGATATAAGAGGAAATTTTAAAATACTTCAACAACTTTCATAAAAATGTATTTGCATACTTATAGCTCTTTCTGTTAATTTTTTCTACTTATTCCCATATGGTTTCTGTTTCTTCATTTAACTCTAGGAGACTCAGTTATCATTAAAAGCTATCACAGGTTTTGAAGCAAACATTATCACAGCCTGAACTGAGCCACAGCTCACCAAGCAACTGCTTCCCAAGTCTAGAGATCTCAAATACAATGAAACAACACACACGTTGTGTTCTCCAGGCAGGAACTCAAGCTATAGAGAGAATAAGTACACTTTGTAGAGTATACCTGTGGGGAAACTCAGGTGAACCCCTGAGCACCTAAAGCTTTACCACTCTGTCCATATCATCAAATTTTATGGGACCTGTGGCGTCCTAAATTCCGGGTGGAAGGTGTTTGTCTTAGAGAGATACTCTTGATTTTACAGAATTAGACAGCTAAGAGAGAAATCTCTTTCATTAAGTTCTCAACATTTGGCTTTAAGCACTATGCTTACTTTGTACATGTGCCCCTAGACTCTCCTTCCCCCAATTTTTCCTGGCCCAAAGCCTATTTCCCTCATTTATGGTGTCCTAAAACACTCCCTGTAAAAAGCAGCCCCTTCCAGAAATGAAGCTTACTCAAATCTTAGGATTCTACCTTTCGTCATTAAGTTTCTTTCATAGCAGTGCTATTTGCATCCATGTAATTCACTTGCTCTGTCTCAGTTCCACTCTGTTGAGTGTATGATCAGATGAGGAAAAACTATGCCAACCAGAGTAGAATTCACAAAAGTTCACTTATAAAATTTGTACTAATTTTCAGGCTGCTATGCTCTGACATTTACTAGGACCATACAGTTTAACAACAACAACAACAAAAACTCACCCTAAGTCACAGAATCATAGAATTCACTTGCTATGAGATGCCATGGCTTGTAATGGTATGAACATGGTTCACTGCAGCCTCAACCTCCTGGTTTCAAGTAATCCTCCTGCTTCAGCCTCCCAAGTAGCTGAAGCCACAGTGTGTGCCACCACCATACACCACCACGCATGCCACCACGCCCAGCTAATTTTTTAATTTTATAGAAATAGGGTTTCACCATGTTGCCCAGGCTGGTCTCTAACTCCTGGACTCAAGCAATCCTCCCACCTTGGCCTCTCAGAGTTCTGGAATTACAAGTGTGAGCCACTGTGCCCAGCCTACAATCAGCTTTTCAAGTTCCACCAAAAATGAAACAAAAAAACAACCCTGTTGAAAATTTTTATTAAAATTCCAATGAAGCTATAAATCACTGTGGAAAGAATCAATGTCTCATGATAGTGAGTCTTCTAATGTATCAACATGGTATATCTCTCCACTCATTTAGATCTTCTTTAATGTCTTTCTATAAAGTTTTATAATTTATTTCAAAGGGGTCATATACATCTTTTGGTAGATTTATTCCTAAGTACCATATTTTTTGTTGCTATTGTAAATGAGATTTTCTTTCTTCTGTTGCACTTTCTATTTGTTGATGGCAAAAAAGTTTATACAACAATATGATATCCAACCATCCTCTCATTAATTCCATAAGAAGCCTATAGATTCTTTGAACTTTCTTGGTAGACAGTCATATTATCTGCAATGACCAATTTGTGACTCATTTATTTCTTGCCTTACTGAAAATCCGATAAAATGTTGATGAAAACTGACAATGGTGGAAGTTTTTTGCCTTTTCCTGTTCTTAAAAGAATGCTTCCAAAATTTCACCAAGAATAATATTCTATAATTCACTAAGAATAATGTTCTAGTATTGGAAGTCCTGGCCAGAGCAATCAGGCAAGAGAAAGAAATAAAGTGCATCCAAATAGAAAGATAAGAAGTCAAACTATCCCTGTTTGCAGATGACATGATTCTATATCTAGAAAACCCCATAATGTTGGCCCAAATGCTCCTTCAGCTGATAAACGACTTCAGCAAAGTTTCAGGACACAAAATCAATGTACGATAATCACTTGCACTCCTATACACCAACAACACCCAAGCTGAGAGCCAAATCAGGAATACAATCCTATTCACAATTGCCACAAAAAGAATAAAATACCTAGGAATACAGCTAACCAGGGAGGTGAAAGATCTCTACAATGAGAATTACAAAACACTGCTCAAGGAAATCAGAGGTAACACAAACAAAGGGAAAAACATCCCCCATGCTCATAGATAGGAAGAATCAGTATCACTAAAATGGCCATACTGCCCAAAGCAATTTACAGATTCAATGCTATTCCTATCAAATTACCAGTGGCACTTTCACAGAACTAGAAAAAAACTATTTTAAAATTCAGATGGAACCAAAAAAAGAGCCCAAATAGCCAAGGTCCTAAGCAAAAAGAACAAAGCTGGAGGTATCACGTTACCTGACTTCAAACTATACAACAGGGCTACAGTAACCAAAACAGCATGGTACTGCTACAAAAACAGACACATAGACCAATGGAACAGAATAGAAACCCCAGAAATAAGGCTGCACACCTACAACCACCTAATCTTCAACCAAGCTGACAAAAACAAGCAATGAGGAAAGGACTCCCTATTCAATAAATGGTGCTGGGATAACTGGCTAGCCATATGCAGAAGATTGAAACAGGACCCCTTCCTTACACCATATACAAAGCCAACTCAAGATGGATTAATGACTTAAATGTAAAACCCAAAACCATAAAAACTCTGGAAATAAACTAGGCAATACCATCCTGGACATAGGAACTGGCAACAATTTCATGACGAAGATGCCAAAAGCAATTGTGACAAGAACAAAAATTGACAAATGGGATCTAATTAAACTTAGAGCTTCTGCACAGCAAAAGAAAGTATCAACAGACATGGGATATGTTAATTAATTAATTTAATTAATGTATTAATAAGTTAATTAATTAATGCATTAATTAAATTAATTAATTAACACAGAGTGGGGGAAAATATTTGCAAACCATATATCTGACAAAGATATTAATCCAGTACCTAGAAGGAACTTAAAAAATTTACAAGACAAAAACAACCTCGTTAAAAAGTGGGTGAAAAACACGAACAGACATTTTTCAAAAGAAGATATATACGCAGCCAAAAAGCATGTGAAAAAAAGCTCAAATAACACTGATCATTAGAGAAATGCAAATGAAAATCACAATGAGATACCATCTCACACCAGTCAGAATGACTGTTATTAAAAAGTCAAAAAATAACACATGCTGGGAAGGTTTCAGAGAAAAGGGAAAACTTATACACTATTGGTGGAAGTGTAAATTAGTTCATCCATTGTAGAAAGCAGTGTGGTAATTCCTCCGAGAGCTAAAATCAGAAACACCATTTGACCCAGCAATCCCATTACTGAGTATATGCAGAGGGATATAAATTATTCTGCCATAAAGACACATGCATGCAAATGTTCATTGCAGCACTATTCACAATAGCAAAGACAAAAATCAGCCTAAATGCCCATTGACAACAGATGGGATAAAGAAAATGTGGTACATATACACCATGGAATACTATGTCACCATAAAAAAGAACGAGATCATGTCTTTCCTGGGAAAATGTATGGAGCTGGAGGCCATTATCTTTAGCAAACTAACAGAGTAACAGAAAACCAAATACCAGATGTTCTCACTTATAAGTGGGAGCTAAATGATGAGAACACATGGACACAAAAAAGAGAACAACAGACACTGGGGCCTACTTGAGTAGGGAGAAAGTCAGAGGAGGAAGAGAGGCAAAAAAAATAATTGGGCACTGGGCTTAGTACCTGGGTAATGAAATAATCTCTACAACAAATCCCTGTGACATGAGTTTACCTATATAACAAACCTGCATGTGTACCCCAAACCTAAAGAAAAAGTTAAAAAAGAAAAAAAGAATAATGTTCACTGTAGGTTTGATTTGGTTTGGTTTAGATACCCTTTACCTGGTTAAGGAATTGTCCTTCAATATTTAGCTTCATGCAAATTTTTAAAATTATGAATGAGTTTTGAATCTGTCATATGTTTTCTGCTGACTTCTCTTGCAAGCTTGGAGCTCAGTTTTCCCAGGTGGTCAAAATCAGTTACCACTCATCCAACGGCTTTCCACCTTCCTACTTTTGACTGCTATTGTCTCCTCACTTTTCTTATAGGTTTATATCTTTTAAAAAACATCCATTGGTTGTCATTTTTATAATTTGGGGGAGGGAGTGAAGTGAATGCATACATTCAATCCATAATCTTTAACTGGCCATTTTCCATCCTTAAAATTTTTCCTTCATATTTAAGTTAAATTCTAAAGTGTCACTCCTAGGCAACCCCCCCAACTTGCATGCTATTTTTACCCTTTGCAATTTATGTTACTGTTGTCTATCATTTAACTTTAATTTTTTAATCCCCACGGAAGACATTATTGTTTTAGATAGATAAGATTTGTTAGATTACCAACTTTTTTTGCCCACCGGACCTTCTTCTATTTCAGACCTTACTCCCGGAGGCATTTTTCTTATTCCTTCAGAATTGTAGTCTCAAGGTGTAGTTTATGGACCTGTAGGGACCCTGAGACCCTTTCTGGGGCCCACAAGGTCAAAACTACTTTCATAATAATACCAAGATGTTATTAGTCTTTTTCTCTGTGTTGACATGTACACTGGTGGTGCAGAAGCAATGGTGGGTTCAAACATCTGGTGACTTAGCATGAATCAAGACAGTGGCACCAAATGATGCTGGTAACCTTGCATTCTTCTCTGCCGCACACTCACAGTAAATTTCTAAAATGTCAGTTATGCTTAACAATGTGCTTGGTGAAGCAGAAAAAATATATATTAATTTTATTAAATCTTGACCTTTAAGCAATGTCTTTTTAATATTCTCTGTGACAAAATGGGAACTACAAAAGGCACTTCTTCTGAATACTGAAGTATGATCGTTTTCTCAAGGAAAAACACTTTTGTGATTGAGTTGCAAGCTGACGTAACCGATTTTTTCATGGAACACTATTTTTACTTAAAAGGATGACTGACAGATGAACTATGGCTATTCAGACTTGGATAATTGGCAGACATTTTCTCAAAATGGAACGAAGTGAGCCTGTAACTTCAAGGAAAACAACCAACAGAACTTGTTGCCAATGATAAAATTCAAGTTTTTAAGCAAAAATTAGAATTTTAGAAAATTTGTATTTGCCACCATGGGTCTGACAGCTTCCCAATACTTGGACTTTTCTAATGAGATCAGTGGTGATGTTAATGAACGTAATTTTGGCGTAAATGTTTGGAAGATCTACCTGATTCAATGAATCAATATTTTCAAAACAGAAAAGTATAATAGTTAAAAATTTTTTAATTAATGGGTTAAACAGTAAACAGTTGAAGAGAGAATTATTGATATATGGATTTTTTTAAAAGTACTCATAATACAGCAGAGAAAACAAGGAGATAGAAAAAGTGAAAGACAATTTAGTACAAACAAGCCTGTTTCTATTTTGCAAATTCTGTGTGGTTTCTTTTATAGATTCCTGCTTATTTTGGGTAGTTCCTTATTGCTTTACATTTCTGTGAGATACCTGGGTATACATAATTGTTTGATATTCTACATCTTGATCATTCCAAAATCAGAATTCATGAGGACTCTAAATCCTTCGTTTATTGTTTCTGCTGACTCTCCCCATGGTGAGACAGAGGCTTTTTCTTCTGTCATGTTGGTGATCTTCGATGGTGAGCCCATGTTTGGTAGATCTTCATCTATGGAATCCTGAGGGGCTAATTGAGGTTGACTTCCTCCAGAGCAGCTTTATCCTTGCTTCCACTGGGGGCCAGGGGGCGCCAGACCTCAGCTGCCTTATTTCCTTCCAGGTTCCATTCACTGGCCTTGGGTTGAGCCCAAAGCTTAGTGTCCTGATTGCATTTGCTTACTGCTCACTGCATCTCCTTTTCAGATTTCAACAAAGTATTCTCTCTCTCTCTCTCTCTTTTTTTTAACACCGTTGGATATTTCTCTCATTTCCTACAAACCTAGCACTGCATTTGAAATTACAATGTTACTCAAGCAGATATAATGTAATCAAAATACAACTTTATTTTTTCTTCCCACTGTTCCATTAGGCTTTATTTAGCAGGAGTAAAGTTTCCCTGAGCCTGGATGAAAAACAATCTTGATTCAGAAATTAGATTGTCCAATTCTGTATAACAATTATAACTCTGGGCTTGACTTACAGTAAAACTCCTCCTCCCCCAGCTTGGTTCTGCTTCAGGCTGAAAGCCTACAATGAGAAAGAGTGGCTGATTAGTTTCTTCCTTTATTTACTGCCTTGTGCTTCCCTTCTCCCCCTTCCCCTTCCCTCTCCCAGCTGTTTTCATGTCCTCAAAGTCAAAGCAGGAAGATGGTAGACAGGAAAATGATAAAATATTCTGTGAACTGATATCTTCATGCCCTGAGGGTCATGAGCTCTTCAAAGGTTCCTATCACTGTACTCCTTTCTCCTGCAACATCTAGCCCCAGGTAGGTGCATTTCTAGCCTGAATGATCCTGCATGATTCCTCTCTTCATTTTTGTACATCAGCGTTACGTAACCAGCTTCTATCTTCAGAAATCACTTTCTTCCAGGTGGCAGGCTCTAAGAGAACCCATGCTGGCTCTCAGCACCCACATGTAGTCCCTTTGAAACAATGAGACAGGCTTTGCTAAAAAACAAAACACAAGAAACCCTAGGCCAACCCCTTCCCATGTTTGCCAAGAGAGTGGTTAGTCAGCTCTTTTCTTGCCCTCTAGATTTCCAACATCAGAGTCAAGCCCCAGCCCACATATCAAAGGTCTCCAGGTACCATGGTAGTCCTCCTCAGTAGACCTCAGATGAAGAAGAAAGTATCTCCCTCTGTGTCGGGGGAGGAAGTGGGACTTTACTGTTTTCTCCAAAGATGCTTCCTCACTAAATGCTTTTCCTCTCTCCTTGCGCTAACCACATTTCATATTATTGGTCTACCACGTCATGGAGTGCATTCTCCAAATATTCACATTCTCTTTGGTATCTATTATATTGGTGTTTCAGTCAACCTCAAGGGGAAGGATTTCAGTCCAACATCCTGTTACTCAACATAAATATGTTTTATCCTTGCTCTAGCTGTGTATTTAGTTCAACATACTGGAGGAAGCAGAATACTGTTCTAATAAACTTGATGTGAAATAACTCACTTACGTTTCATAAATATATGACAAACTGATTTAAAAATAAGGGCTTTGGGAGGCTGAGGCAGGCGGATCATGAGGTCAGGAGATCAAGACCATCCTGGCCAACATGGTGAAACCCCATCTCCACTAAAAATACAAAAAATTAGTCAGGAGTGGTGGCGTGTGCCTGTAGTCCCAGCTACTAGGGAGGCTGAGGCAGGAGAATCGCTTGAACCCAGGAGGCAGAGGTTGCAGTGAGCCGAGACTGCGCCACTGCACTCCAGCCTGGTGACAGAGCGAGAGTCTGTCTCAAAAAAATTAAAAAATAAAAAATAAGGAATAAGGCTGCAGTGTTTATTTAGTCCTATGCTAACGGTCCTGAGCTGTGAAGAAGAATATAATCATAAATCAATGTCATGTCCAGAAAATAATGATCAAGAATACTATAGAGAAGGGCCTGGTTTCTTCACTACACATTGTGCTTCATATACTATGTTACATGAGTATG